>NC_000004.12:145171381-145796381 GCF_000001405.40 Homo sapiens
GCATTCTGAAAATCATCACCCCAGTATTATTTCAGATTTTTATACTACATTTACATGCCATTATAGCCAAGATAAAATATCACAACTCTGCCTTAGTGAGGCAACCTCTAACATATAGCTCCAACTTAAGTGCTGCATAAAATGTGTAGGAAACGTTTATAAGGAAATAGGATACACCGTCACTGCAACTCCTCTATACACTGTAATAGTAATCTTCTATTTTAATGAATTTTAAATACATTATTTGGATATATAAAAATAGAAATATACTAGAAGACTGTGACATACCTGTGGATTTTCCAAACGCTTTAAATATTCTTCAAATGATCCTTCTATAAACTGCAAAAAATAAATCTATTAGAAATGTCATCTAACATATATGCCAAAACAGTTAACCGCTTCGCTGTGTAAACATTCACTGTGAATTACTGAGTTTGTACATAAACCTAAAATACCTCAGTATTATTTAAAAATATGTACATAATCTAATTATGAAAACATATAGCAATCATTAAAGACTATAAACATACAAAAGAATTTAAAGAAGGAAATTCTGTCAGGAAAGGTTTCCTGAAAGAAGAGTGACTCAAGATGAATGCTGGACAGGATCTGGATGGCAACAGGCAGCTGATACTCTACAGAGAGGGCCAATGTGGCGTGAGGAGGAAGAGGAACACTGTGTTGGGAAGACAAGCAATCTGGCCAGCTGGAGCAGGACAACCTGTTGTGGAACTGAGTGGGAGAAGAACCCAAAGGGGGGCCTGTTTACAGAGGGCCTTGAGCCCAGGCAGGACTTGAAGGCTAGATGAGAAAGGCCATTCAAGGCCACTTCAGGTGACATTCTGAACTGAGAAATTATATGATGAAAGCAGTGCTTTAACTTGGTAGTGACCAGTGTGTAGAAGGGAATAAAACAAAGACTGACTTACAAGCTAAGAAATAGTATAGCTTAATAATACAGATAAGAGTACTCATTGTCTCTCAAGTGATACTAGAAAGAGCGATGAGAACTAGTAAGGCGAAAAATATTTTGAAGCATCAACAAAATTTTTCTAATACAGCTTGCTTCATCGCTTCATTGTTACTTTGACATAAAAACAGTTTATTCAAGCTGTGTAATAACACAACCTTTTTTATGTTTCTTTAATAGCAATCGCACTCATTTGAGAAATCTCTAAAAGTCATTTGTTGAACCACCAAATTCAATTGCGTTTAAATTACAGTCCCAGTTGATTTAGCAGAGATATACTTAAAGACATTAAAGTATACTCCCTTGTCTATAAAATCTTTTAAGCACCCTTGGATTTTAAGATTGAGATTCTTTCATAGATTATATAATGTCAAATTGCCAAAAATATCTTAAATTTCGAAAGATATTTATAATAAAAGAGCCATATATATTAAAGAGCCCACCAATAAAGGGCTACTGTTCTGTATTAGATGATTATAGGTCTAAGGAAAAAAAAAACACAGAACCATTTAAAGTTACTAGAGACTGCAGAATTCTGACACAAGCCTGCATCCTCTCTGAGAGTCTCCTTTCTGAGCAGAAAGCGTCCACCTATGCCATGGCTGAACAATGTCAGTAACAAGGCATAATACTTTCTACAACATCTCTTTCCAATTCTGGACAACTGAAACTGCTTGAAGGTTCATAAAAGGAAAGTGAAACTTTTCCCCATGGAACTTTCAACCTCTGATCATACCTCATAAAATTATATGGACTAAGGCCAGGCACGGTGGCTCACGCCTGTAATCCCAGCACTTTGGGAGGCCGGGGCAGGCAGAGCATGAGGTCAGGAGATCGAGACCATCCTAGCTAACATGGTGAAACCCCATCTCTACTAAAAATACAAAAAATTAGCCTGGCGTGATGGTGCCAGGCACCTGTAGACCCAGCTACACTGGAGGCTGAGGCAGGAGAATGGCATGAACCCGGGAGGCGGAGCTTGCAGTGAGCCAAGATGGCGCCACTGCACTCCAGCCTGGGCGACAGAGCGAGACTCTGTCTCAAAAAAAAAAAATTATATGGACTAAAAAAAATATATGCAAAACACTTAATGCCTGGCATATAGTAAGCACCTCAACCAATGTTAGCAATGTCCATTATTATCAACACAGTTTTACCCTCTGGGGCCAATGATTAATAAGAATTAATTTAAAGACCATTCCACCTCCCCACTTCCCTTCTCTACCACACCTCTGCACTCTCTTATCTAGCCTCTGCGTTACCAGGTTTTTTTAATAAAACAAGGTTTCAAGCCTATCATTTGCAAAGTATTATATCAACATTCTCTACCAGTCAACTGGGGGAAATAACACCCAAAGTTGTCAGATTACATAATTCTAGGTCTTAAAACCAGTAAGTAATAAATCCTGTAAGACTTTGAATGTAAAATGAAAACAGGTCACTGTGGCATCTTATTTCACATACTACTGAGAAAATTATATTAAGCTGTTATACAACATTTTATTAACTATTAATCACTACTTACATAATTATAATGTTCTGACATGTGAGTTCACACTGAACCCTGAAAATTAAAAACCTATGAATGCCTTCTGATAAAATTAAGGGTTCAGCATTACTTACACTCAGCGTATTTTTTACACTGCAAGTCTGAATTTTTTTTTTTTTTTTTTTGAGACAGAGTCTCACTCTGTCACCCAGGCTGTGGTGCAGCGGCGCAACTCGGCTCACTGCAACCTCTGCCTCCTGGGTTCGAGCAATCCTCGTGCCTCAGACTCAAGAGTAGCTGGGACTCAGGCATGTGCCACCATGCCACTACTTTTAGTAGACACAGAGTTTTGCCATGTTGGCCAAGCTGGTCTTGAACTCTTCACCTCCCAAAGTACTGGGATTACAGGTGTGAGCCACCATGCCCAGACTGAATTTTTTTTCTTTTAATTTATAGGGAGTTACCCATCACAGAAACCACTATTAATCACAACACCCCCAATTCCCTGACCATGTCAGACAAAGCCCACTCTTAGTATGCAAGGGCCTTGTCCAGGTCATCTTTCCATCCCCCACAGCTCAGCGTCTTATCCATCATAGTAGCTTTCTAAATGTCCAAATAAATGCAAAACATAAAATAGCCTAGAAAACAACATAACTGAATATAACTAGATTAAGTTCAATAGAGAAGTTTTTTTAATAAGTGTTATTTTCATAACCCGCATTAAGATCCAGCCTGTGAAATTCTACTAGAACACTTCTAAAAGCCAAAATGTAAAACCAAGTCAAGACACCATTACATGTTTGAAATTACAAGTTACCGCTTCAAATTTCTCTCTGTTCTCTCGAAGATAGTGAATACAGGCCATTCTGACTTCAACATGGCGAGACTGAGAGTGCAATACCTAAAAAGAAAAGGCAACAAACACACTATTAAGCATTTAGTTAAAAGTTACAACCTAATGTCTTCTTTTACACCCAAAATAATCTGACAACCAATAGATTATCAGTCTTTCTCCATTTCCCTTTCTATAATTTCGATATCTTTACTCATTCCTACCTCTTCTTCTAACTAAGCACAGCGAAGACATGACATATACAAACAATACTACTTCTTAAGCCAAATTTGTAAAGAATTTATTAGCCTTTCTCCTTTAGGACATTTTTGTAAATTTAGGACACTCTCTTCCCTTGGCCTTCCCTCCACAATAACTTTACTCTTCACAAAGAAGAGCTAACAAAATCCATGCTACGCCACGCTCAACTTCATCCTATACATATTGAAAAAGACAAACTGGCAACTTCTGTAGGAATGTATTTTGAGGCTTTCAGCCTGTAAGAGGCCGATTTATTTTTCCCATTAATTCTGAATCCACTTAGAGGCTCTGTGTAAAAATTTAAGTCCACTATGGTTTCAGAAAAATTAAGGCACTCATTCTTTCCTTGGTGATCAAGCTTATAAGACAAGAAAGAACATCCAAGTAGGCAGCATAGGGGGTGCAAAAATGTTGTGTGGTATCATCCCAAGAGGTTTGGGGTTTGTTTTTATGCCCTAAATTGTAAAGTACCAACCTACAAAGTATGATCCAGATCCTCTCACTCTGCAGTTTACATTTTCTTCTATTAAACAACCAGTTCAACAAAAAGATAACTTACTGGCATGTGGTCTTTTACCAAAATTCTAAAGCTGTGAATTGAAACAACTATTTCTTTTTTTTTTTTTGAGACGGAGTCCTGCTCTGTCACCCAGGCTAGAGTGCAGTGGCGCAAGCTTGGCTCTCTGCAACCTTCACCTCCCAGGTTCAAGCGATCTTCCTGCCTCAGCCTCCTGAGTAGCTGGGATTACAGCCAACTACCACGGCGCTTGGCTAATTTTTGTATTTTTAGTAGAGACAGGGTTTCACCATCTTGGCCAGGCTGGTCTCAAACTCCTGACCTCGTGATCCGCCCACCTCGACCTCCCAATGTGCTGGGATTACAACAGGCATGAGCCACTGTGCCCAGCCTGAAACAACTATTTCTTATCCAATGCTTCCTTCTAGCTAGCTCCCAATTCTTTTTTCCCCCACCAGGCTGGAGTGCAGTGGTGCAATCTCAGCTCACCGCAACCTCCGCCTCACAAGTTCAAGCGATTCTCCTGCCTCAGCCTCCCGAGTAGCCGGATTACAGGAGCTGCCATGTCCGGCTAATTTTTCTTTCTTTCTTTTTTTTTTTTCCGGCTCATTTTTCTATTTTTAGTAGAGACAGGGTTTCACCATGTTGGGCAGGGTGGTCTCAAACTCCTGACCTCAGGTGATCTGCCCGCCTGGGCCTCTCAAAGTGCTGGGATTACAGACATGAGCCACCACGCCCGGCCCTAGCTCCCAATTATTTAACATGCTTAAAGGAGATTAAAATTCTTTTCTATTACTGGGTATCTCAAATAAAGATATTCCTGTACCGTAAAGGGTTATGGTTTAAAAAAAAAAAACTCAGACACACTTAAAGTAACACATTTCAAACTACCATCAAGGCCTCTTGAGAATTTATATTAATAGAAAGTATCTTTAAAAGTTACAGATCCTGGCCGGGCACTGTGGCTCACGCCTGTAATCCCAGCACTTTGGGAGGCCGAGGAGGGTGGGTCCCCTGAGGTCAGGAGTTTGAGACTAGCCTGGTCAACATGGTGAAAACCCCATCTCTACTAAAAAATACAAAAAAAAAAAAAAAATTAGCCAGGTGTGGTGGTGCGTGCCTGTAGTCCCAGCTACCTGGGAGGCTGAGGCAGGAGAATGGCTTGAAACCAGGAGGCAGAGGTTGCAGTGAGCCGAGATCGTGCCAGGGCACTCCAGCCTGAGTGACAGAGTAAGACTCTGTCTCAAAAAAAAAAAGTTACAGATCCAATTGAGTGGTTCTCCCTTTACGTTTAGCATGAGTAGAGCATTTGGGAAAAGGGAGGCTCCAGCTGTGCATTCTACAGCTCTCTTGGATCACAACCAAGGCTCATTTATACCCACAGAACCGGCACAACTGCCTGGACGCCTAGTATGTCCTATTACGCTGAGATACACTGAAAATGCACCTGTTGAGGTTAGCAATTAGTTTGTTTTCAGTGTAATAACTGGTTTTCAGTTTAACTGATTCTACCTTCACTGCTGTTCTTGGACACTATTAAACTATATTCTTATATATTCTAAGAGTATGTGACCAAAAAGGACTATCTATATATAAAAATAACCACCGTAGAATTTTTTTGCCAATTCAACAAATGACATTTAGCAACACTTCTTTCACAGAAGCTATGTTAGACACTATCATGAATCAAGGTATTACTCGTATGAATAAACCACAGTGTCATCTGATAGGGCTTTCCTCTGCCATTAGCAACGTGGAGCTAGTCTTAAAGCCATTTACCTAGCAACAGGTGGCAAACATAAGTTAGTAAAGCTTATTTTCAATCAAAAGCAATGGTAGGCATATCTACTGGTTCTTCTCTTTTAACAAAGATTTTGGCACATACAATCTATCTGAACCTGTTGCTCAGAAGCAAAACTCTTAGCAACTTCTATAAAGTGTGAGAGTGCTGGTAATTCACAAAGTCAAGCACTGCAAGAAAAGCAAGGTTAAATGACAACTGTCTAAAATGTAAATTATTGTGCAAGGTTGATAACACTTCGAAAGAATTAAAGTAGTATGACAAATATCTCTGCAAATTAATATATACATGAAAGCAAACTAGAAGGCTTTCCCATTTTTACTTGGGACAAGATAGTGATAAATACTGGGAAAGGCTGAGACACTGTTTTAGCAAGTCCTCCAAGACTGCCCTATTTTTAGCTCCATGGCTGTGGAGCTGATTCAGGTCAGGCCTCCGGCAGGCCCAAATCCGTAAGTGTAAAAAGGAAATGGCCTATCTAAATCAGATAATTTGGAGAGAAAGACCAAAATCCTAACTCGAGTCTCCTCCCCGTCTTTAAAAACTGCCACTTAGATTATTTACTTTGATTCCTTCTTAGAAATGATGAGTATTTGTGATTTTATAGGAGAAATTGTTGGCAAAAAATATAAATTATTGGTACACATTTTAAAAGGGAAGCCTGACGCTGGTATTACTTCCTTTTTCCCACACACACACACTTTGCCTTTGGCGATGATGGCTATAACTGTAGCCTACTGAATAACTGAACTTCCCCCAAAGTTCAAGGTCTTCAGCTAAGCTCATCAGACTAAAACTGAGTCACATAACTG
Source organism: Homo sapiens (assembly GCF_000001405.40). Taxonomy (NCBI): domain Eukaryota; kingdom Metazoa; phylum Chordata; class Mammalia; order Primates; family Hominidae; genus Homo; species Homo sapiens. The sequence goes on from NC_000004.12 coordinate 145,178,067, forward strand.
GGAAGGGTAGTCCCTTATGCCTAACCTAAACCCCATTACAAAATACAATAAAATGTGTTACCTGATGTAACAAAGAGTTCTTAGTGTAAACTAGCTCTTGCCCCTTTTCTACTTAAAAACAGAGATCCCACTATAATAAAAGAGGCTTCTGTATAATCAAGGCCACCGAGTATCTATGGTATGCACTACGGAAATCAGGCACACCCTTCTGCTTCAATATAAACTAGGACTCAAGATAACTCAAATCCAAGTAAGCGCCAAGCTTCCCTTACCGCCATTTATTTCTACCTCCTTGCTTACCAAACTCTTGCTAGGTCTAACAGTACGTTATAAATACGGGCTGAATTCACTTCCACCTCTTCCCTAGGCTTCTGGAGGTGCTGAGGAGTCCAAGGAAGCAGGACAGACAGAGATTCAGAAAATTCACAAATGGGGCAGACTATTTACCTACTAACAATAAGGACCGGAGGCAGTGGGTGGCTGTGAACATACCCCACAGCAACACTGAAAATGAGAAACGGACAGAGCCTGGTTTGGGGAGCTTTTGGAAGAATTTTTCAATGACAATGTCCGCAACATAAAGCAACGGTTTGTGTCCGTTAAATCAATTTCTTGTTTTAAAGAAAGATTTTACGCTACCTATGGTAAATAAATGGCTTGCCTTTCAATGTTTAAAAATGAGAACAGACTGGCCTCCACATGTTAAGTAAAACATTTACTCACAAATAGAAATTTTAAAAGTTATTTAGCATTCAAAAAAGGTGAGGGAAAAGAAAACAGAAACATCATAAAAACCCCACAGGCGGGTAGGGAGGGGTGTGCAATGGGGTGTGGGGAGCAGGTCCTAGGTCAAAGGAAAGCACATGTGAATCGTCTGAAAGACACACCAGAGCAGAAACTTTTATCCAGCTACTTCGGCAGCTATTTTTCAATATAGGATGGGTTTTGGTGACTGCACACCTACAACACACAGTGTTATATAACATGGAATAAGCTCGCTCAAAAAAAAAAATTCAGAAAAATCTTCCTGAGCAACTGTGTTAGAAAATGGTTTTGAAAAGCTCCAGTTACACGTACCCTTTCTACTACCAACATCAAAACAGGCTTTTTTAAAAAAGTCAGTTCTGTTTAGTATACCTACACAGCCCAGCAGAGCATAATAAAGGGTGGAACCTACTCAAGACAAATCCTTCAAAATATTCTATATTTGTAAAAGGCTGGTTTTCTCAAACGGCAGTTTGCCCATTTGATTCAAGTGACATGGGCGAGCTTGCCTACCCTACATTCCAAAGTCCAGCAGCAAACCAAAATATGTTCCACAAGTAAAGTTTGATCCACCACTTCTAGTAAACACTTGGTTTACTGGAGTGGGGTGAGCGTGGTGCTTCTCAAACGAAGGGAAGGAAGGTGAATGCGGAACAAAAGTAAAAAATATCATGTCGCCAGGTCCCCAGCAATAAATCAACTGTACAAGCTCCGAGCAGGCCTCACAAGTTGTCCTCAACTCATTACCTCTTCATCAGGAGAGAGACACCCCGTTAATTTGCGGGCTTTCGAGTTTCAATTTGCACCTTTCAGACGCAAAGCAGCGTCCCACTCCGGCGTTACAATGGGGCGCTGTGACGACAGCCAGGGCACGCGCAGCCCCGGCCGTGGGCGGCCCGGACAGCCCGCAGCTGCCTCCCCACCCAGACCCGCCGGGCCGTCCCCGCCTCCCCTCGAAGCCCTCCCCGCCCCCCCGCAATTACCTGCTCCGCCACGGCCCGGAACAGGCACGACCCGTCCTTGGCGACCAGTTTCCGATACAAGCCCAGTTTCCGCAGATAGGCGTCCATGGGCGTCGCGTCCTCGCGGGGCCCCGCGCCGCCCTGGTCCCCGCCGTCGGGGACGCCGACGGCAGCCTCCATGTTGCTGGTCCTGCTGCAGGCCAGGCGCGGCGAGGGCTAGCCCCACATGGCCAGGCCGCCGGCTGCTCGACGCCCCGGCCTGGGGCAGGCGGCGGCTCGGGCTGGGGCTCGGGCTCCGCGAGCGGCGGCAGGCGGCGGCGGCCCGAGGCAGCGGTCCGCGCTCTCCGGGCGCATAGGGAAGCCCTGCCTAATGCATGGCTGTCCGCACGCGGCCGCCTCCTCGGAGCGAACACGCGCCCACGACAAACGGGGGGAGCGGGATTAAGGAAAACCCCGAGAGTGAGTAGTCACTTCCCGACGGCCTCGCTGCCTGACTCAGGACCCAGGCCGGGGGTCGCCGCCCCCACAAGTTTCCTCCTCCGTACCGGTGTGAAGCGAGAAAACCCCCGCCCCTGGCGCGCACGCTGGGCCGGCTCAGGTGAAGCGGGGCCTGCGCCCCCGCGCACTCCCCACGCCGGGAGCCGAGGAAACCAAAAAGAAAGACGCGGCCTTTCGTTTCCCCACCTCGCTGGAGGGCGCCGGAGGGGCAGGGAGCGGGTGGGGGCGCCCGGGAGAGAACAGCACCTCGCAGCCCAGAATTTGTTTTCGCTTTCGGCCCGACAGCGGAGAGGACGGCGGGAGATGTAGTCTTGGCAGCCGCAGGAAGTCGGCTTGCGGCGGGCGGGGACGCGCTGGCCGGCCTACCCGGGGGAGGTGCCCGGGAGGCGCGCGGACTACAAGTCCCTACAGCGCGGGCGCGCCGCCGCCACCGCCACCGCCCCAAGCCGGCTTCGCGCTGCACTGGCGCCGCGTCCGCGAGCAGGCCGAGGGGCTCCGCCGGCCGATGTGGGGCGACCTGCGCGCGCCACCCGCCAACCCTGCCGCTGCGCCGCGGGAATCGCGCGCGCCGGGCTGGCGTGGAGTTGCCAGGGACACGGCGGCGCAGTGTCGGCCCTTTGTGTATTTCTTTCCAGAGGGCGCACCTGTCTGCTCCCTTCCCCCCGGCCTGCTCTCCTGGTGTTTCCATGGAGGTGGCTTTAACGGCTTAAGCAGAAAATAGAGCTAATTGGCTGAGGCTCCGGGAACTGGCACGGTGCGGGACGACACACTCTGTCCATAAATCAACCGTGGACTGCTGATTGCTATTAGTAGTACAGCTCACGTACTACGGCAAGATGAAGGCTTTGCCAAAGACATTTTTGTTCACCCTGTCACTGTAGCTGAGCACCCCATCACAGAGACATGTCACTGTCGGAAGACGTTAGGGTTTTTTTTTCCCCCTTAAAAAATTCATCTTGTAAATTGCTTGATAACATGCTGACTGGACTGGCCATGGCTTCCACCAGTGCTCGAGGCTTCAGCTCAACTTCCCACCCTCCGACGTTGAATGGCAGGGAATTGACAAAGTTAAATTATGCTTTAGAACCCAGAATTTATCCAGCATGCTTCTGTTGCACCAAAATTTTATTTTGCTAAGATACAACATCTGGTGTCCTTATTTAAATACATGGTTAATCATAGGAACTAATTCAGTCTTTTAGGCTATGGTGGAGGAGAGGGAGAAGAAAAGGGAGCATTACTATAGGTTTAGACATGTAGTCAAATACCTTGGAATGGGGGGCAAGGCAGGCCAGGTGGTGAGAGTCCAACGACAAAAATTTTTTAAAAACTACGTTAGACACTTTTCAGTATTTTCAGTGCAAGCAATCAGTCATGTATTCACTTTCCTTGGAGCGTCTTTGATTTCTTAATGTTTAAATATTGTATCTCAAATTATGCTGCTTTTAGAGAATACAAACGTTATCGTTACCTAAATGAAAAAATGTCCCTGCCTCAAATTTACTTGTTGTAGCGAAGAAACACTTTGAAATCAGGTTTAGAAAAGTATAGTTTCAGCTGGGCGTGGTGGCTCACGCCTGTAATCCCAGCACTTTGGGAGGCCGAGGCAGCCCGGTCACCTGAGGTCAGGAGTTCGAGACCAGCCTGACCAACATGGAGAAACCCCGTCTCTACTAAAAATACAAAATTAGTCGGGCGTGGTGGCACATGCTACTCGGGAGGCTACTCCCAGCTACTCGGGAGGCTGAGGCAGGAGAATAGCTTGAACCCAGGAGGCAGAGGTTGCGGTGAGCCGAGATCCCAACATTGCATTCCAGCCTGGGCAACAAGAGCGAAACTCCGTCTCAAAAAAAAAAAAAAAAAAACGGAAAAGAAAAATATAGCTTCAAGTCAAACCTGTTGCTTTTCTTTTTAAAATACACTTACATTGCATATACTTCTCATTCTTCTCAAAAAAAAAAAAATTCCTGAGTATTGCCACTACTTAAAACATGGATCGCCCTTGTTTTTGAGTTTAAAAGCTTGCCTTTTAAACTCAAAGAGAAACTCAAAGTAATATCTAAACTCCTGCTGAATGAATGTAGAACAACCTCACTCTAAGCTGGCTGCTTCTGGTTCCAAAATTAGAAGTGATGCACCTGTTATATCTGACCCTGGGCCTGTTTAAGGAAATCCTTTAGGTATTTTGAGACTTAATCCAAGACAGACCCTCTGTATGCCAACTTCCCAAATATAGCTCAGCGTTAAGGCAATATTAGAGGATCCTATGTCTTTAAACTGCACCAAAACTTAGAGAAACTCACTTAACTTTCAAAGGATCTTTGCTTGTTGACATTAACTTCTGAACCTTTTCAAGAAACCAAACCAGAGTTGATGAATGTTTATTCTAAGGAAGCCATTTCTGACTGTGTGAAGAACTCTAAACAGACATCATTTTAATCAAATAATACCTGAAAGATTCAATGCTTTTGAGACCTAATGAAATTATAAAATTAAACTTATGCAAAGGAGTCAACCAACTTTTTTCTTCTTGTGCAAAGTCAATGCCTTAAGTTTGTTTACTCTGACAAACTTTAGGGCTAATAATTGTACTAGATAGAATTTTTTAAATTGTTTTTAAACTTCATAGATTGATAGATTTTATGGAGTTTTGTTTTTTCCAACAATACCTAAGGTTAGGTATTGTAGTAGGCAGCCTCTAAAATGCCCCACTCCCGACCCCCACCAAGTGATTCCCACTTCCTGGTATTCACACTCATATAATCACCTCCACCTTGTAACAGGATTGGTCTGAGTGACCAATAGAATAGAGCAAAAGTAGTGGTATGTCACTTCTGAGATTAGGTTATAAGAGACATTTTTGGCATTTTGATTGGCCTCTCATACTCCCTGTCTCATGGGTCACTCATGCTGGTGGAACCTGGCTGCTATGTGTCAGATTTACAGAGAGGTTCCCCTTGTAAGAAACTGGAGCCTGCTTTCCTCCAGCAGTCATGTGAGTCAGCTTTGAAGCGAATCCTCCAGCCCAGTCAGGTTTTCAGACAACTCCAGCGTTGGCCAAAATCTTGACTACAACCTCAGGAGAAACCCTGGCCAGAACTACCCAGATAAGCTCTGAAATTCTTGACCTCAGAAACTGGGTGAGATAGTGTTTATTTTAAGCTCCTAAATTTAGTCGTAATTTGTTACATGGCAATAGATAAATAATACAGATATAATTCTTCATTATTTGTCTTTACTAGATAGAGAATGAATGCATTTTGACAATTCGTGAAAATAATCACTAGTTTAGTATCCGTGGTTGTACCAGTTCTCTGAATTCTAAAGATGAAAAGGTAAGTTATTTTACCAAAGAGTCAAAATAGTAAGTAATAGGATTTCTTTTGAATCTATGAAATCTCTTACAAAAATAGAGTAACCTAAGAATGTCTTTATTGCCACATAGCATTGTTTCATTTTCTACAAAAATTCAAGTAATGGAATCCTACTCAAAAAATGTATTTTATGAAGAAAGACCTGTTTCTTCTGGATCTTATCTGCCAGAGGCTGCTAATTGTCGTTCTCCACTTCCCATTTGATTTCCCCTGAGTTTTTGCTGGGCCCATGGGCACCCAACTTTGGGCTATATCTCCCAGCTACCTTAGAACTAAATGTGACCCTGTGATTGTGTTTAGGTCAATGGGATGTAAGCAGAATTATTTAACTTCCAGCTCATCTCCTTAAAGATGAAGCTTCTTGCCTTCTACTCTCTGTCCTACTTCCCATGAGCTGCTCTGAAAACATGGTTGAAGGCCGAGTGCGGTAGCTTACGTCTGTAATCCCAGCACTTTGGGAGGCCCAGGCGGGCGGATCAGCTGAGGTCAGGAGTTCAAGACCAGCCTGGCTAAAGTAGTGAAACCCCATCTCTATGAAAAATACAAAATTAGCCAGGCTTGGTGGCGGGCACCTGTAATCCCAGCTACTGTGGAGGCTGAGGCAGGAGAATCACTTGGACCTGGGAGCCGAGATCGCTCAACTGCACTCCAGCCTGGGCAACAGAGTGAGACTCCATCTCAGAAAAAAAAAAAAAAAAATGGTTGAAACTAGTTAGCCAGCTTTGCCGGGCACAGTGGCTCACGCCTGTAATCCCAGCACTTTGGGAGGCCGAGGCAGGCGGATCACGAGGTCTGGAGTTTGAGACCAGCCTGACCAACATGGTGAAATCCTGGCTCTACTAAAAATTCAAAAATTAGCTGGTTGTGGTGGCACACGCCTGTAATCCCGGCTACTCGGGAGGCTGAGGCAGAAGAATCGCTGGAAACCGAGAGGCGGAGGTTGCAGCGAGCCAAGATCCGGCCATTGCACTTCAGCCTGGGTGGGCAACAGAGGGAGATTCCGTCTCAAAAAAAAAAAACAAAAAACGAAACTAGTTACCCAGCTTTGATCATGCAAAGACAACACCGTAAGATAACAGAGCAATGAGATGGAGGACTGAGCTCCTGAATACTTCATAGCCTGTGATCCTTGAACCAGTCCTCTCCAGACTGTGAGAAATAAACTTATTTTACCAACCGTTGCTGCTGTTGTTATTATAGCTACTTAGTCTATGTATTCTAGCACATTTCCCCCTCAAATATTAAATAAGTGATAACATTTGGGACAAATTAAATTTATTTATAAGAGTTTCTGAGTTGAGCAGAACATAATTCTTTTTTTTTTTCTTTTGAGACAGAGTCTGTCACCCAGGCTGGAGTGCAGTGGCACCATCACGGCTCACCTCCCCAGGCTCAGGTGATCTTCCTACCTTAGCCTCCAAAGTAGCTGGGACTACAGGTGTGCACCCCCACTCCCAGCTAATATTTTGTGTGTTTTTAGTAGAGATGGGTTTTCGCCATGTTGCCCCAGCTGGTCTCAAACTCCTGAGTACAAGCAATCCTCCTGCCCCAGCCTCCAAAAGTGCTGAGATTACAGGCGTGAGCCACCACACCTGGCCCATAATTCTTTTTTCTGAGAAGTTAGGGAATTGCCAAAGTCTTAATTGCAAGATTCCAAATGTTAAAGGGCTTCAAAATATGAAGTTTTAACATCGAAATAATGGTGTTATTTCAACTAATGACTTTCTCCCTCACCAACCCACATTCCCCTTCAGCTGCTACATTTGATGGTGTTGACCACCTTTTCATTTTGTTACTCTCCTTCACCTTTTGTAAGGTGAGATATCTTGTGTAGTCAAGCTATTTAAATATCTTGTCTTGATTATATCTCCTTTGCTGATTCCTTTTCTCCCCCACTCCCCATCTCCTAAATGTGGGGGTGCCCCAGGTCTCAAGTTTTAACTTTATTTAGCCCTGTTCTCTTTTTCAAGCTTTAATGTCTTATCTCTAGTCCATGCAGGACATTTCCATCTAAAACACATTTCTAAAAGTAAACTCATTTTTCCCTTAAAACCATCCCCCTCAAGCACTCTAACATCAAGCATTGGGTTTAAATAGTAGATACTCAAAAAACACAACATTTGCTGAATGATTTAATGATGTATCATTTATTATGGTAGATAGCTCTTGTTTTTGCTTAATCGTTATCCATTCTCTGTGGAATAGATGAGAAACAATAAGGAGTTATAGTCAAGGTGATAAAAACCAACTTTTTGCAAATGAAATAATTTAGTTAAATGCTCAGGAAAATCAGGAAAAAACTGGTGTGATGGGACTACATTTCCAATTTATATTTTGGAGGAATGATCATTCAGAAAAATAATCTTATCTGTAAATTTACAACAGAATGAAATGATAGGAGAGAATGTATGCTATAGCTTTTGTGTTTCATTTGCAAGCTATCACAAGGAGGAACTGGCTGGTAGTAGTAAAAGATTTTACCTAGTAAGCTTATGATTCTATACGCATTGCCCACCTTCTCTGGTAACTTGGAATATCAACCTTAGCAAAGTCCTTCACAAGCCTTCCAAGTCTTCAATACTATACATTCCTGCATAGCAGAAAATAACATTGCATGAGTTAGTTTACCTTTTCCTTGCTAGAGCAAAAGGATCAAAAGAATTACAGAGGGGAGACTTCATCTCCCAAAATGGGAAGCAAATACTTCTTACTGCAGGAGAGTGTTTGAAGATCAAGGCTTGAAAGAAAAGAAGACCACTTTTCTTAGTTTTTAAAGTAATTTTTAAAATTTCACTCTGGCTTAATGGTCATCAAGATCAATTCAAAAAATTACAAAAGAAAAAAAAAAAGGAAAGAAGGAAGGAAGTACAAGGAAGGGTAAAGGGGCCAGGACCCTGGTGCCATCTATTAGCCAAGTGAGCTAACCTAGAGAAGGACCTTGCAAGGGGCTTGGCTGCAAATGCTCAGATATCTGTCTTTTCTAGCTCACCATCCAGCCTCCGCATGAGGGAGCATCTCTTGTTGGCCATGCTACTTAACTGTACCAGCACTTCGTAGCTTGACTGCTCTGTAGTACCAAAGTTGGTATATGCCATGAGATCCTTACTCAATCCTAGTAGAGAAAAAAGAGCCCCCATCTGCACTTTAGACAGATGAACTGAATAAGTTTCAAACCCCAGAGCTAGGACTGCAGTCCTGAGACCCTATAACCTGTATGACTAGAGAAGTGAAACTATGATTTAGTTTCTTATTAGAGCTTCGACTTCCGTATATTCCTATGCCTAAGCTGGATGAACTAATAAACCTCACAGTAGACTGAGGCTCTTACACAAGTAGCTATAGCTAGTCATAGTCCATTATCTCTGCAAATAAAACCTCCACGTACTTCCAACCATTTACCTCTCCTTCCACCACTACCTCTTGATTCCACCCTGACAGAAGCAAACTTGCAAAGTCCCATTGCAAGGTATTTACTTTAGCTCCCCAAATAGGATTGTAAACTCTTTGTAGGCTTGTAGAATTTAAGATTCTTTTTTTCTTTTTCAAGTGTCTAATAGTATATTTGCTTTTGCATATTCAGATTAAAAATTCAATGAATATTCATTAAATGATTTCATGTATTCCCAATGAAATGCTCAAAGAAGAAAGTATTTCAAATGAAAATACATAAATAACCACAGGTTATGGAACCTCAACCTGTAGGTTGAGGTCTAAATATTTGATATAGAACAGTGGACCAAGATTATATGTTAAGTAATACTTAATACCATCTTCCTAACCAAACAAATTGAAGATAATCTAAATAGAGAATTGGTCAAACACATTCTAATATGTCAATACAATTAGAATACAGTACTATTCAGCCTTTAAATACAATGTGTCTGTTTCTGTGTGTGTGTCATATCACAATCATCCAGAAAACTGTATAAAACCACAGATTATTGAAATTGAAGGTAGAAGATGGTGATGAATTAGTCTAATATCAGTCACAAATTAATGATTGTACAACTTAGGTGATGAGCACACGTGAGTTCATTATACTGTTCCTTTTACTTTGTATGTGTTTGGAATTTTCTATAACAAAAAAGTTTAAAAACAGGGTTTTTAATATCCTACTTCAGGCTGGATGTGGTAGTTCACACCTGTAATCCCAGCAGTTTGGGAGGCCAAGGTGGGTGGATCGCCTGAGGTCGGGGATCCGAGACCAGCCTGGCCAACATGGTGAAACGCCACCTCTACTAAAATTACAAAACCTAGCCAGGTGTGGTGGCACGTGCCTGTAATCCCAGCTACTTGGGAGGCCGAGGCAAGAGAATCACTTGAACCTGGGAGGCAGAGGTTGCGGTGAGCTGAGATCACACCACTGCACTCCAGCCTGGGCAACAGAGTAAGACTCTGTCTCAAAAAAAATAGTAAATAAATAAATAAAATCACACTTCAATTTTCCTGTCTCAGAATGACCAGGAATGGTACACAGGAATCTGTGTTTTTTTCAGTTTCTCCCCAGGTGATTCTGAAGGTCAGCCAGCATTTGGGAGCATCTGAAAATTGGGATAGGGGAGGCACCAACCCAAGAAAAGGAAATTATAAATTTTTAAATTAATATAAGCAAATAGACTGTGACCTGCATCCCAAGTTTATAATTCCTGTTCTAGATCACCAGGAAAAATTTCTGAAGACTCCAATCTTAATATTGCACATTGTTTTATTTATAATACCATCTGCAAAGACATCTAAAGATAAAATTGTATTTTTGAGATGGTTGTAAAATGTAGTATCAATATTTTTACATTAAAGTAAAAACATACAATAAGGCATTGTTAACAAAATATGCAAATATGTAGCATAAAAATCCAAAACAACATATATGTGGAATATGTACTTTTGTTTTTATTTATTTATTCATTTATTTTTTTATTTTTTGTAGACAGAGTCTCACTCTGTTGCCCAGGCTGGAGTGCAGTGGTGCAATCTCGGCTCACTGCAACCTCCACCTCCCAGGTTCAAGCGATTCTCCTGTCTCAGCCTCCAAAGTAGCTGGGATTATAGGTGTGCATCACCACGCCCGGCTAATTTTTTTTTTTTTTTTGAGATGGAGTCTTGCTCTGTTGCCCGGGCTGGAGTGCAATGGCGTGATCTCAGCTCACTGCAACCTCCACCTCCCAGGTTCAAGCGATTCTCCTGTCTTAGCCTCCCAAGTAGCTGGGATTTTAGGTTTGCACCACCACACCTGGCTAATTTTTTTTTTTTTTTTTGAGATGGAGTCTTGCTCTGTTGCCCAGGCTGGAGTGCAGTGGCACGATCTCAGCTTACCACAACCTCTGCCTCCCGAGTTCAAGCAATTCTCCTGCCTCAGCCTCCTGAGTAGCTGGAACTATAGGCACATGCCACCATGCCCGGCTAATTTTTGTATTTTTAGTAGGGACGGGGTTTCACTATGTTGGCCAGGCTGGTCTCGAGCTCCTGACCTTGTGATCCACCCGCCTCAGCTTCCCAAAGTGCTGGGGTTACAGGCGTGAGCTACTGCACCTGGCCTTAATTTTTGTATTTTTAGTAGAGACAGGGTTTTGCCACATTGGCCAGGCTGGTCTCAAACTCCTGACCTCAAGTAATCCACCCACCTCTGCCTGCCAAATTGGTGGGATTACAGGTGTGAGCCACTGCTCCTGGCCCGGAACATATTACTCTTAAAAGCACTGTAAAACCTGAGTAAAATAATTTTTAACAGCTTTGAGATACAATTGACCCAATAAACTGCATATATTTAAAGTGTACAATTTTGATATCTTGATATAATGATATGCCCATGAAACTATCACCATAATCAAACTAATGAACATATCCATCACCCCTCAAAGTTTCCTTTTCCTTTTTTGTAATCCCTGTATATCACACACACACATGCACACACACACACAAACACACACACACACACACACCCCCACCAAGTCTCCAGATAACTACCGATCTGTTCTTTGTTACTGTAGATTAGTTTGTATTTTCTTTTATTTATTTATCTTATTTTTTTTTTTTGAGACGGAGTCTCACTCTGTCACCCAGGCTGGAGTGCAGTGGCACAATCTTGGCTCACTGCAGCTCCACCTCCCAAGTTCACATCATTCTCCTGCCTCAGCCTCCTGAGTTGCTGGGACTACAGGCACCTGCTACCACGCCCAGCTAATTTTTTGTATTTTTTAGTAGAGACAGGGTTTCACCGTGTTAGCCAGGATGGATTCGATCTCCTGACCTTGTGATCCACCCGCCTCGGCCTCCCAAAATGCTGGGATTACAGGCGTGAGCCACCGTGCCCAGCTGATTAGTTTGTATTTTCTAGAGTTTTTATATAAATTGAATTATACTATATGTGCTCTGTTTTGTCTGACTTATTTCACTCAGCACAATTATTCTGGGACTGATTTGTTCATTTCATGTATCAGTAGTTTTTTTCTTTTTCTTTCTTTGGTGGAGTAGCATTCCACTGTATGAGCATACCACACATTGTTTATCCATTCAGCTGTCGTATATTTGGGTTGTTTCCAGGTTTGCGCTATTAAAAATAAAGCTACAATACACTCTTCACTTTTCTCAGGCAAATTACCTAGGAGTGTAATGACTGGGTCATATGTCACATGGTAAGTGAACGTTTAACTTTCTAACAAAAAAAAAAACTACCAAACTGTTCCAAGTGGGTTGTACCATTTTATATTCATTGGTTACACCAACAGTACATGAGAGTTCTAGTCCCTTCACATCCTCTCCAACACTTGGTATGGTCAGCCTTTTTTTTTTTTTTTTTGAGATGAAGTCTTACTCTGTCGCCCAGGCTGGAGTGCAGTGGCGTGATCTCGGCTCACTGCAACCTCTGCCTCCTGGGTTCACACCATTCTCCTGCCTCAGCCTCCTGAGTACCTGGGAATATAGGCACCCGCCACCATGCCCGGATAATTTTTTTTTTTTTTGTACTTTTAGTAGACACGGGGTTTCACCATGTTAGCCAGGATGGTCTCGATCTCCTGACCTCGTGATCCACCCGCCTCGGCCTCCCAAAGTGCTGGGATTACAGCCGTAACAGACTTTTTAAATATTAACTACTCTAATGAGTATGCAGTGGCATTTCATTGCAGTTTTACTTTGTATTTCCTTAATGACTAATGATGTGGAGCCTCCTTTCATGTGCTTGTATGTCATTTGTATTTCTTCTTTGGTTGAGTATTCAATTTGGTTGGGGGTCTTGCTTTTAGGATTTGTTAGGTGGGACCAGAGCAGCATTTAGCTTAGGGTTAATTTATATCCACTACTGAGGCAAGACCTTTCTGAGTATTCTAACCAATGTCTCATGAATTATGAGATTTTCCAGTGTGGCTAGGAGGAACCAGCGCTCTCCTTGCACTGTCTCTATACTGGGCATTGTTTTCTCTAATTTTCTCAGGAAGTTGTTTCCCTGGCCTTGGGTGGTTTCCTCCCATGCATGCATTCGTTACAAGACTTCTCCACAAATCATCACAGTTATTTCTCTATGCAGCCCTCTTCTCTGTTGTACTGTGTCCAGTGAATTGGAGTTGCCTTGCTCTCTCAGACTCTTAGATCCATCTACTCAATTCAGGGAGTCCCTACACTTCACTTGAATTTCCCCTGCCTGTGCCATGACTGAAAACTCTCTCAAGGCAATAAGCTGAGGTAATTATAGGCTTACTTCATCTGTTTCCCACCTCTGTAATTGCTGTCCTTTGTTGTCTAATATCCAGTGTCTTGAAAATTATTCTTTCATATATTTTCTTGACTTTTTTCTTTGTCATTTCAGGAGGAAAGGTAAATAAGATCTCTACTACTACATCTTGGCCAGAAGCAGAAATTTGAAAACAAATACAATGAGTATTTTTATGTTTACAGACTTTTCAGTTTGGGCCACAAAATAAGTCTAGTTTCCCCTGCTTTTTTTTTTTTTTTTTTTTTTTTTTGAGGTGAAGTCTCACTCTGTCACCCAGGCTGGAGTGCAGTGGCGTGATCTTGGCTCACTGCCACCTCTGCCATCCGGGTTCAAGTGATTCTCATGCCTCAGCCTCCTGAGAAGCTGAGACTGCAGCCACACGCCGCCACACCTGGCTAACTTTTGTGTTTTTAGTAGACACAGAGTTTCACCATGTTGACCAGGCTTGTGTTGAACTCCTGACCTCAAGTGATCCACCTGCCTTGACCTCCCAAAGTACTGGGGTTACAGGAGTGAGCCACCAAACTCAGCTGGAGAGAAAGAGTTTTTATTTATTTATTTATTTATTTTTTGAAATGAAGTCTCACTCTGTCACCCAGGCTGGAGTGCAGTGGCGTGATCTTGGCTCACTGCAACCTCTGCCTCCTGGGTTCAAGTAATTCTCCTTCCTCAGCCTCCCAAGTAGCTGGGATTACAGGTGTGCTCCACCATGCCTGGCTAATTTTTTGTGTTTTTAGTAGAGATGGGGTTTCTTTTTTTTTTTATTTTTTTTGAGATGGAGTCTCACTCTGTCGCCCAGGCTGGAGTGCAGTGGCACGATCTCTGCTGACGGCAAGCTCCACCTCCCAGGTTCACGACATTCTCCAAGTAGCTGAGACTACAGGCGCTGGCCACCACGCCCGGCTAATTTTTTGTATTTTTAGTAGAGACAGGGTTTCACCATGTTAGCCAGGATGGTCTCGATCTCCTTACCTCGTGATCCACCCGCCTTGGCCTCCCAAAGTGCTAGGATTACAGGCGTGAGCCACCGTGTCCGGCCAAGAGATGGTGTTTCACCATGTTGTTCAGGCTGGTCTGGAACTCCTGCCCTCACGATCCGCCCGCCTCGGCCTCCCAAAGTGCTGGGATTACAGGCAGGAGGCACCATGCCCGGCCAAGAAAGAGTTTTCTAAAAGTGAAAGAAGTACATATTTGACATACATACCAAAGATGCATTTTCACACTGGAAAAAATAAAATAGAATCCACAAAACACTCTAAGGATCAATACATGAGTTTAGTAAGGTTGCAAGATACATGTTCAATCCAAAACCAATTGTATTTCTACACACTAGCAATAAACAATCCAAAAATGACATTAAAAAAATTCTATTTACAATAGCATCCAAAAAAATAAAATCTTAGAAAAAAATTCACAAAAGAAGTTTGAGAATTGTATGCTGAAAAGTATAAAGCATTGTTGAAAGAAATTAAAAGAGATATAAACACATAGAAAGATATTAATGTTCATGGATCAGAAGACTTAATTTTTTTTTTTTTTGAGATGGAGTTTAGCTCTGTCACCCAGGCTGGGGGACAGTGGCAGGATCTCAGCTCACTGAAACTTCCACCTCCTGGGTTCAAGCAATTCTCCTGCCTTAGCCTCCTGAGCAGCTGGGATTACAGGCACACACCACCATGCCCGGGTAATTTTTGTATTGTTAATAGAGGCGGGGTTTCACTATGTTGGTCAGGTTGGTCTAGAACTCCTGACCTCGTGATCTGGCCACCTCGGCCTACCAAAGTGCTGGAATTACAGGCGTGAGCCACTGCGCCTGGCCAGAAGACTTAATATTGTTAAGATGGTAATACTACAAAAATCAATCTACAAATTCAACATAATCCCTACCAAAATCCCAGCTACCTTGGCAGAAATTGAGAAGCTAATCCTCAAATTTATATGGAAATGAAGGAGACCCAGAATAGTCAAAACAATCTTGAGAAAGAAGAACAAAATTATAGTATTCATGCTTCTCAATCTCAAAATTATTACAAAGCTACAGTAACCAGGCGTGGTGGCTCACACCTGTAATCCCAGCAGTTTGGGAGGCTGAGGTGGGCAGATTGCCCGAGCTCAGGAGTTCAAGACCAGCTGGACAACATGGTGAAACCCTGTCTCTACTAAAATACAAAAAATTAGCCGAGCGTGGTGGTGTGCGCCTGTAATCCCAGTTACTTGGGAGACTGAGGCAGTAGAATCACTTGAACCTGGGAGGCAGAGGTTCCAGTGAACTGAGATTGTGCCACTGAACTCCAGCCTGGGTGACAGAGCAAGACTCTCCAAAAAAAAAAAAAGACAATTCTTGGGAGAAGATATTTATAAATCATATATCTAGTAAGGGATTTTATTGAGAATATAAAAGAACTGTTACAACTGAATAAAAAGACAGCCCTATTAAAAATAAGCAGTAGATTTGAATAGCCATTTCTCCAAAAAAGATATAAAAATAGCCAATAAGCACATGAAAAGATTTTTCATTACTTATCATGGAAATACAGATCAAAACCGTGATGAGATACCACTTCACACATACTAGGATGGCTATAATAAAAAAGACAGACAATAGCAAGTTTTGGTAAGGATGTGGAGAAATTGGAACTCTCATACATTGCTAGAGGGATTGTAAAACTCTCATACATTGCTAGAGGGATTGTACAGCCACTTTGGAAAACCAGTTTGCCAGTTTCCTAAAATCTGAAATATAGAATTATCATATGATCGAACAATTATACTTCAAGGTATACATTCAAGATAATTAAAAACGTGTCCAGATAAAAACTTGTATACTAATGTTCTTAGCAACATTATTCATAATAGCTGAAAAGTAGAGATAACCCAAATGTCCATCAACTGATGGATGAATAAACAAATATGGTATATCCATATAATACAATTAAAATCAAAGTACAACACAACAACAAAATGGTGAACCTTGAAAATATGCTAAATGAAACAAGCCTGGCACAAAAGGCCACATGTATGATTCCCTTTATATGAAATGTCCAGAAAAGGCAAATCCATAGAGACAGAAAGTAGAGGGAGTTGAGGAGTGGGAGAATGGGGAGTGGCTGTTAATAGGTAAGATTTTTGAGGACAGGTGAAAATATTTTGAAATTAGATCAGGGTAAAAGTTGTGCATCTCTATGAATATGCTAAAACCATGAAATTGTGCACTTTGAAAAGGTGAATTTTGTGAGATATGAATTATACCTCAATAGAGCTGCCATAAAAAATAAATAAAAATGGGCCAGGCATGGTGGGGCTCACACGTGTAATCCTAGCACTTTGGGAGGCCAAGGCGGGCGGATTACCTGAGGTCAGGAGTTCAAGACCAGCCTGGTCGACATAGCGAAACCTCTTCTCTACTAAAAATACAAAAATTAGCCAGGTGTGGTGGCAGGCGCCTGTAATCCCATCTACATGGGGGAGGCTGAGTCATGGGAATTACTTGAACCTGGGAGGTGGAGGTTGCAGTGAGCTGATATGACGCCACTGCACTCCAGCTTGGGGGATAGAGTGAGGTTCTGTCTCCAAAAATATAAATACATAAATAAATAAGAAGTATAAGTATTTCAAATAAACTTAAAAATTAAAAAAAATGCATTTTATTATAGTAATCTCCCCTTACTGGCGGGAGATACATTTCAAGACCCCCAGGGGAATGACTGAAACTGTAGACAGTACCGAAACCTATACGTTCTGTTTTTTTCTATACATATTAATGCATACTTATGATGAAGTTTAATTTATAAACTCGGCAAATAAAATAGAATAATTATAATAAAATACTGTAATAAAAGTTATGTGAATGTGGTCTTTCCCTTTCTTTCTTTGAAAATATCTTATTGTACTGTACCATGGGGAACTGAAACTGCAGAAAGCAAAACCTCAGATAAAGGGAGACTCCTGTATTTGCTGTTGGGTCTACCACAAGGCTCAGTTGTATAAAGTCAGCCACATTTTCTTGTGCCAAAATCTACCATGTTTCCAAACAATTCAGTAAGTGTTTGTTTCATTTTCCCCAATTAGCAAGAACAGTCAACATGTGTAAACTCATTATTTGGTAATATAATAAGCTTGTCTGGTATTATCTTCTAGGATAAATACTTGTAACTATAAATAGCACATTCAGTCTCCTAATTATCCATTTTTATAAAAATCTTATCCATAGATAATCTAAGATGAAGAAGTAGACAATAAAGTACCAAGAAAAAATAAAGCACCAGTAGAATGAGAAAGTGTAGCAGGACATGAACTTCTTGTTTTAATGTTTTCTTTCTCTTTCTTTGCAATAAACACATTCCAGGAAAGGCATGTCTACTGCCACTCCTGAGAATGGAATGAAGGTATTTCCCTTACCTGTTTTAAAGACTGACCACTAGCCTATAAGGCTATTGCTCTAAGCACGAGTTTTAATGAGCCATCAAGATCTATTGTGGGGCCTGGCATGGTGGTGCACACTTGTAATCCAAGCACTTTGGGAGGCCGAGGTGGGTGGATTGCTTGAGCCCAGGAGTTCAAGACTAGCCTGGGCAACATGGTGAAACCTCGTCTCTACTAAAACCACAAAAATTAGCCAGGAGTGGTGGCGCACGCCTGTAATCCCAGCTACTTGGGAGGCTGAGGCAATAAAATTGCTTGAACCCAGGAGGTGGAGGTTGCAGTGAGCCGAGATCACACCACTGCACTCCAGCCTGGGCGACAGAGCAAGAGTCAGTCTCAAAAAAAAAAAAAAAAAAACTATTGTGAAAGAAATTAAGAATAGTCATTTGATTTGTGTGTGACTATGTACAAAAAAAAAAAAAGCAGAAAGCACATGAAGTGAGATGATAGGAACTGGTGATTGGGACATAAACCTAGGAAAAAATGTCACAGAAAGTAGGAGCCTGGTGCGCAAGAAGTGCAGAGTAGGTGGACTATTACACATAAAGTTTTGGTGCCGCAAAAGAAATAGCACTCGAATATAAAATTTTCTTTTTAATTCTCAGCAAGGCAAGTTACTTCTATATAGAACGGTGCGCCCTTACAGATGGAACAATGGTGAGCGCCCAGGTGGACAAGGGAGGGGAAGGGGTTCTTATCCCTGACGAACTTGGCTGCAGCCGCTGTGTCATTCTCCTGTTAGCTAGGGTTAGACCACACAGGCTAAACTAATTCCGATTGGCTAATTGAAAGAGAATGATGGGATGAGAGCTTTGGCGGGAGTCAGGGCAGAGCAGGTAGCAGGTAATCCTAATGAGTTAGAGTGGAGCAGGTGGTCAGAATGAGTTAGGGTGGAGCAGGTGATCAGAATGAGTTAGGGTGGGGTAGGTAATGGAAAAAGGTTGCTTTATGAGGAAGTTAAGTTTAAAAGTAGAAGGCAAAGAATTGAACATACTGACATATTAATTCTTTGAAAATAAATTTAGAACTCCCATCTAACAGGACTAAGGATTACTGTGAGGCTTACTGCCCAACCAGCCCCAAGCCTTCACAGGGGGAGACTCCAGGCTCTTGCACGCATGGACTCTGCTGGCTGGCACAGACCCAGCTTATCAGCAGATCACCATCTGATTCCAGGAGTTTCACTCTGTCCCCAACCAGCCACTCCACATTTACACCGTCTCTGCAGCGGCTTAAGTCTTGTTGAGGTCCAAGGAGGGCCTTGGATATCTGGAACAATGGTGAGGGTGCTGAAGTGAGCCAGTCATGTTCCCTCCTCCAGCTGGGATGTGTGGTGACTTCTTCCCTTACTGTAACACAGAAAGAAAAAGAAACAAGAAAGAACAAAAAAATGGTAAGTTATGCTCCTGAGCTTACTGAGACAACAATTTACCTATTGTCTCTTGATCCCAAATAGATCCTTTTGTAGCTGCTCACTGATGCCAGGACTGGGACTTTGCAAATTACATTTCCCGAGCTCCTTCGCCAGTTGGCAATCTGTTAAATTCTGCAAATCAGAGGCACAAGAGGGAGATTGGAAAGTTGAAGGGGAGGAGAAGTGACTTCTTTCTGACTTTTTGCTGTTTTTATGTTGGCCTAGCTTTTTCTCTCACCCCCAGAAGAAGCCTCATTACCCTCTCAGAGGTGCCAGGGAGCATGCACTTCTCAGATGTCTTATCCCCAGTTCAGGAGGCCCTTCCTCCAAGGAGATGAGTGGTCATCTCAATATCTTCCCTTTTATTTCCCGAGACCTGAAGGTTGTTGTTTCTGCTGTTCTCTCTGGGTTACCCCAGGGCTCCATTTTTGTTCTTCCAGTCTTACAGCACTTGAGTAATCAATTCTGTCTCTGTAATCTCCCCTGTTCAAATACCTAGCACTGTTTTTTGTTTGTTTGTTTGTTTTCCTTCCTGACTGGACTGTGGCTGATACAATACTACCCTTTGCTAGCTGTAACATGGAGCAACATTCCCTTCTTCTTTTATAAAGGGTAAAGACTGAACCAAAAGAGAAGAAAAAATGGGTAAGTTTTGCTCCTTGGTTAACTCAACCCAAATCATCTTTCTAGCTAAATTTTTAAGTTCATCTCAGTTTGAACTTATGCACTTGTTTTTCAACATGCTTAACCACCACCTATAATGCCTCTTGTCTTAATGAATGGATTTCCATATAAAATAAACACTGAAGACTCTTTTTCTTAGAGTATGTAACACATTTTTGTGAAATAAAAATTATAAAAGTATAATTCCAATTGTATTTGTAAGAGCAGAAGTTCTATTAATATATTTCCAGACCACTCCCCAGATAAAAGAGAGAGACTACCAAATTTCCATCTTCGGTCATCTATCCAGAACCAAAAAGCTCTTCCAGTGGCAAGATATGTAACCCTTTCTTTTTTTTCTTTTCTTCTTTTTCTTCTTTTTCTTCTTTTTTTTGAGACGGAGTTTCACTCTTGTTGCCCAGGCCTGAGTGCAATGTCGAGATCTTTGCTCACTGAAACCTCCGCCTCTCCGGTTCAAGCGATTCTCCTGCCTCAGCCTCCTGAGTAGCTGGGATTACAGGCATGTACCACCACGCCTAGCTAATTTTGTATTTTTAGTAGAGACGGGGTTTCTCCATGTCTGTCAGGCTGGTCTCGAACTCCCAACCTCAGGTGATCTGCCCACCTCAGCCTCCCAAAGTGCTGGGATTACAAGCGTGAGCCACTGCGCCCGGCCCCCTTTCTTTTAATTTTTTTTTTTTTTTTGAGACAGAGTTTTGCTCTTGTTGCCCAGGCTGGAATGCAATGGCGCCATCTCAGCTCACTGCAGCCTCCACCTCCTGGGTTCAAGCGATTCTCCTGACTCAGCCTCCAGAGCAGCTGGGATTACAGGTATGTGCCACCACGCCTGGCTAATTTTGTATTTTTACTAGAAACGGGGTTTCTGCATGTCGGTCAGGCTGGTCTCAAACTCCCGGCCTCAGGTGAGCTGCCCACCATGGCCTCCCAAAGTGCTGAGATTACAGGCATGAGCCACTGCACCTGGCCTCTTTTAATTTTTAAGTAGTCTCCTTTCACCTGCAGAATTTGCAGAGCCTTTTGAGACACTATATCCCCTCCTCCTTCTCTGGCTAAGTTGTGTTTAAGTAGAGCAGCATAAGGCTGATGGATGGTATTTTTTCAAGATGAGTATTTAAGAAAATTCCATAAATAATCTGTGTCAATTACTAGTTTATTGCTTCTTAGCTCCAAATCCACACTTCATTGCCTGCACCATAATAATGAAGCTAGACTTTCTCCTTTGCCAGTTGCCATGATGTTAAGCTTTGTCAGTAGAGGGTGTTGGGGGGATGCTGGCTGGAGAAGAAAAGAGTTTCTCTCTCCCTGGTTGCAGTGTGCTCTTCTTGTCAGGCTCCTGCAGTACTCAGCCACACCCAGTTGCACCCAGTGATTATTAGCATATGGCACCTCCCTATGAACAGCTTTTCATGGGACCTCTTTGGTGACTTGACAGTGGAGTGCTGGCGACAAGTTATTTCTCCATGAACAGCTTCCCCCAGCACTTCATTAGGTGGATTTCCAGCAAGTTTCATTAGTATGGCACCTCCGCAAACTTCTCTGCCATCCACTGAGCTAAGTCCTTGCTGTTTCTATGAGGTCTGGATGTCAGCCCGGAATGGGCTTCCTTATCTCGGTTCTGTGGGTAGTGGCTGCTCCCTAAATCTGCTATCCGTGATATGAACCCAAAAGTACCTGACAGATCTTAATCAATTTAGAAAGTTTATTTTGCCAAGGTTAAGGACACGCCCATGACACAGCCACAGCAGGTCCTGACAACATGTGCCCAAGGTAGTCAGGGTACAGATTGATTTTATACATTTTAGGGAGGCATGAGGCATCAATCAATACATATAAGATGTACATTGGTTCGGTCTGGAAAGATGGGACAACTCAAAGCAAGGGGCTTCTAGGACACTGGTAGGTGAGAGACAAAGGGTTACATTCTTTTTGAGTCCTTGATCAGCTTTTTACTGAGTACACAATTTAGTCTGGCTCAGTGAATCCACATTTTTACATGAATATTAGGGCAGAGGAAGCCATCAGATATGCATTTCTCTCAGGTGAGCAGAGGGATGAGCTTCTGCTCACATCTGTGAAGATAAGCGATCAGGATGAACTTCAACAGAACTGTTTTAGGGTAAAGATCTTGAGGCCCACAAGGAATTTCCTTGTGGGCAAATTGTGAGGGAGGTATGTAGCTTTGTAGGTATTTTATTTAGAAATAAAATGGGAGGCAGGTTTGTCTGACCTAGTTCCCAGCTTGACTTTTCCCTTGGCTTAGTAATTTCCTAGCCTTGTGGAAAAAGTCAGTCTAAGAAAATGAAGTTGACATATAGAGAAAAGCAACAGTAGGAGGAAAATGAAAAAAAAAATGTTGGCGTTAGAGCGCCTGGTTTTAGTATTATCACAGGCACAAATGTGCCCTGGCCCTTACCACGGTTTAGTTACTTGTACCAACTAATTTATTTTTCCCCCTAAGCTACTTTGTGTTAGGTTTCTATCACTTATAATTGAGTATCCTAAAATGTTAACTTTCCTGAGGACCCTTGACCGCATTCTCACTTCCACTCTTTATTCCTTCAGCATATTTTATATGTACTAACCATTTGCTACTTTACACTGTGCTTCTTCCCTAACCGCCCATATGGCACAATTTTACATTTTTAGCTAACGGTATCTAAGGCCATATTTTGCATATATACATTTTGTTATTGCCAATTAGATGGCAATTGGCACATCTGTTACAGTGCCATGCATGTTGTTTGCTATTTAGTTGATGAATGGAAATTCCATAGCGTTACAAATGTGGTTATTTCCCTTTAGGGGTCTTATTTAAATATGTACTACAGGACAGCCCTCCCTCAGTATCCATGGGGTGGGGTGGGGGAGTGTGAAAGGGGGAATTGGTTCCAAGATCGCTGCAGATACCAAAATCCATGCTGTTCAAGTCCCTTGTATGAAATGGTGTCATATTTGCGTACAACCTATGCGTATCCTCTGGTATACTTGGTCATCTCTAGATTACTTATAATACCTAATACAATGTAAATGCCATGTAAATATTTGTTGTGTTTTTTTATTTGTATTTTTTTATCGGTGTATTGCTATTTAAAATGGTTTTTTGCACATATTTTCAACCCACGGTTGGTTGAATCTGCAGATGCAGAACCTGCGGATATACAGGGGGCCAACTGTATATGGTGCCTAAGGAATATTCAGATAGCATACTGTAATAGCAATAGCCTCTATTTGTTAACACTCCATTTTATTTAAGGAACTATGTTTTTCATATATTATCTTGTTTAATTGTCACTCTAGGAAGTTTTGTTATTTGTTTTAAATATGAAAATACTAAAATTACAATAACTTGACAAAACTTGAACCAAGGCTTCACTGACTCCTAAGTTCATCTACTATGCTATACTGCTTCACCCATAGTGTAGATACATTATATTTTGAAAGGAAAACCCCTGAAGGTGTATTGTATATAGTTCAACCTTTGCCTATAAAAGTTGGTTTAGGAAGAATAATTAGGTAGAGCCCAGGGTACAAAAATATTATTACTAAACATTGAACACTGTTCGACTTTTTAAAAAAGTACTGAATCTACCCAAGACAAGGATCCTCTTCATCTGCCTGTTTGATGGTGTGCACACAACGAAATGAGGGCAGTATTAGCAATGTGATTCTATTGGTCTTATTTGCCTTTGATGCTGTTCTATATTGCAGTGAAGAGAAGCTCCAGTCATAGTCCTGAAATAAAACCAGTGACTATTTAAAGCTAGTTTTATTTTTCTGAGAAAAATATAAAATAAAACATATATACAAGTAGCCTTGTCTTAATATCCTCTGACCAAATTGCCTTCTCTTATTCTTTTTTAAAAATTTGTTTGATACATTTCAATATTTTTTTATCAAATTAAGCTTACTGTACATTAAGAAAAGATACACAGAGCAGAATTTTTTCTTTCTTTCTTTCTTTTTTTTTTTTTGAGATGGAATCTCGCTGTGTCACCCAGGCTAGAGTGCAGTGGCGCGATCTGGGCTCACTGCAAACTCCGCCTCCCAGGTTCACGCCATTCTCCTGCCTCAGGAGTAGCTGGGACTACAGGCGCCCGCCACTATGCCCGGCTAATTTTTTGTATTTTTAGTAGAGACGGGGTTTCACCGTGTTAGCCAGGATGGTTTCAATCTCCTGACCTCGTGATCCGCCCACCTCGGCCTCCCAAAGTGCTGGGATTACAGGCGTGAGCCACCGCGCCCGGCCAGAGCAGCATTTTTTCAATAATTATCAGGCCTTTGGAGGTGAGGTTATTAAATTTTAGGTCATAAGTCAAAATTTTCATGTTTGGCTAGTTGAACCAATTAATTTCTTTTTTTCCTAAGCTACTTTGAGCAATTGTTCTAAAAATTTATTTGCTGGAGTTTTTGTGGCTCTTTTTTTTTTTTTTAAAGACTATTATTCATGTAAATAAAGTAATCTCAATTCATTTGCTGTAGTTCACATTTCAACTCTATATCAGTTCCTGGAGAGAACCTTGAAAAGATCAGTTGTGCTGTATCGATTACTTGCAGTCAGAAAATATTTCAGTAGCTGTATTTATGATGTTAAAAAAGATAGATAAAAAGCAAAAAACATTTGTTACATCAGTCAAGTTTTTGTTCTTATGTGTGGCAAATAACTGATTTGAGTTATTATCGTACAATAGGCTAGTTTTGCTTTTATTTTTCTCTTTTAACTGAAATTACAAGTTATCCACAATTCAAAGACTAATTTTGTACCAATAAGGAAACAACAATGCTTTTTGCTGCTTCACTCTGAAAAGCATTATAAAACTGGACCAACTAAATCATACCTCACTTAATGCTGAATTTGAGTTTAAAATCAACACTGTGAAAGAAGGGGATTGTAGTGAGAGCCTAGCCCCACAGAAACTTTTGTTTTTAAATACCTTCCAATGGCTTGGCCTATGTGCAAAAGACAGTTCATCCGGAGATGGGCACACATTTACAAATGGGCTGTTCAATGTTGCAAACAAATAGGTTAACAGTCAATTGAATCATTTCTGCAAATAGGCAGATTTTTACATGTGGACTGCAAGTGGCAGGAGCATATATGTACATGCCTCTGATGTTTTCAAAGCAGGACATCTTAAAGGGACTTTTTTTTTTTGTAACTGCAGCTAATAACACTAAGGATTATACATGTGTTTACTTCTTCCCTGTGAGATTTTCCAAATGCTCAGTTGATTTTTTTTCTAATTACTATTTAAATGAAAAAAAAAATTTGACAAGTAGACACATTTTTGTACTTGGATAATACTGTTCACTCCAATTTAAGTCTTAGCAGCAAAAATAAATTCAAATGCATTTAGGTCAATAAGGGCCATACCAGAATATAGCACATTTACCTGCTTAAAGGAGAGGCTAAGAATTAAGGACAAACCCGTAATCATACCACTCCTACCCTGGACTTGCTCCATGTTCAGCCAGTAAAGAAAACAAATTAGTCTGTTTCTCAAAAGCCAGGGAGCAAAACTGAAGAGAGCCTCAGAAAGCAGAAAAATATATTCCAAATACGCACTAGGAAAATGCCTAAATCGAGCAATCCTCAAGTACCTGAAGCAGTGTGTGTACCATTGGTTTCCAACACAGATTTTTCTTATCTCTTCTCTATTTAAAACATGGAGTGGGCAGAATGTTTTAATCCAGAGTTTTTACTTTCGTAACCTAGGAACGATAATTTGAGGCTTCTAAGTAGGTAAGTGTTGCCATGGATACAAAAAGAAATCTCTCCGAGATCTCCTCCCGCATGGAGCTTATTACTAAAAAAAGGATGTGAAGCTCAAAGTATATCTAGACAGACTCGTGGACTGTTAAGCTAGCTGAACCCTTGGTCTGTTAGTAGTTTTGAAAAATAATTTTAGGCCGGGCGTGGTGGCTCACGCCTGTAATTCCAGCACTTTAGGAGGCCGAGGCGGGTGGATCACGATGTCAGGAGATCGAGACCATCCTGGCTAACACGGTGAAACCCCGTCTCTACTAAAATACAAAAAATTAGCCGGGCGTGGTGGCGGGCGCCTGTAGTCCCAGCTACTCAGGAGGCTGAGGCAGGAGAATGGCGTGAACCCGAGAGGCAGAGCTTGCAGTGAGCCGAGATCGTGCCACTGCACTCCAGTCTGGGCGACAGAGTGAGACTCCGTCTCAAAAAAAAAAAAAGGAATTTTAACTATCCAGACGCATTGTTTGTTGGTATATATAATGATGTAACTTCTATGGGGAATAATTTGCAAATAATCATCAAAATTACAATTATATATACCCAATGACACAGAAGGTCTTCTGGGAATTTCTGCTGCAGATATACAGAATTTATCCTACAGATATTTATAGCATATACATATATGCTAAAGCATGCACACATAGGTTATTTGTTGTGACATATTTTTGTAATAGCAAAAGCCTGAAAACAACCTAAATTTCTATTAATAAAAGACAGGTTAAATAAAATAAGGAATACTACAGAGCCATATCAATATGGAATGATGTATAAGATACATACTGTGAAGCAAAAATAGTGAGTGTAGTAAAAATCAAAGTGAATAGTATGCTACTATTTGTGTAAAAGAGAGGGGTTGTATTCATATTTATTTGTTGGTATATGCATAACATGTCTTTGGATACATCAGCAAGTGCTAGCATTGATTGCCTCATGACAAGTGGTACTGGGTGACTGACATACAGAGGGGGGAGTGGGTCCTTTTAGTGTGTACCTTTCACTGTATACCTTTTAGTACTTTTTGAATTTTGAATCATGTAAATGTACTAACTGTTCAAAACACAAATCATTTAAAACTAAATATACACAGATGAACCCACAAAACTTTCATTAATTCTAGCCATACTTAGGAATGCTTTATAATCTCCATCTTTCATCTTGTATAAAAAGCCTTTCCAACGTGGAAAAAGTATGTTTGGAAAATGTATAAAATAGTAGTAGCTAACTGAACATACGTTGTGTGCCAAGTAGTATACTCAGATCTTTACAAATGGTTTCTCAATTAATCTCTACAATTCCATGAGACAGGTACAATTATCTCATGTTATGAAGGAAGGCATTGATGTAACACAACTAGGAACAACACTAGAGACACCCACGTATTATTGACTCAAAAACTTGTGTTTAATCACTGCCATACTGCTGTTCTTTTCTTCTTTCAATGAATTCTTCTTTCTTCTTTCCTGAATTCTTCAATGAACTTTGGCTGAACATCAGCACAATAAAATTGAATACATGGGAGGGGAAATGTATAGGTATTATTTGGTGACTAGTTACCTCATTTGATCAGTAAAAAATGTTTCAGAATAAAGAGGCCAAATATATTGGCTGCATTCTTGCATTCCAATGTGGTATAATTTTGAAACTATCTGGTTAAAATCACAAGGCATTAAAATATAATTTGTGACAAAATAAGAACTTCAACAAGAATAGAATTAACCATTTAAAAAAATTCCTGTCTTTGGTGGCTTAGTATCTAGAGTCAGATGTGAAAATATCACTTAGCTTTGGGCCATGTGAAAATTTGAAAATTCTTAGGTTCGTTGGACTTGAGCCTTGTGTAGTTGAAGTTTCACTTAGCATCGGCAGTACTCAACTTTAGTTTTCTAAGAATAAAGATATTTGAAATGCATTTTGGCCTTTAAATATTTTGTAGCAAACAATTCTTGTTAAATATAAACAAATCAGTAATATCTGGATTACTTGCAACTTCACATGCAATTTTAAGGGAAAAAATAAAATGCCTAGAAGAATATATTTAAGGCTTGGCCATATATGAAATTTGAAAAATGGACTTCTTTGGGTAGGCTTGTGGAGTTTTATTTATCAAAAAACTATCCATACTCATTGTGTAAATAAAGAGATTAAACTTAGAAGGTCATTTCTTTGCTGCATTACAAGAAAAATACTCAACAATATTCATGTAAATAATAACACCATCTTATATTAAAGTACTTTTTCACTTATATAAGGAAAAAGCTTTGTTTTTACATTTTATAAAATTAATAACTGACTTTTTAAAGAGATAATTGTGACAAAATTTCAAGTACAATTTCAATATCTTTTAATTTAAAAAACTCCTACCTACTTTCAGAACAGTTTGAAGTAGTTTATAATGAAATATATATATACATATAGTTTCATTCAAGGTCCAGGAAGGAAAGCATAAACCACTCAAGATGTTTCACCAGAGGGAGCTTTGATACGGAGAATTAATGGTCAGAAACAAAAGCTGAAAATTTAAGCATAGGACATTGAGGCAACCAAGAGACTGGCCCCACAATAAGCTACCACCACCCCTAGCAGAGTTACAAGTAATTTACCTTCTTGTTTCCTCCTGTACTTCAATTTTCCACCAGTGTTTTCCATTGGCTGAACCTGTCTGGAAGCCAGAGGAAGAAGGAACCTGGAAAATGTACTTTCCTGTGAGATAGCGTGGGGGGAGCACAGAAAAGGCAGAAAATTTATTTGAGAGTCTAACCATTTTGCCATTCAGGATCTATTCTTATTCTTTGTATTAGTCTGTTGTCATGCTGCTAATAAAGATTTACCTGAGACTGGGTAATTTATAAAGGAAAGAAATTTAATGGGCTCACACATTCACATGGCTGGGGAGGCCTCACAATCATGGCAGAGGCAAAGGGGAAGCAGAGGTACATCTTACATGGTGGCAGGCAAGAGAGCTTGTGCAGGGGATCTCCCCTTTATAAAACCATCATATCTCATGAGACTTATTCACTATCATGAAAACAGTGGAGGAAAACCCGCCCCTATGATTCAATTACCTCTCACCAGGTTCCTCCCAGGACATATGGGGATTATTACAATTCAAGGTGAGATTTGGGTGGGGACACAGAGCCAAACCATAACACCCTTATACCAATACAACAGCAACTCCATGATTCTGCCTAACATGAGTCTACTATCCATCATGCAAACAAAGATACTGTTGTCTTTTTTTCCAGAAAATGGACACACAAGGTCCTAGAAAAGTCAGCCATTGTACCTATCTCAAGATTTTCCAGGTGATAACACAATCCTGTAATCCTCCCTGTTGTGGTTCCTTGTGGTCCTGGTTACCTGTGAACTAAATTGTAAAATTAGTCACTACCAATTCTCATTCAACATAAGAGGGAAGATAATGGTAAGAAAATCTGAAAGAAAAAAAAACTGGCACATATGAAATATTGTGTGCGTGTATGTGCATAGCTGCTATGATCCATATTTCTGTAACTGATTACAGGGTCAAGAGTGATATTTATTACTTCCTTCTTCCACCACCCATTTCATGATTGCTTTGTCCTAATATAGCACCTGGATTTGTTGGGATTCTGTACCTGATTGGGTGACTAAGACCTTTATATTGAAGGATCTTAGTCCATAGAAGTTCAGATTTTATTGGGTGGCTTTACACTGGACATAGAAGTAATGAGATATCCTAGAGAATCCCTGGGGTTCTAGACATGATCCTCCCTACCTGCACCATGCACCAGCCACCCAGTTTTCTTGTGTTAATCAGATCAATTTTTCCAGTCTCTACAGCAACTTCCTTCTCTACTTGTTGGTGAGTCTCAGCTTCCAATTTGATGGGACTTGTGTTGGATTCTCTGGTGACAATATTCCTCTTTGGGAACTAAGTCCTGTAAACTAGCAAAGCCCAAGGGTGAGAATGAGAGGCAAAACCTCTGAGAAAGGGCTAGGCTTAACAGGGAGAGAGGCCACTCCCATTTCTATCACTTGGACTATCCCATGTATTATGGCTATGAGAGAAATAACACATCATAAGTAGAGAGCTGGATCAGAGTTATACTGCACCCCTACATCATAGAATGTTGTCTTCTGGCAGATGACATAACTGGCTTCTTAGTAAGCTATTCTTCCATTCTATTAGGCCAGCTGCTTCTGGCTGATAATTTAGGTAGTAAGACCAGTGAACTCCATGAGCAATGAACAATTGTACTTTTTTTTTTTTTTTTTTGTAAAATGGTTTCCAGAAGTCATATTGTAAGGAATACCATGCTACTGAATAAGGCCTCCTGTGAACCCATAGATGGTATTGGGAGATTTATTGCAGGCATTGAGGACCAATGCATATCCTCAGTAAGTGCTTAATTTGCTCCTTCTGTGATGGAAGGAGCTCACTATTGTCTACCTACCACAAAACAGCTGGCTGGTCTCCTCTGGGAAATGTGCCCTATCAGTGACTCAGTGTTGGCCTCTGCTGTTGGCTGGTTGGGCACCCAGCAGTGGCTATAGTCAGATCAGCCTTGTTAAGGGAAGTCTCTGTTATTGAAGTCCCTGTTATGATTGACTCTATCCCTACTGCTATGGTCACTTTGTATGCAATCAAGTACCACGATGGGTGAGAAAAGAGGCTGTACCGAATATCTTCTTTTTGCTCCCCTCTCCACTGTACTCTGAGTTATGAGTAGTTGCATGTGAGATTCTGCAGTTGCTAGGTATGTCTACCTCAACTATCCAGAGATATATCCAGAGACAGAGGATATAACCACAGGATGGGGCTGCGAGCCCACTGGGCCCACTGTGACATAGTCTCAGCCCCAAACTCCATTAACCCCCTGACCTCTATAAGCCCCCATTCTGAATGAATGATGGATCACAGTGATTTTTCCCAGGGATTAGCATCAACTCAAATTTGATTAGCATCAACTCAAATCTATGAATTCCCCCAAATTTGGATACTTGTCTTTTCCCAGTGCACAGTCATCCTGGTAAAGGACTGCAGATCTCACGGGGTAGGTTTGAAGGACGATTTCTAGTACAAGCAGGCAGTGTTTTCAGATCCTTCCTGATAAAACCCATACTCCTGGCTGGGCACGGTGACTCACACCTGTAATCCCAGCACTTCAGGAGGCCAAGGCAGGTGGATCACCTGAGGTCCGGAGTTCGAGACTAGCCAGGCCAACATAGTGAAACCCCATCTGTACTAAAAATACAAAAATTAGCCGGGCATGTTGGCCGGTGCCTGTAATCCTAGCTACTTGGGAGGCTGAGACAGGAGAATTGCTTGAACCCAGGAGGCAGAGGTTGCAGAGAGCCAAGATCGTGCCATTGCACTCCAGCCTGAGTGACAAGAGCAAAATTCCGTTTCAACAAAGAAAAGAAAAAAAGAAAAAAAACCCCACTCTCCCTTTCAAAGGGTCCCAAGCTGTCGAATTGGCTTAGATCTGGGAAATGTGAGAGGCTATGAATTCCTTTTGCAGTGATCAGGTAAGGTTTCAGCTCCTCACTTCTAGAATATTTCTGATGGTATAGATCAAATGTGTTAGTATGCTGCCATCTATTTCATTCCTAAGAACACTTTGTTCAGTTAGCCACCACCACAGATCCCTTGGTGTCAAAATACTCTCATTGTCACTGTGTACCTGTTGCTGCTCATTCTGGTAATTGCATCCAGTTTGTTTCTGATAGTTAAGAGCTTTCACCTGGCCTAGGTCATGCCAGGATCCAATTATTCCCACTCAAGTTGTGGAGCTCATCCCAATGGCAGCATCTTCCAGCATCCTACCCAGTCAACAAAGAACAGCCACCACCAGGTTTTTCCAAGATGCTGGTGCACCTTTTGCTAATGCATTTTCTCAGTGAAGTAGCAAATAAGGAAAATAGGGAAAGGGCGAGTGAGTTTCATAGAATTAATCTACTCCAACATTCTCGTACCCCTAAGCTTTTAAAATTTCTTCTTCCACATTTTGAAGGGAAGTTCTGGTATGTTAACTTCATTGAAGGTAGGCCTCTACTGAATACAAGTTTAAGCCAATCAACCAAGGACACTGCTAAGCCATTTCCCACTTACGTACCCCAAATCTTATATACTGAATAAGTGCACCCTTAGATAAATTTGGCTTGATTCAGTGTTAAATTCCATTCTCTTTGGTCTAGCACCCTAAAAACTATCTTTAGGCTAGGCATGGTGGCTCATGCCTGTAATCCCAGCACTTTGGGAGGCCGAGGCCAGTGGATCACCTGAGGTCAGGAGTTTGAAACCAGCCTGGCCAACATGGTGAAACCCTGTCTTTACTAAAAATACAAAATTAGCCGGGCGTGGTGGCACATGCCCGTAATCCCGCCTACGTGGGAGGCTGAGGCAGGAGAACTGCTTGAACCTGGGAGGTGGAGGTTACAGTGAGCTGAGATTGCGCCATTGCACTCCAGCCTGGGCAACAAGAACGAAACTCCATCTCAAAAAAAAAAAAAAAAAAAAGAAACTATCTTTAAACATTTTACCTGGGCTCATTCTGATGAAAATTGGCAAGATTTGACAATTCTTTTGGTATATAGGCTATCTGCACCTGGATCAGATTGCAATTCTCCCCCACAGCATGCTGTGATCTGACTCTATTTCT
Organism: Homo sapiens; assembly: GCF_000001405.40. Classification (NCBI taxonomy): domain Eukaryota; kingdom Metazoa; phylum Chordata; class Mammalia; order Primates; family Hominidae; genus Homo; species Homo sapiens. The sequence goes on from NC_000004.12 coordinate 145,210,296, forward strand.
GGGTCTGTAAGCAATGACAGATGAAAGATAGGAAAGATTGGTGATCAAGTCACACAGGATGGCTCTTCCTCTCCCTAGTAAACATGGGATACCCTGTCATTGAAGGAGGTATGCCAGCAAAGTCCCAGGTTCTGTTCAACCTTTACTGTATCCCTGGACTAAAGCAATGTATGCTGGTCTTGTTTTACATTCCAGACTGGATAATGTGTGCCTCACAGGCTGTTCTCACAAATGGCCTCTTCTGTCTGTTTTGAGTACATATTATCTGTGCTCTGGGGTACAGAGTACTCTAGGGTTCACCCTTGGTCATTCCTAATTATCTATAGTGCAACCTACAAAGTCAGTGACCAGCCTCACTGGCCCTGTGGTTGAAACAGAGTGCCGACAGAGTGAAGTCCCCAGGCAAACCCGGGGATCAGAGTTGCAGGAGGAGGCACTAAGAGATAAGGGTCAACTTGTACAAGATTGATCCCCTTGCAGGATGCTGTTTAGAAAATGAGTTGGCTTCCTGAAAAGTTTTATGGAAATTGATTATTGCTCAGTGCATAAGACAATGGCCAATGGTAAGTATTGGACCTAAGCTCCCCCATCCTAATGATGTCAGGGAATGGATTGGTGCTCCCCTAACTGTGAATGTTAAGGTATTGAGTTAGGCAACCAACTCACCATATCACATAGCTTCCAGGCTTGGACTCCAGCCTCTACTCATTTCATACCAGAAGATGAGAGGATAGTGCTGAACTGGAAGAACAGAGCTAGATCTGTGTTTCTGCTCTGTCATATTGCTGTTGTGTTGCAGGCTCTGATGATACCTCATGGGGGATGGGGGTTTGGAGTAGGGGGCTATTGCTTCCTTAATAATGAGCAGCAAAAAGGCCTCATAGCCCAAGGGTTGGGGTCCTTCCCCCACAGACTGACACAGCCAGAAGTCTCTGTGCTGCCCCAGAATGTATGGAAAATGGGACAATCTACATTCCTAAGATTTCTGTTTCTGTGAATCTTCTCCTATGAATGCAACTATATGTGTGCTGTGTGGTCATTTTTCCTTGTTTGCTCAACACTCATAGGGCTTCTTGTCTGATTTGTGTATTGCTTGGTTAGAGTTATTTTTCAAGCATTGTTCTCAGATCAAATACAAGGGTAATATATTATCTGTGTTCCTGCATATAACTTTATTTCCTGGTTAGCCAATTGTTTTGTTTTGTTTTTGTTCTTTGTCTATGTAAAGTAGCATGTCAGCCCTTTCCTCACAGTAATGGGTAGATGTTATTGTACTAATTTCTTTTTTTTAAATTTTTTTAAAATTTTTATTTGAGACAGAGTCTCACTCTGTCGCCCAGGCTGGAGTGCAGTGGCGCGATCTCGGCTCACTGCAAGCTCTGCCTCCCAGGTTCACGCTATTCTCCTGTCTCAGCCTCCCCTAGTAGCTGGGACTACAGGTGCCCCCCACCACGCCAGGCTAATTTTTTGTATTTTTAGTAGAGACGGGGTTTCACTGTGTTAGCCAGGATGGTCTCGATCTCCTGACCTCGTGTTCCACCCGCCTCGGCCTCCCAAAGTGCTGGGATTACAGGCGTGAGCCACTGCGCCTGGCCTCTACTAATTTCTAGCTTCTAACATTGTAGATTTGAAGTCAAATGACAGATTGTCTTTCTTCCTTTATGAGTAAATTTTTTTTCTGCCTCGAAGTTTTTATGAGTTTTTCATCATTCTTGAAGTTTTAAGTTTACAAGAGCGTGCCCAGCAATGTGTGTTTTCTTGTTAAAACCATCTGGAATTCAGTGAGCCCTTACAGTCTGCAGATGCGTATGTTTCTTCAGCTCAAGGTAATTTTCTTCTTCTATGTTTAATTATTTTCTTTTTTCCATTATTTCATTTTATTCCCCTGTGGATTGCCTATTACTCACATGTTGGATCTTCTGGATCTATCCTTCAAATCCTTTATCATTTCCCTAATGATTTTCATCTCTTTGTAATTTTGTTCTTTGCTTCAAGATCTCTTTCACTTGAACTTCAGGCCAGTAACCTGAATTTCAACTTTAAACATCTCTTTTAATTGAGACGCTGAGTTCCTAGTTCATTCATGCTATTCATGAAACTCTTTTAAGAGTTCTTATTATACTTTTAACTCTCTTCCAGTCACTCTCTTTTAATAAGGGATTCTTCTGAGTATTCATCTTCTCCTTGGCTGCTAGACCTAATATATTGTCCTTCCTCCCAGTGGTCTATTGACCTTTGAGAACCATGGTTTACACAGGAACTGTGGATCAGATTCTAGCATTGGTGTTCTCTAGTGTAGGTTCTTAGGCTCTCATCTGGCTGAGAAATAAGAATTTCCTACAGCAGCTCCCTCCCTCAGGGAGTTGTGTTCATTATTGGGCCCAGTGCTTCACCCCTCCCCATATCCATGCCCTTTTAACTTTGTAATACCCTCCCATTCTGGATGAGATGATCTGCCTTGGGATTTTGTTCTGGTCTCAGCCATGTGATTTGATATGACCAATGGGATGTTTTTCAACCAGGGGCTTGAAAAAGTGCTTGCACATTTCCACTCACTGTCTGGTTCCTCTGCCTTCACGATGGGAACATCCTAGGCTAACCTGTGGAAGGATAACATTTGGACCTACCAGAAGTGTGTCATTCAGTTGTCCCTCCAAATGACTTTCTATCTCATTTCAAGGTGTTCATAAAGTCTGAAAACATAGGCTCATATATATAACACTATCCAGGACATCTTCAATCTGTAAAAAATAAAATAACATAATTATTTACATTTCCAGGCTTCATGGACAGTCTTGTAGAACAAAAGCCAAAATCCTAATGATGATCTACGAGAGGCTCTACATGATTTCCTGCTCTCCCCACCTCTCTGACCCCCTGTTCTTTCCCTTGTGCATTCTGCCCCAGGCACACTAGGCTCCTTTTTGTGTGCCTGAAATGCCTTCGCCCTTTACCCAAATATCTCCAGTGAAGTGGTTTGAATATTGGTCTTCCCAAATCTCATGTTGAAATGTAATCCCCAGTATTGGAGATGGGGCCAGGTTGGAGGTGTTTGGGTTACTGGGGTGATTCCCTCATGAATGGCTTAACACCATCTCCTTGGTGATGAGTGAGTTCTCACTCTGAGTTCATGTGAGGTCTGGTTGTTTGAAAGAGTGTGGTACTTCCCCCCATGACTCTCTTGTTCTCTTCATGTGACATGCCTTACTCCTGGTCACCTTCTGCCACAATTATAAGCTTCCTGAGGCCTCACTAGAAGCAGATGCCAGCACCATGCTTCCGGTAAAGCCTGCAGAACTGTGACCAGTTATACCTCTTTTCGTTATAAAGCACCCAGCATCAGGTATTTCTTTATAGCAATGCAAGAATGGGCTAACACACACACATCCCTCGATTTTCTCATGCCTCCTCAAAGGTCACTTTTCCTCATCACATTACTTACTCCCCTCTAGTACTCTGTATTCTTTTACTCTGTTTTATCTTTTTCCAAAGCACTTATCATAATCTAACATACTTTTTGTTTTACTTATCTATTTCCTTTATTTTCTCTCTTCCTCACTAGATTGTAAATCCTGTAAAAGTAGGGATTTTTGTCTGTTGTGTTAACTCCTGATGCAGGATTTTTCTCAGTCCCTTTGCCAGTCAAGGACCTCTGGCTGGTGATGCCCCTGCCTGGGCCTTGCTCAGGGCATGCTACCTGCTGCAGGAGATGGCCTGCTCACTTGGCCCGTCTGGGCCAAGTCTTGCTTGCACATCAGTTCCCGAGTTCTTGTCTCACATCCAGGAAGAATGAGAATATGTTGACAACTGAAAAGTGAGCAAGGCGGGGAGTTTTCTTGAGTGTTGAAATAGCTTTCAGGGGTGAGGAGATGTGGGGGTTGTCCTCCTACCTTAAGACAGGAAAGTGCCCTGTATATGGCTGAGTCCAGGGCTTTTATGGGATCAGAATGGGGAGGTGCAGGCCATAGGTAGTATTGGGAAAGGCAATATTTGATTGGTTAAAATGCACTATTCAGAAAGAATCAATTGGGAAAGGGCAGGCAAACAGAAATAGAAGTTCTCTGGGTTGTGGATTTCATTTGTAACCAGCAGTCTGGTCTTTCAGCCTTCAGGCTGTTTCTGGCTTGAAGGTGGTTTCACTGGGGACCCACCCCTATCTGCCTGGGCATTTGGCTTCCTCCTGTTGCCATCACTTCTATAGCTCTAATACCTATATCATACTGGTAAATGTTACTGGATTGAATAAAACCATCAACACTTATTTTATTATAATTATTTGCTTTTAGAGACAAAGTCTCACTGTGTTGCCTAGGCTGCAGTGCGGTGACTATTCACAGGTGTGATAATGGCACAGAACAGCTTTGAACACTTGGGCTCAAGTGATCCTCCCTCTTGCCTCAGCCTCCCAAGTAGCTGGGATTATAGGTGTGCATCTGGCTTGCAATCAACGTTTTAAAGCATTATCTTTGGCATAGAGACAAATGCTTATTTTATTTGTTGTGACAGAACAAGCATTCTGTTCATCTAAAAGTTGTATCATGTCATTTAAGTTCAAATGAAGTCTAAGCGTAGCTGGAGAGAGTTGATGGTTTTAAATAAATTGTATTTAATCTGTTAAGGGCCTATTACATTTCCACTCACAATGGATTCTTACAGTGGTAGATATGATGTGAATTTTGAATAAATTCAATTTTTTTTTGTAAAATAAAAGATAATTATATCTCAATATAACCCTTAAAAATTCTTAAACATTCTCAACAGATTTCTCATTAAATTAAAACAGAATATAGTTTTGGCTATTAGTATAATGTGATCATGGGTTGTTCTGAGGCTTTAGTTTAGTAAAATAACCTCCTGATATATTTCAAAGAGCAAGTTAATTCAACTCTTTCCTCACGTTACAAATTGTTAAATATATGTACACACTTATTCCAATTAGCCATGAGAAATACTTAGAGAATATTGATAAAATACACAAAAATCTCCTTTTTCCATTTAATGCTGCATGTCATTAACTATTCTTTATAAATATGGTTGTAATTGTAACAATTCCATATGGCTTTTCTACAATTTAGTTTTATAGTCTCCTGTTACAAAATTTGTAGATTGTTTTCTATTTTTCTGTTTTTTTTTTTTTTTTGAGGCAGAGTCTCGCTCTGTCCTCCAGGCTGGAGTGCAATGGCACGATCTTGGCTCACTGCAATCTCTGCCTCCCGGGTTCAAGCAATTCTCCTGTCTCAGCCTCCTGAGTAGCTGGGATTACAGGCACCCGCCACCACACCTTGCTAATTTTTTTTTTTTTTTGTATTTTAAGTAGAGATGGGGTTCCACCATCTTGGCCAGGCTGGTCTTGAACTCCTAACCTCATGATCCACCCATCTCTACCTCCCAAAGTGCTGGGATTACAGGCGGGAGCCACCACACCCGGCCTATTTTTTTCTGTTATAAATAAGACTTTGATGATCATCCTAGGACATAATTCTTTGAATGTATCTCTGTTATATATATATTTTGGCTAGAGTCCTAGGTATAGAATTAATTAATCAAATGATATAAGCATTTAAAATTTTCTTGCTCCATAATTGTCACATTTTGCAGAAAGGTTGCATCACTTTTTACTTCTATTAGCAATATGTTAGTGCATCTCATCCTTCTCATATCAGCACTGAATTTTTTTATTGTGGTAAAATATACCATAAACATATGGTAACATAATGTTTACCATTTTAGCCATTTTTAAGTGTACAGTTCTGTGACATTAAGTGTATTCACATTGTTGTGCAACCATCATCACCATGCATCTCCAGAACTTTTTCCTCTTCCTAAACTGAAACTCTGTCCACATGAAACACTAACTTTCTCTTCTCCCCACGACCACAGGCAACACCCTTCTACTTTCTGTCTGTATGAATTTAACTACTCTAGGTACCTCATATGGGTGGAATCACATCTCTCCTTTTGTGATGGGTTTATTTAATTAATTGCCTTCAAGGTTTATCCACGTTATGGCATCTGTCAGAATTTCCTTCCTTTTTAGGGTTGAATAATATTTCATTGTATGTATATAGCACATTTTGTTTTTCCATTCATCTTTCAATGGAGACTGGGGTTGCTTTCACCTTTTGGCTATTCAGCATTGAATTTTAAAAAGACTCTACCCTAGTTTTAATTGTATTTATTTGATTTATTGTAATACTGAACACATACACACACAAACACACAGATTTTGCCCCTGAGTAGCTATTTGTATTTTAAAATTGATTATGCTAAATTTGTCACTCACTTTAGTAGGTATTGTCTGTAAGCAACATAGGAATGTATTAAGCTAAGAACATATCATTTATGTTTATATCCAGGGAGAAAAGTTTTAATATCTTGTCATATATCCTTTTTTTGTTTTGTTTTGTTTTTGCAATTAGCTACAGTTGCCTTTAGGTGGCATTAGATCCTTGGGCATGTGTTACAGAGATTTTTGCTTATTGGATGTGTGTATGTATGTTTTGACAGCTTGATGGATTTAAAAGCTGATCCAAATGTTATTTGAGGTCTAGAATGAAATATAAATTAATATAGAAGCTAGGCATCCTGAGACCTCTTTCATTATGCAACTACATGTTGACTAAATGATGTCTTCCTTTTTTTTTCTACAACAAATATTCTCCAGTTCTTTGCCTTGGATTAGATACTTTTAGAACAAAAATCTTAAAAATGTTCTGAAGTTCAATGTGAGGTTCTAAGCAAAATGGAGACTATTGTTTGGCCCAAATTTTGTAAAAGTTTGGATTGAAAGGGAGTTCTTTCATGTATGTAAGAAATCCCTTATACCTATTTTTCTGAATCAACACTTCAGACATCAGCATTTACCATGGTTGGCATAATGGAAGCTTAAGCCAAATATTTAGCAATAAAGGATGTGGAGAAATTGCCATCTGTATGGATTCCGGTATTTGGAATCATACATATTATCATTCATATTATCACTTTTTTGCTACTTCATTCAGAATTCATGTTTCTGAAAGACACTATTAAAAAAATTCTCAAGGCACTTTGGTTCCTTTAAAAGATGCCTTCCTTTCAGGAAAAGAGAGTCAGATTTTAGCACATTTTACTTGGTTGTCATGGGTTTGACTGGGGCTTGGGGGGTCAAGGGATTTGCCTGGGGTCTCAGGTTGGTGACTTTGTGGCTAGCCTCCTCTACACTGTGTTGGAATCAGCTGGCTCCAAGATCCTTGTTCTGTCTTCCCACTAGACCACATTGTCTTCCAAATGAAACCACAGTAGTGCTGAAAGCAGGAAGGAAACTCTTCAACTCACTTGTTTTATAAAAACTTCTTTTAAGGCAAGGACAGGGAACAGTAAGAATAGCCTTATTCACAGGCGAGTGACTTGAGCCATCTCTGCCTTTTGAATGTTAGCTTTTTCTTTAATAAATTACTCCTGAAAATACTGTTTGTAAAGATCAATGAAATACTTCCTATATATGTTAGTGATAGTTTTTCTTTTCAAGAAAACGTGTTGTTATCATGTCTAGGGTAGAGAGCTAACGAACTTTGAAAACCCATTATGTGGCAGGTGACTTACACTTGTTATCTCAAATAATATTCACAGTAACCCACAATAACATTGCAAATAAGCACGACTAATTCCATTTTATTGGAACAGAACTGGAAGTTCAGAGAGAGTTTTCTTCAAAAAGAAAAACTTGTTTAAATTCCCACAACTAGTAAATGAGAGAATCAAGATGATGGTCCATTCCTATTGAATGCATGTGGAAATAGGAAGAATTTTTTTAAGTTTGAGACATATTTCTTTGCCTATCCCAGATTGACATCTTTTGAATCCATATAAAATTTCACAACTTTTCTTAATAGTCTCAGATTACAATTAATGAATTTTAGATGCAGTTCACAAATTTTTTCTTTTCTATAGTTATATCTTAACCATAATCAGCAGCATCTTATAATTTTTCACTGAATTTGTAATTAGTCTATGTAGGGGGTCGAGGGATATGGGGCTGATCAAGGAACAGGATGTCCACAAGAGAGGCAGTGACAAGTTTGTTGGTGCTTGGCCAGGGTTGCATGAGAGGAGAAGTCCCTCACAGCCTTACTGGTGAGGGAGGAGGACAAGGGAGAGAGAGATTGGAGAGGAAGCTTACATAGAGTCTCTGGGTCAGAGAGCCCAGCTTGGCTTGAGGCCTTATAACTACACGGCCCTGTCTTATGAATAGGTAACAGCTGCTGGGTGAGATTTTGCGGGGTATGCAAAGCAGACAGGCTCTAAGCAGCTAAACTTTTCTTGGTCAGGCTATTTTTAAAATAACTGGATGTGTAAAAATTTAAGTTTGGTGTCAGTGGGCTTTTGAGCTAATGGGTCTCAGCCTGCAGTGGAGAAACAACCAACTTTGAGGCTAATATACAGAGGCTATCTTTGGCTGATTTATGTAACAGTCTATCCCAAGGCACTAGAAGTATTTAACTGTTTTGGGAAAAGATAATAGCTTTTGATCATAGAAAGTATGTGATTCAACTAAACTAATAGTTTATTAGTTCAATGATATTACTCTCTGTGGTTTTATTTACCTATACTTGTATACAGAACAAATACTATTTATAATAAAGGGAAGTAAGTACCCCACCTTCAAATATAATTTTATTCCAGTGTTTAGTATATATGCTGCTGAAATGAGCACAATTTTATTCCAAAGAATTGAATAACATATTCAAATATTTCTGCCTCCAGCTACAGCCACTTAAGGATTCATGGTTTGATAGCAGTAACATGTTTAACATATTTTTATCCATATATGTTTGAATTACATAAACAATGTTTCATCAATATGAAAAGTATAATAAAACCTTAAACTCCTTTTCCATTTTGTAGGTATATATATATGTTTGTCTTTGGTTCATGAAAGCAATTCCTATTTTGCTATGAGAAGTTACTAGTTCAATTGGAACTCAGAATATTTACAGCTATGTAAGACTGTGGGCCCTCTGCTGTTTTGCATGCTGGCCCTGATGTTGCTGGCAGCTCAAGACATCCTCCTGTGTTCAGGCTCATCCAGGCACCAGCTTCTGTGCTCCCAAATTTCAGGGGACACGTGTCACGTTTCTGTAAGAACTCTTACTGTACACTGCATTGTGATCTGGTTGTACCTTGGGTCTGTGTATCTGCAGTGATTCTCTACCCTTCAGATTCCATGAAAGAAATCTGCTATCAAATGAATTGCTAGGCTTTTGGTGGGCACTGGTTGCTGGACCAGTGTGGCTACCTTGAAAGGAATGTGTCTAATTTCTCTCTTTGAATGTGTGGGCCCTTATGCCACCTATCTCAAATTTGAGGCCTCGTCGGACCCTCTAAGATTCCCAGGGAGGCCTCATCAGACCCTCTAAGGTTCCCAGAAACTATCCCACTTGTCATTCTATGATTTATATAGAAGATTATTTACTGGACTAGAAAAATATGCTTATGAAGAACAAGCGGGAACTAACATTTGTTGAGTGTATTATATGAATTACCACATTTACTCTTCATGAAAACCCTAAAAAATAGGAATCGTTTTTTTCTTTTTTATTGATCATAGGTAGAGGAGACTCTACCTATGATTAAAGTGATGATCCAAATTGAGATCTGTTTGACTTTGAAATATGGGCACTGAAATTATTAGCATTTAAAAAATATATCAATAACCATTTCCCCTTTAAATAATACTAAGACAGAAATTGCATTAAACCAATTAGAGATTTTTAAATATTTGAAAAGGAATCAATAAATATGATACATCATATAAACAGAATTTGGACAAAAACCATATGATCATCTCCATAGACACAGAAAACGCATTAGATAAATGAATTTTAAAAGATAAAATTCAGCATACCTTCATGATAAAAATCCTTGACAAACTAGGCATAAAAGTACCATACCTGAACATAAGAAAGGCTGTTTATGACAAACCCACAGCCAAAATCACACTTAATAAGAAAAAGTCGAAAGCACTTCCTCTAAGAACTGGAACAAGTCAAGAATGCCCACTTTCACCACTCTTATTCAACATACTACTGGAAGTCTTCGCCAGAGCAATCAGGCAAGATAAAGAAATAAAACGCATCCAAACTGGAAGAGAGAAAGTCAAATTATTCCTGTTCACTGATGATATGATTTTATATCTAGAAAACCCTAAAGATACCACCACAAACTCTTGGATTTGATAAATAAATTTAGTCAAGTTTCAGGATACAAAATTAATGTACAGAAACACTAGCATTTCTATACACCAATACCAATTTGGCTGAGGACCAAATCAAGAAGGCAATTCCATTTATAATAGCTAAAAATAATAATGAAATACCTAGGAATATATTTAACCAAGGAGGTGAAAGATCTCCATAAGGAGAACTACAAAACACTGATGAAAGAAATCGTAGATGACACAAACAAATGGAAAAATATCCCATGCTCATGGATTAGGAGAATCAATATTGTTAAAATGATCAAAAAGCCCAAAGCAATCTACAGATTTAATAAAGTCCCTATCAAATTATCAATGTCATTTTTCACAGAATTAGAAAAAAGCAATTGTAAAAATCACATGACACCAAAAAAGAGCCAAATAGCCAAAGCAACCCTAAGCAAAAACAACAAAGCTGAAGGCATTACATTAGCTAACTTCAAATTATACAGGAGTATAGTAACTGAAACAGCATGGGACTGGTATAAAAATAGACACATAGATCAGTGGAACAGAATAGAGAACCCAGAAATAAAGGCACATACCTAAAAACAACTGATCTTTGACAAAGTCAACAAAATTTACACTGGATAAAGGACACTCTATTCAAGAAATGGTGCTGGGAAAATTGGAGAGCCATATGCAGAAGAATGAAACTGGACTGCTATCTCTCACCATATATAAAACTTAAGATCAATTAAAGACTTAAATCCAATACCTGAAACTATAGAAATCCTAGAAGAGAAACTCTTTTGGATGCTGGCCTAGGCAAAAATTTATGACTAAGTCCTCAAAAGACAAATGGAACGAACTAAACTAAAAAACTTCTGCACAGCAGTAACTAAATAAGTAGATAAATAAATAAAAGCAACTGAATAACAGACAACCTACGAATGGGAAAAAATTTTTTGCAAACAATGCATCCATAAGGGCTAATATCCAGAATCTATAAGGAATTCAAACAACTCAACAAGAAAAAAAAATAATCCTATTAAAAAGTGGGCAAAGGACATGAACAGACATTTTCCAAAGGAAGACATATAAGTGACCAACAAACATATGAAAAAATGCTTAACATCACTAATCATTAGAGAAATGCAAATTAAAACCACAGTGAAATACCATCTCATACCAGTCAGAATGGCTATATTTAAAAAGTCAAAAAACAACAGATGTTAGTGAGGATGTGAAGAAAAGGTGGCCGGGCACAGTGGCTCACACCTGTAATCCCAGCACTCTGGGAGGCCACGGGTGGATCACTTGGGGGCAGGTGTTCGAGACCAGCCTGGCAGGCATGGTGGCACACGCCTGTAATCTCAGCTACTTGGGAGGCTGAGGCACAAGAATTGCTTGTACCAGGGAGGCAAAGGTTGTACTGAGCCAAGATCGTGTCTCTGCACTCCAGCCTGGGTGACAGAGACAGACTGTCTCAAAATAAAGCAAGAAAGAAAGAAAAAGAAAGAAAGAAAGAAAGAAAGAAAGAAAGAAAGAAAGAAAGAAAGAAAGAAAGAAAGAAAGAAAGAAAAGGGAATGCTTGTACACTGTTAGAATGTAAATTAGTACAACTGTTATACAAAACTGTATGCAGATTTCTCAAAGAACTCAATATAGAACTAACATTCTATCTAGCAATCTCATTATTGGGTATACACCCAAAGAAAAATAAATCATTGTACCAAAAAGATACCGGTACTCATATGTTTATTGCAGCACTATTCACAACAGCAAAGACATGGAATCAACTTAAGTCTCCATCAACAGAGGAATGGATAAAGAAAATGTGATATATATGTATGAACACTACTCAACCATAGAAAAGAATAAAATCATGTCTTTTGCAGTAACAAGGATGGGACTGGAGGCTATTATCCTAAGTGAAATAACCCGGAAACAGAAATACTGCATGTCCTTTCTTACAAGTGAGAACTAAGCAATAGACACACAGGGACATACAGACTGAAATAATAGACACTGGAGACTCTAAAAGGTGGGAGGGCGAAAGGGGAGTGAGGGGAGAAAAATTACCTATTTAGTACAGCGTTCACTATTTGGCTGATGTGTACACTAAAAGCCCCTACTTTACCACTACACGTTATGCACATGTAAAATACCTATACTTTTACCCCCTACATGTATAAACTAAAAAAAAAAATTTAAAGAAATACTTGAAAAGGATAACAAAACTTACACAATAACTCATTTTTAAATTTATAATATCAATTTTTACCATCTTAAGTCAATGGTTATCTTTCAGAAACTTTGTAGATAACACTATGGAAATATGAAAAGAAAGATAATCTAGTAATATGTTCATTTGTTGAACAACGAGGGAGTTTCTTTTTATCCCTGAGCATTTTGTTTAGTAAGACTGACCTTAATTGTGCCTGTCACCTACTTTACATTAGAAAAAACATATAAGTTGCCTAAAAGCAAATTGCAACATTGTGTGTCTTTTGTTATCTCTATTTTTTAAACCGAGGTAATACTTCAATAAAGCAATTATAATATATAATTATATAACAGAAAATATTATAATAAACTGCATATTTTTAAAGTGTCTACTTAGATACATTTTTTTAAAATACTTTAATTTCCAGGGTACCTGTGCACAACCTGCAGGTTTGTTACATAGGTATACATGTGTCGTGTTGGTTTGCTGCACCCATCAACTATTTCTCCTAATGCTATCCCTCCCCCAGCCCCCAACCCACCGACAGGCTCTGGTGTTTGATGTCCCCCGCCCTGTGTCCAAGTGTTATCATTGTTCAATTCCCACCTATGAGTGAGAACATGTGGTGTTTGGTTTTCTGTTCTTGTGATAGTTTGCTGAAAATGATGGTTTCCAGCTTCATCCATGTCCCTGCAAAGGACATGAACTCATCCTTTTTTATGGCTGCATAGTATTCCATGGTATGTATGTGCCACATTTTCCTAATCCAGTCTATCATTGATGGACATTTGGGTTGGTTCCAAGTCTTTGCTATCGTGAATAGCGCCGCAATAAACATACGTGTGCATGTGTCTTTATAGCAGCATGATTTATAATCCTTTGGGTATGTACCCAGTAATGAGATCACTGGGTCAAATGGTATTTCGAGTTCTGGATCCTTGAGGAATCACCACACTGTCTTCCACAATGGTTGAACTAATTTATACTCTCACCAACAGTGTAAAAGCTTTCCTATTTCTCCACATGCTCTCCAGCATCTGTTGTTTCCTGACTTTTTAATGATTCCCATTCCAACTGGCTTGAGATGGTATCACATTGTGGTTTTGATTTGCATTTCTCTAATGACCAGTGATGATGAGCATTTTTGTAATGTATCTGTTGGTTGCATAAATGAATTCTTTTGAGGAGGGTCTGTTCATATCCTTTGCCCACTTTTTGATGGGGTTGTTTGTTTTTTTCTTGTACATTTGTTTAAGTTCTTTGTAGATTCTGGATATTAGCCCTTTGTCAGATGGGTAGTTTGCAAAAACTTTCTCCCATTCTGTAGATTGCCTGTTCACTCAGATGGTAGTTTCTTTTGCTGTGCAGAAGCTCTTTAGTTTAATTAGATCTCATTTGTCTATTGTTGCTTTTGTTGCCATTGCTTTTGGTGTTTTAGTCATGAAGTCCTTGCCCATGCCTATGTCCTGAATGGTATTGCCTAGGTTTTCTTCTAGGGTTTTTATGGTTTTAGGTCTAACATTTAAATCTTTAATCCATTTTGAATTAATTTTTGTATAAGGTGTAAGGAAGGGATCCAGTTTCAGCTTTCTCCATATGGCTAGCCAGTTTTCCCAGCACCATTTATTAAATAGGGAATCCTTTCCCCATTTCTTGTTTTTGTCAGGTTTGTCAAAGATCAGATGGTTGTAGATGTGTGGTGTTATTTCTGAGGCCTCTGTTCTGTTCCATTGGTCTATATATCTGTTTTGGTACCAGTACCATGCTGTTTTTGTTACTATCACCTTGTAGTATAATTTGAAGTCAGGTAGTGTGATGCCACCAGCTTTGTTCTTTTGGTTTAGGATTGTCTTGACAATGCAGGCTCTTTTTTGGTTCCATATGAACTTTAAAGTAGTTTTTTCCAATTCTTTGAAGAAAGTCCTTGGTAGCTTGATGGGGATGGCATTGAATCTATAAATTATCTTGGGCAGTATGGCCATTTTCACAATATTGATTCTTCCTATCCATGAGCATGGAATATTCTTCCATTTTTTTGCATCCTCTTTTATTTCGTCGAGCAGTGGTTTGTAGTTCTCCTTGAAGAGGTCCTTCCCATCCCTTGTAAGATGGCTTCCTAGGTATTTTGTTCTCTTTGTAGCAATTGTGAATGGTAGTTCATTCATGATTTGGCTCTCTGTTTGTTTGTTATTGGTGTAGAGGAATGCTTGTGATTTTTGCACACTGATTTTGTATCCTGAGACTTTGCCGAAGTTGCTTATCAGCTTAAGGAGATTTTGGGCTGAGACGATGGGGTTTTCTAGATATACAATCATGTCATCTGCAAACAGGGACAATTTGACTTCCTCTTTTCCTGATTGAATACCCTTTATTTCTTTCTCTTGCCTGATTGCCCTGGCCAGAACTTCCAACACTATGTTGAATAGGAGTGGTGAGAGAGGGCATCATTGTCTTGTGCCAGTTTTCAAAGGGAATGCTTCCAGTTTTTGGCCATTCAGTATGATATTGGCTGTGAGTGTGTCATAAGTAGTTCTTATTATTTTGAGATACGTTCCATCAATACCTAGTTTATTGAGAGTTTTTAGCATGAAGGGCTGTTTAATTTTGTCGAAGGCCTTTTCTGCATCTATTGAGATAATCATGTGGTTTTGTCGTTGGTTCTGTGTATGTGATGGATTATGTTTATTGATTTGCATATGTTGAACCAGCCTTGCAGCCCAGGGATGAAGCCAACTTGATCGTGGTGGATAAGCTTTTTGATGTGCTGCTGGATTCGGTTTGCCAGTATTTTATTGAGGATTTTTGCATTGATGTTCATCAGGGATATTGGTCTAAAATTTTCTTTTCTTGTGTCTCTGCCAGACTTTGGTATCAGGATGATGCTGGCCTCATCAAATGAGTTAGGGAGGCTTCCCTCTTTTTCTATTGATTGGAATAGTTTCAGAAGGAATGGTACCAGCTCCTCTTTGTACCTCTGGTAGAATTCAGCTGTGAATCTGTCTGGTCCTGGATTTTTTCTGGTTGGTAGGCTATTAATTATTGCCTCAATTTCAGAACCTGTTATTGGTCTATTCAGAGATTCAACTTCTTCCTGGTTTAGTCTTGGGAGGGTGTATGTGTCCTGGAATTTATCCATTTCTTCTAGATTTTCTAGTTTATTTGTGTAGAGGTGTTTGTAGTATTCTCTGATGGTAGTTTGTGTTTCTGTGGGATCGGTGGTGTTATCCCCTTTATCATCTCTTATTGCATCTGTTTGATTCTTCTCTCTTCTCTTCTTTATTAGTCTGGCTAGCTGTCTATCAATTTTGTTGATTTTTTCAAAAAACCAGCTCCTGGATTCATTGATTTTTTTGAAGGTTTTTTCGTGTCTCTATCTCCTTCAGTTCTGCTCTGATCTTAGTTATTTCTTCTGTTCTGCTACCTTTTGAATTTGTTTGCTCTTGCTTCTCTAGTTCTTTTAATTGTGATGTTAGGGTGTCAATTCTAGATATTTCCTGCTTTCTCTTGTCGGCATTTAGTGCTATAAATTTCCCTCTACACACTGCTTTAAATGTATCCCAGAGATTCTGGTACGTTGTGTCTTTGTTCTCATTAGTTTCAAAGAACATCTTTGTTTCTGCCTTCATTTCCTTATTTACCCAGTAGTCATTCAGAAGCAGGTTGTTCAGTTTCCATGTAGTTGTGTGGTTTTGAGTGAGTTTCTTAATCCTGCATTCTAATTTGATTGCACCGTGGTCTGAGAGACAGTTTGTTGTGATTTCTGTTCTTTACATCTGCTGAAGAGTGCTTTACTTCCAATTATGTGGTCAATTTTAGAATAAGTGAGATGTGGTGCTGAGAAGAATTTATATTCTGTTGATTTGGGATAGAGAGTTCTGTAGATGTCTATTAGGTCTGCTTGGTGCAGAACGGAGTTCAAGTCCTGAATATCCTTGTTAACCTTCTGTCTCGTTGATCTGTCTAATATTGACAGTGGGATGTTAAATTCTCCCATTATTATTGTGTGGGAGTCTAAGTCTCTTTGTAGGTCTCTAAGGACTTGCTTTATGAATCTGGGTGCTCCTGTATTGGGTGCATATATATTTAGCATAGTTAGCTCTTCTTGTTGAATTGATCCCTTTATCATTATGTAATGGCCTTCTTTGTCTCCTTTGATCTTTGTTGGTTTAAAGCCTGTTTTATTAGAGACTAGGATTGCAACCCTTGCTTTTTGTGCTTTCTATTTGCTTGGTAAATATTCCTCCATCTCTTTATTTTGAGCCTATGTGTGTCTCTGCATATAAGATGGGTCTCCTGAATACAGTACACTGATGGGTCTTGACTCTCGATCCAATTTACCAGTCTGTGTCTTTTAATTGGGGCATTTAGCCCATTTACATTTAAGGTTAATATTGTTATGTGTGAATTTGATTTGTCATTATGATGTTAGCTGGTTATTTTGCCCATTAATTGATGCAGTTTCTTCTTAGCATCGATGGTCTTTACAATTTGGCATGTTTTTGCAGTGGCTGGTACCAGTTGTTCCTTTCCATGTTTAGTGCTTCCTTCAGGAGCTCTTGTAAGGCAGGCCTGGTGGTGACAAAATCTCTCAGCATTTGCTTGTCTGTAAAGTATTTTATTTCTCCTTCACTTATGAAGCTTAGTTTGGCTGGATATGAAATTCTGGGTTGAAAATTCTTTTCTGAATGTTGCATATTGGCCTCCACTCTCTTCTGGCTTGTAGGTTTTCCTTGGAGAGATCCGCTGTTAGTCTGATGGGCTTCCCTTTGTGGGTAACCCGGCCTTTCTCTCTGGCTGCCCTTAACATTTTTTCCTTCATTTCAACTTTGGTGAATCTGACAATTATGTGTCTTGGGGTTGTTCTTCTCAAGGAGTATCTTTGTGATGTTCCTCTGTATTTCCTGAATTTGAATGTTGGCCTGCCTTGCTAGGTTGGGGAAGTTCTCCTGGATAATATCCTGAAGAGTGTTTTCCAACTTGGTTCCATTCTCCCCAGCACTTTCAGGTACACCAATCAAATGTAGATTTGGTCTTTTCATATAGTCCCATATTTCTTGGAGGCTTTGTTCATTTCTTTTTACTCTTTTTTCTCTAACCTTGTCTTCTCACTTTATTTCATTCATTTGATCTTCAATCACTGATACCCTTTCTTCCATTTGATCAAATCGGCTATTGAAGCTTGTGCATGCATCACAAATTTCTCGTGTCATGGTTTTCAGCTCCATCAGGTCATTTAAGGTCTTCTCTACACGGTTTATTTTAGTTAGCCATTCGTCTAACCTTTTTTCAAGGTTTTTAGCTTCCTTGTAATGGGTTAGAACATGCTCCTTTAGCTTGGAGAAGTTTGTAATTACTGACCTTCTGAAGCCTACTTCTGTCCACTCGTCAAAGTCATTCTCCATCCAGCTTTGTTCCATTACTGGCGAGGAGCTGTGATCCTTTGGAGGAGAAGAGGCTCTGGTTTTTAGAATTTTCAGCTTTTCTGCTCTGGTTTCTCCCCATCTTTGTGGTTTTATCTACCTTTGGTCTTTGATGTTGGTGACCTACAGATGGGGTTTTGGTGTGGATGTCCTTTTTGTTGATGTTGATGCTATTCCTTTCTGTTTGTTAGTTTTCCTTCTACAAGTCAGGTCCCTCAGCTGCAGGTCTGCTGGAGTTTGCTGGAGGTCCACTCCAGACTCTGTTTGCCTGGGTGTCACCAGCAGAGGCTGCAGAACGGCAAATATTGCAGAACAGCAAATATTGCTGCCTGATCTTTCCTCTGGAAGCTTCGTCCCAGAAGGTCACCTGTCTGTATGAGGTGCCCATTGGCTCCTACTGTAAAGTGTCTCCCAGTTAGGCTACATGGGGTTCAGGGACCCACTTGGGGACAGTCTGTCTGTTCTCAGACCTCAAAGGCCATGCTGGGAGAACCACTGCTCTCTTCAGAGCACAGTTGGAAATGTAGAAATCACCTGTCTTCTGCATCAATCGTGTTGGGAGCTGCAGACCGGAGGTGTTCCTATTCGACCATCTTGGAATGGAACCCCCATTTAGATGCATTTTGACATATGCCTATGTTATGGTTTTAATGTGTCCCCCAAAATTTCATGTGTTGGAAACTTAATTGCCTTTGTAACAGTATTCAGAAGTGGGGCCTCTAAGAGGTGAAAGATTAATGCCATTATCTTGGGAGTGGTCTCCTGATAAACAGATGAGTTTGGCTTGATTTTCTCTCTGCCTTGTATGCTTCCTTGTCATTCTGCCTTCCACTGTGGGGTGACCCTTGGCAGATGCTAGAGCACCATGCTTTTGGACTTCCCAGTCTGCAGAACCATGAGTCAAATAAATCTAAGGGCTAAGGGGGCAATATGAGGGATTGGCAATTGGAAGCTGGCAAAGGCTGAATGTGCCAGACAAAAGTAGGGTCTTAGTGGGGGCACACAACTATTGCCATACTGTAGACCTGCAGGAAGCTAGCCAGGCCTCTGCTCCTGCCTGTTGACTTCTGGAACCAACTGGAAGCCAGAAGACAGGGGATCCATGATGCATTCTGCACAGCTCAGTCACCAGAGGTTCAAAGAAGAGCCAGAAAGAATAGATAGTGGGTCTGGAGAAGCATACAGAGAATATCCATGTACAGACTTCCAACAATACCCTGTTCTCCTTATACATTAATGCCTTAAACTACTCACTTCTGATCTAGAAAGTCATAATACATGGTTTCAATCTAGAGACTAGTGGTTCTCAAAATTTTCTTTCTATACTTTCCTAATGTCAGATTATTCTAGGAAGTAAACACTCATCCAGGAGCCACATTTCCCATCCCCTTGTATGTAGGTGACACATTGAGACTGAATTGACCAATGGGAGGTGAGTATAAAGGGTTTATCCCTCTTTCAAGCTTGGCTCATGAAAAACTGCATGTTTGATCATCCATGCTCTTTTCCTCTTTAAATTGGCTGGAATGAAGGCAAACTTTACTATTATGATGTTAGGAATCATATGTTGAAGATGAAAAGGTCAAAGATGGATGAAATCTGAGTCCCTGAATCACTATTTAGAGAGCTCATAGAAACAGAAATACTTGCACTGGAAGAAAAAATAAAATACATACAAGAAACTTATTCATTAGGGAGGCGCTATGGTTTGAAAGCTTATGTCCCCCTCAAAATTCATGTTGAAACTTAAATACCCAGTGCAATGGAATTAGGTATAGAGGGCCTGTAGAAGCTGATTAGGTCATGAGGGTGGAGCTCTCATTAGTGACCTTGGGGGTGGAGAGAACTAGTCAGGCCCTCTTGCCTGTCTTCCTCCCACCATGTGAGTATGCAACAACAGAGCACCACCTATGAAGCAGAGAGCTGACTTCACCAGACACAGAACCTCCTGGCACCTTGACCTTGGACTTCCCAGCATCCAGAACTGTGAGAAATAAATTCTATTTGTTATACATAAAAAAAAAAAAGAAGGCCTGGTGCAATGGCTTATGCCTGTAATTCCAGCACTTTGGGAGGCCAAAGCAGGCAGATCACTTGAGGCCAGGAGTTCAAGACCAGCCTGGGCAACATGGTGAAACCCCGTCTCTATTCAAAATGCCAAAAAATTAGCCAGGCATGGTGGTCCCAGCTACTTGGGAGGCTGAGACTGGAGAATCGCTTGAATCCGGGAGGTGGAGGTTGCAGTGAGCTGAGATGGCACCACTGCCCTCCATCCTGGGTGACAGACCAAGACTCTGTCTCAAAAAAACAAAAACAAACAAACAAACAAAAAACAAAGAGAGAGAGATTGGTGGTTCTTAATTCCTTTGGGGTCACAGATTTTAAGATGTGCATGTAAGTACTCACACAAATTTATGTACAATATTTTGCCTCCTCAGAGACAGATAATATTTTAGTAAATAATGAATTTGATTTTTTCACTTATATTCTCAGAAAAAAAAGTGGCCAATATGTAACAACTTAAAAAATAAATCCAAATTGTGTATTTAAAATTTAAAAAAAAGAAATTCAATAGGAAATTTCTGTTAACAAGGACATTCCAAAAGTACATGGATTTTTTTTTTTTTTTTAACTTCAATAAGAACAACTTTTGGAGCGGTCACTGGCAGGTTAACATGCCAACTTTTTCAACTTTGACATTCCACAGATGTCAACTCTAACACTAATGATAGAAAGTTATGAAATCTCTGACTTCCAAGGGTGAGTAATTGCAGATGGAATCAAAATTCCCATTGCTTGCTTGCTTTTTCAAGTAAGGATTGTATCAAAAAATACCAGAATTCTCAAACAGTTTATGAGTTAGATTCTATTTGTGCCTTTTTTTTTTTCCCCAGATCATTGAGAACATCTTTGTTACTGGCACTGTCTACATGGTATTTTGAGCAGAGTTTTGCAGTGTTTCCAAGTGCTGCAGTTTCTTCCCGCAGAGAGATGGCCACTACAGACTCTAGCTGCCAGAAGAATTTCCCCCAGATCTGGAAAGTTTCTACAGTTGCTTACCTCGAATATTCACATACAGAGAGGTACTTCCTCCAAAGTGCGGTTTTCCAACAACTCCATAATGGTGAGTATGAGACCTGTAGTTAGGAGTATGGGCTCCAAATTTAGACTACCAAGGTTAAAAGCTTTGCTCCACCCCCTTGCTAACCATGGTAATTTAAGCAAGTGACTTGCCTGTTTCTTCATCAGTGAGTAAAACAGTACCTATTTGATAGGATTATTATAGGAATTAGCTTAATTCAGATAAAACCTTATAATAGGGGCATCTGCATTTTTTAGTTGTTCAAATGGCCACATATATCTGGAAGACTATGAAAAAATCTCTTCCTTGCTGTTCGTTCTTCTGTTCATTCATTCATATATTTCTAAGTATTTACTGAGCACCCACTATGTGCTCAGCATTGTGCTGTGTGCCAGAGATACAATGATCAGCTAAAATAGAATCAGTGCCTGGCCTCATTGAGCCTTCAGTCTAATGGGGAAGACAGATATTAATCAAATAGTCATAAACACACATGTAAAGTTGCTGTGGAGAAAAGGTATATTGTTCTGTGAGAAAAAATAATGGAGACTTAACCAATAAGAAAACATTGTTTAATCTGCAATCTTAAGACTAAGTAGAAGTTATCAAAGAGTTACTTACCCCAAGTTCAATTAAGTTCTATTAGACTTAACTTCCAGACAGCTGATGAATTTCCATATAGCAAAAGAAAACTTCATAATCTGCTTTTCTAAGAAAACTTCTTGAAAAGACAGAAATGCAAGGCTCTGAAGCTAAATAGGTTGATGACTTTGTGGTTGCAAGCAAAATTTTATTTGGGATTTACCTTTGACACTAATGCAAGACAATCTAGAATGGAATGAATCTCATTGCTAGTTCTCCAAGCATGCATAGTATCAATGTTTCTTTGAGTGGAAATTTTGTTTGGCCAATAAAGTTTTTACAATTTCAACACCATAGGAGGCCTTTGAACTTTCTAAAAGTGCTCCCAAAATAGAAATCCTCATTTGATGCTGTTCTTGTGCAGATAACATGGGAACTGGACCTGGCTCTGCCAACAGATGTCAATACTTTCACGATGAAGAGAAATAGCGATTCCTTCATGATCTGCTTCAAAATATTGGAATAGATTTTAGTGATTCTGGAATGGATGAGAAGATTTGACAGAAGCATTGTTTTACTTTTTAAATTTTCCTTCAAATTACAAATCAGAATAACCATTTCCAGGACATTTTGCTTCAGCAAGGTCTTTTATTTAGTCGTGCAGCAAGCGATCTTGCAGGATGACTCAAGACAATACATCTTTGTGTTGGAGAAAATCCAAGTTTTTAATGCTTTCCAATTGACCCTTTTACTAAGGCAAAAGAGGCAGACTGTGCAGTGTATTTTCAGGATGTAAGGGATCACTTCAGCTTTGTTCGGTTCCTGCTTCCATAGGTAATATGTTCAACAATGCAAGCAAAATCCAAGGGGGCAGACAGAGATAAAGAGAGATTCTTGGCCAGGCGCGGTGACTCACGCCTGTAATCCCAGCACTTTGGGAGGCCGAGGCAGACGGATCACGAGGTAAGGAGATCGAGACCATCCTGGCTAACACGGTGAAACCCCGTCTCTACTAAAAATACAAAAAATTAGCCGGGCATGGTGGCAGGCGCCTGTAGTCCCAGCTACTTGGGAGGCTGAGGCAGAAGAATGGCGTGAACCCGGAAGGCGGAGCTTGCAGTGAGCCGAGATTGTGCCACTGCACTCCAACCTGGGCGACAGAGTGAGGCTCCGTCTCAAGAAAAAAAAAAAAAAAAAAAAAAAAAAAGCGAGATTTTTGCTGGGCACGGTAGCTCATGCCTGTAATCCCAGCACTTTGAGAGGCCAAGGCGGGTGATCATGAGGTCAGGAGATTGAGACCATCCTAACTAACACGGTGAAACCCCATCTCTACTAAAAATAAAAAAAAATTATCCAGGCGTGGTGGTGGGCGCCTGTAGTCCCAGCTACTGGGGAGCCTGAGGCAGGAGAATCGCTTGAACCTGGAGGCGGGTGCAGTGAGCTGAGATTGCGCCACTGCACTCCAGCCTGGGCGACAGAGCGAGACTCGGTCTCAAAAAAAAAAAAGAGGGATTCTTTTTTTTTGGTGATATATCCTAGCCTAAACTGATATTAAGGTATAAACAGATGTTCATAATCATGTTTCATTTTCAATTCATGTCAAAGAATGGCCTGGTAAATATTATAACAGGCCAATGACACCAATAATGTACCAAACTGTAATTTTGCATACTGCTTTTTACTTATTTATTATGAAACAATGCTTTCATAAAATGTTATACAAAAAGTTTTTCTCCCCAAAATATAGTTTTAAATATTGGGGAAGACGTACAAAAAAAGTATATTTTTCCCCAGGTTTGTGGATCCTCTAGAAGTCATCCATTAGTTCTCTGGCTTATAAACCAAGGGCTAACAACTTCATCTATCAATAAGGCTTTAATCTTCTGATACTAATCTATCTCTTCACTTTTACCTTCATCTATTAAGTATAATTGTCTGAAGTGAGACAGGAAATAATTAAAATAACTTGGAGCAGCAATTTCTAAACTGTGGTGCAAAGGGACACTGACGGCCCCTGGAAAAAACTCATCTTTCCCTTTGCCATTTCCTCCTCTCTCTCCAGACTTTTTTTAAAATCCCAATGTTTCTCTGAAATTGTGATGAATCTCTCAAGAGTTTTTGTGTATGAAGATTGACCACTTGCACATCTGAGAGAATATTGCCTTCTCCTAGCAGGGAGTTTTGACCTATGTGGGGTTTGGGAACACTTACAGCATTCAAAGATCCCCTTTAAAAGGGGTCTGGAACCCAAAGCTCCATTTTAATTTACACATCCTGTGTATCGTCTGTTACAGTTCTTTCTTTTCATGCTATGACTCTTCATCCTGCCCTTGCTCTGATTTTTACTGAAGACCAGCTACTTCAGCCTGTTCATGCATGATCACTTTTTCTGGTATTCTTTTTCCTTCCTCATGTTAAATCCTCATGTTCTTAAGTTTTCTAATTTGTGACCTTCTCATTTACTCTAAGCCTGGCCCTATATGGAGAGCTTCATCCTCCCAGCAGGGGTCACCATAGTTCCTTCCTGGAGAGCCTATAGGTATCATGTTAAAGAATCCACCCTCTGGTCTTTATACAGTTCCAGTTTCTATAGAACATTATAAACACTAAGGCTCAACATTCACATTGTATTCATGTCTGTCCTGATTTAATATTGACTAACACTTTAAACACTTTTTGAAGCAAGTAATGTTATTTTAAAATCGTATGTATTTGTTTTTGTTATAAATTCCTGGATGGACAGGAAAGATAACCCCCACATCATGCCTCATACATTGTAGATTAAAGTTCTTATCCTTAGATACAAATGTATAAAAAACAAAATTACTGTACTTTTTTGTTCTTTTTTTCTTCAATCTATACTTTCTCCTAATAAATTGGAGATATTTGAAGCACTTAGAAATTTGAAGCACTTAGAATCTAAGTATTTGAAGCACTTAGAATCTAAATGATGTAATATAAATAAGATTAAATTAGAATATATTTAATTGTTTTTTAGAATCAAGCATTCTCTTTAAAATTCTTTTCTATATTTATGCCATTTTAACTCATTGCATTGATTTTTAAAAAAATTACACAAATGAAAAAGAACCAGGAAAAGTTAGCTATGTGGTAGTTATGGAAACATAATAAAGTGATTATTTGAGTGAAACTCAGGGAGCAACTTGACTTAAACAAAGATATCACACCACCAATTCTACCTTCTCATTTGTGCATTATTAAATTAGATCATTCCTACAAGCATCAAATATACTATTGTTTTTCTAATCTTAAACAAATATGACTCTTTTTTTTTTTTTTTTTTTTGAGACAGAGTGTCACTCTGTTGCCCAGACTAGAGTGTAGTGGTGTGACCTTGGCTCACTGCAATCTTTGCCTCCTGGGTTCAAGCAATTCTCCTGCCTTAGCCTCCTAAGCAGCTGGGACTACAGGTGCGTGCCATCATGCCCAGCTAATTTTTGTATTTTTAGCAAAGACAAGGTTTTGCCATGTTGACCTGGTCTCGAACTCTTGACCTCAAGTGATCTGTCCACCTCGGCCTCTCAAACTGCTGGATTACAGGTGTGAGCCACCATGCCCAGCCAATACAACTTCTTTTGAGCCTACTTCTCCAGCTACTGCCCTGTGTCTCTGCCCTCCTCTGCAGCAAAAATTACTTGAAAAAGTTGCTTATACTTTCTGTCTTCTTCTTATTCAAATCAGGCTTTTCCCCACCTGCCCCTGAACTTGCTCTCGTCAGGGTAACCAGTGACCTCCATGTTGCTAAATCCAATGGCCGCTTCTCAGTTCTCCTCTAATTTGGCCTATGGGCAGCATTTGGCAAACATTTTCTTCACTTGCTTCCAAGACACCACAGAGGCTGGTTGTCCTGTTACTTAGTTGATCCTTCATGGCTGATCTCTTTCTGTATCCTCTTCCTCTTCCTGAACATTAGCATGCTAGAATTCCATAGGCTCTGGCATGGTCCTCTACTCTCCTCTACCTCCATTCACTTCCCAAGTGATCTCATCCAGTTCCATGACTTTAAATATCATCTGTTCCCTAAGAAATTTTGCTCAACTGCTGATAACAAAGATCCAATTACAGCAGCTTTGACACAAAATAGTTCATTCTCTTCCATATTAGGAGTCAGAAGGAGGCCATCCACAGCTGATATGGCATATTCACAAGGTCATCAGAAACTCAGGCTGCTTCTGACTTTCTGTTCCATCATCTTAGCACGTGGCTTATATTCTCAAGTCTGGGACTACAGGCACGCACCACCACATCCAGCTGATTTTTGTATTTTTAGTTGAGATGGGGTTTCACCATGTTGGCCAGGATGGTCTCAATCTCTTGATCTCGTGATCCTCCCACCTCGGCATCCCAAAGTGTTGCGATTACAGGTGTGAGCCACTGCTCCCTGCCTAAATGTGAAGTTCTAAGGGGGAAGAGGAAAAAGAATATTTGGTAAGTACCTAGTAGTTTCTGCCATAACATCAATATATCAAAGAGTCCCATATTCATATTTCCAGCCCTGCACTCTTCTCCAAGCCTCAAGACCACTTACTGTGCTTGGATGCACACTTGGCAACTAAAACTTAACATGAGCAAAGCATTGCCTTTGTAATGGAGACTCAAAGATGAATGACTGTGAGTTGAGGGAAGAATGAGGAGTGAGAAAGTGAAGACAGTGAATACAGTATAGAGAACTCTTTCAGGAGTTTTGATAGAAAGAAGAGCAGAGGAACAGAAAAATGGGAAGTAGCTGGAGGAGAATGTAAAATCTCAGGAGAATTTTGTTTCATTTTATAAAAAGAATAATATTTCAACCTATTAGTATAATAATGGGAGTGGTTTAGGAAAGAAGAAATGAATGACTCAGGGAAAGGGGAATAATTGTAGGAGTAAAGTCCTCAAGAAGACGGGGGAGACAAAATACAAAGCACAAATGAGATCAGCATTTGATGTAAATGACAGAGAAAGCAGAGTATGGGGGCACAACTTATAGGCAAGACGGCTCACTGAGTTTAAGCTTCGATAACGCACTTTGCTCCAAATACATGACAAAAATAGATCAAATGTAAAAAAAAGATAAGTCTAGGATAAAAAATAAGACAAACATCTCCTAAATGAAAATAGAACAAAAATGTCAAAGTGGCTAGACTGAAGTCACAAAGTTTATGGAAAATCCAGAAAGCATAAAGTACTGGTTAGGATTTCAGCTCCTGAGGGGCAGAGGACACTAAACTTGCTCCATGAGAAACTGAATCCAGTTTTACAGCTTGAAAACTCTTCTATTCTCAGGAGTGAGGCTGGAAAAAATTACATTTATTTATCTATTTTTTAGAGATGGGTTTCACTCTGTCACCCAGGCTGGAGTGTAAAGCTATTCACAGGTTCAATCATGGCTCACTGCAGCCTTGAACTTTTGGCCTCAAGTGATCCTCCTGCCTCAGCCTCCTGAATAGTGGGGACTACAGATGTGTGCCACCATGCCTGGCTCTGAAAAAATATTAAAACTCTGCATGACTTGTATTTGGAGATGTGGCTTTTAGAAAGCTGTGGACCTAAGGAGAAGGGGGTGCATAGATACAATCTCACAATCAAAAATTGAGTCAAAATACCTAATTGCTCTATGACTAGACCTATGGAGTCCTCAATATCACCTTGTAGACAAAATTTCAAGCTGGAACAGTTGGATTTGGTTTCTGATTGAAGGTCTGCTGACAGAATGAGTTCATGGTTAAGGCATGGGGGAAGGGCAGAAAAAAATGTTAAAAGCTTGCAAATGTTTCAATATGAGCCTGAAAAGCCAAATTCCAAAAAACATGGGTAGGTCTAATGCTCAGCAAGAAAGTCAACAAAATCAATAATTAGAATGTGAATTGCCTGTAGATAAAAATTAATTTTACCTCTGGAGCAGCTTGATAATCTTTTTTAAAAAAATTATTATTATACTTTAAGTTCTGGGATACATGTGCAGAACGTGCAGGTTTGTTACATAGGTATACACACGCCATGGTAGTTTGCTGCACCCATCAACCCATCATCTACATTAGGTATTTCTTTTTTTCTTTCTTTCTTTTTTGAGATGGGGTTTTGCTCTTGTTGCCCAGGCTGGAGTGCAGTGGTGCAATCTCGGCTCACTGCAACCTCTGCCTCCCAGGTTCAAGCGATTCTCCCATGTCAGCCTCTCACATAGCTGGGATTACAGGCTCCTGCCACCATGCTGGGCTAATTTTTGTATTTTTAGTAGAGACGGGGTTTTGCCATGTTGCTCAGGCTGGTCTTGAACTCTTGACCTCAGGTGATACGTCCACCTTGGCCACCCAAAGTGTTGGGGTTACAGGCGTGAGCCACTGCAACCAGCCAGGTATTTCTCCTAATGCTATCCCTCCCTTAGCCACCTACTCCCTGACAGGCCCTGGTGTGTGATGTTCCCCTCCCTGTGTCCATGTGTTCTCATTGTTCAACTCCCACTTATGAGTGAGGACATGTGGTGTTTGGTTTTCTGTTCCTGTGTTAGTTTGCTGAGAATGAGGGTTTCCAGCTTCATCCACATCCCTGCAAAGGACGTGAACTCATCCTTTTTACGACTGCATAGTATTCCATGGTGTATATGTGCCACATTTTCTTTATCCAGTCTATCATTGATGGGCATTTGGGTTGGTTCCAAGTCTTCGCTATTGTGAACAGTGCTGCAATAAATATACGTGTGCATGTATCTTTATAGTAGAATGATTTATAATCCTTTGGGTATATACCCTGTAATTGGATTGCTGGGTCAAATGGTATTTCTGGTTCTAGATCCTTGAAAACTGGCCACACTGTCTTCCACAATGATTGAACTAATTTACACTCCCACCAACAGTGTAAAAGTGTTCCTATTTCTCCACATCCTCTCCAGCATCTGTTGTTTCCTGACTTTTTAATGATTGCCATTCTAACTGGCATGAGATGGTATCTCATTGTGGTTTTGATTTGCATTTCTCTAATGACCAGTGATGATGAGCTTTTTTTTTTCCCCGTAGATGGAGTTTTGCTCTTGTTGCCCAGGCTGGAGTGCAATAGCACGATCTTGGCTCACCACAACCTCCACCTCCTGGGTTCAAGCAATTCTCTTGCCTCAGCCTCCCAAGTAGCTGGCATTACAGGCATGTGCCACCACGCCCAGCTAATTTTGTATTTTTAGTAGAGATGGGGTTTCTCCATGTTGGTCAGGTTGGTCTTGAACTCCCAACCTCAGGTGATCTCACTGCCTTGGCCTCCCAAAGTGATAGGATTACAGGTGTGAGCCACCATGCACAGCCTATGATGAGCTTTTTTTCATGTTTGTTGGCCGCATAAATGTCTTCTTTTCAGAAGTGTCTGTTCATATCCTTCACCCAATTTTGGTGGGGTTGTTTTTTTCTTGTACATTTGTGTAAGTTTTTTGTAGATTCTGGATATTAGCCCTTTGTCAGATGGATAGATTGCAAAACTTTTCTCCCATTCTGTAGGTTGCCTATTCACTGTGATGATAGTTTCTTTTGTTGTGCAGAAGCTCTTTAGTTTAATTAGATCCCATTTGTCAATTTAGGCTTTATTTTTGCCATTGCTTTTGGTGTTTTAGTCATGAAGTCCTTGCCCATGCCTACATCCTGAATGGTATTGCCTAGGTTTTCTTCTAGGGTTTTTGTGGTTTCAGGTCTTACATTTAAGCCTTTAAACCATCTTCAGTTAATTTTTGTGTAAGGTATAAGGAAAGGGTCCAGTTTCAGTTTTCTGCATATGACTAGCCAGTTTTCCCAACACCATTTATTAAATAGGCTATCCTTTCCCCCTTGCTTATTTCTGTCAGGTTTGTCAACGATCAGATGATTGTAACTGTGTCTCTGCCAGGTTTTGGTATTAGGATGATGCTGGCCTCATAAAATGAGTTAGGGAGGAGTCCCTCTTTTTCTATTGTTTGGAATAGTTTCAGAAGGAATGGTACCAGCTCCTCTTTGTACCTCTGGTAGAATTTGGCTGTGAATTTGTCTAGTCCTGGGCCTTTTTTAGTTGGTAGGCTATTAATTACTGCCTCAATTTCAGAACTTCTTATTGGTCTATTCAGGGATTCAGCTTCTTTCTGGTTTAGTCTGGGGATGGTGTATGTGTCCAGGAATTTATCCATTTCTTCTAGATTTTCTAGTTTATTTGCATAGAGGTGTTTATAGTATTTTCTGATGGTAGGTCGTATCTCTGTAGGATCAGTGGTGATCTCCCCTTTTTCATTTGTTATTGTGTCTATTTGATTCTTCTCTCATTTCTTCGTTAGTCTTGCTAGCAGTCTATTTTGTTAATCTTTTTGAAACACCAGCTCCTGGATTCATTGATTTTTTTGAAGGGTTTTTCGCGTCTCTATCTCCTTCAGTTCTGCTCTGATCTTAGTTATTTCTTGTCTTCTGCTATCTTTTGAATTTGTTTGCTCTTGCTTCTCTAGTTCTTTTAATTGTGATGTTAGGGTGTTGATTTTAGACCTTTCCTACTTTCTCCTGTGGGCATTTAGTGCTATAAACTTCCCTTTAAACACTGCTTTAAATGTGTCCCAAAGATTCTGGTACATTGTTTTTTTGTTCTCATTGGTTTCAAATAACTTATTTGTTTCAAATAACTCATTGGTTTCAAATAATTTATTTATTTCTGCCTTAATTTTGTTATTTACCCAGTAGTCATTCAGGAGCAGGTTGTTCAGTTTCCAGGTAGTTGTGAGGTTTTGAGTGAGATTCTTTTTTTTTTTTTTTGAGACAGAATCTTGCTCTGTCGCTAAGCTGGAGTGCAGTGGCGCGATCTCGGCTCACTGCAACCTCTGCCTCCTGGGTTCAAGCGATTCCACTGCCTCAGCCCCCTGAGTAGCTGGGACTACAGGCGTGTACCACCACGCCTGGCTAATTTTTTGTATTTTAATAGAGATGGGGTTTCACCATGTTGGCCACGATGGTCTCGATCTCCTGACCTCGTGATCTGCCCGCCTCAGCCTCCCAAAGTGCTGGGATTACAGGCATGAGCCACCGTGCCTGGCCACTTGAGTGAGATTCTTAATCCTGAGTTCTAATTTGATTGCACTGTGGTCTGAGAGACTGTTATGAATTCTGTTCTTTTGCATTTGCTGAGGAGTGTTTTACTTCCAATTATATGGTCAATTTTAGAATAAGTGAGATGTGGTGCTGAGAAGAATGTATAGTCTGTTGATTTGGGGTGGAGGGTTCTGTAGATGGTCTATTAGGTCTGCTTGGTCCAGAGCTGAGTTCAAGTCCTGAATATCCTTGTTAATTTTCTGTCTCTTTTATCTAATATTGACAGAGGGGTGTTAAAGTCCCCCACTATTATTGTGTGGGAGTCTAAGTCTCTTTGTAGGTCTCTAAGGACTTGCTTTATTAATCTGGGTGCTCCTGTATTGGGTGCATATATATTTAGGATAGTTAGCTCTTCTTGTTGCATTGATCCCTTTACTATTATGTCATGCCCTTCTTTGTCTTTTCTGATCTTTGTTGGCTTAAAGTCTGTTTTATCAGAGACTAGGATTGCAACTCCTGATTTTTTTTGCTTTCTATTTGCTTGGTAGATCTTCCTCCATCCCCTTATTTTGAGCCTATGTGTGCCTTTGCATGGGAGATGGGTCTCCTGATGACAGCACACTGATGGGTCTTGACTCTTGATCCAATTTGCCAGTGTGTGTCTTTTAATTGGGGCATTTAGCCCATTTACATTTAAGGTTAATATTGTTATGTGCCAATTTGATCCTGTCATTATGATGCTAGCTGGTTATTTTGCCTGTTTGTTGATGCAGTTTCTTCATAGTGTTGGTGGTCTTTAGAATTTGGTAAGTTTTTGCAGTGGCTGGTACTGGTTTTTCTGTTCCATATTTAGTGCTTCCTTCAGGAGTTCTTGTAAGGTAGGCCTGGTGGTGACAAAATCTCTCAGCATTTGCTTGTCTGTAAAGGATTTTATTTCTCCTTCACTTATGTAGCTTAGTTTGGCTGGATATGAAATTCTGGATTGAAAATTCTTTTCTTTAAGAATGTTGAATATTGGCCCCCACTCTCCTGTGGCTTGTAGGGTTTCTGTGGGTAAATCCACTGTTACTCTGATGGGCTTCCCTTTGTGAGTAACCTGACTTTTCTCTCTGGCTGCCCTTAACATTTTTTCCCTCATTTCAAGCTTGGTGAATCTGACAATTATGTGTCATGGGAGTTCTTCTCAAGGGGTATCTTTGTGGTGTTCTCTGTATTTCCTGAATTTGAATGTTGGCCTGTCTTGCTAGATTGGGGACATTCACCTGGATAATATCCTGAAGAGTGTTTTCCAACTTGGTTCCATTCTCCCCATCACTTTCAGGTACACCAATCAAATGTAGGCTTGGTCTTTTCATATAGTACCATATTTCTTGAAGGCTTTGTTAATTCCTTTTCATTCTTTTTTCTCTAATCTTGTCTTCACACTTTATTTCATTAATTTGATCTTCAGTCTCTGATATCCTTTCTTCCACTTGATTTATTCGGCTATTGATACTTGTGTATGCTTCACAAAGTTCTCATGCTGTGTTTTTCAGCTCCATCAGGTCATTTATGTTCTTCTCTAAACTGGTTATTCTAGCTAGCAATTCCTCTAAATTTTTTTCAAGGTTCTTAGCTTCCTTTATTGGGTTAGAACATGTTCCTTTAGCTCGGAGGAGTTTGTTATTACCCACCTTCTGAAGCCTACTTGTGTCAGTTGGCACTCATTCTCTGTCCAGTTTTGTTCCCTCGCTGGTGAGGAGTTGTGATCCTTTGGAGGAGAAGAGGCATTCTGGTTTTTGGAATTTTCAGCCTTTTTGGCTGGTTTATCCTCATCTTCGTGTATTTATCTACTTTTGGTCTTTGATGTTGGTGACCTTCAGATGGGGTTTCTGTGTGGATGTCCTTTTAATTTATGTTGATGCTATTCATTTCTATTTGTTAGTTTTCCTTCTAACAGTCAGGACCCTCTGCTGCAGGTCTGCTGGAGATTGCTGGAGGTCCACTACAGACCCTGTTTGCCTGGGTATCACCAGCGGAGGCTGCAGAACAGCAAAGATTGCTGCCTGTTCCTTCCTCTATAAGCTTCATCCCACAGGGGCACCCACCAGATGCCAGCTGGAGCTCTCCTGTATGTGGTATCTGTCGACCCCTGTTGGGAGGTGTCTCCCAGTCAGGAGGCACAGGGGTCAGGGTCCCACTTGAGGAAGCAGTCTGT
Organism: Homo sapiens; assembly: GCF_000001405.40. Taxonomy (NCBI): domain Eukaryota; kingdom Metazoa; phylum Chordata; class Mammalia; order Primates; family Hominidae; genus Homo; species Homo sapiens. Next base: position 145,243,001 of record NC_000004.12, read on the forward strand.
CCCTTAGCAGAGCTCGAGCACTGTGCTGGGAGATCCACTGCTTTCTTCAGAGCTGGCAGGCAGGAAAGTTTAAGTCTGCTGTAGCTGTGCCCACAGTCGCCCCTTCCCCCAGGTGCTCTGTTCTAGGGAGATGGGAGTTTTATCTATAAGCCCCTGACTGGGGCTGCAGCGTTTCTTTCAGAGATACCCTGCCTGGAGAGGAGGAATCTAGAGAGGCAGTCGGGCTACAGGGGCTTTGCCAAGCTGTGGTGGGCTCTGCCCAGTTTGAACTTCCCAGTGGCTTTGTTTATACTGTGAGGGGAAAACCGCCTACTCAAGCCTCAGTAATGGCAGATGCCCCTCCCCACACCAGGTCCACTTCAGACTACTGTGCTGGCAGCAAGAATTTCAAGCCAGTGGATCTTAGCTTGCTGCACTCCGTGGGGGTGGGATCCATTGAGCCAGACCATTTGGCTCCCTGGCTTCAGCCCCCTTTCCAGGGGAGTGAACAGTCCTGTCTCGCTGGTGTTCCAGGCGCCACTTGGGTTTAAAAAAAACAAACAACAACAAAAAAACTCCTGCAGCTAGCTTGGTGAATGCCCAAATGCCTGCCTGGTTTGTGCTTGAAACCCAGGGCCCTGGTGGCGTAGGCAACAGAGGAAATCTCCTGGTCTGTGGGTTGCGAAGACCCTGGGAAAAGCATGGTATCTTGGCTGGAGTGCACCGTTCCCCTTGGCACAGCCCCTCACAGCTTCCCTTGGCTAGGCGAGGGAGTTCCCCGACCCCTTGCACTTCCTGGGTGAGGCAATGCCCAACCCTGCTTTGGCTGACCCTCCGTGGGCTGCGCCCACTGTCTAACAAGTCCCAGTGAGATAAGCTGGGTACCTCAGTTGGTAATGCAGAAATCACCCACCTTCTGTATTGATCTCACTGGGAGCTGCAGACTGGAGCTCTTCCTATTCGGCCATCTTGGAAGAACCTCTTCTCTTTTTTGAGACAGAGTCTCATTCTGTTGCCCAGGCTGGAGTGCAGTGGTGACATCACTGCAACCTCTGCCTCCTGGGTTCAAGTGATTCTCCTGCCTCAGCCTCCCTAGTAGCTGGGATTGCAGGTGTGTGCCACCACACCAGGCTAATTTTTGTATTTTTTAGTAAAGACAGGGTTTTGCCATGTTGGCCAGGCTTGTCTCTAACTCCTGACCTCAGGCTATCCACCTGCCTCAGCCTCCCAAATTGCTGGGATTACAGGTGTGAGCCACCACACCTGGCCATTTGAAAAGCTTTTAATGTAAATATGAATGAGTGGTTCAAAGACATAAAAGCCTAAGTTCCACTAAAAGGAACAAGGAATTATGAAATAAAAAGAAGCAAAAATAAAATACAAAAGAAATTATTAGAAATTTGTAAGCTGGAGTGCGAATGTATTTGAAGATTTGAATTTTGATATAGTTGAAGAAAAAATTAGTGATTTCCAAGATCTTAAAAAGGAATACCCCAGAATACAGGAGAGCAAAGAGAGAGTATGTATGGGTATGGAAACAGGCAAATTGGTGCATTTTGTGATGGAAGATTAGGCAGATACCTTTGTATTGCTTCTATTTTTTTCAGTAAAATTAGAGATATAAGCATCAGCTGAAGTGAAAAGGTGTTGCAGGTTTGAGGAGAAATGATAAGGTATCCTTTGAGAGAATGGGATAGCAAATTGATTACAGAAATGTGGAAGGATTATCAGGAAGTGCTGGTGGCCCACTTTAGTCTAACTAGGATTTAGACCCCCTAAAAGGTATTTGTTTCTAATGAGACAAGTCCTGGGCAAGGAGCAAGAAGAAAACTGAGTGAAAGGAAAATAAATACCAGGAACACTTTCAATTCATTGTGATTACTTACTTTGATAAATAAAAAATTGGATTCTGTCTGTAAAAAGCCAGATTTTCAAATGAAAGTATAGAGAAAAGAGGATATAAATGATCTGTGATGCAAGAACAAAGAGAGAAAAAAAGAAGAGGAAAACAGTAGAGATATATCACAGTACCATGTATTAGAAGCAGGTGCAGTGAGTAACAGATACTTGGAAAGCAGAGACTATAGTTTAGGAGACAAAGAAATTTAGTTCCTGGAGGGGGCATCAAATAGCTATCCACCTCTATTGACCCTCAAAAGTTTCTTTGTAATATATTTTAAGAAATTTTTATCAAAGTAAATTAAAAGTTTATAATTTATAATTTAGTCTTCTAAGAGTTCATTGTCTATCTAGAAAACTCTGCTCTTGGCCAGGCACTTTGGGAGGCCAAGCGGGTAAATTGCTTGAGGCCAGGAGTTCAAGATCAGCCTGGCCAACATAGCAAAATTCTGTGTCTACTAAAAATACAAAAATTAGCTGGGCACGGTGGTGTGGGCCTGTAATACCAGCTACTCGGAGGGCTGAAGCATGAAAATCACTTGAACCCAGGAGGCAGAAGTTGCAGTAAGCTGAGATTGCACCACTGCAGTCCATCCTGGGTGACAGAACAAGACTCTGTCTCAAAGAAAAGAATACAAAAAAGAGAAAAGAAGAAAAGAGAAGAGAACAGAGAAAAGAAAAGAAGAGAAGCTGGGGAGAAGCCGAGTACAGTGGCTCATGCCTGTAATCTCAGCAATTTGAGAGGCTGAGAAGGGCGGATCACCCGAGGTCAGGAGTTCAAGACCAGCTTGGCCAACATGGTGAAACCCCATCTCTACTAAAAATACAAAAATCAGCTGGGCATGGTGGCAGGCACCCGTAATCCTAGCTACTTGGGAGGCTGAGTCAGGAGAATCGCTTGAACCCGGGAGATGGAGGTTGCAGTGAGCCAAGATCACACCTCTGCACTCCAGCCTGGGCAACACAGCGAGAGTCTGTCTTGAAAAAAGAAAAAAAAAAGAGTAAAGAAAAGAAAACAAAAAACTGTGCTCTTGGAAGCTCATTTCTCAATGATGACAGTTATTAATAGTGGGAAAGTTTCTTTTTCCTTTCCTCATTTAGAAAATAATAACATATGCCACGAGAACTTGGTAATACTCTGACTACTTGAAAAATAGGCATCTATATATGTCCATTCAGTCAGTCAACATGTATTTTATTGCTTGTGTACCCGCACACACCATGGTTTATCTACAAGAGAATGTCATGGCATGTCAATTTGATTGCCTGGATTCAATCCCAAATTCTGCTACTTAATACTATTGTAACTGGGATTGAGGAAGTTAAACTCTTTTTTTTTTTTTTTTTTGAGACAGAGTCTTGCTCTGTCACCCAGGATGGAGTGCAGTGGCATGATCTTGGCTCACTACAACCTCCGCCTCCTGGGTTCAAGTGATTCTCTTGCCTCAGCCTCCCGAGTAGCTGGGATTACAGGTGTCTGCCACCATGCCCAGCTAATTCTTTTTTTTATTTTTAGTAGAGACGGGGTTTCACCATGTTGGCCAGGCTGGTCTTGAACTCCTGGCCTCAAGTGATCCACCCACCTCGGCCTCCCAAAGTACTAGGATTATAGGCAAGAGCCACTGCGCCTGGCCTACTTAAACTCTTTGAGTCCCTATACTCTACTATGAAATAAAGCTGATTATAACAATACCCTCTCTCATTATGTTCCTGTGAACATTAAATGATATAAGGTATTTAAAGAGTTTAGACTAATGCTTCACAGGTGCTCACTAAAAGATAGATGCTATGATTATCTACTAATTAAAATTCCAAGGAGTATATTATACTGTCCTAGACAATGATGCCAAAGTTAAATATTTTAGAGTGGCTATAATGCATGCATTTTATGTCTCCAATGCACCTAGCAGCATTTTGCCAAACAAAACTACTTTAAGTTTGATAAATACTTTGCAATTCTCAAAATGGTGGCATAGCATTATCTAAATTGGTCCTCACTGCACCTGGAGAAGGGCAACTGTTATCTCAGTGTAATAGAGGTAGGAAAAGAGGCTTGGAGAAAAGTTGAGTTGAACATGGCTGGTAAACTGAAGAACCCAAAGTAGAATATAAGTTTTTATTACTCATGGTTGTTAATAAGAATCATGGAGATTGAAAACAGTCATTCGTGGAATTGTTGGTTAGCTTAATAATTGCCCTAATCATGTCTTTGTTTTGAAATGGAAATTGTCTTATTTTACTTGCCTTGTAGTAATATACCTAAGCATATCCACAAACCACAAAGAAACTTTGTCAGTTCATGTGCTGTATGAAGCATACTTTTTCTTTTTTCTTTTTCTTTTATTATACTTTAAGTTTTAGGGTACATGTGCACAACATGCAGGTTTGTTACATATGTATACATGTGCCATGTTGGTGTGCTGCACCCATTAACTCGTCATTTAACATTAGGTATATCTCCTAATGCTATCCCTCCCCCCTCCCCTGACCCCACAACAGGCCCCGGTGTGTGATGTTCCCCTTCCTGTGTCCATGTGTTCTCATTGTTCAGTTCCCACCTATCAGTGAGAACATGTGGTGTTTGGTTTTTTGTCCTTGAGATAGTTTGCTGAGAATGATGGTTTCCAGTGAAGCATAATTTTTCTTATTCATTTACACTGCAAGCTATTTCATATTTTAATAGAACACTTAACGCCTTTTATTGGATAGCTTAAAATTCATATTTTCAGCAGTTCCCTTCCAGTTACACATGGTTTGCAAAGGAAAATCTAACTATTGCTCTTGCTTCATATATTTTTTGTCGTTATCTACCTCTTTCCCTTTTCCTTTTCTGTTTCACACTGAAGATCAGTGAAATCTGTGGCATTTGTTATTTTTGCCGTATGGTGCCATATGAAAATAAATTAATATGTTTTTGTTCCAATCGTTTTATTATTTATTGAAGGTGGGAAGTTACTGGCACTTTCTATGATGCTATATTAAGCACTTGCTTGGAGTTTGCTATTGCTATGATTTGACCTTTATGTGTCTTTCTCTCTTCACTTTTGTCTAAAGAGGAAGGTCTTTTCCTGTTTGGGAAGATAGACTGGGGCCTTTGACATACTGGTGGAGAAATGTGCAAGGCTGCCGACCCATGGGAGCCTAGAAAAAAGGGTAGATGGTTTCACATATATAAGGACACGAGGCAGCTCTCCTGGAACAGGCAAGAGAGACAGGAAGAATATTGTGGGCACAGCAGCTTCCATGCGATGTGAGACTGAAGGGAACCTTGTGATGTAGAAGATCTATGAAGATTTATGTTATTTTTCAAGGCTTTTGGAGTTGAATTTGTAAATTTTTTTTTTTTTTTTTTTTTTTTTTTGAGATGGAGTCTTGCTCTGTTGCCAGGCTGGAGTGCAGTGGCACGATCTCAGCTCACTGCAACCTTCGCCTCCTGGATTCAAGCGATTCTCCTGCCTCAGCCTCCTGAGTAGCTGGGACTACAGGTGTGTGCCATCACACCCGGCTAATTTTTTTGTATTTTTAGTAAAGACGGGGTTTCATCATGTTAGCCAGGATGGTCTCAATCTCCTGAACCTTGTGATCCACCCGTCTCAGCCTCCCAAAGTGCTGGGATTACAGGCATCAGCCACCATGCCCAGCACCAGAATTTGTAAATATTTTGAATGTGTCACTGTGAGTCCTAAGATTGCAGCAATGTTATATTTGAATGATACAATCATATACACAAAATGTATTTAATTCAGCTATATTTAATTAAATACACATTTGTGTATGGCCTTGTGCAGAATGCTTATATAAGAAAAAAAATTGTGTTTTTGATGATAATGCAAAAAAGTTGAGAAAACCTGCCCACTAAGGGATTTCTTTTGAAAAACTGCCTTAAAAGAGAGCGAAATAATTTTTTTCTTTTGCATTTATCTAGACAAGCACTAAAACTTTGTCAGTAGTCTTTAAAATTAGATGCAAGGTTTCTTCCTAAATGGATGAGCTTCTCTGGAAAAATAACAAATATGAATGTTGGGATATGTTACAAATTATGGGCTTTAGTTTATAAATTTATTCAGAAAGTCTCTTAATTTTTCTGGAAATAAAATAGCAGCATTGTTCCAGCAATTTTCCTGAACTATGTGGTTGGTTTTACTGCCCTCTTTGCTAGAAAAATTTGGCTCATAGATTTCCCAAGTTAGCAGAATCAGTGAAATTTAGTATAAAGCTGTCATTTTTTCCAGTTAACCAAGTGGGTGATTCTCTGCTGATTGGTTCCACCACAAATTTGTGATTTCAAGCGTCGGCTGGATCTTCAGTGCTGTTAGGCAATCATTTCTGTGACAGAGACTGAGGCTGAGCTATCTGAAACAATTTATAATCATCTTCTCTCTTACCTTTATCTGCAATTCAGATGAGAAAACTAAAATTCCCTACTTCCCAGCCTCCTTTGCAGTGAAGAGATATAAAATACTTCTGGCCAATGAAGCAAAGTGCTTCCTTTGGCAAATAGAAAGGTAATAGCTCCCTATGAAAACACTTTTTCCCTTTAAATTGTTTGGTCCTTTTTCTTTTTCTTTTTCCTACCTTGAACTTGGATGGAATACCTGGAAGTGCTGCAGCCATCTTTCCACATGAAGTAACAATCCTAAGAAACCTGGGCTTCTAAGGGCATTATTAAACCACCTTTATTTCCTTTCCATTGTCCCTTCATTGGGTAAATAAATAAACCCCTGTCCATTTAATCCATGTTAGGCTCTCGTTATTTGATTACACTTTGGATTGAAACACTTTTTAGCACCAGTTGGCTCCCTTTCTTTACAGTGGCAGTTTGCAATTCTACCTGAGTGTGCATCTTTTGGTGGTCTCTTTAACTGGTTCACAAAGTTCCTACTTTTGTTCCCAAATCTGTATGGTTTATGGAAAGCCAACTCATTCCCATATTCAGGGACGAAGCAGACTTACCAGGGACAAAGCCAGTTGGTGCACTCCATAGTGTAGCCATACTGTTCACAACTGGGTGTTTAAACCAAGATAGCCCAATCAGAGTGAGTCTCAAAACTTTTGCTGGGAATTCTGAAATATTGTCCCTCTCTTTCTCCAGTCAGTGTGGTGTTCCAGTGCAATGTCAGGAGCTGCTGCATCCATTTTGCTACTATGCAGTAAAGTAGGCTAAGTAGACAGTTGGCACACTGAGGAAAGCAGGTCCCACAGCATTGTAGAGAGACAGCCTCCTGACCTGACTGCACTTGAAACCTGTCCGTTAACTCCTTTTTATTGTTTAATTACTTCAACTAAGCTGAAGTTTTACTGATACACTGTTCTAGTGTGGCCTCTCTCAGTGGAAAACCTCATGTGCAGGACATCTTCCGTTTGCTCCTCCAGATCTGTTCCACTCGTTTGCTCCCTGTTCTTACCTCATGAAACAAAATGGTATTGACTCCATTAATAGGCATCCTTGCCTCTGACTTCCAGGCGGGTTTGGCCAAAGGGAATCATCAGCAGGTGATCAGAGGAATGGAGAGAGAGGAGTAAGATCAAGGTATTTTTTTCCCTGGACCCCCACCTTGTAGGGTCACTACAAGCTGCTGTGTTCCTTGGTCAAATGCTAAAGCTCCTTTCACATGGTCTCTCCACACAGACTTTTCTCTCCCTGTTCTAATAACCACATCATGCTCTTGCTCACTCAGTCCTATGCATGGTAATGGTTCCTCACGGATGCCACCTAGAGAACTCCACTAGGTCTTGTAGTTTCCCTATATTCTGAGCACTCTTTTGTAGATAGTTCCTTTATTAAAATCTCCTCAAAGTATCAACTTTGACCATGTCATCTGTTTCCTGCTGAGGCACTGAGCAGTACATCTCATTCTCTACTTCACCAAGGAAAAGGCAGCCATATGTCTTCATATCTCCAGCCGTCATTCAGAGTACCCACACATACTCAAACACAGTTTGAGGCTTCAATTCTGTATTTCTGAGACTGCTAGGGGATGTGGAACAAGTCTGTGCCTCTTTTCCTCTTCAAAAGAATGAGAATAATGATGTTTTCCCTATATATCTTGCCAGGAATTTTGTGATAACTAAATCATATAATGGATATGAAAATACTTAGCAAAGCTGAGTACTAGACATACAAGAAGTATTATTACCATTATTGTTACTACTATAGAGCTAAATGTCAACCCAAGTTTTGACTGTAGCCCAATGAAAGACGACTGAATTCTCTCTCTCTCTCTCTGAGTTTACATGCTACTATCTAAACACATGTATGTGTTTTGGTGACAATTGCAAATACCTTTACATACTGGCCATATACTCCAATCAACCATCACTTTAGTACAAATTATACTTGCTATTCATATCCTTTCCTATGTGGTGATTACATGGTAGAAAGAGCTTTGGCTTTGGAGCCCACTGCATTTAGCTTCAAGCTTTGCTCCATCACTTACTAGTTCTTGGATACCAAGGAAATCACTTAGCCTCTCTGAGCCTTGGTTTCTTGGTTAATAAAATGATGAAAATTGCAAAGATTGAATACCTGCTCTGGTATCCTTCCCTTTTCCTTACCTAGTAACAGGAGAAGATGTCCTGCAATGGTGCAGCACACACTTCCCGGACCTGGAACAAGAAGGCCATGGCTTAACTTCTGTATAAAAGACAGAGGGATAGCATGCCAAAAGATGGACTCTGAGATGATTGTGGCAAAAGGACTGGGAAATGACAGCAAGCTTAGGTCAGGGAGGGGACACTCTCTTTGATTGAAGCTTACTGGAAACCACACATTGTGGGTGGGCCTAACTGGCCACAGAAATTCTTCCCAGAAGTAATCCATGTGATTTGAGGACATTTTACTGATGAGATTAAGATGCTAAAATGCCATCGTGAAGCAGCCAACCTAAAGTATAACTAATGTATAACCAGCTGTAAACTTGGAAATTGTAACATTTTATGTATATTGATTGAAATAATAATACTGGGTGAGGGAAATAGCATTTTTCTGGAGCATCTACTTTGGGTGGGCCTGGCAACTTATACAGCATACATCATCTCATTGAGTCTTCTTATTAACCTCATGCAATGGGTATTAAAATCCTTATTTGACTTATGGGGAAATTGAAACTCCAACGATGCACACAATATGTAAGTAGTTCTGGATCAACCTCTCCAACTCACAGAACTCTGATGTGAATAATATGTATAGTGGGTATGAATCTAAGGCCACAGATTTAGGTGCACAAGAAATACATCAGTTTTATTCTTATGTAACTCAGCTAAATTTACATCCTGAGCCACTATTCCAACAGGATGGCAAAAAGTTAATCTCTCCCAACTTGAATTCCTGCCTTCTCTCTTACATGGGGTTATATCTGAGTTCTGACTTCGTATGGTTTATATAAATTTATGTGATTATATGGTTTATTTGGTTCCAGAGCATTGGTGGTTAGCATAGGGTTAAAGGAAATCTGGTCTTCACTGAGGGTGCCAAAGGGAAATCTGTTACTCCCTCATTGGGCTATGCAGGTTGTCATGGCAATATCTTTTGTTCTCATCTGTGCAAATCTAGTTAGTCTCCCTCAAATATTTTTGTCCTTTGGGTGCATGAGAATATTCTGTTGCTGCCCCACCATGATAGCTTCAAAGTTAGACATTGAGAGTATCTCTGGACAGATCACAGAGATATTTCTTCTGTGGTATTATGCTATTTACCCAGGATTCTACTTAGTTGCAGGAGCACAGGTGTCTTCTGCTGTTGGATTCCATAATTTCGTCTGGGGTTTTGGCTCTGCCTCACTTTCCTATGCTCAGTCTGAGAGCAAGGCAGTGTCACGCATGTCTGTGTGAAGTGAACCCACCGAACAGGCTTTGTGTGAGCAACAAGGCTGTTTATTTCACCTGGGTACAGGCGGGCTGAGTCCGAAAAGAGAGTCAGCAAAGGATGGTGGGATTAACATTAGTTCTTACAGATTTGCGATAGGTATACAAAGTACATTCTCAAGGGTGGGGAGAATATTACAAAGTATCTTTTTAAGGGCAGGGGAGAATATATCGTATCAGTTAGGGTGGGGCAGGAACAAATCACAATGGTGGAATGTCATCAGTTAAGGCTATTTTCACTTTTGTGGATCTTCAGTTGCTTCAGGCCATCTGGATGTATACATGTAGGTCACAGAGAATATGATGGCTTAGCTTGGGCTCAGAGGCCTGACATTCCTGTCTTCTTATATTAATAAGAAAAACAAAATAGTGGTGAAGTGTTGGGGCAGTGAAAATTTTGGGGGGTGGTATGGAGAGATAATGGGCGATGTTTCTCAGGGCTGCTTTGAGCGGGATTAGGAGCAGCATGGGAACCTAGAGTGGGAGAGATTAAACTGAAGAAAGATTTTGGGGTAAGGGGTGGTATTGTGGGGTTGTTAGAAGGAGCATTTGTCATATAGAATGATTGGTGATGGCCTGGATGCGGTTTTGTATGAATTGAGAAACTAAACAGAAGACACAAGGTCCAAATAAAAGAAGGAGAAAAATAGGTATTAAGGGACTAAGAATTGGGAGGACCCAGGACATCCAATTAGAGAGTGTCCAAGGGGTTTCGGCATAATTATTTGCTTGGCTGGTGAGTTTTTGGGCTCTTTCAGTTTTTTTATGTTGTCATATACCGGCCAGATTGATTAAGATAAAAACAACTCTTCATTAAAAAATATACCCAGTCCCCCCTTTTTTAAGCAGTGAGTAAGTCGGGGCCTCGGCAATTTTGGAGGAAAGAGAAATGCAAAGCCAGCAATTGTTTGTTAAAGAATGATTAGAAACGGCTAGGAGAGAGTGAGTGAGATTGATAGTGTGGTGGAGATAGCTGGGGAGAGCTGGATGGTGACATAAGAATGGGAACAAGAATAAGAGTGAGTATAAAAGTAAAAAAAAAGGACTTCATCAGGGTAAAAGTGTTGGAGTGTGCCCTGTCAGCAAAGATCATCTATCCACTCCAAAAGGGAGTCAAGAGTGGCGGATTGGGGATAGATTTTCACGATGGAAAGAAAATGAGAGGTTTTAAGAGGTGGGCTAATGGCTTGTAACCTACATGGAAGAGGATGTGAAGTGATGACAGAATAGAATGGGCCTATGAGGCTGGAAGGATATATATATATATGTATTTTTTTTTTTTTGGTCTAAGAACCATCTGCCTTGAGTGGAGACAGATTGATAGGTGGGAACTTCAGTGGGAGAGTAAATAGGAGTGACCAATGAGAAGGAGAAAAACTGGCCATGAGGGACAGAAGTTGGAACGCTAGCTGCTTCTTTAGCTACCTTATCAGCCTAAGCATTGCCCTGAGCAATGGGATCTGATGCCTTTTGATGGCCCTTGCAGTGAATGACTCCAACTTCCTTTGGAAGTAAAGCAGCTTTAAGAAGAGTTTTTATTAAGGCGGCATTAATGATGGAGGACTCTTGTGTAGTGAGGAAATTTCTTTCTGCCCATTTAACAGCATGGTGGTGCAGGATATGGAAGGCATATTTAGAGTCAGTATAAATATTGACATGTAGTCTCTTTGCAAGAGTGAGGGCCCGAGTTAAGGCAATGCGAAGGGCGGCAATGAGGTATGGAGGTAGCCTAGGAATAGTCAGTGAAGCAGATAATTTAGTTAAAATGCCTCGACCTAATAAGGGAGCTGGGCAGGTGGGGATAATTAAAAAGGAGTACACAGAACAATGTTGCCCAAGTTGGCACCAGAATTGGGGAGTTTTAAGAGGTTTAGAAGCCTGGCCATCAATACCCACAACAGTTATGGAGGACAGGGAAACAAGCCCTTGAAAAGAAGGTAATGTGGAGTGGGTAGCCTCCGTATTGATTAAGAAGGGGACGACTTACTCTCCACTGTGAGAGTTACCCAAAACTCAGCGTCCGTGATGGCCCAGGGGGCCTCTGAGACAATCAGGCAGCATCAGTCTTCAGCTGCTAAGCTGAGAAGATCTGGGAAGGAGTCAGTCAGAGAGCCTTGGGCCAGAGATCTAGGGGCTCTGGGAGTGGCTGCTGGGCAAGTTGGACAGTCCGATTTCCAGTGGGGTCCCACACAGATGGGACATGGCTTAGGAGGAATCACGGGCTGAAGGCATTCCTTGGCCCAGTGGCCAGATTTTTGGAACTTGAAGCAAGATCCTGGGGGAGGAGGTCCTGAAGCAATGCCTGGCCACTGCGGTTTAGGCATTTTGAAGTTCTTGTGTGCTGGAGATGTGGCTGGGATTTCTCTCACAGTGGAAGCAAGTAATTGCAACTGTTTTCTATTATTGTACACCTTGAAGGTGAGGTTAATTAAGTCCTGTTGTGGGGTTTGAGGGCCGGAATCTAATTTTTGGAGCTTTTTCTAATGTCGGGAGTGGATTGGGTAATAAAATGCATACTGAGAATAAGATAGCCTTCTGGACCCTCTGGGTCTAGGGTGGTAAAGCGTCTAAGAGTTGTTGCCAAACAGGCCATGAACTGGGCTGGGTTTTTATATTTGATGAAAAAGAGCCTAAATGCTAACTGATTTGGGAAAGGTCTGATAGAGAAAAAGGAGCATTAACCATGACTATGCCTTTAGCTCCATCCATCTCTTTAAGAGGAAATTGTTGGGCAGGTGGGGGAGGGCTAGTTGCTGAATGAAACTGTAAGCCAGACCAGATGTGAGAAGGGGAGGTTACAGAAGGATTATAGAGTGGGAGAGCGGAGGCTGAGGAAGAATTGGGACCTCGCTCAGCCTGGCGAGGAGCAGCCAGGGGAGGAGGGGAGAGGTCAGATGTGTTCATAGAAAAGGAGGATTCAAACGACTCAGAGCTTGGGGTGGAGACTGAAGGAACAGAGAGGAGAAAAAGAAGAAAGATTTGGAATGAGCCGCATTGGGAGCAAAGATTAGGAAGGGACCGATGTGTAAAAGAATGCCTAGACATCAGGCACCTCTGACCATTTGCCCAGTTTACGACAAGAATTATCTAGATCTTATAGGATGGAAAAATTGAAAGTGCTGTTTTCTGGCTATTTGGAACCATTATCGAGTTTGTACTGGGGTCAAGTGGTGTTGCAGAAGAAAATAAGTCAATTAGGTTTTAGGTCAGGTGTGAGCTGAAGAGGTTTTAAGTTCTTGAAAACACAGGCTAAGGGAGAAGGGGGAATGGAGGGTGGAAGGTTGCCCACAGTGAAGGAGGTAAGTTTAATGAGAAAGGTAGAGACACAGAGAAGGTGGGTGAGTGGCCCTGGGCTGCAATGTGGGTGAGCAGCCAAAGCAGGCATCCCTGCAATTGACTTGCCACCAAGGGAATGTGGGTGAATGACCAAGGCAGGTGTCCCTGCAGTGATCAGACACCAATGGAGTGTGGGTGAATAATCAGGCAGGTGTCCCTGCAGTGATTAAACACCAAGGGAAGACTGTCTTCCCGAGTCTGTGACCAGCGCCGGAGTTTTGGGTCCACGGATAAAATGTGTCTCCTTTGTTTCTACTAGAGAGGAAAAAAGAACTGGAATTGGAAGGACAGGGAGATTCAAGGGTAGCGAGAGAGGCTGGAGAAGAGAGTGAGAAGACCGCTTACTGATTTGACATTGGTGAGATGTTCCTTGGGCTCATTGGTCTGAGGACCTGAGGTCATAGGTGGATCTCCTCAAGGAGTGAGGGCGAGGACAGGGGACTGGTCTCCTGAAGGAGTCCTCCCGTCCCAGGTTTCGGCACCAAATGTCATGTGTGTCCATGTGAAGAGACCACCAAACAGACTTTGTGTGAGCAACAAGGCTGTTTATTTCACCTGGGTACAGGCAGGCTGCGTCCAAAAAAGGAGTCAGCAAAGGGTGGTGGGATTATCATTAATTCTTATAGGTTTGGGATAGGCGTACAAAGTACATTCTCAAAGGCGGGGATAATATCACAGAGTACCTTCTTAAGGGCAGGGGAGAATATTACAAAGTACCTTCTTAACGGCAGGGGAGAATATCATATCAGTTAGGGTGGGGCAGGAACAAATCACAATGGTGGAATGTCATCAGTTAAGGTTATTTTCACTTCTTTTATGGATCTTCAGTTGCTTCAGGCCATCTGGATGTATACTTGCAGGTCACAGGGAATATGATGGCTTAGCTTGGGGTCAGAGGCCTGACAGGCAGACTCTCCCAGACACACTGGTATCATACCGTTATCACTTCCCCTTTAACTTTTTTCCCCCCAGATATGGAGAATCTGTTTGTAGTTGGTAAGGGAGGCTGATAGAAAAGGTCTGCTCATACTGTTCAAGAATGTTGTCATGATCCTTTGTGTTACTCTAAGGAGCTAAATTTCAAAAGACAAAGCTAAAAAGAGTTTCCATTTTTTCCTCTCTTTTCTGCTATTACATATCTTTCCTAAGCCAATTAATACCTATTGGTTTAGGTGTCTTAGTAGAGTGAAGAAAATGCTGGGAAACAAAAAACTCCTCTTTCAGAAATATTGTCTTGTCTACGTACAAAGGACTTCATTATTTATTTATTTAAATACAGTAAGAAATTTGAATTCAAGGTGGACTGGAATCACCCCTAACCCTCCCTTGGCTGATTGGGATGTATTTTCTTTTCTTTCTTTTTTTTTTTTATACTTTAAGCTCTAGGGTTCATGTGCACAACGTGCAGGTTTGTTACATATGTATACATGTGCCACGTTGGTTTGCTGCACCCATTAACTCGTCATTTACATTAGGTATTTCTCCCAGTGCTATGCCTCTCCCATTCCCCCACCCCACGACAGGCCCCAGTGTGTGATGTTTCCCGCCCTGTGTCCAAGTGTTCTCATTGTTCAATTCCCACCTATGAGTATGAAGATGCCATGTTTGGTTTTCTGTCCTTGTGATAGTTTGCTCAGAATGATGGTTTCCAGCTTCATCCATGTCCCTGCAAAGGACATGAACTCATCCTTTTTTATGGCTGCATAGTATTCCATGGTGTGTATGTGCCACATTTTCTTAATCCAGTCTATCATTGATGGACATTTGGGTTGGTTCCAAGTCTTTGCTATTGTGAATAGTGCTGCAATAAACATACGTGTGCATGTGTCTTTATAGTAGCATGATTTATAATCCTTTGGGTATATACCCAGTAATGGGATGGCTGGGTCAAATGATATTTCTAGTTCTAGATCCTTGAGGAATTGCCCCACTGTCTTCCACAATGGTTGAACTGGTTTACACTCTCACCAACAGTGTAAAAGCATTCCTATTTCTCCACATCCTCTCCAGCATCTGTTGTTTCCTGACTTTTTAATGATTGCCATTCTAACTGGTGTGAGATGATATCCCATTATGGTTTTGATTTGCATTTCTCTGATGGCCAGTGATGACGAGCATTTTTTCATGTGTCTGTTGGCTGCATAAATGTCTTCTTTTGAGAAGTGTCTGTTGATATCCTTTGCCCACTTTTTGATGGGATTGTTTGATTTTTTTCCTGTAAATTTGTTTAAGTTCTTTGTAGATTCTGGGTATTAGCCCTTTGTCAGATGGGTAGATTGCAAAAATTTTCTCTATTGGGACATATTTTCTATGTGGATAATACACATGGGAAGCCAAATAATAATTAGAAACTTGCTATCAAAGCAAGTAGAGTCAAATGGATTATGTCAATCACTATCATAGTCTAAAGTGCCTTCTTCTACTGCTGGAGAAAGACCTTACAGAGACCAAGAGTTACATTTACTTGGGTACCTAGTATCTGAATGGAGATACATTCTTGATGTCCATCTCTCACTTTCCTTGGCTCCATAGTGCTCATCTATCTTTCAGTTGTCCCACTACTCTTTCCTTGGCTCTCAGATTGGCCATCAGGCTTTCTCCAGGCAGAGCACAATAAAATTGGTTAACCATTAATTTAATATAAGTTGTATATCTATTTCAGGCCAGTTTCTGAGAGGCTGCACCCAGTATGGCTTGGCTAAACTTGAATGTGCCCCAATCACCTGAGCCTAGCATTTCTGGGCAACTTCATGCATTCTTGTTTTGTTTTGAAATGAAAATACATGGCAAAAAAAAAAAAAAAAAAAAAAAAACACCAAAACCAAAAACAAAAAAACCCAGCAAAAACACATGCACACACACAAAAAGTACAGAACAAAAAAGTCCACTCATACTTTTTTTTTTTTTAAATAAAGAAAAGTTTAATTGGCTCATGGTTCTATAGGCTGTACAGGAAGCATAGTCTTGGCATCTGCTTCTGGTGAAGGCCTCTGGAAGGCAAAGATGGAGCAGGCATGTCACATGGTGGGAATGAGAACAAGAGGTGGGGGTAGGTGCTTTTAAACAACCAGATCTCATGAGAACTCACTCACTATCATGGGGACAGTACCAAGCCATGAGAGAGCTGCCTCCATGACCCAAACATCTCCCACTAGACCCCACCTCCAACATTGGGTTTACATTTCAACACGAGATTTGAATGAGGACCAAATATCCATACTATATTATGCCACCCCTCGTTTCCCCAAAATCTCGTGCCCTTCTCATATTGCAGAATACAATCATGCCTTCCAAATAGTCCCCCAAAGTCTTAACCCATTTCAGCATTAACTCAAAAGTCCCAAGTTAGAGTCCAAAGTCTCATCTGAGACTCATCTACTTCCACCTATAAGCCTGTAAAATCAAAACAAGTTATTTACTTCCAAGATACAAGGGGGGTACAAGTATGGGGTGAACATTCTCATTACAAAAAGGAGAAATTGGCCAAAAGAAAGGGGCTACAGGCCCCATGCAAGTCTGAAACCCAGGGGAGGGCAGTCATTAAATCTTAAAGCTCCAAAATTGTCTCCTTTGATGCCTTCTATATCCTGCAACCAGGGCACACTGGCACAAGGGTTGGGCTCCCAGGGTCTTGGGAAGCTCCACTTCTGTGACTTTGTAGGATGCAGCCCCTGCAGTTGCTGTCACAGGTTGGGCTTGAGTGCCTGTGGCTTTTCCAGGCTTAGGATGCAAGCTGCTGGTGGCTTTATCATTCTAGGGGGTCTGGAGGATAGCAGCCCCTTTCCCACAGCTCCGCTAGGCAGTGCTCCGGTAGGGACTCTGTGTGGGGCTTACAACCCCACATTTCCCCTCTGCACTGCCCTAGTAGGGGTTCTCTATCAGGGCTCCACTCCTGCAGCAAGCTTCTGCCTGGGCACCCAGGGTTTCTCATACATCCTCTGAGATCTAGATAAGGCTGCCAAGTCTCCTTCACTCTGTGCACCTACAAGCTTAACACTACATGGAAGCCTCCAAGGCCTATGATTTGTGCCCTCCAGAGTGGAGGTCTGAGCAGTAACTGGGCCCCTTTGAGCTGCAGCTGGAGCTGGAGCTGGAGCAGCAGGGAGGCAGGTATGCAGGTACCAGTGTCCCCAGGCTGCTCAGAACAGTGGGGCGCTGGGCCTCACCCACTAAACAATTCTTTTCTCCTAGGCCTCTAGGCCTATGATGGGAGGGGCTGCCGCAGAGATATCTGAAATGCCTTCAAGGTCTTTTTCCCATTGTCTTGGCTATCAGCACTTGCCTCCTTTTTAGTTATGCAAATCTCTCTGGCAAGTAGTTGCCCTGCAGCCTACTTGAATTCCTCTCCAGATAATGCTTTTTCTTTCTCTGTCACATGGCCTGACTGAAAATTTTCCGGACTTTTATGTTCTGCTTCCTGTTTAAATATAACTTCCAACCTTAAGTTATTTGTTTGCTCCTGCATCTGAATGTAGGTCATTAGAAACAGCCACGCTAACTCTTGAACACTTTGATGGTTGGAAATTTCGGGCTGGGCGTGGTGGCTCATGCCTGTAATCCCAGCACTTTGGGAGGCCGAGGTGGGTGGATCATGAGGTCAGGAGTTCGAGACCAGCCTGGCCAACATGGTGAAACTCCGTCTCTACTAAAAATACAAAAATTAGCCGGGCGTGGAGTGTGTGCCTGTAATCCCAGCTACTCAGGAGGCTGAGGCAGGAGAATCACTTGAATCTGGGAGGCAGAGGTTGCAGTGAGCTGAGACTGTGCTATTGCACTCCAGCCTGGGTAACAGGGTGAGACTCTGTCTCAAAAACAAAACAAAACAAAACAAAACAAAAAAACAAAGAAATTTCATCCACCGGATACCCTAGGTTATCACTCTCAAGTTCAAACTTCCACAGTTCTCTAGGACATTGACACAATACAGCCAAGCTTTTTGCTAAGGTACAACAAGGGTTTCCTTTATGCCATCTTCCAGTAAGTTCCTCGCTTTCATCTGAGACCTGGTCAGACTGGACTTCATTGTCCAAGTCACTTATCAGTATTTTGGTCGCAATCATTTTACCCGTCTCTAAGATGTTCCAAACGTTCCCTCATCTTCTTGTCTTCTTCTGAGCTCTCTAAACTCTTCAAACCTCTGCCTGTTACCCAGTTCCAAAGTCATTTCCACATTTTCAGGTATCTTTATAGCAATACCCCACTTCTCAGAACGAATTTTCTGTATTTGGCTGTTCTTGCATTGCTATGAAGAAATACCTGAGACTGGGTGATTTATAAAGAAAACAGGTTTACAGCTGGGCATAGTGGCTCCCGCCTGTAATCCCAGCACTTTGGGAGGCCGAGGTGGGTAGATCACCTGAGGTCAGGAGTTCGAGACCAGTCTGGCCAACATGGTGAAACCCCGTCTCTACTAAAAATACAAAAATTATCTGGGCGTGGTGGTGGGTGCCTGTAGTCCCAGCTACTCAGGAGGCTGAAGCAGGAGAATTGGTTGAACCCGGGAGGTGGAGGTTGCAGTGAGCCAAGATTGTGCCACTGCACTCCAGCCTGGGTGACAGAGTGACACTCTGTCTCAAAAAAAAAAAAAAAAAGAGGTTTAATAGGCTCACGGACAGGAAGCATAGTGCCAGTATCTGCCTCTGGTGAGGGTTTCAGGAAGCTTACATTCATGGTGGAAGGTGAAGGGGGAGCAGGTGTCTCACATGGTAGGAGCAGAAGCCTTTACTAACTCTTGACCTCTTCCCTCAACCCAGTATTTCTAATCCCATTTTTAAGAGGCAACTAGTTTCCTGTCTTTCCAGAGACATTTCTCTCTGTCTCTCTCTCTCTTTCATACACACACACACACACACACACACACACACACACACACATGCACACACACACACACAGTAGTATATTCTGTCCATTGCTCTTTCTGCTTTTTTTACTTAACAATATATCTATCCATTATATTTTGAGTGCCTCACTTTCAGTTCTTATGTTCCCACCATATCCATCATTATTGCACACAATTGTTGCTTCTAACCTTCTCTTTGGCTCTCTATTCATCACTACACTAATCTTCAGAGGAAGTTACCTTCTTCCTTACCTGAAGTCAGAATTGTTTGAGGAAAAACCATTATAGAATTATTAGGTATAAATCATTATAGAATCATTATGTATATACCATTAACAGACCACTCAAAAAAGCTTCCAGCAAACTTTAACAGTACCACAAGCATGCAATTATTTGTAAATCATTTTCTTATGATGAACAAAGAAAAAGGAAACTCAGATATTTTGAAAATAGAAAGATCCATATTTTACCATATTTTTATTTCTGCACCTATAATCTATGACCATGTATAGCACACTAAAATAATGTGTTTTAATTTGCTATGACTACAAATAAGATTGTCCTAAGCTCTAAAAATCGATGTTTAAGTAGATTATCCTTTATATTTAAATTGTTTCTACTCTAATAGTATGATTTTTCTTGTAAACCTGTATATATCAGGATGGAAGTCCTTTTTAAAAAAGTGCAAGTGTCTTTTTAAAAAAGAGAGACATTTTTTAAGAAATGCACTACACTTCATAGTGTAGAAAGAAGGTGACATGATTTGGCTGTGTCCCCACCCAAATCTCATCTTGAATTCCCATATGTTTTGGGAGAGACCTGGTGGGAGGAAATTGAACCATGGGAGCAAGTCTTTCCCATGCTGTTCTCGTGATAGTGAATAAGTCTTATGAGATCTGACGGTTTTAAAAAGAGGCATTCCCCTGCACAAGCTCTCATTTTTTGCCTGCTGCCATCCACTTAAGATGTGACTTGCTCCTCCTTGCCTTCAGTCATGATTGTGGGGCTTTCTTTTGTAAATTGCTCAGTCTTGGGTATGTCTTTATTAGCAGCATGAAAAAGGACGAACACAAAAGGAGATCTAATAGTCTGAAAATAACCCTCTAATTCCTAATTTTTTTTTTTATTTTTTCGGAGACAGAGCCTTGCTCTGTCACCAGGCTGGAGTGCAGTGGCACGATCTTGGCTCACTGCAACCTCTGCCTCCGGGGTTCAAGCAATTCTCCTGCCTCAGCCTCCTGAGTAGCTGGGATTACAGGCATGTGCCACTATGCCTAGCTAATTTTTGTGTTTTTAGTAGAGATGGGGTTTCACCGTGTTAGCCAGGATGGTCTTGATCTCTTGACTTTGTGATCTGCCCTCCTCGGCCTCCCAAAGTGCTGGGATTACAGGCGTGAGCCACTGCACCCAGCCTAATTCCTAATTTCTTATGCATGGAGACGTCATGGGACAAAAGTGCTCCTCCGGGAGGGCTGTCTAGAATGGTCATGTTTGGGAAAAACTCAGGAAATATTTTCCCCTGTGATCTCATGCCACAACAATCATTAACACAGAAGACATATATGACCAAATATGTGTGTGGGGGTTTTTCCCACCACCAAGTATACGGTCACTTCTGCAGCAGACACCAACTTAATGTTCTCTAATTTAATTACAACACTATCTACCTGAATCTAATGTCAGATCCCACAGGTTTGGGGCTCAGACCCCAAAACTGCCCTCACCTTCAGATACCAGTTGCAAGTCTGAGCCTCTAGAACTTCTGATCAACTGGCTTCAAGCTGGGGTTCCCACAATCCTCTCTTTGGATCTCAATAATTTGCTAGGGTGGCTCACGGAACTCAGGGAAACACTTATGTTTACCAGTTTATTATAAAGGATATTGCAAAGGAGGCAGATGAAGAAATGCATAGCGTGAAGTATTGGGGAAGGGGCGCGGAACTGCCATGCCTTTTCTTGGTGTACCACCCTCCATGAACCTACACATGTTCGGCTCTCTGGAAGCTCTCTAACTCTGCCCTTTTGGGTTTTTATGGCAACTTCATTGTGTAGGCATGATTGACAACCATGCAGAAATGTGACTGGACAAAAAGCATATGATTTAAACTCAGCAAGGCCTGTCTGTTCAGATTCTTCTTGGCCTCTCTCTGTAGCACTCCTTCCTCCAGAGTATGGGGCAGGACTCTCTCTGAAGTGAGGATCTTTTAGCCCACAGTCAGATTAGAGTCCTGCCATAGGCAAGTAAAAGGAGGACAGGAGAAGGTGAGAGGGAGAAATTCTGTTTCCTGAGAGCTGGTCCTGAGGCCTAAAGTGCCCCAACATTATAACAAAGGACTGTAACAAGGGCAATGGGAGGTATAAGCCAGGAACTGCGAATTAAAAAAAAAAAATATATATATATATATATATAAATCACAGGTTGCCACGTCTCTTTGCTGGCCAAGAGAGCCCACTGCTGTGTGGGTCCTTGGCTTCTTTCTTCAGGACTTGGTGAAAAAGCTAGCCTTTAAAGATATTGTGCTGCTTCTGAAAACCTATGCAGACTCTGCAGGAGAGGGCCTTATTCTTGAAAGCTTTCTGATTAAGATTTGATTTTAGTATTACCTCATCTTTCATGTCCTGCTTGATCCTCTGCTTCATTCCAAACTTGGCCTTTAGAGTCAGAAAGACCTGGATTCAGATGCCAGTTCTGCCTCTTATAACTGTATCAACTTAGACATGTGTCTCAACCTCTTGATGCCTTGCTTTCAACTTCCACAATGATGGGAATAATGATATCTACCTTATAGGAATTTCATGAAGATTAAATGATATACTGTACATAAAATGATTAACACAGAGTAGATGCTTCATATTTGTTATTCATTCAATAATAACTATGTGTCAGAAACATACTTCAGGAGAAGGCTAAACATTGATGTATTAACAAGAGTTAGTCAATAAAGGTGGATGGAAGGGCCCTGGGATTAGGGAGAAGATTATTATTCCAAACAGAGGGAACAGCATGTGCAAAATGATAGAGTAACAGTGAGCATGTTGTGTTCTAGAAATAGAAAGAGGATTAAGATGACTGGACCAAGAAATGTAAGATGGGGAATGGCCAGGGATGAAGCTGGAGACCATGCAGGAATTTATAGGCCAAGTTAAGCTACTCTAATTTCATATTAAAAGTAATGGGGTCACCATTATTATGCCTATTCTTCAAATGGAGAAATGGGCTCAATGAAGGTAAATATTTTCCTGGTGCCAAACAACTTGTGAATGACATAGCGTTGAAGGGTTTTAAATAAAAAGTGACATAATCCAATTATACTTTAGGAATATCATTAGGACAACAGAATGGAGTATATGTGAGGCTGGGAGGCAAGGAAGCTGCTGAAGCAACATACAAGAAAGAAAATGAGATTGAGAGCCTTAGGAATTAGCATGGCAGGACTTGGTGAATATGGGGAAATGGTGGGAGTCAGGAAAATCAAAAATGCTCCTTCTTCCCTACGGAGTTTGGCAGTCCTGGTGCCTTCATTGGCGACATGACCATCAATGTCCCAGGCTTCAGGGACATGGCATGTGGACTGATAGATTTAAAGCAAAAGCAGGAGGTGAGAAGGACAAGGTGAGGAGAGGGAAAGATGAAGCCATAGCCATGCTATGCTGAGTCAAGCAAGTGGTGGAAGAGAAGAGAGCAATAAAGTGAAATCTCAACATGTGCAACAATCTTCCCTTGCTGATTGGGGGATGGATAAGCTATTTACAAGGTATCTATGTATTTTTTTCTTTTTTTTTTTTTAAACTATAAAGTAGTGGTAAAGACCTATCCAGGCCATAAAAGAGGCTAAAGAGAAATCATTTAGTCTTGTTGCTCTGAATCTATGACTTGGGAGGTTATATTTTTGTTTGTATCTGATCTTGGCCAGGTCCCTTTCTTTCATTGTTCTCACTTTTCTTATCCCTGTAATAAGGCTACATCATCTAAGTCTGTTTTGAGTGCCTATTGTATATCATACATTTTATGTGCATTGTCTCATTCATTCCACAACAACCTTGCAAGGAAGTTATCTCAATTTTACAAATTAGGAAACTGAAATATAGAAAGGTTAGATGGTTTTAATATTTATAATCTTTTTTTTTTGAGATGGAGTCTCACTCTGTCTCCCAGACTAGAGTGCAGTGGCACAGTCTTGGTACACTGCAACCTCCGCCTCATGGTTTCAAGCAATTCTCCTGCCTCAGCCTCCTGAGTGGCTGAGATTACAGGCGTGTGCCACCACGCCCAGCTAATTTTTGTATTTTTAGTAGAGACGGGGTTTCACCATGTTGGCAAAGCTAGTCTCAAACTCCTGACCTCAGGTGATCTCCCTGCCTCAGCCTCCCAAAGTGCTGGATTACAGGTGTGAGCCACTGCGCCCAGCAAATGTTTATAATTATATCAGAAGAAGATTTGTTATTGTATTGGGGCTGGAGAAAACATTTCTATGCAAAATTAGAGCTTGTGAGCTTTTAGGGAAATAATTACAGATTACTCTCTATAAAAAATTTAAATTTCTATAGGTTGAAAGACACTTAAAGACAGTTAAAAGGCAGGTGGCAGGCTGAAAGAAACTATCTGCCTGGTGTATAACAATATACAGAATATATAAAGAGAACTCACAAATCAATAAGAAAAATTGCAATGACCTAAGAGGAAAAAGTGAGCAAAAACTATGAACAGATATTTCATAGAAATGGAAGTCTAAATAATAAAAAAAAACATAAAAAGATGTTCAACATCGCTAGTAGTCAGGAGAAATGTTTATCTTTAATATTTTTCCAAAATATTGAAACATTTAAATTTAGTTAATCAAATTTCTTGTTTCCAAGAACTGTAATTGATTCTTTCTCACAGCAATCTCTTCTGTTTTAATGAGTGTGATATTCTCTTGGGATAATAAATTATATACTTTAAAAATTATCTTTCATTTCCTGTATTAATCCTATTTTCTCAGAGGTTAATTCAGTGAAATAAAATGATACCACACAATGAAATAATTTGGTTTTATTTCAATGTTTGGTAGTTTTCTATTGTTTGTAACTACTTGTAAAAGAGGCCTAGATTGGCTGATGTGTCTCTGAAGACACTTGATCTCCTGTCAGTGAATATGACTTCCCGTCACAGGATCCAGCAATGGTGATTGAAGGAAGGGGAGGGCCAGGAGTACTGAGTGCGGCCAAATGAGCTCTGTTCTTCAGGGCATCTGGAACCTGGTTTTCTGCATGTGGGAGCTCCCTGTCCCTCAAGCTAGTTGTCAGTTATAGGGGTTATTGCTTAAACTCTGTAGTCTCAGAGCTCACACTGGGAGTCTTACTTAATAGAATATTAATTTTATTTGGCTATTTGAAAGTGGATTCATGGCTTTACCCCAGGGCTGAGGCCAAGTCAGCAGTTCTGAGAGTTGCAAGCTGATGCAGTTATTCCCTAGACCCTTCATTACATGCTGGCTGCCTCTTAGACTCAGTTTCCTGCTATCCCCAGCTACTTTGAATCAGAGTTTAGTCCTATTCTTCAGTAGGAAAGTTTATAGGGTTTCTTCTAGCTGGATTAAATCTTCTAGAAATTCCATACTCTTCCAGTCTATTGGTACCTTTCATGTTATGGATTTATTTGTATTGCCATATTTCTTTCATCATGTTGTTATGATTTTGGGAGGGAAGAGAGGTGAGTGAGGAGTTTAGTTAGCCATCTTAAACAAATCCACATAATTATTTGAGTTCGTTTGTGGTAAGTGCTTTGAAGGATAAATACAATATAGTGTGAAAGGGTATACTGGAGGTACCTGCCCTAATTTGGAGGAGTTTAGGGAAAAGCCTTCCCTGGAGATATATTTTAAGTTAGACTTTTACTCAGAAGCAGGAAAATAGGCTAGACACCCTTTAGAGATTTCATTCATATTTATGATTCATTGGTTTCCCAAATTTGTGTTCATTTTTTAAAAGAATTTTTTTAAAGTGAAGTAGAAATGGAGGAAAAGAATACATTTCCTTTCAAAACAGGGATACTTAAAAACGTGAAATTGCAATGGCCTGAGCTCAGCATTTCAGCTAGCTCCTCTGTCATCACCTCATTGGATTTGCTCTACCCAACCTAAATGAGCTCCTCAAAGGGTTAGAGCTTTTACTGGAGACTGGAAGACTTTTCCTTTCTTTCTTTTTTTTTTTTTTTTTTTTTTTGAGATGTCTCATTTTGTCACCCAGGCTAGAGTACAGTGGTGCAATTATGAATCATTGCTCACTGTAGCCTCGACCTCCTGGGCCCAAGTGATCAAGTGATCTTCCTACCTTAGCCTCCCGAGTAGCTGGGACTACAGGCATGTGCCATCATGTCTGCCTAATTTTTAAATTATTTTTTGTAGAGACAGGGTCTCTCTATGTTGCCCAGGCTGGTCTTGAACTCCTGGACTCAAGCCATCCTCCCACCTCCGCCTCCCAAAATGCTATGATTGTGGGCACGAGCTGTTGCGCCAGGCCCTGGAAGACTTTTCAAGGGATTAACTTTCCTTGGGGAAGAAAAGCTAATTTCTTGATTTGGCAATACTTATCTCTCTTCTTTAACTCTAATTTCATGGAGGAAAAAAAGCTGCTACAGAAATTAATAGAATACAAAAAGCTAAATTGATCTTTCCTATAGAATTTAGAGTAAGTTGAATTTATATTACTTTTTTGGTTATAATTAGTAATTATTTTACTATCTTGATTATACCTTGACCATCAGCATTAGGATCAGAACTATTATTACTCATATAATCTTGTTAATAGGATAAACTAATGGCTCGATATAATGGGATTAAAGAAGAGATTCTTCTTGTCATACTTAAGTGTGTTTCGGGAACTTGTATTAAGAGGTTCTCTAGAATACAAAAACTTGAATGAATGTTCTGATAGTTTCCAAGTTAAGATCACCATAACAGTCATTTAATGTATACCTCCCTTACCTAGTGAAGAATCCCCAAGTATGAACATAAAATTTCATAAAATCTACTTAAAATGCATTGGAAGCATAGATTTGGTTATTCTATGGATCAAATTCTACCTCCTGTGTACATAGCAATGTTCACCACAGTATTAAAATTATAGTCATTTGTCGTATAATTAGCCATAAATTAACTGGTATTACCAATACTTCAGTTGAAAAGTGTGTTATTTTAGGCTGGGTGTGTTGACTCATGCTTGTAATCCCAGCACTTTGGTAGGCGGAGGCAGGATTGTTTGAGCCCAGGAATTCAAGACCAGCCTGGGCAACATAGTGAGACCCCCATCTCTACAAATAATAATTAAAAAATTAGCCAGGCATGCTGGCCCACACCTGTAGTCCTAAGCTACTCAGGAGGCTGAGGTAGGAGGATTGCTTGAGCCCGGGAGGTTGAAGCTGCAGTGAGCTGTGATTATGCCACTGCACTCTAGCCTGGGCAACAGAGTGAGACCCTGTCTCCAAAAAAAAAAAAAAAAAGTTATCTCGGACTTGTCTCTAAAAGAACAATTGGGAAGAAAATTTTGTTTTAAGAGTTTGTTATTTTAGAGTAACAATAGAAGGAATGTATTAGCTACTTGCTATTTCTCTTACTCTCTATGTCCGAGAAAAATTACATTCCCAAGAAGCAATATACCTGGATTTTGCAATCTCAACTCCCCCACAGAAATTGCTTCTTAGAGATATGACTTAGTAAGTTGCCCTCTCAATCTTTATGGAAGTTCACTCTTTGAAGGTCTTTTTACCCAAGACAAAGGTAAAATTCTCTTTGTATTCTAACATCTCTTAGGGAAAGATTTCTTTTGGTATTTAATTAAAGAAATTTCTCTCTCTAATATACTTTCTTTTTAGCATATGAAAATTTATTGCTACCATTTTTGCATCATCAAACCTTATGATTTTGGCCTTTCCTTCTTGTTTTTGCATCAGGCCAAGAGAAGCATCAGCTACTTTGACAACCTTAAAGCGAAATCCGGGAATGTCACCAACAGCATGACTTTTGCAACCAAATCTAGCAACCAGAACTTTATCATTTTCCTCGGTAAAGTTTAAGCAACTGTCATTGCGTATGAGAGCTGTGATTTTATTGCATTTCTTGGTTAGCTGGACCCTGATACACTTCTTGCTGGCAGCATCTGGCTATTTGGGTTTAACCTCTACTTTTTCTAGCACAATTCCCTTTGCATGTGAAGTGCCTTCAAAGGGGTTTGCCTTAGGTCAGGTGTGATGGCTCACCCCTGTGATTACAGAATCCCAGCACTTTGGGAAGCCAAGGTGGGAGGATCACTTGAGCCCAGGAGTTTGAGACCAGCCTGGGCAACACAGTGAGGTCCTATCTGTTAAAAAAAAATTTTTTTTAAATTAGCTGGATGTGGTGGCATGCACCTGTGGTTCCAGCTACTCAGGAGGCTGAGGTGGGAGGATCGCTTGAGTCTGGGAGGTCGAGGTTGCAGTGAGCTGTGATTGTGACACTGCATTCCAGCATGGGTGACAGAGCAAGACCATTTTCCCCCAAAAAAACTTGGTGGCAGCTTGCCTTCAAAAATATACCCAAATGGGTCTTAAACTGTTTATTATGCCTCTTCTGGTCGCATTGGTGGCTCGAGAGCTTCCTGGCAGTGTAAAGACTGCAACACAGGCCGGCTGTGGTGGCTCATACCTGTAATCCCAGCATTTTGAGAGGCCAAGGCGGGTAGATCATGAGGTCAGCAGTTCGAGACCAGCCTGGCCAATATGGCGAAACCCTGTCTCTACTAAAAAAATACAAAACTTAGCCGGGCATTGTGGCACATGCCTGTAGTCCCAGCTACTTGGGAGGCTGAGGCAGAAGAATCACTTGAACCTGGGAGGCGGAGGTTGTAGTGAGCTGAGATCGTGCCACTGCACTCCAGCCTGGGTAAAAGAGTGAGACTCTGTTTCAAAAAAAAAAAAAAAAAAAAAGACTGCAACACTTGCTCATCTTGCTGGTGCCACAGGTCTGAGTGAAAGAGCTAATATACCTTTATTAAAAATTGTGGTAAAATACACATAACATTTATCATTTTAACCATTTTTACATGTACAGTACCGTAGTGTTAAGTATATTCACGTTGTTGCACAGAACTTTTCATCGTACAAAACAGAAATTCTATTACCTATTGTGATGCTTAATTTTATATGTTAACTTGGCTGGGCCACAGTCCCCAGATATTTGGTCAAACATTATTCTAAATGTTTCTGTGAGGGTGTTTTTGGATGAGATTTACATTTATAAATACACTGCCATGGGATTTTTAAATTTTAAAAAAGAGATTTACATATTTAAATTAATGGACTTTGAGAAGAGCAGACTGCCCTCCATAATGTGAGTGGGCCTTATCTAATCAGCCAAAGGTCTGAAAAGAACAAGACTGCCTCCCTCAAACAATAGGGGATTCTGCCAGCAGACAGCCTTGTACTGCAACATGGGCTCTTCTCTGGGTCTCCGGCCTGGTGGCCTTTGAACTCAAATTGCAACATTGGCCCTTGCCTGAGTTTCCAACCTGCCAACCTACCCTGCACATTTTGGACTTGCCACTCTTCATAATCACCTGAGCCAGTTCCTTAAAATAAACTTTCTTTGTGTGTATGTGTGTGTGTGCACGCATGTGTGTGTGTGTGTGTGTGTGCATACATATATTCACATCCTATTGGTTCTGTTTCCCTGGAGAACCCTGATTTACACAACCATTAAAAAACAACTCTCCCATTTCCCTGTTTGCCCCTCCAACTCCCCAGCCCCTCGCAGCCATCATTCTACTTTCTTTGTTTTTTATTTATTTATTTATTTATTTTGAGACAGAGTCTGGAGTGCAGGCTGGAGTGCAGTGACACGATCTCCCCTCACTGTAACCTCTGCCTCCCGGGTTCAAGCAATTCCCCTGCCTCAGCCTCTGGAATAGCTGGGACTACAGGCGTGCGCCACCACAGCTGGCTCTTTTTTGTGTATTTTTAGTAGAGACGAGGTTTCACCACGTTGGCCAGGCTTGTCTCGAACTCCTGACCTCAAGTGATCCACTTGCCTCAGCCTCCCAAAGTGCTGGGATTACAGGCGTGAGTCACTGTGCCCAGCTTGTTTGATTTTAGAGATGGAGTCCTGTTCTGTTGCCTAGGTTGGAGTACAGTGGCACAATCATAACTCACTGTAACCTCAAACACCTGGGCTTGAGCAATCCTCCTGCCTCAGCCTCCTGAGTAGCTGGAACTACAGGTGTGAGTCACCATGCCCAGCTAAGTTTTAAATTTTTCTGTAGAGACACGGTCTTACTATGTTGCCGAGGCTGGTCTCAAACTCCTGGCTTCAAGCAATCCTCCTGTTTCAGCCTCCCAGAGTGCTGGGATTACAGGTCTGAGCCACTATTCCTGGCCTCTACATTCTGTTTCTATGAGTTTTACTACTTTAGATACTTCATTCATATAAGTGAAATCATATTGTACTTGTCTTTTTGTTACTGGCTCATTTCACTTAAGGTAATATTCTCAAGGTTTCTCCACGTCGTAGCATGTGTCAGAATTTGCTTTCTTTGTAAGGCTAAATAATATTCCATTGTATGTATATACCACTTTGTATTTATCCATCCATTCATTAAAGGACACAAATTGCTTCCACTTTTTGGCTGTTGTGAACAACACTGCTATAAATACGCATGTACAAGTATCTCTTCAAGACCTTGTTTTCCATTTTTTAACTCTATACCTAGAAGTGGAATTGCTGGGTCATATACTAATTCTATTTTTAATTTTTTAAAAAGCTGCCATACTGTTTTCCACATGGCTGCACCATTTTCCATTTCTACCAAGTGTATGTGGGTTTCAGTTTCTTCACATTCTCACCAACACTTGTTATTTTCTGTTTTTTTTTTTTTAATTTTACAGTTGCCATCCTAATGGGTGTGAAGTGATACCTCTTTGTGCTTTTGATTTACAGTTTTGTAATGATTACTTATATTGTGCATTTTTTCACACGCTTGTTGCCCATTTCTATATCATCTTTGGAGAAATGTCTATTCAAGTTATTTGCCCATTTTTACTTCAGGTTGTTTCAGTTTTTTTTGTTGTTGAGTTGTATTTCATTATATATTCTGGATATTAACCCCTTCTCAGATACATGAGTTCATATATCTTCTCTAATTTTGTAGGTTGACTTTTCACTCTGTTAATTGTGTCATTTGATGTGCACAAAGTTTTAATTTCGATGTAGTCCAGTTTATTTTTCCTTTTGTTGCCTATGTTTTGGTGTCATATCCAAGAAATCATTGCCAAATCCAATGCCATGAAGGTTTCTCCCTACTAAGAGTTGTATAGTTTTAGGTTTTATGTTTATGTCTTTGACTGATTGAGTTAATTTTTTATACGGCATAAAGTAAGTGTTATAGACTAAATTGTGCACCCTCTTCAGTTCATATGTTGAAGCTCTAACCTACAATGTGACTACATTTGGAGATAAAGCCCTTAAGGGGACAATTAAGGTTAAATGAGGTCATAAGAGTGAGGCCCTGATCTAATAGCACTGGTATCCTTATAAGAAGAGGAGGAGACACCAGAGATCTTGCTCCCTCTCAATGTGCATGCAGAGGAAAGGCCACGTAAGGACTCAGTGAAAAAGTGGTCATATTCAAGCCAGAAAGAGAGGCCTTCCCAGAAATTAACTCTGCTGCCACCTTGATCTTGGACCTACAACATCTAGAACTATGAGAAAATAAATCTCTATTGTTTAAGACACTCAGTCTGTGGTATTTTGTTATGGCAGCCCAAGTAGCCTAATACAGTAAGTGTCCACTTTCATTATTCTGCATGTGTATATCTGGTTTCCTCAACATCATTTTTTGAGAAAAGACTGTCCTTTTGCCATTGAATAGTCTTGGCACCCTTGTTGAAAATCATTTGACCACACGTGTGAAGGTTTATTTCTGTACTGTATTATATTTCATTGGTCTGTATGCCTATCTTTATGCCAGTCCTACACTGTTTTGATTACTGTAACTTTATAATATGTTTTGA
Source organism: Homo sapiens (assembly GCF_000001405.40). Classification (NCBI taxonomy): domain Eukaryota; kingdom Metazoa; phylum Chordata; class Mammalia; order Primates; family Hominidae; genus Homo; species Homo sapiens. The sequence continues at coordinate 145,273,936 of NC_000004.12, forward strand.
AATCAGGAAGTATGAGCCCTCCAACTATGCTCTTATTCAAAATTGTTTCATCTATTCAGGGTCTTTGGGAGTCTATATGAATTTCAGAATGAATTTTTCTATTTCTGCAAAAAAAGCTGTTAGGATTTTGATAGGAATTGCATTAACTCTGTAGATTGCTTTGGGTAGTATGGACAGCTTTACAATATTAAGTCTTCTAATTCATGAACATGGGATGTCTTTTAATTTATGTTTTCTTTCAGAAACTTTCTGTAGTTTTCAGTGTATAAGTCTTTTGCCTCCTCAGTTAAGACTATTGTAAGTGGCATTATTTTCTTAATTTCCTTGTGGATTTTTCATTGTTAAGTGTACAGAAACACAACTGATATTTGTATGTTGATTTAGTATCCTTCAACTTTGCTGAATTCATTTATTAGTTCTAACAGTGTTTGTGTGCGTGTGTGTGTGTGTGTGTAATCTTTAGGGTTTTTGTTTGTTTCTTTGTTTTTTGAGATGGAATCTCGTTCTGTTGCCCAGGCTGGAGTGCAGTGGCGCCATCTTGGCTCACTACAAACTCTGCCTGCCAGGTTCAAGTGATTCTCCTGCTTCAGCCTCTTGAGTAGCTGAGACTACAGGCCTGTGCCAGCACACCTGGCTAATTTTTGTATTTTTAGTTGAGATGGGGTATTGCCATATTGGCCAGCTGGTCTGAAACTCCTGATCTCAAGTGATCCACCCGCCTTAGCCTCCCAAAGTGCTGGGATTACAGGCAGGAGCCACCGTGCCTGGCCTTCTTTAGGGCTTTCTACACATGAGACCATGCCATCTGTGAACAGAGATAATTTTTACTTCTTTACCAATTTGGATGCCTTTTCTTTCTTTTTCTTGCCTGATTGCTTCAGCTGGGACTTCCAGGATTATGTTGAATAGAAGTGGCAAAAGTGGGCATCCTTGTCTTGTTCCTGACCTTAGAGGAAAAGCTTTCAGTCTTTCATCATTGATTATGATTTAGCTGTGGGCTTTTCATATATGATTTTTAAGAGATTCTTCAGAAAGTTATCTTTCTTTAAAAAATGATCAGCTTAATAAAGTTGGAAAATTAAAGAAAATAATAAAATATGTTTTAACTTAATCATTCCACAGGGTGGTTCCTGCTTCTTAGAAAGTTAAGGTATGCTATAAGGAGTCTCATTTCTAGATATTTTAAGATTAAGAGTAATAATACACCAAATGTGCTGGTTTATTATTTTCTGGTAATGATCTTTTTCTTGAGTTGGGTGTTGATTATTTGGATATCAAGTTGCTTACTTTGTGAAACTCATCTAAGCTGTACCTTTAAGATTCATGAACCTTCTAATATTTATGTTATACTTCAAAAATATGCTAACAAACTTATTTTGATACAAGGACAAAAAAGATTTATGCATTTTATTAATGATTATTGTCAAAACTGAAAATGATATTTCCAACAATAATAATCCTGCAGGAACCCAAAATAATCTTCCACAGGTAGAGCCCATCCTCGAAAATATGTTGTTAAGACTTGGTATAGACATAATTTAGCCTGAATCTACATGATATCAAAGCAATTATTTAGAAGTAAAAATTCTGTGGCCGGGAGCAGTGGCTCATGCCTATCATCCCAGGACCTGGGGAGGCTGAGGCAGAAAGATTGCTTGAGCCCAGGAGTTCAAGACCAGACAGGGTCAAAAGTGAGACTTTGTCTTTACAATATATAAACAATGTTAAAAATAAGCCAAGTGTGGTGGCATATGCTATTCATGAGGCTAAGGTGGGAGCCCAGGAGTTGGAGGCAGCAGTGAGTTATGATCGTGCTACTGCACTCCAGCCTGGGCAACAAAGCAAGACTCCATCTCTTAAAAAGAAAAACAAAAGTGAAAAATTCTGTCAAGAAGTTACTTTGCCCTGAAGTGCTAAATGACTAGAGTTGCCAGTTCTGTAGTTTATAATTTGTATACAAGCAATCTTATTCAAGTTTTTTTCTCATAAAATGTGTACAGATCATTATAAATGTCACCAAATCATTTTGAGTGGTAAGCATTTTTAAATTCTGAGGGAATTCATAATATAAAGCAGCCAGTACAAACTGGCAGGCCAAATCAGGCCTGCAGACATATTCAATTTGGCCTATACATTTGTTGGCCCACACAGTGTTTTTTGTTTCTGTTTTTTTTTTTTTGTTTTTTAATTCTCGTTGTCAACTTATTAAATAGAGCGGTTTCATGCAAAAATCATGATTCCTAACTTTTTTGGAAAAATTTGCTGACCTGGCAAGACTGAGCCTCCATTCCCACATGGCAACAGTTGGCTGGAGCTGGGGAGCAGCTGCTGGTGCTATCCAGTTCTCCTCAGTCCCCACCCCACTCTGAGACTGGAGTGCTTGTGAACACCGAGGCAGTGGACCTCCCCGTCTCTCCAGGAACCTCTTCTAACTGCCCATAGTGGCCAGCAGAAGGCAGGGCTCAGGGTGGGCTCTTTGTAGGTGCTCAATTGTTCCCTGATTCTGATTCTTCAGACTTCTTCGCTTTCTTCCTTGGTTGAAAAGGAGATGGTAAGACTATGGCCTTCAATAAATGAAATGCCACAAAAGGAAAATGATTTCGACAATTCAGAGAGAAGGGAATGCCTTAAAAGAAAATATTACACAAATATAATTTTTTACTATGTAATTTAGCTTTGAATTCTTTCTCTTATGTGAGGAAAACTGAAGAAAACAGCACCCAAGAAATAAGCCCTCTGTTTAATACAAGAAGGAAGCAGGGGGAAAAAGGTTAGTCAGCTGTATTACAGTGGTCGAATTCTTGAGTTAACATAAATAGAAATAGATACAGAAAATGAGGACCATATGGTGGGCTAGGCCACAGCCACCGTGTGTGTGTGTGTGTGTGTGTGTGTGTGTGTGTGTGTGCGCGCACGCACCCGGCCACCCGCTGAGAAAACTATTCAACTTAAAGTATCCCAAGATAGTAACTCCCCCTTTTTAATTACTGAAGCAAAGTATAATAGTCAATCCTTATTAAAGTTGGATTTCAATATTTCTACCATTCCTATTAAAAATAATGCTCATTTAAAAGGTGTAAGAAATACAGAAATTACCAAGAAGAAAGGGAAAATACACCCAAGGCCCACTACCTAATACAAACTATTCTTAAAATTTGTTGCACACCATTCCAGAAACCTCTGCATATAAACCTCTCTACTTAGAGGTGTTTCTGATCAGCTTAGAAGGGTCTCCAGGGATGGTGGAGGATAGCAGCCTGAACTGAATTGGAATCAGTTCTCCACTCTCCTAGAACAGTTTTTGATCCTTTTTATTCTTTGAACTATGTGTCTGTTTGTAAGTGAGCTTTGACTCACCAGAGTTGGAGAACCCAAGAGACGTTGGAGAGAGGTGGAAGAGATAATGTATACTCATTGAAAAAATCAGCAAGAAATGAGGAGAAGAGAAGGAAAGGAACAGCATCCACAAAAGCCATCCAAGAGGGAGAAAAAAGAGCAAAGTATGATCCACCAGCGGGGATTCTGTGATGCAGACAGGGCTGACTTACTATCGGGCACAGTGCTGAGGGGCTAGAAAAGTGTTTTAATTTCTTTAACATCAGAAGAAAAATAAATGAGCCTTTAGGTCAAGAAAAAAGGTTGTTTTTTGTTTGTTTGTTTGTTTGTTTGTTTTTTGAGACAGAGTCTCGCTCTGTTGCCCAGGCTGGAGTGCAGTGGCATGATCTCGGCTCACCACAACCTCTGCCTCCCAGGTTCAAGCAATTCTCCTGCCTCAGCCTCCCGAGTAGCTGAGACTATAGGCGTGCACCACCATGCCCGGCTAACTTTGGGCTTTCACTATGTTGGCCAGGCTGGTCTCAAACTCCAGACCTGGTGATCCACCCACCTCGGCCTCCCAAAGTGCTGGAATTACAGGTGTGAGCCACCGCGCCCAGCCAAGAAAAAGTTTCGATATATGATATTAGTGTGTTTATCATTATACCAACACAGTCATAAGATAATGTTTAATATATTTTTATGAGGAAGGGGTCCATGAAGGCAAAAGTGTCTAGGGCCCATAGAAGTCACAAAATGCACCCCTGGGTACACTCTCATGTCCCAAATGATTTAAATTTATTAAACATGTATGTGCTATGCAGTTTTTTGCCACCTGTGATATTCTTATTCTCATTTTACAAATGAAGACTCTGACGCCTGGAAGGCAGTGAAGAGAAAGAAAGTGATAGAGTTGGGGGCTACTCTCAGGTGTCCTGATCTTCATTTCAGTGCTCTTTGTGCAAAGGGTGCCACAGGAGGTGGCAGATATGGGGCAGGGACAAATATGGAAAGAATAGAATCAAAATTTAAAGTATGGAAGGATTTATAACTGGCCAAGTGTTTCCCCAGCCACCACATTTTCTTCCTGAGATGACACTTAGTTGTCAAAATGTATACTTTTAGGTAGCCCAAGAAGGTATAAGGGAAAGTGAGGGGATGGTGCTGCTGCCCAAGACAGACTCATCAGGGTGGTTATTATTAGTGCTTCACTTTCCTTTGTGATCATGTTCTATAAACATGAATAAGACATGACAGAAACAAAGTTTAAGCCCTTGGCATAAAGTTAAAGCCTTTTAAAGACATTTAGTAAGATTGCCAGTTGCTGAGTTGTTACTGTGTTTAAAGGAAGGCTGCATTAAAATTCAGTGGTGAGTTAAGGTTCTTAACTGATACATATGTGCTTTCTAAAAAACCCAGTTTCTCTCAGAAAGATTGTTTTTGTCTTTCATAAAATATATATATATATACACACACATATGTATATATATGTGTGTGTATATATATGTATATGTGTGTGTATATGTTTTGCTCCCTTTTGCTATATTATCTATAACCTAATTTATTCTGAATTTGAACTTGTGGTTTGATAGGTAGCCCAAATGAGTCATTCAAACAAAAAAAGACATGATCTCATGAGCACTATTTTAAACATTTACTCTATTATTCAGAAGTCTTCATGTTTCTAGAAACAGCCATCTCTGCCTCCCAGATGGTCAACTGTGGACAATGAGATAACCCCCGCAAAGGAGTGAGGAGAGGATAGTGCCTCTAGGAGTAAAGTACTGATAATCACACCTCAAAAAGCCATGCTGCTCTGGTCTGAGACAGAGACCGTCCCAAAGTCTAACTCTCCTAATAAACTATTAGATACTACATTAAAAATTAATTTGGACGAGAGTTACCCTGTGATTCACTTTATGTAGATCTAAGAAAGCAAGAACATGAGTTAGCTGACAGCTAACCCGGCAGCATGTTTTCCTTCTTAGCTGCAGGGGAGAATAATGTACAGGAAAAGGTGATGTAATGATTGTCTCACGTTCATTATTCTCTCCCAAATGAATAACCTTCCACATCAAGGATGAGCTCACTCACTATTAGTGGAATAACATCTGGTGAGCATGGGCCCCCAGCTGAACACGCTATTGGTTTGGGGTTATATTTAACCAGTAGAGACTCAACTATTGTTACATGTATCACATGTGCAGCCCAGTTATATTGCAAATATCTTTTTAAGGGGTAAGGAAATACTCCTTAAAGTATTTTAACATGCAAGCCTTTTCCTTATGAAACAAGGCACCAACCTATTCCAAAAGAGATCTTAGGCTATTATTAGAGTGGAATATCTGAGACATGTGACAGAAGCCTTGGTCCGCTTTGGCTGAGGCTCGGATGCTTGCCATAGCTATCTAAGTTTAAATTTCAAATCACGGATAGGAATCTCTCTCCTTCAATTTCCCTTCCCATTCTTAATTTCCAGGCAGGCCTGCCACATGGACAATGGTGGATTTTGCAGTGTAATCTCTCTAATAGATTTACTGTAAATGATGAATCATCCTAGTACTTAAATCTAATGAGTAATGCTGTAAGTCAATTTGGTTTTAAAAAATGCAGCCTAGCTAAGGTCATCAGTTAAATGTGCTAATACAGAGTAATGTAGATGTTCAGACACAAGCACAATCGGTCCTAATGGTCAGGAAGCCCAAATACTCTGGAATCTGCTGTTTGTCAAAACCTGTAGGAGAATTGCTCCCTGAAAATCATGACATTTAGAAAAGAAGATAAGAATTTCATTCCATCAGCATGAGGAACACTCCCTAAAGTTTAGGCTCCTCTGATTGTTCTCTTCATAAAATGTATTAACACTTTATTGTGAAGACATTAACAAGCTATAATAATTTTTATTTAAAAGACCAGTTATGAAAATAATACCTATTTATTGAAGAAGACACAAGAAATTCAGAGAAGCACAAATAAAATACAATGCACCCTGCTTCTAACCATGCAGACCTCTTGACCTATGTTAGTTTTTTTTATTTGAGTCTATGTAAGCATTTTCTCATGTTATTAGCTATTCTTCTATATTTTATTCTGAATGGTCATATAATGGGATATCATGTGACTGTACCATAATTTATCAAATCTGCTCTGTCTTGGACTCTAATTTCTTGCTATTATAACCAAGGCTGTGATAAAAGTCTGTGTAGCTAAATCTTTGCACACATAGGTGATTATTTGCTTAGGATAAATTTGCAGAAATAAAATTGTTGGGTCAAAGTGAATGTGTATTTTTAAGGGTTTCGATAACTGTTAAGGATACCATCATAAGAGAATGGGAGATTTGCTTCCTTCCCTGCAAATGGTATCCTCAAGATTAGAGATGTTGCCTAAGTCCCTCTGCCTCAATCAACCTCTGGTTCCTTATCTATAAAATAAGAGGGCTGGAACAATGAGAAAACAATGACGTTAATCCTGCCAAATGACTCTCATATATTACCTCATTTACTCTCTGTACGGTAATCCCCTGAGACAGGTTAAATGCCTTGGTGAAGTTCTATAGCTTGCAGAGAGAAGAGTCATAACTTGAACCTGGGTCTGCCCTCTCCAAAGCCCATGTTCTAACCTACCTACCTATACAGTTGCTTCCAGGGTTATCACTGTCACTCACTGATCCTGTACACTATGTGAGAGCCACTGTTCCAGGTGCAGGGGATTCACTGGTGAACTAAACAAAGTCCTTGACCTTGGGACTCCTAGTAGGGAGACAGATAGTAAGTTTATAATATAGTATCAGGCAGCAGTAAGTTCTATGGGAAAGATGAAGCAGGGAAGAAGATAAAGGATGGCTAGGATCCTGTTTTAGATAGAATGGTGGGAGAAAGCTGCTGTGTCTGAGTGGATGAAGTGAGTGACGCTGCCATGGAGATTTGTGGAGAGTAAACTCTCCAGGCAGAGAAGCAGCAGTACAAAGGCCCTAACACCGGGACATGCCTCGTGAGTTTGGGGAACTGCACAGCCATCATTAGGGCTGACACGCAGTGAGACTCACACTGAGTCTATGAATCGGCCCAAGCATATTCTGGGGCAGGGGTAGTTAGATATTAGGCACGGGTGAGCACTGAGCAGCCACTGGCAGGCAACACTGGTGGAGGTGACATCACCTCCACGCTTCTGAGAAGGAAACACGGCTAAACTCCCATCACCTGATGCTTCTGTAGCTGGAGCTCAGGCCACAGCATTAAAACTCTATGCCCTGGGAAAACTCATGCAACTGCATTTCTGGACTCAAAGGGAAGAATTTTGATCCATGGATCATTCGGCCATATAATTACTCACCTTCACCCGAGGAGAAGCAATGTTTGCTCCATATATCACTGGGAAATAAAATAGCAAGATAAAACATAAAGAATTTATTTGACTAGAATTATCATGCAGAATTGGAAAAATATTCCATTTCAAAGTCCAAAATGGTGAAGTTATTCATCACTTTAGAGGACAAACACATCTATCCAGAGACCAGCTGTTTCCTGGTGTCATTTAAATTTGAAAACCCCACATGTTCTGCTAGAGGAAGGAATCTAGCTTCCTTTCTGTTCTTGAAAACTTTTAAAATTTAATTTGGGATTCAATTAATTTATTATACATTATTAAGAACCTAAATGTTCTCACAGACCAATTTTCAAGAGTATAGTAACACTGTACAGTATATCATTGCTTGGTTGGAGTTACCTGAAGCAAATGAACTGAGTAATACAGTGTACATCAGATAGAAGAGATGTGAAGTACACAGAGAACTTTTATTGTTCCAGAGTAATAACCCATGCAACTTATGCAAGAAAAAGCTGGTGTGTTTTGGAATATTCCAGCTTCAGGATTAAATTCATTCCATGTACTCTGGCAGGGAGGAGGGAGATTCTTAACAGCTGGGACCAGAATCTGTGCTAGTGAAATACTCCATAAACTATGAGCCATGGAAGATGCCTCCTGAGGACATGGGATAGCTGGGGACAAAGAACAGTCACAGCTAATCGTCTCTACAATAAATATATGGAGATGGGAAAAACTGAGAGGAGGGAGAGTGACTGGTGAAGAAATATGATGATATACCTTAAAATCTTTTCAGATGTAGATTATGCAATGTTCAGTTTTAGGATCTTTTCATTTCTGTGATGCAAACCCACCTTCACCATCCCAAATCTTTGGTGGATTCTGCTATTTACACAAATGCCTTGTGTGGATGCTGTTCATGTGTGAGCTTGTGTCCTGCGGGAATTGAGAGACTGAGTTCCATGTCTGGGTGAATGTGGTACAAAATAGGGACAGCACATGCCACATGGCAAGATAATCTGTCAATTAAACTCATCAGTGGAAGCAGCACTCGGAGCCAGAAATAACGAGAGTGAAAGTAGCCTGGGAATTCCCAGATATTCTGGGGACGCACATTGGATTTTCACTGAAGGAAATATGAAATGGGAGTTTGAGCCACCTTAAGAGGCAAGGATACTCTTCTGACATCTGGGTTATCTGTTAGTGAATATTTGGAATTGAATGGATTATCTTGTATTTACCAGGTTGCTTTCGAAGCATATGATTGTAGTTAAGATAGAAAATGTAGACACTAAGATTTCTTACTTCTTGGCTGGGTGTGGTGGCTTACAACTGTAATCCCAGCACTTTGGGAGGCCGAGGCAGGCGGATCACAAGGTCAGGAGTTCAAGACTAGCCTGAGCAACATGGTGAAACCTCGTCTCTACTAAAAAATACAAAAATTAGCCAGGCGTGGTGGCGTGTGCCTGTAGTCCCAGCTACTCAGGAGGCTGAGGCAGGAGAATCACTTGAACCCAGGAGGCAGAGGTTGTGGTGAGCTGAGATCGTGTCACTGCACTCAAGCCTGGGCAACAGTGCAAGAGTCCGTCTCAAAAAAAAAAAAAAGTTTTCTTACCTTTTGGTAACAACTAGGGCCTTGGGCTGAATATCCAGAAGTTACCCAGTTATCTCTGGTCTAGACATTGGTAAAGACTTCACTGGATTGTGAATTTCCCAATATTTCTTCATTTCTACAGTCCTGAAGAGGTTTTTCACAGGACTGGGTCAGAGGTTCTGAGTCAATACACAAATATACCTAATGCTAAATGACGAGTTAATGGGTGCAGCACACCAGCATGGCACATGTATACATATGTAACTAACCTGCACATTGTGCACATGTACCCTAAAACTTAAAGTATAATAATAATAAAATTTAAAAAAATAAAAATAAAAAATAAAAATTCTGAATAGTCCTATTACAGCTAAATACATTTAACCAATAATAATAATAATAAAAGCTTTCCCACTAAGAACAATTCAGAAAAAAAAAAAGTTACTGTGTATTGATACTGTAGAAACCAAAATAAAATACTTGTAGGAAAACATCAAGAAATATTAGGCTAGAGGGTTTGTTGAATGTGGTTTCTTGAGTCTCCCTGGTTTTTCATGGGAGACAGACTTGGGTTGGTGGCAATGGCAATCTGTATGGCCATGGTTAGTTCTCTCAGATCAACAGAAGCCCCAATTAGAGGCTTATAAAACTTCTCATCAACCTCACTACCCTAAAGCTCTATCATAATTTTTATAAAGTTGGAAGAAAAAAAAGCCTTTACTAAGTTTTATCACTTGGATAAAGATCATATTCCAAGTACAATTCTTGGTATGTCATATCACCATTTTGCTTCATTGATCACAGATTACCCAATGATTATTAGACATCACATGCATAGATGCATAGCAATTATTTCTGGAGGCAAGCCTGTGACATATGCAATTAGGAGTGGCAAGGCCCGGCAGGACCAGCCAGGGCCTCCCACAGAGCCGTATTTAACAATTGGTTGACTAGGATATAAAGGATCTGTGATATCATGCTAGCATGTTAGAAGTTGTTTTCCTAAGGGTCATAGTTGGCTATATATAGAATAATGCCATCAGCCAGAAAGGACTTCCTGATTGCATATATAGGATTTGCTTATGTTTACAGCAGGAGTAACTTCCTATTTTCATTCCCATTCTCAGGGAAAGTAATTTGATCTAGATAGAGTATAATCCCAGGACTACTTCGTTTGCAAGAAGATAAACTCAACTTAATCCAGTTTCAGTAAAATTTGAGCTTAATTGAAAGAATACTGGAATAGCTCAGAGAATTGAAGGATGGTTCTCAGGAACTACAGGAATGCTGAAGACCTTCATGAGTGGAACCAGGCACTCAAACTCTAAACAGCACACTCTTCTGAATCTTGTTTCTGTTTCCCTATGCTTGTTGGTTGTATTCTATTTTGCTACGAGGAGTTTCCTTTTTTTTTTTTTTTGAGACTGGGTTTTGTTATGTTGCCCATGCTGGAGTGCAGTGGCACAATCATGGCTCAGTGCAGCCTTGATCTCCCGGGCTCAAGCAATCCTCCCACCTCAGCCTCCTGAGTAGCTGGGACTACAGGTGCACACCACCAGACTTGGCTAATTTTTAAAAAATTTTTAGTGGAGATGAGGTTCTGCTGTGTTGCCCAGGCTGGTCTCAAACTCCAGAAGCTTTTTCTTTATGCTAGAAAACAAGATTTTCCCAGTCCTGGGCTTTCTTCATCCCTAGAGGAAAACAAGCTTCCTTTATCCAATGTTTAGGTTAAAAAAAAATCCTGGAGCAGGCCTCTGATTGGCCAGATTTAAATCATGTTTCCAACCCTTGGACGAATTGCTATGGATAAGAATATGAAGTACCATGATTGGCTGGTCATGTGTCCATTTCTAAGAGTAAAGGCAGTGGGGGAGATTCTATTACCGCAAGAAGAGTATAAGATCACTGTGCACCAGGGAGCCATACAAGTTGGTATGGCACATCTATTGGCATTTTCCCACTGTCTCCCTTACCCTTATGGAGATCACTGAGAAGAGGTAGACTACCCATGAATTCAACCTGGCCCAAAGAAGAAAGCTTCTTCATCATCTCTATGTGACTAACATCGGTCCTTGGGGCAGATGGTTCCTTTGGCAAGATACTATGGTGGGCTTTATTTCTGAAGTGCAGGTAGGCCTCTTGAAATTGTTTTGTTTGCAAGTAGGAAAAAGAGACCAAAACTTCTTGGCATTATCTTGTAAAGTGCTAGTTCCATTGTGGGCAGGGGAATTTAGGCAGATAACCTCACATTTAAAAACAGTTTATCTTCTCTCATATAGATCAGAGTATACTATGTTTGGAAAGTATTGTTTCTACTGGAAAAGGCATATGGGATGTAATTAGTCCAACAGTTACAGTGAAAACTGCAAGAATAATGAGGATGCATAGCTTTAAGTTGGACTGTCACGGAGATTTCAAAAGAGAGATTGGACTTGTGGTGCAAAGCCCACCGTGGCTGTCCTGAGTCTGCTCATTAAAAGCAAAACAAAACTAAAGAAGGGAGCCTCCTACTGTGGGTGGGATATATACAGTAGGAATAAGGATTTACATTTGGAGAACTGAAGAACTAAGCATTTTTAAAAGGGGCAAGAGAAGGCTGGGCTTTTAAGCAAGGGAGCAAGGTTAAGAACTGGAATATTTCCACAGGAAGGCACAGGTAAAGGACTTCCAGTTTTTTCCCCACTTGGGCTGTGAGATTTGTCATATTTGTCATGCAATTTTAAATTTTTCTCCTTGTCTTATAAATCCCTCTATTTTTCACCAACCCTTTAATTAAGTCTATTAGACATGCACAAGTTCTATGTTGGTGGTATTGTGGGGAATTAAAGAGAAGAGCAACAAAAAGAAGCATGATCCTGTATCCTTCCATGGAGATCATCATCATAGCATGAGAAAGGAATCCCAGATCATCCAGGTGGCACCAGGACAGAGGATCAGGGCAGAGCTGAAGGCAATGGAGAGGAACAAGTGACTCATAGAAACAGCTGCAAAGAGGGTGATTCAGGAACAAACTGAGGGACAAACATCCTCTTTCTCAAATATTCTAGAGGAAGGTGACTTTCAGAGGTTGAGAAATGGGAATGGTTGGGGGGGAAGATAAACATTGATTATATTCTCTGCAATTAGACCCTTTCATTCCTCCTCTTATTTCCCTCTCTCTTCCTCAAAATTTATTACATTAATTTCTCCCTCCAAGGTGGATCAAATATGCTTTGCTTATACAAATATTCAGAGTTCATTTTATTCAATCATGAATTTTTATTCATTTTATGTCTGTCATCCCCATTAGACTGAAAAGACAATGGCTATGACCTGCATACAGGGAAGATAGTGCTTTGCATACTGTTGTTGCTTAATAAATGGTTTTAAATTGATTTGAAAATGGTTTACTTAGTTGACTTCCTTCTTTGCAAGAGCCAACTAAGTCCCATTGGCACTTCATTTTCTCCTTTAATTTGCCATATTATCTAGAATATTTTAAAAACTTTCACCATTTTGAAATGATGCTAAATTGAACTAATTTTTCACTAAGCTTCTCAAGGAAGCAAAATCACAAATACTTCAGGTGTCATAAAATCAAAAGCACACATTGTCTTCCCAAAGGGAAGAACCACAATGAGGTATCTGCTCTTAAGAAAAGTTCTTGATACTTTTAGGATGATCTCAACTTCCACTTAGGAAGTTGGACTGTTTTAGGAAGAGAGTAATTGTTGACTGAGAGGGAGTCAGATTTTCTAGTGATCCAACTGAAAGAGCCAGCTATTGGCAAATTGGTACTTTAAAATTTTTCTGCTTGACAAACAATCCCTAACTCCAACCTTCTTTAATCACTACATATGCTTGTGAATGTAACAGGCATTACATAAAGGGAGAATCTCAAAAACAAACCCTAGCTTTTTTCATTGTACCAGTCTTCTCTGAGCAATTCCATTTTTTTGTTTTAAAATGAATAACTGAAGATAACTTTGAATCCTGGAACATGGCTGTGATATGGAAAATGAAAATAACAGAGTACAAAATAACATGTATACTGTGATTGCAGCTATTTAAAGTATTTATGCCCATGAAAGATAATACTGCAAAAATAGCATAGTCGTGTTGGAGAAGAGCAGAAAGAAGAAAGAAGCTGTATTATTTTGGTGAAACGTGATCCTTCTGTAAAAGAGACACCTGAAAATACAGTGGCTTAAAGGGCAAAAGTGTTTGCTTTCCTCTGTATCAGTCCAGGGCAGGGAGGAAGGCAACTCTGCTCCATGTGGCCACCCAGGGACCCAGGCTCCTTCTGTCTTGTTCCCATGTCATTCCCTAGAGCATTGTCCTTATCTGCTGGGTTGCAGTCATGCCTATGTTCAGCTCAAAGAAAGTGGACACAGTGTGGGGGAGTTGTGCAATATCCTAGGGTCCATGCTGGGAAGCAACACTCCTATTTCTGCACCTGTTCCTTTGATGAATATTGTCTCATGGCTACACCTAACTAACTGCAAAGAAGGCTGGGAAACGCAGTTTAGTTGGGCTCTCTTGTTTCCAGAGCAAAGTAGAAAATGGATTTTGGCTGATAGTCTCTGTTGTTATAGTTACCAATCATTGAGAACTATGCTTAGTTATTTACAAATACTGCCTCATTTAATACACACAACTGCATGTCCAAGATCTCCTTGCTTATAGTAGTTACCAAACATAACTAACGTTCTTGCATTACACCTATGTCTTTCAGCATAATGGCATTCTGAATATTTATTATCTTAAAATATTTTAATGTTGTTATATAGTAGTTCCAACTTACAGAATTCATATTTCATGATCTCTAAAGCTCCTTTCGGCTCCAAAGTATTGCTTATTTATTTCCTACAAAAAAGAAAACAGGGTTCTATGGATGATTGACTGGAATTTAGGTGGTGGGAGGGAGTGGGATTCTCTAGGAAAATGTGAGATGAAGAGAATGGAGAACTATTGATTCATGTGTTATGACTTTTATATCCCACATATTTTTGTTTCATTATTCATCTCCATCAATATCTAGTTTTTAAAATACATTTGCTTTTCATATTTTAAAAAATTCAGTACATTATTATATCAGAAATATGTTTAGGATCAGAATTCTGTGACTTTATTAAACATATGAATGTGGGCTTTTAATATTGATACTAGAGAACAAACCATTTTTATCATATTCCCTAATTTCTGACCTATAAGACCCTCCCCCCATAACACACATATACCTGTTAACTAAATCATAAATTTTAGTGTCATCCTTGCGTGCCAGCTATTCCAACATATGCCCAAAATCGATAACTCATCAAGTACTATCAATTCTACTCCTTAAATGTGTCTCTTTTCTCCCTTCTCCCTAGTTCCCCTCTCTTAGAGTAACACAGCTGACTGCTATTGTTTTCTGCATGTTCTAGTCCAATCCATTCTGTATACTGCTGCCAGAGAGATCTTTTCTAAAGCACAAACCTGATCATGGAACTGTTTGATTCACAACCCTTCTGTGACTTTCCAACACTTTCAAAATATGGACCACCTTTCATTTGGTTTCGCTGACATTCCCTACCTCCTAGCCCACCATAGCAAACTCCATGCAGGTCTCCACATATGCCATACACTCTCTTACTCCTGGGCGTTTGCATGTGCTGTGGCCTCTCACTTGGCTATCTCCTAGCATACCACCATATTCTTTCTACATGACTGCCCCAAAAAGAGTTAATTGCCCTGTCTGTGTGCTTCCCTAATACTCTGTTCTTAAACCTACCTATTAAACACTTATTAGACACTTATTAAAGTGGCTTAGGATTTTCTGTTGATTTGTCTACCTCTGTATCTTTTTTTTTTTTTTTTCTGAGACAGAGTCTTGGTGTGTCACCCAGGCTGGAGGGCAGCAGTGCAATTTCAGCTCAGTGCAATCTCCACCTCCCGGGTTCAAGCAATTCTCCTTCCTCAGCCTCCCAAGTAGCTGGGATTACAGGTGTGCTCTACCATGCCTGGCTAATTTGTTGTATTTTTAGTAGAGACGGGGCTTCACCATGTTGGCCAGGTTGGTCTCGAACTCCTGACCTCAAGCAATCTGCCCGCCTCGGCCTCCTAAAGTGCTGGAATTACAGGCGTGAGCCACTGCGCTCTCTCTGTATCTTAACTGTAGGCCACTAGAAGGTAAGAATTGTCTTTTACTTGTTTGGTCCTCAGTGCTTGCCATTAGTCTGACATTAGATAGGCACTCAATAAATGTTTTCTGAAGAAAGGAAGAATGGAAAGTCCTCACTCATCATTTAACCTTCATCTTTCTTAAGAAGAAGTGATGGAAATATCTATTGACTCTGATATTACTCTGATGTCCGCCCTTCTTGAGCCTGCAAGAAGTAAAGTGAACAATTCAGGGCTCTCTGACTAACAGAGATGATGGAAGCAATTGCTTGTCCTTACTGCTGGAGCCCAGAAATAACTTGAGTGAATCATGCTTATGTTCCTGGTATGCATGCCATGAAAATGGTCTAAGAACTCCTAGCAACTCTCTCAAAATTAAGACAAATTTCAGTGTTGGCTGCCTAACGTGTTTTCTGGCACATATATTTCCAAGCTCCACACCTGGCAGAAAGATGGTATCATAAAATTGAACATGATTGTGTTGGACAAGTAAACTGTGCTTCTGGTAACATAAGCACAAAAGCTACATTTATATTCTCATTCACTGAGGTATGTAGTGGTGACTGACAAAGATATATCTGAGATGGGTGTGAGTCCAGGGCAGGATTAGGGCCTAAATTTGGCTGCTGAATGCATGTCCACTGACCTTTTCAGTATCTGGCAAACTTTACTTTAAAAACAAGGTTGATCTTTAAATTATTAGTAGAAAAATCTTAGCTAAGCAGCGGTCCCTGCCCAACCTCCTCCCACTCCCAAACAAGAGAATAATGGTCTCTGTCTTTAAAAAGTTACAAACTAGCCTCTAAATAGGTAGGAACCACATGGCAGATCATTTTTAAATTTCCAGAGCCCTCACTTAGAAGTTTCATATCAGTAAGGAATTAAGTTCTGTTGTGAATACAGAAAACCCTGAATATATAGAGGCTTAAACAAATTGGAACCTTTGTGTTTCTCTTGTCATAAGTTCAAAGGTAGAAAATCCAGCTGGTAAAGCAACTTCAGAATGCCGTCAGGGACTGTTTTGTGTTGAATTTTGTCATCTTAAAAGTTAAGTTGAAGTCCTAAGCCCTGGTACCTGTGAATTTGACCTTTTTGAAAATAGGGTCTTTGCAGATGTAACCAAATTAAGATAAGGTTATTAGGGTGGGCTCTAATCCAACATGACTGGTGTCCTTATAAGAATCCAAATTTAGATAGAGTCACTCAGGAAGATGGCCATCTGAAGATGGAAGAAGAGATTTAAGTTACACTCTAGCAAACCCAGGAATACCTGGGGTTCCCTTCTAAGGGGCAAAGAAGGATCCTTGCCTAGAGACTTCAGTGGATGTGTGATCCTACCAACACCTTGATTTCAGACTTCTGGCTTCCAGAACTGTGAAAGAACAGATCTCTATTGTTTTAAGCCACCCAATATTTGGAGCTTTGTTCTGGAAGCCCTGGAAAATAAATACAGGGATGCAGGATCCTTCCATTTTTCAACTCGGCTGAGCTCTCTTTGCCTCGTACTCACATGATGGCTGGTCCACCTTCAGCATCATGTTTAAGTCCCATGTAGGAAGAAAAGAAAGGAAAATAAACAAAAGGCATCCACCAGTGAGATCTACCTTCTTTATTTTCCTGAAAATTGGCATTTTATTTGAAGAGAGAATAAAAATTATTTACATTAATATCTCTACGTGTCTTTTTTAATTTTTAAAATAAACTTTATTTGTTAGAGCAATCTTAGTTTCACCACGAAACTGAGCAGAAAATACAGAGTTCCCATATACTCCCTGCCCACACATGCATAACCTCTCCTGATGTCAACATCCCACACCAGAGTGGTACATTTGTTACAACAGATGAACCTGCATTGACACATCATTATCAACCAAAGTCCATAGTTTACCCTAGGGTTCACTCTTGGTGTTGTACATTCTGTGGGCTTTGACAAATGTATAATGACATGCATATACCATTATAGTATCTTACAGAGTAGTTTCACTGCCCTAAAAGTCTTCTGTACTCTGCCTATTTATCTCTTCTACCTCCAGCCACATCCCTGGAAACCACTAATCTTTTTACTGTTTCCATGGCTTTGCCTCTTCCAGAATGTCCTAGAGTTGGAATTATGCAGTGTGTATCCTTTTGATACTGTTTGGCTTTGTGTCCCCACCCAAATTTCATCTCAAACTGTAATCCCCAGGTGTTGAGGGAGGGACCTGGTGGGAGGTGATTAGATCATGGGGGCACTTTCCTCCATTACTGTTCTCATGATAGTGAATGAGTTCTCACAAGATCTGACCGTTTTATAGGGCAGTTTTCCCTGCTCTCTCTTGCACTTGCTCTCTCGCCTGCCATGATGTAAGACATGCCTACTTCCCCCTCCACCATGATTGTAAGTTTCCTGAGGCCTTCCCAGCCATGCAGAACTGTGAGTCAATTAAACCTCTTTCCTTTATAAATTGCCCAGTCTCAGGTAGTATCTTTATAGCAGTGTGAAAATGGATGAATACACCATTTCAGATTAGCAGCTTTTACTTAATAACATGCACTTAAGGTTCCTCCATGTCTTTTCATAGCATGATCGTTCATTTCTTTTTAGTGCTGAATAATATTCCATTCTATCAATGCACCACAGCTGGTTTATCCATTTCACCCAATGAAGGAAATCTTGGTTGCTTCTGAGTTTTGACAATTATGAATTAAACATCTGTAAACACCTGTGTGCAAGTGTTTGTGTGGACATAGGTTTTCAGATCATATGGGTAAATAGTAAGGAGTGTGATTGCTAGATCGTATGGTAAAAGTATGTTTAGTTTTGTAAGAAATGGCCAAACCATCTTTCAAAATGACTGTACCAATTCGCATTCCCAGCAGCAATGAAAGAGTAACTGTTGTTCCACATCCTCTCCAGCATTTGGAGTTTTAGTGCTTTGGATTTTGGCCATTTTAATAGACATACAGTAGTATTTCATCATTTTAGTTTGCAATTCTTTAATGACATGCTATGTGAAGCATCATTTCATATGCCTATTGCCACATCTTCTTTGGCAAGGTGTCTGTTCAGTCTTTTGCCCATTTTTACATCAAGTTGTTAATTTTCTTATTGTTGAGCTTCAAGAGTTCTTAGTATATTTTGGATAACAGTGTTTTATCAGATATGTCTTTTGCAAGTATTCTCTCCCTATCTCTAACTCATCTTCCCGTTATCTTGGGAGTCTACTTTCTTTTTTATTTTATTTTATTTTATTTATTTATTTAGAGATGGAGTCTCACTCTTTCACCCAGGCTGGGGTGCAGTGGCGTGATCTCGGCTCACTGCAAGCTCTGCCTCCCGGGTTCATGCCATTCTCCTGTCTCAGCCTTCCGAGTAGCTGAGACTACAGACGCCCGCCACCACGCTTGGCTAATTTTTTGTATTTTTAGTAGAGACAGGGTTTCACCATGTTAGTGAGGATGGTCTCAATCTCCTGACCTCATGAGCCACATGCCTCAGCCTCCCAAAGTGCTAGGATTATAGGCATGATACTTTCTTTTAAAAAGCTTTACTAGAAGCCTCAACCAGTAACTACTACTTCCATCTCATGATCACCCCATGAGCAAGGGTGTCTGAAAATGCATTATTTTGGCTACACACACTGGAGGCACACATTAAATCGGGGTTCTCTTAGTAAGGAAGAAGGAGAGAATAGCTATTGAATGGGGTATTATTTCCATTTGGGCTGGCATAACAAAATACAAGAGGATGGGTAGCTTATAAACAATAGAAATTTATTTCTTACAAAATGATTTCTTTAGAAGGTAACATCCTAATAATTCCTTTACCAAGCTACAGAAAGCAAGCTAAGAGTCTACCAGACACAAAAAAAACCTCACCCAAATAGCTGAGTGTAGCATCCATTCACTTTGCTTCTTATATCTTATTTCTAAGCTTGAGGCAGAAATGAAAGGTTTGTGCTCGTAAGGCATAGGAGCTACAACCTAGGTTACCTATATTTGGGTAAAAAAAATAATAAACTCTCTGTCTACTCAACTTTGTTGATTCCATGACTAGATTCCTAGACCAAGAAACACAAAAAGTAAAAATTTAGCTGATTTTAGACCTCCAAAAAGAGTAAGGAAAATAATTTAGTCATATCTTTCCAAAAAACTATTTGTTAAAGTCTTGAAGGTTGAAAAGCATCATGGAAGACATCTTGAATCGATGCATGTTCTTGAAATTGGTCCCTGAGTGTTAGAGGTTCAGATGATTTTATGATTTACATATAAAAAGTGTACTGCAAAGTTAATGGAGCAAGGCTGGATGGCATGAAGTTTTATATAAAATAAAATACATTTAGCATTCAGGTAAGAGATAATGTATCTATTTCATTAATCAAAGTTACTCCCACAATATATACAGCAGCACATAATGAGATCTAATCCACTCACCAAGAATACCAAGATATAAATCTATCAGATAGGTTAGGAGAATGGGCCTCTATTATAAATCAGATGTTAATAGTAGTTTATGGTTTCTTAAAACACAGGCACTGTTTTTGAACTGATCTAAAGAAACTTGCATGGAAAAATTTGCTTCATAATGATATAAACTGTAATGCTTAGGGGTCCTGTTCTCTGAGTCATTCTAATTTTGGTTTATATGCTGCTGAATTAAGCATTGCTTCAGAAGAGCGAGTCATGAGACAATGAGCGGGAGATCACGACAGGGACACTGGAGGAAAAAGTAACCGGCAGCTTGTCCTGAGGCTCACCTGCTGTACAAGCTTCCACACACCTGCCAGGGAAATTTTAAAATGTTGATTGTATTCATAAATATATTTCAATGGTTTGACATTTGAAGATACAAAAGTGGAGGCAGGGAAGAATCTCCTTCCTACTCCTGCTCTCAGACACCCCCCTTTTTTTTTTGAGACAGAGTCTCACTCTGACACTCAGTCTGGAATGCAGTGGCACGATCTCGGCTCACTGCAACTTCTGCTCCCTGGGTTCAAATGGTTCTCATGCCTCAGCCTCCCAAGTAGCTGGAACTACAGGTATGAGCCACCATGCCCAGCCAGCTACCCCTTTCTTAAGGCAACTAATGTTATAAATTGTTAATGTACTCTCATAACATTGTATTCATGGATGCATGTATGTATTCATGATTTGTTATTCATCTCATTTAGATAAAAAAATTAATTCATATCAACGAAAGGTGAAGAGAATTTGCCATTTGGCACAGGCCAAAAATTTTGGAGTTATCCTCCCTTTCTTCCTGCATTCCTTCTTCCTTTACTTCCTTCCTTCTTTTTATGCCCTATCTCAATACATCCCCCATATAATTGGTCTTCCTTTCAAAATATATGTAGATTTCAAATACTCCTCACCACCTACACCTACATCATCCTGGCCCCAGATACCAACATCTCTCACCTGGACTATGTCAACAGCTTGCTTGTGCTTCTCCTTGCTTCCTTCCTTGTCCCCTTTAAAACTAGTGTGGTCCTAAAGCAATCCAAGTCAGATCACATCACTCCTCTACTCAGAACTTTCCAATGGCTTCCTACTTTACTTAGAGAAAATATGAAATCCTTACAATGGGCCACACATCCCTTTATCATCTGGCCCTACATTTCCTTGATCTTACCCATCAACTGCTCTCATCCTCACTCATTCCCCAGTCACACTGTCCTCCTTGCTTTCCTTAAACTTATCAGCCTTACTCCCATCCCACCAGCTGTTCAGCTGTTTCCTCTGTCTGCAGCCCTTCCCAGCCACCTACATGGATGGTCCCTCACCCCCTTCATCTACTTGTTCAAATGGCACCTTCTAGGTGAGGCCTCCCTAACCACCCTGCTTAAAATGTCAGCCTCCACCCCAGCCCCTGTATTTCCCATCCACCTTACCTGGGCTTCATAGCATTTGATGCCTACTAAAGTACTGTGATTTACTTGCTAGTTTTGTTTATTTGCTGTCTCCCTTCATTCGAATGTGATAACTATGAAGGGAGAGATTTTTGTCCATGTGGCTCACAGCTGTGTCCTCAGTGCTCAGAACAATGGCCAGTAAACGTATGTTAAGTGAATAAATTTCAGACACTCTAGGAAATCTTTCTACTTTCTTTTGCATAAAACGTTGTTTCTAAATTATCCCTTCCTAGGCCACATACAGAACAAAGTTGACAGTACTCAAAAGTTGGCTGACTACTGTAATAATTCTGTCCCTACATATTCTCATTCTTGAGAGAAAAGTACATTTGCTTTATTTATGAGGCACAGAGGGTTATTGCTCTGTAATTATGACTACTGAGGACATGTTATGGGTTGAATTGTGTCCCCTCAAAATCCATATGTTGAACCCTCAGCACCTCAGAATGTGACCTTATTTGGGATAATATTATTGCAGATATAATTAAGATGAGGTCATACTAGAGTAGGGCGGGTTCCTAATCCTGTATGACACAGACATACAGACAGAGAGCACCATGTGAAAGACAGATCTACAAACCAAGGAATGCCAAAGACTGCCAGCAAATTACCATAAGCTAGGAGAGGGGCATGGAACAGTTTCTCCTTCATAGCCATCAGGAGGAACCACTCCTGCTGACACCTTGACCTCAGACTTCCAGCCTCCAAAACTGTAAGACAATGAATTTCTGTTGTTTGAGCCACCTGGTTTATGGTACCTTGTTATGGCAGCCCTAGGAAACTAATATAGGACCTATGGAACTGTGGCATCTTTTTGTTTTTGTTTACAAGTGGTTCACATAACTGGTGCAGAATACCACTCAACAAACATATCAAATGAGTAATGGGGAAAGATCGCCATGATCAGCTTCAAGGAGGACGGACAAGGAAGATGGGAAATAGAAAATCAACACTGGACTGTCATTCCCACCAGAGCATTGACCATGTCATTTAATATTCAGTTTCCAGCACAGAACCTGATTCTGATTCTCAAGATGCATTTGTTGAGAGAAACTGAATATCGGGCAGAGCAGGCAGCTCTATGCCAAGCAAGAGATCTTAGATGGGAGATTGTGGTGCTGGGGAGCTGGTGTTCCCTGATCCATTCACGATGTTTAAGCAACCATTCTGATTTCACATTGCCAGGAGTCTCCCTACCAACACGACACCCAGGTTCTGTGTCATTACTTGAGTTTGCTTTTACTTAGGTAGATAGTATGTGGTTTTTAAAGTATATTTCTAGGATTATTGGTAGGAACAGATTTATTTTACATTTAAACAGCTGGCTCAATATTCATTTAAACTCAGATGTGTAATTCTGTTGTTAAATTATTGTGTTTCTAAAAACTTCACTTTCTTAAAGGCTGATGTGAATACAAAACCTTCAGAAAGATTGTTTGAAGCCACAATAGGTGTTCCTAATAGATTGCCTTTCTTGGTTGGTTATTTTACAGTAGAGGAGAAAATGATGCTATTGTCATGGATTAAAATATCATGTTTTAAATATCATTGCTATTAAATATCAAGGACACAAAAAACCAAAATAGGACAAAGATTTAGGATAAAAGAAGTGGGATCCAATATAATATTTTTGAAATGTGCTTATTCATTTGAGTTTAGAATGCATGTGTCTGGACAACTCAAGTAAATTTTGTTTTTCCATCTGAAATACTCGTATTCTTATTTTTATTTTTTGAGACAGTCTTGCTCTGTCACCCAGGCTGCAGTGCAGTGGCACACTCTCGGTTCACTGCAACCTCTGCCTCCCAGATTCAAGCAATTCTTATGCCTCAGCCTCTCAAGAAGCTGCAATTACAGGTGCACGCCACCACGCCTGGCTAATTTTTGTATTTTAGAGACAGAGTTTTGGCATGTTGGCCAGGCTAGTCTTGAACTGCTGACCTGAAGTGATCTGCCCACCTTGGCCTCCCAAAGTGCTGGGATTACAGGTGTGAGCCACTGTGCCCGGCCTCCATCTGAAATACTCTTAAAAAGAAATCGTGACTTTTTATGCCTGAAATTTTTAAATGTCTCTATCGTTCATCTGTGGTTCACTAAAAAGGGCCATAATTCCCTGATTATCTATATCTTGAGAAGTGTGAAGTGTGATCTAGTCGCTCTCCTCCTGACCTGCTGACCAGTGACTGCTTTGACCACCGAAGTATGGCAGAAGAAATGCCATGCCAGTCTGTCTGGTCCTCTTGGACTCTCAGTTACCATCTGAGAAGTCTGACAGGCCTGCTACCATACATTGAGGAGACCCTAGGTAGCCACATAGGCTTGAAAAGGGAGAGAGATTGAGAGAAAGAGAGAGATGGCTGGGCCCTTTTCCCATCTCTTCCAGCCCCTAGCCATTTGAATTATCCCAGACATTGTTGAGCAAAGACAGTCTCCACTGTACCCTGTCCAAATTCTAACCCACAAAATAGACATAATAGACCCAGAGTGAGACATACTACTCCTACTAATAAATTGTTTTAAGCCACCAGCATTTGGGGTAGTTTGTTATGCATCAGTAGGTAACTGGGCCATCATCTTTCTCATATAGATAGCTTCAGATGAGATCTTGTAACTTCCCAGGTGTTCTCTTTATGACATCTAATAATACCTCCAGTCTTCAGAATTGGAATTTCTTCTTGAGTTATATTATGCTTTCCAGCCCAGCATATACTGATTAATTTCTTGTCACTCAGAAATCATCTGTTCAAACTATTGATATTATTTACTTGAAACCAAAGGTGCCAAAACACTATTTTGTATACTTTTTCTCTTGGTATGGCATGAGTATTATGCTCACTAAATTATTTAAAAGAAAGTACGTGCATCTGATATGAAGATTTTCTTTTAATTGATACTAGGAAAAAGTAGACTTCTCATTAGCATAAACAGTTTTCCAGTGTCTCTTGTAATAGAAATTGCAGTTGGCTCCCAAGAAGTGTAATATAGTATGTGTTGATAAACATGATGAGCAACTGGACTTGCTACCCTCTTTATATGGCCACCAGAAACTATATAATGTGCTTCATAAATGTTTGGCACATATTAAATTCTCAAAAATGCTACTTTTTACCATTTCTCCCTTCTTTTTCTTTTTTGCTGCTATGTAACATTTAAACCTTTGAAAACCCAATGCTGGTTAAAACCATAGTCTATTGCGCGTATGTGTTTTAACCATTTGCAAGGTGAGTTTTAAAAAGCAACCATTTTCGTGGCTAGCAGTTAAAGAGAAATTAGAGGTACAGTATAGTATTAAAGGTAATAGATTTGCAAAGTTCCTCTAGCATTTTGCATTTAGAGGGCTTGCATCAGAAGCTTCCATTGAAGTCAATTCATTTTCCTTTTAAAAGAGATGTATTTAGCACATGAAATTGAATTTACTTGCAAAATTCACTCTGTATCCTGAGAATTAAGTCAGAAGACATATGCAGCAGTTGTTTAATATGCCAAGAAAACAGGGTGTTTGTTTGTATTCAGTATAAAGAAATTACAAATACTTACATGAACATGTGAAAAAAATTCTCTTTAGATGAAGTCAATTGTGCTTTATGTGTTTAAGGGTTCTTTTAATTAAATGAGTTTCTTTTGCCCTGACAAAACAAAACAGCAAGGACATTCCACACAGGAAAAATTATTATATTTTAATTTGAATATAAATTGAGTGGTAGAAGAACACCAAATTATTTTGTCTCTCCTAAAAGGGTAGAATGGAGGGCTTACTTATACACATACCAGGCTCTTTATGTCTCAAGTGAACAGGGGTTTATAGCCCCGGTCTTTAACTGCATTTACTTTCAATCTCAAAACCACTACAGGCTTTAGCACAACTCATAATAATGGGTGGCCTCTGTCCAAGAGGAAGTTCAATGTTGGCATGCTGGCCAAGTTAAGAGCCAGGTATATGCATTAGCAGACTTCATGGGTTTTTGCATAATACTTCACTCAAATGATTGCTATAAATGACTCCAAAATTCATACTCAAAAATGACTGTAGGACTTTTAGTAGGAATACAAAGGGTACAGTGGGAATTTACAGCCGTTCTGTAAGGTTCCTCAAATTTTGATTCTGCTTTGCAAGGTACATGAACTTGACACCCCTGGGAACCATTGCTGTAGAGAATGTATCAGGTTTTTAGTACAGAGGTCAGCTTTTCACTCACTTTGTCACTAGTATGCTCAAAGAAAATTTGTTGGGGCATTTCTTCTCATCCCTGAGATAAAAACAATTGCCCAAGTTTTTTCCTTTTAAATACTTTGACCCAGAGATAGACGATTCTCATCTGTCTAGAGGTGCTCTCAGAATTGCTCTCGTTCTGTGCAGTACATTTCAATAGTGCTATTTATATTAGTTCTCTGAAGCAAAGCATCATATATAGTGGCAAAGCCGTCCACAAAGTGACACATGAAACTGTATTTGCAGTGGGGGCAGCTGATCTAAATCATTTTTTGTTTCTCATTGTAAAAGCCCCTTTATGAAATCCACAAGCTTTTGCCAAGCTCTTCAAACAGTCTTTTAGCCACCACATGAGTTGAGTTCCTGCCTCTGTGCCCTGACTGATTGCTCAGGCAGCTGCGTGGGTGGCTTCAGAGTTGCACTGAAGGCTTTTATGTGGTTTTTTTGGCTGATGGGCTATTTCTACTGTCTTGTCCCTATGGGTAGCAACTCAAATTTGACTGGCTGTGATGAACACATCGTTAGTCATTTGAGAAAAATATCTGGTGAAAATGCCCTGTGATGTAAATACAAATTTGTCTTCTTTTCCCAGCCTGGAAAATTTTCTGCCTCAGAAAATTATAAAGGACTTAGAAGAATTAGATTGTGTCTCATTTTAATGAATAAAAAGCCAACAAAAACATCATCATCTTTGCTGCATTCAAATCGTTAAAGGTTTCTTGAATCAGAAGATAAAAGTAAAAAACAAGAAAGGAAATTTGTTTGCCTCTGCCATGTTACTAGACCATGACTAGGTATATAGTTTGCCATAGACTGCAGTAAATAAAGTGAGTCCTGTTATCACATATTTATTGAGCACCTATTATGTTCCAGGTACTATGCTAAGTAATCTGGTTACAAAAATGAATAAAATGTATTTCAGGTTAGATCCTCTGGAGGGCAGAAACTGAGATGGAATTAAGAGTGCAAATATTTTACTGAAGAGTAAGTCCTGTGAAAGAGAAGCTGAAGAAGCAATACTGAGAAGAGGGAATCATCAGAACATGATAAAGACCTTACAATGTCTGTGCCAGCCCAACAAGAAGTTCCACAGTAATGACTGCCCATTGGAGGAGGACTGCATGGTAAACAAAGGACTAGGCCCTTACGCCACTGCCACGCTCGTTGTTGGCTGGGCACCACCCAAAGAAGGGTCTAACCTCTGCTACCACTGCCTTGCTCAGTCATGAACCAGGGTCTTTCCAAGAAGAATTTGAACGTGGCTTGAACACTGAGGTGAATCCTGAAGAAGTAGACAACTGGAGGCTGCCGGGTAGTCACCTTCTTTCTTCTGGTCAGCGAGTCTTTTCTCCAAGATATTTGGAAATAGCTAGCTCCTCAAGGGCTCTGGTGGGCCTAATTTCCTGAGGGATAGTTCAGAGACAAAATGGAGCCCCTGTCTCTGCAGTTGGTCTCTATGCTACAGCTGGAACTCATCATTTTTCTCCTCCACTATCCATTCTAAATTCTTTTCACTCTATGTTGGCCTTGGCAGTTTTTCTGGAGTAGAATTCCCCATTAAACATAAACTTCTCTGGCTAGGCCTGCTGCATGTTTCCATTTATATGGGCAAAGAGTGGCAAGAGATGCTCAAATTGGATCACTTGAGTGCTACGTATATTCCTGCTTGTCTCTTATACCAGGAAATCTTCTTTCTCATGCATTTTAGGGTCAATTATGACAAGCTGATGACTTCTTTTCTTGTTTGGTGATCCCTGGACATAAATATCCCAAAGTGTTCAAGGGGCAGCTGTATCCTGTATTTCAGGGAATCTCTTGCTATTTCCCTGGGTGAGTGCATGCCCCCTTTAGAAATGAGGGCTTCTCATCCTTCAGAGAGCCCAGGCAGGAATCTGCAGAGTACCCCAGTAGATCTTTGGGAATGATAGTAAGTGGGGCCGATTCTACTGCTATCCCTTGGTCCCAGACCCATGGGAACCTGATGATTCCTGATGAAAATGCGGTGCCACAGTGAGGTCTGATTCAATGATTGTTCTGCTTCCTGGAGGATGGTGCTGCATCTCATAGGGCACCTCTTGTGAGCTAGTGCATCAGTTGCCCCTTCAGCAAGTTGCTCAACACTTTAAAACCCCAGCAGCTTCTGGGCAGTGTGGGAGAAGCAGTGTGTAATATGACTAATAAATTGCATAATCATGGGCCCACCTTGCTCTTGTATTACAGTTAAAGTGGGTTCTCTGGTTGGATGTTGTGTGGAATTCTATGTCTATAGGCATTCCATAAATTCCCAGGTAGTGATGCTTTCCTGTAGGTGGGAAAGGCAAATCCATATCAGGAATGTAAGTATCTATTCCCATGAAAAGAAACTGCTGGCATTTCCAACATGGAAGAATCCCAGTGAAGTCAGTTTGCGACCAAGTGGCCAGTTGGTCTTTTTGAGGAACACTGCCATGTCAGGGGGTTAACATTTGTCTCTGTGGTTGGCAGGTTAGATATTGGAAGTATTAATAGCTAGATGGGCCTTGATGAGTAACAGTCTCTGCTATTGGGCTCATGTGCAATCTCTGTCTCAACTGCCACGGCCACTTTGCGTGTGCATTCTGCCAGCATTGCAGTGGACACATTGACAAAGGTTAGCTAACATAAACTCAGGCCAACCCATTTTGTCTACTGGGTTTACATACTTCACATGCAAATCCACATGTTTATCTCATTCCTCTACCCAAGAATTCCTTACTTTGAAGATTTCCGAGGCTCCCACTTGGCTTTCCCCACTATGATAGTTTTACTCCACAGGCCAGGGACCCAGTGGAGCCCCAGGTTCCAACTGCCAGGTATGTCAATACCACCAGTACATTCAGGGACAAGGAAAATATGTCAGGCTTTGGCCAGAACTCCATTTGTTAACTCTCCCCATATGCTCCAATTATAACAGGTAGACCACGATGATACTTCAGGTCTCTGGGAATCAATGTCAACTCGGACTCTGTGTCCACCAGACCTGTGTTTATTTCCATCTCCACAGTGTATGTAGCTCCTTGAATATGACTGTAGGTTACTTTGTAGAGGCACTAAGGAAATCTTTACAACATACACTTGCCATGGTATTGCAAGGTCTTTCTTTCTAGGGACCCAGACACTTCTTTAGTCAATGGGTTCTGGATCTGAAAATTGGCTCAGGGACAGGAACTGTAAAAAAGATCCTGAATTTTTATTTGGACAACCATTCTCAACTTCCTGCTTCTCTGGTCTTGCTTCGTTCTTACAACAAATGTTAAACAGCACCCTTGTTGCTGCCTATTTTACCCCTAGGGACAAACGTTCAATTAACCATCTCTCAACTCCCTATTGGTCAAAGGCCTTTGGTTGCCCCTCTGACCTGGCCCCCAGTGATTAAGTACCAATGCATGGCTATTGGTACTTCGCCATGCTATTAAAGAACCCAGCTCTGTGACCACCTTC
The DNA here is from genome assembly GCF_000001405.40 of Homo sapiens. Lineage (NCBI taxonomy): Eukaryota > Metazoa > Chordata > Mammalia > Primates > Hominidae > Homo > Homo sapiens. The sequence continues at coordinate 145,302,872 of NC_000004.12, forward strand.
TGTATCACCAGCCCTGGCATGCAGAAGAGAGTCATCACTGAACATCCTAGTGATACTGGTGTCTTTCTTACCAGCACATTCCTGATTATGACATCCAAGACTTGGTCATAAAAAGCTTAGCAACTTCCCCTTGGCATGCCAGGATCTCAGATATCATTATTGCGAGGAAGCTCAAACTAACCCAAGAGAAGAGGGCAAACAGTCCACATCTAGGTGTTCTGCCTAAAAAATCAGTTGAGGTCCCACTCAGCAGTCGGTATCAATTACTAGGCATGTGAGTGAAGGCACCTGCAGAGAATTCCAGCTCCCAGCTGTCAAGTCACCTGCAGCCACTAAGTCTTCTCAGCTGAGGCCCCAGACATCACGAAGCAGAGACAAACTCTCCCCACTGTTTCCTATCTAAATTCCTGACCCCCACAATACATGAGCAAAATAAGATGGCTGTCTTAATGCCAGCAAGTTTTGGCATGCAATAGTAAACAGAGCAAAACTTAAATTCACAAATATAAAATATATTCCTCTCTAGGAGAAACAACTAACTAGAAAATATAATGTAAAATAAAATATTTAGAATAGCTATAAAAACTATTAATACATAGAAACTAGGAATCAGTCTGATAAAGAATGCATAAGAACTTTATAGAAAAAAATGTTGAACTCTGTTAAAGAACATAAAAATTAAATTCAACTAAATCTGTTTTAAAAAGCAAAAGCAATTCAGCAAAAATCCATTGGATTTGACTATATATAAATCAGGATTTCTGTTCGAGGAAGTACACATGTTGAAGTTAACATATACTAAAATGAGATAAAATATTTGTTAAGTCTAAAATTAATAAGGGTTTAATATCTAGACTGTATTGCAAACTTTTATAAATTAGCAGTAAAAAGATAGGAAACAATAAAATATGAGCAAAGGAGATATATTGGCAAGAATGTGAAGGCTGAATGAGGAACAACTTTTTAAAGTAAAACTTTCAGGCAGGCACAGTGGCTCACACACACCTGCAATCCCAGCACTTTGGGAAGCTGAGGTGGGTGGATCACTTGAGCTCAGGAGTTCAAGATCAGCCTGGGCAACATGCCAAAATCCTGTCTCTACAAAAAATACAAATATTAGCCAGGTGTGGTGGCACACCTGTAGACCCAGCTACTTGGGAGGCTGAGGTGGGAGGACTGCTTCAAGTTGAGGCTGTAGTGAGCCGAGATCACACCACTGCACTGCAGCCTGGGTGACAGAGTGAGACCCTGTCTCAAAATAAAAAATTAATTAATAAAATAAATAAAGTAAAACTTGCTAATAATTGAGGAAAAAGGCAAACTAAAACCAAGATGAAATACCATTTGTATTAGTCAGTTTCACATTGCTATAAAGATACTGCCTGAGACTGGGTAATTTATAAACAAAAGAGGTTTAATTGACTCACAATTCTGCATGGCTAGAGAGGCCTCAGGAAACTTACAATTGTGGCATAAGGTGAAGAGAAAGCAAGGCATGTCTTACATGGCTTCAGGAGAGAGAGAATGCAGGGGAAACTGACACTTTTAAACCATCAAATCTCCCAAGAACTCCCTTACTATCATGAAAACAGCATGAGGGAAGCCACTTCTATGATCCAATCACCTCCCACCAGGTTCCTTCCTCCACATGTGAAGATTACAATTTGAGATAAGATTTGGGTGGGCACACAGAGCCAAACCATGTCACCACTTTATGCCCAAATGTCAAAAATTAGGAAAGTGGATCAAATATAAAATATTGATGAGAATGTGAGAGTATGAGGCCTCTTATTCACTAATGAGGGAGTTTAAGCATGGCAGCCATGCTTGCAAGGACTTTAGCAATATTTTTTAAAATTACACATGCATATTCCCTGTAACTGATGATCTCACTTCTGAGTATAATTCCCCTTTCTCCCTAAAATGATTGCACAGAGATTCAAGGAGATGAATCAATCAGGTTTCAGACAAGAAAATAAAAGTCATGCTAGGTATTTCAAAAGTAAGTATTCAACACAGGGGGCTGATTAAACAAGTATTGGAAGGATAAAAGAGGTCATAGTGCACACTGGGGTAACTTAGGGATTAATAACCGTGGATAGCAGCTATCACTTTTGCAACTGGGGGAACCAAAGGAAAGAGGTGGTATGACCACAACATAGGGACTTTGAGGAGGGAACCTTTGGGGTTGGTGCCCAGACCTCTTAGAGAAAGGTGCCATAAGGCTGGTGGTACATGAACCACTGAAAGTGTATACAGCTGGTGCTCAGACTGCTGAGGGGCACAGCTCATCTGCTATTATCTCCAAGCAGGTGTGATGCTGCTGGTGCTACGCACACTGAAAGAAGCTCTAGGCTGCAGCCCTAGCTCCCCACTGCTGATGGAAGAATGCCAGTAGAGGCTGTTAGCAGGAAGAGTCCCTTTTCCCCACCTCATGTCTTGTGATCTTCTGCCAGTACCTTCTACTGGAAGAACATAACTGGAAGTGAGCTGACAAGGAAGTCTGGGAAGTGCAGTTTGTGGAACCTGGCCTTCAGAAGGGTTGGCTAGAGTCTGAGAGGTAATAAATAAAAGGCTTTCATGCCAGTATTGTTTACAGTAGCAAGAGATTGCAGCCAAAGTAGGTGTCCATTGCTAGGAGAATAATACATAAAATATTGTGGATGCAGAGTATGAAATACCATGCAGCCAGGAGAAACCAGTTGACTCCTGAGCAACACAGGTTTGAACTGTGAGGGTTCACGTATATGTGAATTTTTTTCAGTAAATACAGTGGAAAATTATTTTGATTTGCAACAATTTGAAAAAAACTCATAGATGAACCACATAGCCTAGTAATACCAAAGAATTAAGAGAGAGCTATACATGTCATGAATGCATAAAATATATGTAAATAGTAGTCTATTCTATCATTTACTAACATAAAATATCACAAATTTATTATACAAAGTTAAAATATACCTAAATTGACATTAGACAATCTGACACAAACACAGATCATATGTGGTGCTGTTTGCAGTTGACAGAAATCTAAAAAATGTAAAGATGCAGCATAAATCATAACTGCATAAAAGTAACTGTAGTATATACTGTACTACTGTAATAATTTCATAGCCACCTCCTCTTGCTATTGCAGTGAGCTCAAATGTTGCAAATATCCATCTAAAATGCTGTGTGATGCTAATCATCTCTGTGTGAGCAGTCCAGTTCTCCAGTAAATCACATATCGCCATAAAAAGTGATCTCTTGTTGTTCTTGCATATTTTTCATCATATTTAGTGCAATACCATAAACCTTGAGTAATACTGTGGGATGTATATGAAATGCCCCTAATGATGCTTGAAGTGCTCCCAAGAAGCAGAGAAAAGTCCTGACATTACAAGAAACAGTTGAATCGCTTGATATACACCATAGATTGAGATCTGCCGCTGCAGTTGCCCACCATTTCAAGATAAATGAATCCAGCATAAGGACCAGTGTAAAAAAAGAAAATTTGTGAAGCGGTTGCTGCAGCTACACCAGCACGTGCAAAAAAAACCTTATACTTTCTGAAAAATATCTTTTTATCTGATATTGAAAATGAAGTTTTTATGTGAGTGAAGGATTGCTATATGAAAAGAATATCTATAGACTCTAATATGGTTTGAGAAAAAGAGAGGTCATTATATGACAACTTAAGGAAAAAGGAAGGTGCAGGACATAAGCTGAAGAATTTAATGCCAGCAAAAGATGGTTTGATAGTTTTAGAAAGAGTCTTGGATTTTAAAATGGCAAGATATCAGTTGGGGGTGGTGGCTCATGCCTGTAATCCCAGCACTTTGGGAGGCCAAGGTGGGTGAATCACCTGAGGTCAGGAGTTTGAGAACAGCCTGCCCAACATGGTGAAACCCTGTCCCTACTAAAAATACAAAAATTAGCCAGGTGTGGTGGCATGCACCTGTAATTCCAGCTACTCAGGAGGCTGAGGCAGGAGAATCACTTGAACCTGGGAGGTGAAGATTGCAGTGAGCCAAGATCATGCCATTGCACTCCAGCTTGGGCGACAGAGCAAGACTCCATCTCAAAAACAAAACAAAACAAAACAAAACAAAACAAACAAACAAACAAAAAGATGTCAGGAGAAGCAAGAGGCAGGAGACAAGTGCCAACCAAGAGGCAGGAGACAAGTTCCCAGATGCCATTAAGAAAATCATTGAAGAGAAAGGATATCTGCCTGAACAAATTTTTAATGAAGATAAAAGTACCCTATTCTAGAAACAAATGCCACAAAGGACATGCATTAGTAAGGAAGAGAAGTGAGCACCAGGATTTAAGGCAGGAAGGGGATAGGCTACCTCTACTGTTGTGTGCAAATGCAGTTAGGTTTATAATCAGAACTGGCCTTATCTATAAAAAGCTGCTAACCCCTGAGCCTTGAAGGGAAAAAATAAACACCAGCTGCCAGTCTTTTGGTTGTATAACAAGAAGGTCCAGACAATGAGAACCCTTTTTCTGGATTGGTTCCATCGTTGCTTTGTCCCTGAAGTCAGGAAGTACCTTGCCAGTAGGGGACTGCCTTTTAAAGTTCTTTTGATATTGGACAATGTCCTTGGCCACCCCATGAATTCAACACTGAAGGTGAAGAAGTAGTCTACTTGCCCCCAAACACAACGTCTCTAATTTAACCTCTAGACCAGGGGTCATAAGGATCTTTAAGGCCTATTACACAAGGTACTGTATGGAAACGATTGCCAACGCTATGAAAGAAAACTCTGATAGAATAACATGAAAGTCTGGAAGGACTACATCATTAAAGATACCAGCATTGCTATAGGAAAGCTGTGAAAGCCATCAAGCCCAAAACAACAAATTCCTGCCAGAGAAAACTGTGTCCAGGTGTTGTGCATGACTTCACAGGATTTGCAACGGAGCCAATTGAGAAAATCATGAAAGAGATTGTGGATATGACAAAAAAAAAAAAAAGGTTGGGGGTGGTGTGAAGGGTTTCAAGATATGGATCGTGAAGAAATTCAAGAGATAACACACACCACATCAGAGGAATTAACAGAAGATGATTTGATGTAGAGAACCAGTGCCTGACGATGAGGAAGAAGATGTAGTAGAAGCAGTGCCAGGAAATAAATTGACATTAGACAAGCTGGCAGAAGGGTTCTGATGACTCAAAACTGCTTTTGACTTCTTTTGCAACATGGATCTTTCTGTAATATAGACACTGAAACTAAAGCAAACAGTGTAAGAAGGATTGGTATTATAGAAACATTTTTAGAAAAATGAAAAAGCAAAAAATGTCAGACAGGAATTATCATGTATTTCTGTAGAGTTACACCAAGTGTGCCTGCCTCTCCTGCCTCCGCTTCCACCTCCTCCACCCCTTCCATCTCTGCCACCTACCAGATAGCAAGATCAACCCCTCCTCTTCCTTTTCTTCACATCAGCATACTCAATGTGAAGACAATGAGAATAAAGATCTTTATGATGATCCACTTCCACTTAATGGAGAGTAAATACATTTTCTCTTCCTTATGATTTTTCTAATGACATTTTCTTTTATCTAGCTTACTTTGTTGTAAGAATACAGTATATAGTGCATATAAAATACAAGCTATTTGTCAATCAACTATTTGTGTTATTGGTAAGATCTACTGGTTAAGAGCAGGCTATTAGTAGTTAAGTTTTGTGGGAGTCCAAGTTATACACAAATTTCAACTGCATGGAGGGGGTCAGTGTCCCTAACCCCTGTATTGTTCAGTGATCAATTGTACATATAAAAAACATGGATGTCTTAGATCACTTCATGTTGCTATAACAGAGTATTTGAGACTGAGTAATTTACAAAGAAAAGAGGTATATTTAGCTCACAGTTATGCTGGCTGGGAAGTTCCAAGGGCATGGCAGCAGCATCTGCTCAGCATCTGGTAAGGGCTTTGTGCTGCATCACAACGTGGTGAAAGGTCAGAGGGGAAGCTAATATGTGCAAAAAGGGAAAACCCAAGGGCCATCCTGATTTTATAACAACCTACTTAGACAGGAACTAGTCCATTCCTGTGAGAACTAATCTAGTCTCACCCAGAGCGAGAACTCACTCACTCTGTGAGAATGGCACTAAGCCATTCACGAGGAATCTGCCTCCATGAACGAAACACCTCCCACTGGGCCCCACCTCCAAACACTGCCAAATTGGTAATCAAATTTTAACATGAGTTTTGGTGGGAAAAACCCATATCAAACTACAGCAATGGATAAATATCAAAAACAGCATTGACAGAAAAAATTAGAAAAAGGCATAAGATTTAGTGTTCAACCATAATAGTGGATTCATCCATTTCTCCTTATAGTTCTATTAATTTGTGCTCCATGTATTTTGATGCTCTGTTGTTAGGTACATAAGCATCAAGAATTGTTATTAAATTTTTGAGAACTGGTCCCTTTGTCATTATGTAGTGCCTCTCTGTAATCTTTAACTTTTCTTCTCTGAAGTTTGCTTAGTCCAAAATTAATATAGCCACTCTTGCTTTCTTTTGATTAGTGTTAGCATCGTTTATCTTTTGTCATCCACTTATTTAAAAAACTTTACCCTTTATCAGAATTTGTAGTAGACTTTTGATAAGTTATTATAACTAGTGATATACAATAACTCAATGTTTTAAATTTGTTTTTACACATGTAAGAGATTATCCAATCCCATCTATTTACTTTTAATTTGTACGTGTCTTTACATTGAAAGTGGGTTTCTTGCAGACAACATATAGTTGGGTCTTGTTTTTTCATTTACTCTGATGATCTCTGTCTTTTAACTGGCATATTCAGACCATTGATGTTCAAAGTGATTATTGATATAGTTAGATTAATATCTACCATATTTTTACTGTTTTCTTTTTTTGCCCTTGTCCTTTGTTCCTATTTTTGTTTTCCACTCTTTGTATGCCTTTTGTGCTTTTATTTCTATTTCAGTTTTTGATGTTGTTGTTGTTTTAAGAGAAGGGGCTCACTATGTTCCACAGGCTGTTCTTGAACTCCTGGGCTCAAGGGATCCTCCCATTTCAGCCTCCTAAGTAGCTGGGACTACAGGCATGTGCATTTTAACTGAGCAGTTTGTGATTCCATTTTCTCTCCTCTCTTAGCATATCAGTTGTACTTATTTTTTTACTACTTTTAGTGGTTGCTCTAGAGTTTGCAACATACATTTAGAATTAATTCAAGTTTCCTTTCAAATAACACTATACCACTTCAGGGGTAGTCCAAGTACCTTATTATAACAAAATAATCTTAATTCCTCCCTCCCATATTTTGTATTGTTGCTGTCATTCATTTCATTTATACATAATTATATACATAATGTGTAATTGAATATACAGGTATTCAACAATATATATAACTATATATAATATATAATTGAATATATCATTGCTATTATTTTGAACACTTTTATCTGTTAGATGAATTTAGAATAAGAATTTTACTTTCACTATTGTTTCTCAGAAGCTCTCCTTTATGTAGATCCAAGTTCCTGATGTATATTATTTTCCTTCTTTCTGAAGAACTTCTTTATCATGTCTTGCAAGGCAGATCTATGGGCAACAATTCTCTCCATTTTTGTTTGTCTGAGAAAGTCTTTATTTCTTCTTCACCTTTGAAGGATAATTTTGCAACGTTCGGAATGCTAGGTTGTGGTTTTTTCTCTCAAAACTTTTTATATTTCACTCTACCATCTTCTTGCTTGCATGGTTTTTGTGAAGAGGTCAGATGTAATTCTTATCTTTGCTCCTCTGTAGGTTTAGTGTTTTTTCCTCTGGTTTCTTTCATGATTTTTTCTTTCGTGATTTTTTCTTTATCTTTGATATTCTGTAGTTTGAAAATGATATGCCTAGGTGTAGTTTTTCTGATGCTTACCATGTTTGGTGTCCTCGGAGATTCCTGGATCTGTAGTTTGGTGTTTAACATTAATTTGGGGAAATTCTTAATCATTGTTTCAAATATTTCTTCTGTTCCTTTCTTTCTTCTTTTTCTGGTATTCTTATTACATGTAAGTTATTCCTTTTGTAGTTGTTCCACAGTTCTTATATATTCTGCAGTTTTTTTCACTCATTTTTTTCTCTGCTTTTCAGTTCAGAGGGATTCTATTGAGATATCCTCAAGCTCAAAGATTATTTCCTGAGCTATATCTTGCTTATTAATAAGCCAATCGAAGGCATGCTTTATTTCTGTTGCAGTGTTTTTGATCTTTAGCATTTCTCTTTTTGTTTTTTTTCTTGGCACTTCCGTCTTTCTCCTTACATTGCCCATCTGTTTCTGCATGTTATCTATGTTATCCATTAGAGACCTTAGCTTATTAATCATAATTGTTTCAAATTCCTGGTCAGATAATTCCAACATCACTGTCATATTTGAGTCTAGTTTTGATGCTTTTTATGTCTCTTCTAACTGTGTTTTTTGGCTTTCAGTATGTCTTGTACTTTTAGCAATGTGGTGGTGAAGGGTTGGGGCGAGGAATAATTCTGTAGTCCTATGATTAGGTTTTGGTCTTTTAGTAAGCCTATGCCTCTGGACTGTGAACTTCACACATGCTTTTCAGTTTGTCTTCCCATCCCCAATCCATTAGGTGGAACAGGATGGCTAGAGGAAGCTGGAGTTAGGTATTTCTCTTCTCCCTGAATAGTTAGGCTCTGATAAAATACCAGCAGGTTAGGTTCTGGATAAACAGTTTCTCCTGAGAGCAGAACAGAATGCTCTGGCATATTTCAAATGATTTCTTTTCCTTTCCCTCTGTTGGAAGTACACGGGGATTTTTTTCTTTAATATTCACTGTGAGAACCTGGTAGAACTCCAGGAAGTAAAAATCATGAGTGTGGTGTCTTCCTCTCATGACTGGGCCCCCTTGGAGTTTTTGTCTCTCACAGCTATCTGCACTTTGCCTCCAGCAATTCATCAGTTACAGTTCAGGTTTCCCTTCCCTGGCACTTGTTCCCTGAAGATTGCTGCTCATAGGTTTTTGCTCTGATAAATTGTGATTCTCTGTATTCTGTTGGTTTCTACAATTTCCCTTTGAACTCACTTCTGTTTTGCATCAAAGAAAAGTTAATTTTTCCATCTGTTTAGCTTTTTATTTGTTTTCAGAATGGAGTGACCACTTCCACGCTTCTTAAATGAGGGTCTGGGGACTGGAAATCCCAAGGCATGAGATTTAAAGTTAAACATCATTTATAAATATTTAAAACAATGCACAAAATAGCACTACATATATTAAAAGATTGCTCACATATTTTAAGGTATATGAGTAGATATTATGTATCAGAATGGGTAGCAAGATTACTACATACAGCACAATTCCTGGAATTATGCAACAGAGGAGCTTTAGCGTTTGCCTATGCTAAGGAGAGAAACAGAAGTGAGAATTGAAATGAAGGGGAAGAAAATAAGTAAAATAAGAGAAAGAGGCCATTAATAGATTAAAAAAATAATGTGCTATGAACTGAGGAATATAACTCAAATCTCTATACCTGAGAGTTTTACAATAAGCTTTTATTAGTCATATTTATTGCAGATTTTTCTAATGTTGTCCCTCATTTATTATTGTTTCATAAAGCATTTGACAATTGGAATTTTTTCCTATAATTGTAGGAATTAATCTTTTCCTTTCTTATTGCTGTTAGTGGTGGATTAAAGATGTCACTCTTCCCACTGAGAGTTATTTCTCTTTTCCCTCCTCTTGAATCTGGGCTGACTTATTTTGGCATATAGAATATAGGAAATGATATTACATAACTTTCCAAGTTTCACCTTAAGAGATCTGCAATTCTCACCTTCCAGCCCCATGGAGAAGCCCATAGAGGTGAACTGAGGCACTCCAGTTGACAGACCCAGTTGACCTTTCAGGCGACTGCCATCACCAACTGCAAGCCATATGAAAGAGACATCTTAGACCTCCTGACGCTGTCAAGCCTCCAGATTTCTGCAGCCCTATTCAACACCCTGTGGAACAGAAGAACTACTCACCTGATGCCAGTCAACTCAGAGACTCATGAAAGATAATAAATGACAGATTGTTTTGAGATGGTTTGTTAAAAAGCAACAAATAACTAAAACACTTCTATTGCTTCAATACTGAGAAAATCCAGATACCAATGAACTCTTTTCCTATATTTTCTTCTAATTTTTAAAAGTATCTTCTAGAGTTTTGGCTTAAATTTCATTTTTTAAAATTCAGCCAAATGACAACTCCATTTGATAGATAATTTATTCACTCTTTTTTTATAATTTTTTTTCTCTAAGATATTGAAGGAGGGTTTAGGTTATTTTTCCTGTAATAAATTAATATACATTCATTCTAGAAAGTGAGGGTGGGGAGGACAGAGCTTGACTCTGCCCTTAATCTCACCTCTTCAGGGACAACCACTACTACCATTTTGATGCATTTCCATTAATTTTCAGTATATATTTTAATGTTAATACTATTAGGTTAATATAATCCATTTTATAACTCAGATGTGTTACATATTTTATAGGGTAATTCACAATACAAAGAACTCTGCAGAGAAAGTGCATGAGTACTGAAAGCAGGGTTACACTAGCCCAGAGGAAGGGTGTATTTTCCTAAAAAAAATGCTAGAAGCTTATCAAGCCCTGAGCCCTCACAGCTTTTTCACCCAATGGTGGAGCCTTCTTAAGCTGTGGGTCTGTTATGACCTGCTCTATTTTTTGTTGAACTTTATAACATAAACTTTGTCTCACATTGCTAAAAGCTGAGAAATGTTTTGAAGAAGGAAACCACTAGACTTGGGCACAACTGAATATAAGAAATATGAGGCTGAGTGTGGTGGCTCACACCTGTAATCCCAGCATTTTGGGAGGTCAAGGCAGGTGGATCACTTGAGGTTAGGAGTTCGAGACCAGCCTGACCAACATGGTGAAAGCCCATTTTTACTAAATATACAAAAAATTACCTGGGTGTGTTGATGCACACCTGTAATCCCAGCTACTTGGGAGGCTGAGGCAGGAGAATCATTTGAACCCCAGAGGTGGAGGTTGCAGTGAGCCGAGATCATGCCACTGCATTCCAGCCTGAGCTACAGTGCAAGACTCTGTCTGAAAAAAAAGAGAGAGACTGAAGCATCAATAATAACTCTGAGTTTTTAAGATTGGTATTACCAGTATTACTGAAAGGGAGGGAGGAAGGGTACTGTAGTGGGTTGAGAAATGTCCCCTTAAAATGTATGTTCATGCAGAATTTCAGAATGTGACCTTATTTAGAAATAGGATTCCAAGATGAGGTCATACTGGATTTAGGGTGGGCCCCAAAACTAATGACATGTGTCCCACACTAAGGGAAAGACACACAGAGACACAGAGAAAGCCAGGCAGAGATGGAGGCAGAGGTTGGAGTGATGCACCTGCAAGCCAAGGAATGCCAGGGGCTGCCAGCACACCAGAGGCAAAGAAAGAGGGACAGAACCAATTCTCCCTCAGAACCTCTAGAGAAAACCAACCCTGCTAACACCTTGATATTGGACTTCTGACCTCCAGAACTGTGAGAGGACAGTATTCCATTGTTTTAAGCCACTAAATTTGTGGTAGTTTGTGATGGCAGCCATAGAAAGTTAATGCTGATACTTATTACCAGTAATGTATTAAGAGCTTATTCTGCTACAAAAGGATGAGCCCTAGGAAACTGTCAACATTTGAACTTTTTTTTTTCACCTACTGAGGCAGCCATTTCATATGGTTCAACCTAATAGTTGATGTAACTGATTTATTTCTCTCTCACACAGTTAAAAATCCCAATTTTCTTGGTTATGTTTGCAACAACCTTTTGAAATATCATTATCCTTATTTTTACAGATGAGGAAATTGAGATTCAGAGAAGCTAAATAATTTGCTCATAGCCTCACAGATGATAAATCACAGAACTAGAAAACAAACTCAAAATTGTCAGACCCTGAAATCGATGTGCTTTATCTATGTCAGTGCATCTCAAACTTTAATAATGTCTATACAGATTACCTGAGGATCTTGTTAAAATGTAGATGATGACTCAGTAGGTCTTGGGTAGGGCCTGAGACTCAGTATTTCTAACACACTCTTGGGTAATGCCAATGCGGCTGGCACTCAGAGAACACTTTGAGTTTAGAAGACTCAGGTGTCCGGCCTTCCCCAACATGGTGTAACTGACAATGTGATTCGTTTTGAAGTAATTATGATGGGTTCTAATTATATCCAGACAGATTCATAGTGCAGTTGGTTGAAAATATGGAGCCGGACTATTTGAGAAAAATGAGTGCTGGAGGCATAGTTTTAGGAGTCATTAGCAAAGAGAAGGTAGTTGAAAATGTGAATAGATAAGCTTACTGAGACATGCTCTATTCTAATTTTTAAAATTTTCATATATCATTCCTTTTGGATGGGACCAGTTAAAAAGAAAACAAAACCTAGATATTCTTTGAATAATGATTAAACATATTTTCTATTCATAATGTATAGTCTCAAAGCAGCATTTTAAAATGTCTTAACTGGATAGTTTATGTGCTATTACATAAATTAATGTTGTCTTATGGTGACTTTAATGAATTGACTGACTCACATGCCTAATTAATGAAATTCTTACAACCTGAAGTTTAACTGGATGCTTTAGTAGAGTACTTCTTTCAGTTTTGGTTGAATGGAGCAACTGAAGAAACTGGGGAATAGTTTAAGGTACTCACATTTTCTATGGCCAAGAGTGAATCTGAGCTCAGTGTCTTCCAGATTTCTAAGATGCCCATGAGGTGCATAGACAACAACACGTATCGAGGGACAAGGAAGTGTTGGGGGAGGGAAACATCTTCAAATTTCTTTAAAAAATACTTTCTTGAAGACTTGCATAGAATTCTGGGATTGGTCTGTCTTTGTGAGTTAGTAATGAAATTCACATTAGAGTTAGATCTACCATAAAGAATTTCCCTACTTCATTTGCAGTATTTTAAGAGCTAATTTGCAACATCTGCCTAAGTAAATAGAACTTACTTGAAAAGTAGAGAAGCAAAACCATGTGTCTGAAGTATTACACACAAGTACTTGATGGCTTAACTAAATCAAACCCAGATGGACATGTGGCCCTGTGGAACCTCAGTAGTTTTCTTGCACAACATTTGACAGAGGCCACATCATTAAAGTCAAGTAGAATATTCAAGGCCAAGGAATTCCTATTGTTAAATAATATGATTAAGAAAATAATTGATGGTGTCCATTACCCTGGCTAAGGACTCTTAGAGACCTTTTCTCTGAGTACCATGTCTCTGAAGTTCTGGGAAGCAACTAGCCAAGGTACCCTGGCTTATGACTGAGAAAGAATATTGGCACCATAGAAAGATTTAAATTTTCATTTGTGGATTTATTTTTAGTGATTTCATAAAAGTGTCAAATATTTGAGATATTTTCAGAGCCTGGAATCCATTATATACCCGTTATGACTTGATAGAACTGTTTATATTATCTAAGAAACATATTTACAGGCAAAGATATTTTTATAGAATATATATATTCTGTGCGATAAATCAAGAGGAACAAAGATGACAATAATTTTGTCACAACAAATTCTATGAGGAATTCTTCAAGATGATTTAATAATTCAATTCAAATGTATCTTGATAGTTGCTAATTAAAACTAGGCAGATAACTGAGCTTATCTCCTTCATGGTATGCTATATTGCAATTATCCAGTGATAAAACAATTTATTGTAGGGAATTGCAATCTATTAAGTTAATAGATTTGAATGCTTAAGCCTGGTAATTCTTTCACACATGTAAGGTTGCCGAGATTGAAAGTAAGATATCCAGAAAAGCAGATGGGAAATAACAAAACTGGTATTCTTCCTATAAAGGAGAGATGATAGGTAACTATTTTTGTTATCATTCTCTTTTTTTTAAAAAAAAACTCAAGTATGTTCTACTTCTGTAATTTAAATATTCCAGTGAAGGAAAAAAGATCAAGTAAATTTATAACAACTTGAGCAGTTGCACTGTGAAGAAACAGATCAAGAGTTTTTCTAGGTGATGGTTTATCTAGAAGTTAGAATGATTTATTGACTATCCCAAACTCAAAAGACATCCCACAGCAAAATATCTTTCTGTTGCAAGGACCAGGCTAAGCATAGTCACTTGATAGATATTTTTTGATGATTGTTAGAAAATCTCCTAAACCTTTAAAATTGAGTAGGCATAAAACATTCTACACTAAGACATTTTCCTGGCTTTCTTTTATAACTCCATGAAAAATCAAATTAGTTTCCACTTTGGCTAAATATTTCATCATTTGTGGTTAGAAGATGCCAAGCATCATTTTAGTTATTTTCATTTAGGAATAAAATGATAAATTGACCCTTTGTGAATACACATATTATACACAGTATAGTCTTATTTCAATCTTTCAAATTGACATGCTAACTAAGGAGGATGAGAAGAAGATCATGACCCTAGGGATCGGTATTCAGTGCAAGTGAGAGTCCTTTGGAAGCATGTCTTTGCTCCCACTCTATCCTGCCCATTCAGTCCACCACTTAGCTATGCTGAGTTGACCCTGTCTAATGTACATACCATATTGAACAGAAACCATATGCTTACGTGTCTGTTTTCCCTCACCAGAATATAAGCTCAGGATACTCCAGTTGATCACTGAGCAAAGCAGGGTAGTTGAGTGCATACTCTTCTCAGATAACCCCTAGCTTATGACCACGTAAGAAGGTGGTAAAAGAGTCTGGCCATTTCCACCCAATCAGGATTCCTCTCACAGGTAGTCTTTGATCCAGAGCTCCCATTGGGCTGGTAGAGATTTGTCACGTCTGTATTGTGGTCTGATGCCCACCCTGCCCCATCCTGCTTCCATCCCTTTTCTTCTACAAGTGTTCTTCCACATCAACTTTTTCACTCCTCAATCAAGCTCACATCCATTTTCTGGAGAGTGCATACTGTGACTGCTGGTGCCTGAAATTGTCCAAGAACGCAGTAAGGTGGGATAGAGGAGCCAGTTTACTGATTCCTTGGCTAGTAACGAGGAACCAATTCCTGGTGGTAATTGGTGTACAGAAAGCCCCTGGAATGATTGGCAGTCCACTTGATAAACCTTTCATAGGTAGTGAGCTGGGATGTGCAGGTAGAGAGACATGTACTCATCAAGGAGATGATTTGGGTCATTGAAATGTGTAGGGGGATAAGAAAAATGAGTAAAATTGGGTGGTTATTTCTAAATTGCATTGAAACTCTGCAGATTAACAATGAAAAGCTGAGGGCAGTTAATTAATTGAAAACTACAAAAGCCAGAGGGGCTCTTGGTAGCTTTCAAAGAAGCCCTCATGGTATGCAATGTGTTCACAGGAAAAGCTGATCAAGCCCTGGATTTGATATTCAGACTGGCTAAACTTCAAAGACGGTTGGAAGCTCAACCACCATAGTCATGACTCTTTTTGAGAAAACCTGAACTCCTCACACATGAGATGAGGACATTTGAGGGAATGCCTTTATAGATTTTGACTCCCAAGGCTATTCTGAAACTTTATGCGTGTACACAAGCGGCTTCCCCTCCTTATTCCAAGCCAGCACATTAGAGTACTGACTGGGTGTTGAAAGGGACCGCTGAAGGGGCAGCTGAAGTGCCGGCACATAGACAACACTCTGGCCCTACTTATTCTCCTTTCACCAACACCCTACCATTGCAGTTACATCACTTTCTTTGGCTAAAATAATAACTTTGTGTTTTACATGTTGTGAGTTAATACTGTTTTCTATGGGTCCAAGAAATCCAGTATGATTATATATTTTCTTTCACAATCTATTAGTTTTTCTGGAGTTCCTACCTAGCCCTTTTATACCCATGAACACACACACAACCCACCATGCCAAGTCATGTTTACCGCAGTTTTTCCATAAAGAGACCTGCAACCATTTATATTGGGTAAAAGGGAATTGCCAGCATTGGGAAGTCTTGTTGGACATAGAGTCCAAGTTCACATTTGTATCCAGAGACTCAGAGACCCAAATCATCATCATGGCCCCACTGTCAAAGAGAGAACACATGGGAGGAGGTCAGGTCATAAATGGAGTTCTGGCCAAAGTTTGGCCTACAGGAGATCCCCAGGATTTGTAGACCCACCAAATGATCACTTCTCTGGTTCCCAAGGATTTAATTTGTATTGACATACGTTGCAGCTGGAGTAACCCTGCACTGGGTCCTTTTCCCTGTTCTTTCCGCAGATGGGAATTCTAGGAGCTGATGTCCTGTCTGCATAGGAATCCAACTGCTTCATTTTCAAACACTCAACCCATATCGCTCTTTTTCAGCCCTGTTCCTCTTCTTTGCCCTCTGTGATACCAAATACCTCCAAGTCCTTTGAGCCTCTGGGAGTTCTGGCTTGCTTTGAATCAGGTACCTATTTTCAAGGCATTTTAGACTGTAGTTAAGTCAGTTACCATTCTGATCTACTTTATATCTTCTGAACTTTTTTTTAACTCACACTATTTCTCTTTGAAATGTTTTATTTGCACTTGTTCTTGAGTTTCGGTAACTTTAAAATCCACTTACCATTTTAGCAGAGATTTGAGAGAAAAATGAACTCTTTATCCACCACATTTAACTAAGCATCCAGCCCTTTTCTTACGTAGAGTAGTTACTTCTCAGCTTCAGCAATTTGTATGCTCACACACCATGCTACTGGATCATTCCTGGAGCTCACACCACTTGGAAGACAGTAGTATTTGTAATTAAGAAATAATTTAAAATAATTTAAAAAATACAATACTGTTGTATGTGTTCTATATGCATATTCATATTATTTTTAATTAAAAAAAGTAAAGTTGGAGAGTTAGGCAGGACTGGACTATAAGGACCTTCACATATGAATTGGACCTTGAAAAATGAGTAATAAAAAATAGCTAACATTTATTGAGAGCTTACTATCTGCCAGATACTGTGATAATTGTTTTCTGTCCACTATGAAAGAAGAACAATTATTAGCTCCATTTTATGAATGAGGAGACTGAAGCTCAGAGAGATTATTATGCCATAATCGCTCATTGCAATGAGGCACCAGGGCATGATTATTTGCATACTAGGTTTCCTCCTCTGTTAGTCTTGTGAGCTCCTCCAGGGAGTATACATATGTGTCTCAATCTGTTTTTAGTTTACTTCAGTGCAATATCCACCATAGAAACCGTGTTCAGAAAAATGTATGATAAATGAACATTGGCTACTGATTTCAAACATTAGGGAGAAAAGCAATTTGAAGCAAAATACAGATTTGTAGAAATGGGGAAAAAGGGGACTTCTTAACTTTATTTTAGCACTTACAGGAATGGAAACAGGAGAATTTTACTTTGAACTTGTGGAGAAATGTATTCTTAACTTATGGGATTCTTAACTGGTACCTTTAAAAAAATCATCAAAGTCAGGCTGAGTATCCAGAGAATATTGCTATAACTAGCCGTGAACTATGACCAAAAAGGACAGCTCTATATTTACAAACTGTGGTGGCTTCTGGGATGGGTAAAGGAGGAGGAAGTAGAGGGAAGTGAAGTTTACGGTTCTGTAAATTACAGCCCATGGCAGGACCAGGATGCCTCCCCAGCCTAAGCCTGGAGGCAAGTCAGCCAAAGGGCGGCTACTCATACTTGTGTAATTAACGATGCATTTTTAGTGTAATAAAAAGACTTACATTTTGGCTTATATTTCCTTGTTAACTGTTATAGTGACAGGCAATTTATTCCAAAGGACAACTGCCAGGATAGTCCCTATTATGGGAATACAGTGAGTAACCCAACTCTAAAGTTGGAAAAACAAGAAAACAAAACGAACAAAATGACTGAAAATCAAGAACTGAGGAGAGAGAAACCCACAGTTAAACTCTGAGATACAAGACATTTTACCTTTATCCATGCCATTCAGAATTATTTACCTGTCAATAGCAAAATTTAGGGTAGACATCAAGAAATCCCTTCTAGTACATTGAACATTGAACCCACCACAGAGTGAAAGATTGCTCTCCCCAAGAACTTTTTTTTTTTTTTTTTGAGCTGGAGTTTCGCTCCTGTTGCCCAGGCTTGAGTGCAATGGTGCGATCTTGGCTTTCTGCAACCTCCACCTCCAGGGTTGAAACAATTCTCCTGCCTCAGCCTCCTGAGTAGCTGGCATTACAGGCATGTGCCACCACGCCTAGACAATTTTGTATTTTTAGTAGAGATGGGGTTTCTCCATATTTGTCAGGCTGGTCTCAAACTCCTTACCTCAGGTGATTCACCCGCCTAGGCCTCCCAAAGTGCTCAGATTACAGGCGTGAGCCACTGTGCTTGGCCTCCCAGGAACTTTTAAAAGAAGAGTTAGCTATTTCTTATGGAATGTGGAAATATATGGAATTTTCCAAGATGTATGTTTCTGATGCAAAAGGAAAGCTAAGTAATTGATATACATTAGGTTATTTACTACAGTATATATATATATAAATATATATATATATAAATATATAAATATATATATATATATAAATATATATATATATATATATATATACACATTTAAGGTTATTTTACTAAGATTAACCATATAAATTGATAGGGTTTGGTTCTGTGTCCCCACCCAAATCTCATCTTAAATTGTAATCCCCACATGTCAAAGGGAGGTTATTGGATCGTGGGGGCAGTTTCCCCCATGCTGTTCTCATGATAGTGAGTGAGTCCGCATGAGAACTGATGGTTTAAATGTGTGTGGTGGTTCCCCCTGCCCCCCTCTCTTTCCTGCTGCCATGTAAGATGTGTCTTGCTTCCCCTTTGCCTTCCACCATGATTTTAAATTTCCTGAGGCCTCCCCAACCATACAGGACTGTGAGTCAATTAAACCTCTTTTCTTTATAAATTACCCAGTCTCAGGTAGTTCTTTATAGCAGTGTGAAAATGGAGTAATACATAAATGTGTGTATATATATATTTATTTATTTATAGTCCAAAGGGTCTGGAGCATAGCCATTGATTGGTCAGTCTCTGAGAACTTGGTAGCCTCTGGACTCCCAAGCCTTGAACTAATTGAGCAGTAATTTGACTTGCATGGCTGGGCACAGTGGTTTGCACCTGTAATCCCAGTACTTTGGGAGGCCAAGGCAGGCAGATCACTTGAGATCAGGTGTTTGAGATCACCCTGACCTACATGGTGAAACCCTGTCTCTACTAAAAATACAGAAGTTAGCCAGGCATGGTGGTCTGTGCCTGTAATCCCAGCTACTCGGGAGGCTGAGCTCAGCATGAGAATTGTTTGAACCCGAGAGGTGGAGGTTGCAGTGAGCCAAGATCGTGCCACTGCATTCCAGCCTGGGTGAAAAAAAAAAAAGGAAGTCCTTGGTGAATTCTTTGAAAGTAGGGTCTACTGATCTAAGGCAATTTGGTCATACACAATTCTTAGGTTATTTCCAGAAGATAATAGTAGCCATCGAAGAAGTTGAGGTGGGTAAGGGTTACTTAGTTATTCCTCAGCCTTGCTACAAGTTGATAAGTAATGCAAGTTTCAAACCAAATTCTGCCCCATATACAGATATTTATTCGTCAAACATTGATGAGCAAGCAGGTCCAAAACTATTTATGCAGTTCTGTACATTTAATGAAGGCTCAGCTGTCTATCATCTTAGATTCTCTGAAAACTCCCATGCCTGCTTAGAGGCTGACACAGTCAGGATCTTTTACCCCTGTGTTATAGATCAGGCCATCAGAAGTCATCATAACCAATAGCTAGACA
The DNA here is from genome assembly GCF_000001405.40 of Homo sapiens. Taxonomy (NCBI): domain Eukaryota; kingdom Metazoa; phylum Chordata; class Mammalia; order Primates; family Hominidae; genus Homo; species Homo sapiens. The sequence goes on from NC_000004.12 coordinate 145,322,610, forward strand.
CAAGACTGTGTAGGGGGCAAATCCTGGGCTCCACCTACAGGGTAAAGGCTAAGTCTTAGTTTGCTTTTTTTTTGAGATGGAGTCTTGCTCTGTTGCCAGGCTGGAAAGTACCGTGGTGCAACCTTGGCTCACTGCAACCTCCTTCTCCCAGGTTCAAGTGATTCTCCTGCGTCAGGCTCCTGAGTAGGTGGGATTACAGATATCCGCCACCATACCCGACTAATTTTTGTATTTTAGTAGAGACGAGTTTCACCATGTTGGCCACGCTGGTCTCTACCTGCTGACCTCAAGTAATCTACCTACCTCGGCCTCCCAAAGTGCTGGGATTACAGGCGTGAGCCACTGCATCTGGCCCTTTGTTTACTTTTTATACCCTATTCATGCAAGCTTGAAGAGAGTCTCTAACATATTTGTAACCACTCTCCTCTTCATGCATCATGAATACTTTTAATTTCACCCATGATGTCGAATAGCTAACATTCCATATTCATCATAGCAATCAACACCATTAAACCCAAGAGATTTGCTTCTGGCATTCAGTATGCTAATCAGCAGGTTGTAGGGTGTTGATTTTGAGGTACAGAAAACTGAATAAAACTGTAGTTGCTCCCTCTGGTATGTGGTCTGAACATCCCTGAACTGATTTATGATTAAGCCACTGTAATTTAATCAAATAATATTTTAAAATAAATTACAGACTATTTTAATACTGACAAGTTCACCAAACAAAGTACCTGGCCTAGTGGAGCCACTCAAAGTTCACTGAATTGAATGGGGTGTTTAAAGGGCTTGTAAATTGGAATATGGTTATGTCAATTAGACTACATATTCATAGGCAGTTTGGGTGTTAAGATTTGGTTATAGTAACTCAATCAAATTTTGATTTGATTGACTTGGGCTTATTTTGATTTTCCAGTTGTCTTGGGGCACTCTGGAGAAAGCCCTTGGTTGGCTTCAGGCTCCAGAATTAGTAAATTCTGTCATGTTTCTTTTGGGAAGGTCATTCATTGGTAGACTTTGCCAATAATTACTTTGAAGTGATGGTTCAAATTGTATATTTGTGAGAATTGCTTAAATATTTTCAGGTAATAAGTGTAATTGTTTATAAAAGAGTGGCCTTTTTTTTTTTTCTTTTTAGAGGAAGCAGAGTGGGGTAATAGCTACACATTCCTGAGAAACAGGCCATATCACTGTCAATCTGCCTCACTGTCTTCCTCTGATGTGCTTGGGCAATCCAGAAGTGGAAGCCATAAAGCGGATGATGGTGCAGCTGGATTGTTGACTGTCACATATGTCTTTTTCCAAACAACGCTAGGTGAAAGAGCTACAGAAAAGAGGTTCCAAGCCTTCCCCCACAAACATCAGCTGATCCACAGAAGTCACACATAGAACCCTCTCAGCTCCGACAAGGAAGTGAAGCTCCCAGGTTCCCATATCTGGATCTCAAGGCCTAGCATATGGTTCAGAGTCACGAAAAAGGATAAATATCATTTAGATATTCTTTTTGGAAATATCTTCACTTAAAATTTCTTTTAAAAAATTCAGAAAGTCATAAGCTATTTGCAACCATCTCTTGTTTCGTAAGTTACCTTAGTTTGAAAAGCTTACTCTTGGGATGAACGGTAATGTCTCTTTAATTGAAGAGGCTGTGTGTGATAAGCATCAATTCCATTTGCTTCCTCCCCACCCTAGAACACATATTTTCCTTCCCACACCCCAGTCCCTGGAGAAAAATTTGTGGCCGCACCTGTAGTGATATGTATCAGGTGTTCCCAACTAACAAATGCTTTGTCTGCAGGCTTCGAAAGCATCCTCGTGTTTTGCCTCCTCGCTCAAGAGAAAACACGCACTTCTGCACTCAAGCTTTGATTTCTTTCAGTCTGTGGCTTACTGGAATAACATATGTGCTTGCTCAACGTCTTTATTTTGCCAACAAAACACCCACAATCTCAATGATATTTTCAACCCCTTGTATGGTATCCTGATGTCTATTTATATTGACATCCAGACATTTTAGTCTCACTACTGGCACAGAGATGACATTTTCGTGACTAATTATTATTGTGATAATGTAATGCAGTCTCTCTCCAGACAAAACCCCTTACTGCCAGCCACAGCTCAAAAATTTCCTTTTTGAAAGGTTTTTCTGATCATTGTCTTTGGCTTCTAAGAAACCATCCATCTAATGTTGTGTGATTTCAGGAGATTTTGAAGAGCAGAGGGCCATGCATTCCTCTTTAAAGCTAAGTGTTTGTACCAGCATCAGAAGATGGGTATTATTATTCATGTGACCAAAACACTTGACTTACACATCCTTGGCCTTGCTAATATTGGCTTATTGTCGGATCATATATATTACTTATCCTAGAATATGGAATAAAAGAAGCTCTACAATGATTTAAATATATATATTTAGCCTCTGCTGTTAGGTGAGAGCTTAGGATGGGGTGGGGGGAGATGAACATGTGAGGCTACACTAGAGTAAAATGCCATGATGACACACCCTAGGATAATGAAAATTTGGGTATAATGCAATTAGCTCCTATCTTCTGACCAGGTGCCATCCTTAAATGCAGGTGTGTTGATGTTCTTATGTTCTGGGAGGTGGGGTGGGGCAATAAAGGGAGCATGAAGGTTGACAGGAAGGCAGCAGGTGATCCCAACTGGGAAGCAGGGTGCCAGGGCAGAGGTCTGCAGTATTCCCATTGGTCCAGCCTTTCAGATTGGGTTGGCAAAACAGCTTTCAACAGAGCAGGAGGTTCCTGGAGTTACTCTGCTTGTCGTTGGAAGTCCCAACCATGCACAGGACCCAGAAGCCTCTACACTGATATTTAGGCTGGGCAGCAGGGGGATAACTCCCACTAGGTGGTTCCCAAATGCATCAGGGACTTGGATGGGTTTGGATCATACTAAGAATTCCCTGTGGTAACTCCCAGCCAGCAGGCAAGATTTTATTAGCCTCACAGTAATGCAAGCCCACAGGTGACACCATCTATAGTAAGTCTTTCTGGACTCCACTTATGGTGGGATTCTACCATAGCTCCCTACTTTCTATTAAAATATGACTGATGTTTCCTTAACATTATGGAACTCAGACAAGTGTATCATGACATTGACTCTTCAGTGCAAGTATCTTTTTCCTATTCCTCAAATATATTCTATCAAATAAGGTTAAGATCATGGTTTTCAGGCAGCTTTGCAGTGGAAGGGCAAACTACATTCCAGATTTTGGCACTGGGATATATATGAATGTGTGTGTGTGTGTGTGTGTATGCAATACATATATTTACATATTTAAATATGCTGCTATTTTTACTAATTAAATGCAAAATCATAGGTGAATTTAGCTTTGCATTTAATGTACAGAGCATAAGATGCTAATGTACAGGTTACAAGTGACAAGTAAACCAACAAAGCATCACAGTATCTGTTATGGATACCCTACCAAACTAACACCCAGCTTGCAATTCGAGAATTTACATTTTTTCATCCTATTTTCTTTCTTTCTTTTTCTTTTTCTTTTCTTTCTTTTTTGGAGACAGTCTTGTTGTGTTACCCAGGCTGGAATGCAGTAGCGCAATCTCGGCTCACTGCAACCTCCACCTCCTGGGTTCAAGCAATTCTTGTGCCTCAGCCTCACAAGTAACTGGGATTACAGTTGTGCATCATGCCTGGCTAATTTTTGTATTTTTAGTAGAGATGGGGTTTCAACATGTTGGCCAGGCTGGTCTTGAACTCCTGACCTCAAGTGATTCACATGCCTCAGCCTCCCAAAGTGCTGGGATTACAGGCATGAGCCACCACGCCCGGCCTTTTTCATCCTATTTTCAAAGATAGAAGCTGGCAGCTGCTTTAGTGTACAATGAGTCTGTAGGAGAATTCAGTAAAGCAGGTAATTATTGTTTGGGGAAGAATCATTTAAGTGGTTTCCTCACTTCCGTAAGCATGGTGTGAATAGACTCCATTTTCCTGATGGACAGTATCACTTTGAAAAAATTTTCCTTTTTCTGGGAAGGGTCATGCAAGTGGCCTTGCTTAGTCACTTAAGTGCAGGGCGAGTTGGCTGTTATTCTGGAAAAGGAGTATAATCAGAACTTTGATGTCTTAAGTGTCTTTATAAAGTTGTGAGGTCATTGCTGCAGAAAAAGGTGGGAATTTCCCTGGCCAAATGCTCCTGGGGTCATGTTCCATTCTGAGAAGTGACCCTGGGCAGGAACTGAAAAAGTTTAGTCACTAAGGGATTCTTGAGCTCAGAAATCTCAGATCAGGAGGATCTTGTAATGGGACAAGATGTTGGGGATGGTCTTTCTTTATAAAGAAGTGATGTGAAAGGAAGGAATAGAGGATTGAGCCTCCTCTACTGAGCTCCCACACTGCCCTCTGAATGTGGCTTCCAGGGTGTTGGTTGCTTTTCATCTTCTTGTATTGCTCCAGAGAACTCCAAACAAATGTTCTGGGACCCTCTCATCCCAGGTTTCTCAGCCTTGAGCACCCCTGGATGTACTAACATTTGCACATCCAGCCCATGCAGGCAAACACAGACCTTACCTGCAGGGTTATCCTGAGAATTTTCCCTGGTTTGCTTTGGGCATATCTGGACTTAGTCAACACCTACATTATCCTCTGTAGTTACTGCTCTAGTTTTCTCTTCCTCTCTCCTTATGTTTCTCTTTTATTGTTCGAAATTTTGAAAATTTGTTTAGATACTTGCACCTGAGAGCAAATAAGACAATTTCCTGTATGAAGGAATTTAACTTCATCTTTGAGCTCTGTCTGGGTGCTGTATGAAGGGGAGGACCATTCAGGCTTTGGATCCATGTCCACAGGGGTCATCTCATGTCACTAGCTAAGAGATTCTCTTTTTGTGGTGTATGAGCCTGTTTTCATGCTGCTGATAAAGGCATACCTGAGACTAGGCAATTTACGAAAGAAAGAGGTTTAATTGGACTTACAGTTCCACATAGCTGGGGAAGCCTCACAGTCAAGGCTGGAGGCAAGGAGGAACATGTCATGTCTTACATGGATGGCAGCAGGCAAAGAGAGAGAGAGCTTGTGCAGGGGAACTCCTCTTTTTAAAACCATCAGATCTCGTGAGACTTCTTCACTATCATGAGAACAGCACAGGAAAGACCTGCCTCCATGATTCAATTACCTCCCACTGGGTCCCTCCCACAACACATGGGAATTCAAGATGAGATTTGGGTGGGGACACAGCCTAACCATATCACATGGGGAGTCAGAGATTACAGTCTTCACCATTGTCTCTGGGGATTAAGTTGGGGGTGGGAAGAATTCAAATTTTCATTTTTTGTCTTTCTGCCAAAGATCAGTCATTGGATACTTAATGCCTAATCAACCCACTGGTCACTACAGGGCCAAGTATAGAGGATCTACCACTTATTCTCAAGTCTGGCTTTGGATACAAGGACTCTGCTTTAGGGTGTGCTTCTTCACCTTCTCCAGGTCTTTGCTTAAATGTTGTCTACTCCTGAGTTCATCTTGGATCACACTATTTAGGGTTCCCACCTTCTGTCCCAGTGATCCCTGTCTCTTTCCTCTGCTTTATTTTCTCCATAGCACCCATCAACGTGTGACCTGCCACAAATGTAACTTACATACCTTCTTCATTGTTTCTCTTCCCATTAGATACCATAAATTTCATGAAGGTGTGATTTTTGGTCTCTTGTTCATCACTGCAGTCACAGTGACTAGAACAGTGTCCAGTTCAACACTATTTGAGGAAGGAAGGAAGGAAGGAAGGAAGGAAGGAAGGAAGGAAGGAAGGAGGGAGGGAGGGAGAGAGGGAGGGAGGGAAGGGAGGAAGGGAGGGAGGGAGGGAAGGAAGAGGATGAGAAAAGAGAGAGGGAGGGAGGAAGGAGAGGAAGTAGAGTTCGGGGAAGGAAGCCAATAGCTTCAAAGAATCACTAATGGAAGACAGAATTATTATTTTGGTCTCCTCTAAAGGTTCTAGTCTATGTTTGAGAGAAACACTCATAGACATGTGGACAAGAACCCAAGGGTCTTTTAGGACTTCTCAGATTACCACACCTTAGAAATGGCCACAGAAACTGCTGTTATACACACATGCTCATACACACACTTAAATCTCTGCATGACATGTTTATTTGTGTTTGCAGCCTTTCATATATCTCTGCATGGAAAGGTAAGGAAAAAAAAACTTTATTTCCTAGAACACGATGTTAATGAGGTCATGACTGCAGGTTCAGTCCTTAGATAGCCCAAGTATATTGGTGTTGTCTAACTGCCCAGAGTGAGCTTCTAAGTCTAGCCATTGCCTGAAAAATGCTTTAATTAATTGTTCAGTTCCATAGTAATAGGGCAAATGAGTGAGTGTGGGAATGTAAATGGATTGACGCAAATCCATTACTGCTCCTAGAAAAGCAGCTCAAAATTTCTGACCCACTGCAGTTGGCTCAAGAGATCAGTAGATCTTTACTCCCAAAAGCTAGCATATAATGCCCATTTCCCGCCCCCTGCCAGATTTAGAAATACAACTTGTCTTCAGAGTAGCTAAGTACAGAAGTCAATTCAGAATAAATGATGAAATCTCTAACTTCTTCCAGCTAAGGACAAAAGTCTGATTATCAGACCCTTTTCTTCTAATGTTAAGAGGTGGATAGGCAAGCATATGAAAATAATATCCCTTTGGGGATAGTTCCCACTGCCTCTCACACTGTTGGCTAACAGTTAACAACCTTGGAACATCCAGAGGTTATTTTTTCTTACAATATTATTCACTTCATTTATAAACTTTTTGAGAATTTGCTATTTGTAAGGCATAGAACTAGCTTTGCAGATGTCAAAAATGAATCCGACACAGACATCGCATTTATGAACTTATGGAGTCCATAAGAACTTATGGACCAATAAGCAGACAAGACAATAATGTCTTGTCAATATCCTGTTGTTTGCCACATTTACTACGCGATTGAAATCAATAAGAATACTATAAATAATTCTGTTTGCTTTTTTATTCAACGTACATAAATGTGCTGCTAGTTCTTTGAACAAAAAGAAAAAAAACTGAAAGCATCCCCATGCACACCATTCTAGGTTTCCCTAATCATATTCAAACACCTTTGAGCAACACCCTCAAAAGTCTAAAATCTTGCAGCAACTGAGCTGTAGGTAAAGCTGCAAGGCTTGCAAAAAAACAACAAAGAAACAAGAGTGAGGTATTGCAAGGAGGAATCCCAAAAAATAATCTCAATCTGAGTTTTCCCAATTTAAGATAAACTTTAAAATGTCTGAAGTGAAGAAAAGATGTGGACAGTTATGCAGGAACAAGCTGGGTCTCCTGCTGAATTTTTATCAGATTATCAACTGGGAAAGGCAGTGGTAAAAGTAGTAGAAGTTGAGGTTGATTTTATTTTTTAAAAGCCTGAGAACAAGATTAAATGGCCAAAGGCATATGAAAAGATCTTCAATGTTAGCAATCATCAGGGAGATGCAAATAAAAAACACAAGGATACAACAACTTATACCTGTTATCAAAAAAGACAAAGATGACACCTATTATCAAAAAAGGCGAAAGATGACGGATATTGGTGAGGTTGTAGGGAAGCTGGAACTCTTGAATACTGTTGGTGAGAATGCAAAATGGTGCAGCTGCCATGGAAAATAGCATGGAGGTTCTTCCAAAACTAAAAAATTGAATTACCATATGACCCAGGAATCTCACTCCTGGCTATAAATCCAAAAGAATTGAAATCAGGATCTCAAAGAGATGTCTGCATTTCCATGTTCATTGCAGCACTATTCAAGATAGCCAAGATGCGGAAATAACCTCAATGTCCCTCACCAGATGAATGGATAATAAAAAGTTGGTATATACATGCAGTGAGTATTATCCAACCTTCAAAAAGAAGAAGATTCTGCCATATGTGACAACATGGATAAACCTGGAAGGCATTTTGCCAATCAAAATAGGCCAGTCACAGAAGGACAAAACTGCATGATTCCATTTACATGAAGTGTCTAAAAAAGTCACACTCAGAAGTGAAGAGAGCAGAACAGTTGTTGCTGGGGGCAGGAAAGAGGAAAAAATGGGAGTTGATAATTAATGGGCATAAAGTTTCAGTTATGCAAGATGAAAAAATTCTACAGATCTGCTGTACAACACTGTGCCTACGGTTAACAATACTGTATTGGACCCTCAAAAATCTGTTAAGAGGGTAGATCTCATGTTAAATGTTCTTGCCATAATGAAATAAAAATTAAAAAGCCTCAGAAGTTATCCTGTTATAAACGGACTTGGTTAAATAGGTAGAAACAGATTCTCATTGGCGTTCTCATGGTGGTTTCTGCAAGGATTGTGGAGATGTCCATCTCCCTTATATTGGAGCAGTATTTCCAACTGAGGTGTGGAATTGGGGGATACAACTGCTTCTAAGCATTTATTGGCAATTGGAGAAATGGCTGGTGGCAGAGTCCATGGGGTAGAGCATCATTCTTGGTAGCTCTGGTGTGTGCATGCACATGTGCATATGCATGCATGCACACCAAACACACACACACACACACACACACACAGTGTGGAAAGACCTCGAGGTCTGTCCTAAATTTCATCAGAAGCCCCAGGCCACCTTGGACCTGCTCCTCCTGGTTGTAGAGCCCCTACGAGGCAGAAGCAGGCGGCTTTTAGTTTAAGCAGCCACTGTGGGCCAGCAGGAGGGGAGGCAGCCAGTGCAGCGACTGCTTCTGTGGCCATTTCTAAGGTGTGGTGATCTGATTAGTCCTAAAACCCCTTTGGTTCTTGTCCACATGTCTATCAATGTTTCTCTCAAACACAGACTAGAACCTTTAGAGGAGACCAAAAGCAGCTATCTCCACCGTTCCTTTCAATGTGGCTTTCACCTCCAGCCCTCTTGACCTTTTCCCTTTTCCTAGGGTGTGTTCTTTTGGGCCCAAATGGTTAGAGTGTGGTGACAACTGTTTCTCTCAGCTTTTTTTTTTCCTTCTTTTTTTTTTCTTCTTTTGAGATAGGGTCTCCTTATGTCACCCAGGCTGGAGTGCAGTGGAGCAATCATGGCTCACTGAAGCCTCAACCTCCCGGTCTCAATCAATCCTCCTGCCTCAGCCTCCTGAGTAGCTGGGACTACAGGCATGCACCATCATACCTGGTTAAGTTTTTTTTTTTCTGTAGACGCAGGGTTTCACCATGTTGCCCAGGCTGGTTTCGGACTCCTGGACTCAAGCGATCTTCCTGCCTTGGCCTCCCAAAGTGCTGGGATTACAGGCACAAGCCACCACACCTGGCCTCTCTGTGTTCCTTTGGAAAGAAAACTCCCAACCATCACAACCCCTAACTTTTGCTCTCGATGTTTCTGCTTTAGCTTAATATGGTGGGAGCTTTCAGGCCTTACTGTAGTGTCTGGTTTTTCAATACTTACTATTTGGCTTTTCAAATGACCTAAAGTTCCTATTTAAAAAATGGATATTAGAGTCTTAGAAGAAATGAAAAAAGTGATCATGAATGTGATTGGGAAAAATAATTACCGACAGACATCTTCCACCTCTTGGCTATTGTGAACAGTGCGGCTATAAACATGAGTGTATAAATATCTCTTTGAGATGTTGCTTTCAATTATTTTGGATATACACTCAGAATTGGAATTGCAGGATTATATGATAATTCTATTTTCAATTTTATGAGAAACTGCCATACTATTTTTCGTAGCAGCTGCACCATTTTATATTTCTACCAACAGTGCACAAGGGTTCCAGTTTCTCCATATCCTCACCAACACTTGATATTTGCTGAATGTAGAGTGTCTTGCTTGTTGGCTTTTGATAGTAACCATCCTGATGGATATGAGGCAATATCTACTGTAGTTTTAATTTGCATTTCCCTAATGATTAGTGCTGTGAACCGAAAGTCCCCTCCAAAACTCATGCTGAAATTTAATTGCCATTGTAGCAGTGTTTAGAAGCACGACCTTTAAGAGGTCATGAGGGCTCTGCCCTATAAATGAATTAATGCTGTTATCACAGAAGTGGGTTAGTTATTTCAGGAGTGGGCTCCTGATAAAGGGATGAGTTTGGCCACATTTCTTCTCTTTGTATTTTTTGCTCTCATGTTCTTCTGCCATGGGATGACCCTCATCAGATACCAGTGCCCTTGGACTTCTCAGCCTCCAGAACAGTGAGGTAAATAAATGTCTATCGTTTGTAATTACCCAGTCTGGATATTCTGTTACAGCAGCAGAAAATGGACTAAGAATTAGTAACGTTGAGTTTCTTTTCATATGCTTGTTAGCCATTTGTACATCATCTTTGAAGAAATGTCTATTCAAGTCCTTTGCCAATTTTTATTTGGGTTACTTTTTGCTGTGTTGTTGAGTTGTAGGATTTCTGTATACCTTCTGGATATTGACCCTTTATCAGATATATGATATGAAATTTTTTTCCATTCACTAGGTTGCCTCCTCACTCTGTTCATTATGTCAAATGTTAAATTTGAAGAAAATTGTAACACGGAAATCTCAAGGTCTAGAGTTTTAAATTTCCTCAACATTATAGAAAATAGATTTACTCCTTATACAAACAAGTCTGCCTCTGAATTTTCTAAAAACTATAGAACTCTAAATTTAGGAGACTAGATGTCAGGGTTGGAAGTTTCCAACTTTGATAAAGCACAGTGTATTTTTCCCCATAAAAAGCATGATTTTGCTTGATAAAAAAGAAGTGGTACGTAAAGGATGTAAAATAAACAGGCAGGTACAGATCCTGAGGCAAGCTGGCACCTAGAATAATGAAGGGAATGCAGAACAAACCATGTAAATACCATTGTAAAACACCAGGATTCTAATCTGGAAACCTAAAACAAGAAAAGGGGACCCTAATCAACTTACACAAAATCAGGAAGAATGAAGAGAGAGAACAGTCACAAGATAAGGTGATTTAAGATGTAAATTTGTTTAAGTAATTCATACAGGTTACAATCAAGTAAATCAGGAATGTTTATAGTGAAATACCATGAAGACTGCCAGGAGAACAATAGGCTTCCGAATAGCTGCTTTGTGGCTATAAGGGAATAGATGGCAGCAAAAAATCACAGAAAAAAGAAACAACAAAACTTACTTTATATTTTAAAATTTTAGCACACAAAACAATGCTTTATTTAAAAATTCAAAACCTGAGAGCACAGGAAATTGGACTCTTTTGACTCTCAATCGCCAGGCCTACCACATGGCCATTGGCAAAGAATTTGTCCAGAATACTCTGTTTTTCCAGCTGGAGAGTCAGTCTACAGCCTCAGGTGACCCTGGCTGTACAGCAGAAAAATGGATAACTCACAATATTCTAGTTCTGTTCCACACTGGAGGCCTACCCAAGTAAACTGGCAGGTGCCAGAGCAAATAGAAACATCAGATATTGATTCTGGAAACATCCCAGAATACTGACCTGGACCAAAGGGAACTTAGCATTATGGATGTAAATGAGGAAGGCAGCAACCTGTCAGAGGACTGCTAAGAGTTAGAGAGACCTGAAGAGAAAGACTTCCAAACCGGCCGAACCAGATCTGAGTGTCTGTTGGACAATGATCTCAATTTTTAAAGAACAGACCATTAGGCACAATCAGAAACTGACTTAGATTTCTATTTATCTTACACTAAAAAAAGGCAAAAACAAAAACAAACCAAGCTTAAGCAAATAAAATGGAGTATTTACAGCAGGCTGTGCTCTGCAGGAGAATCAAGAAAGTCTAGGCCACCTAACTCCGCTGCAAAGCATTCCTAGAAACACATGTAAAAATAGATCTTCATACAGCAGACTGTACCTTCTTGTAGGAATGAGATTGTAATTTGGGGTTGGCTTCCTGATCCAGGGTATGACCAACAATACATTATAAGGCAAAACTTCACATATGAATTTCTACAATTTTTAAAATTATAAAAGTGTGCTTCAAGTCCCTATAAAATGCACTTTACATACTGATTATATAAAAGCGAACAGGGCATGGTGGCTCATGCCTATAACCCCAGCACTTTGGGAGGCTGAGGCGGAAGGATCACTTGAGGCCAGGAGTTTAAGACCACCCTGAGCAATACTGTAAGACCCCATCTCTATAAAAAAAATCTAAAAGGTTAAGATAGGCATGGTGTTGTGCACCTGTAGTCCCAGCTACTCAAGAGGCTGAGTTGGGAGGACTATTTGAGCCCATGAGTTCAAGGTTACAGTGAACAATGATCATGCTACTGTCCTTCAGCCTGAGCAACGGAGAGAGGCCCCCATCTCAAAAAATGATAATAGGCCAGGTGGAGTGGCTCATGCTTATAATCCCAGCACTTTGGGAGGCTGAGGCGGGCAGATCACAAGGTCAGGAGTTCGAGACCAGACTGGCCAACATGGTGAAACCCTGTCTCTACTAAAAATACAAAAATTATCCGGGCCTGGTGGCGCGTGCCTGTAATCCCAGCTACTGGAGAGGCTGAAGCAGGAGAATAGCTTGAACTCAGAAGGCGGGGGTTGCAGTGAGCAGAGACCACGCCACTGTACTCCAGCCTAGGCGACAGAGCAAGACTCCGTCTCAAAAAATAATAATAATGATAAATAAACAAAACAATAATAAAAATGTTAAAAGCCAAATAAGCTCTAAACTGTCAACAGAGTACATAAAAATATAGATCTGTGATTTCAACTTTGTTTTATTTTACAAAATGTGCTGCTACAACATAGATAACACAACTGCCTGTATTTATTAAGCACTTACTAAGTGTCCCCACAAACTAAGAGCTTTATCTGCATCATCTTATTTGATCTTCTCAATGAATCTATGGGGAAACTGAGGCTTAAAATGGCAACATCACTCATCCAAGTACAATTATTTAAATAAGTGACTGAATTGCAATTTAAACCCAAGGCATCTAATTCTAGAGCTAGTGAAACAAAGCTCTGAATTAGGGTGAAACAAAGTGAATTTCAAGCATGTCATAAATCTATGGAGTTTGAGAGCCTAAAGAGGCATCAGATAACATTTAGCTCAGTTCCTTTATGTTATAGATAATGATCATAATTTCAAGAGAAGTGAAATTACTTATAAGTGTTTCTTAGTGACAAAGCCAAGGCCAGAATTCTATTGATTTCCAAATTAATTTTTTTTCCACTTTATCCAGTTGACTCAAGACAGTCTCTTCTCACTTTAGTCCAGCAATTTTAAGATGTGTACAATTTCCATATACAGAATGACTATTCAAGTTCCCTGAAGGAATACTGCAGTCCCAATTGGTTACCTAATTAATCTATTACTTCAAAACTTTGTGGTTTAAAACAACGAACATTTACTGTCTCAGAGTTTTTGTGGGCAGGAATTCAGGATGGGCCTTGCTGGGTTGTCCTAGCTCAGGGTTGCTCATTCACTTTCAGTCAGGCTCTTCATGGGTCAGGACTGCAGGCAGCTGACTGGGCTTCCTCACTTGCCTGTTGGCAGGAAGCCTTAGCTCTCGCCACGTGGGCCTTTCCATTGGCTGTTTGAGTGGCATGGCACCTGGGGGCAGAGGGGACATTGTTCAACTTTTTGAAGTGGGAGGAATATCAGAGAATTTGTGGGCAGATTTTAAAACCACATCTACCTAGCAGACATTTTCTTCTTTTTCTTTTTTTTTTTTCCTCCGAGTCTTAGTTTGGTTTGGTGGTCCTCCTCACTCCTGTGTAACCTGGAGGTAAATTTTAATTAGTCTGAAACAATCATGGCAATCCTGTAAGGGACATAGGATTCAATCTCAGCAAGAATATATCAAGAGATGTCTGCTGGAGGCTTTATGAGAATGGGTTTTGTACACCAAAAGTAAAATCCTAAGCCCCCCAGCCAACTGGTGGACCCCCTTCTCAGCCAAGGGCATTCCAGAGAAATCTGAAAAACTAATTCAGCTCATGGTGGGAAGGGGGGTCATTAAAACAGAGGCCTTAAGACTGACAAAACAGACTCTTTGTAGCAAAAGATACCAACATGATAGCTAGCAGGCCCTGACATAAACTGAAGTATATTACCCCAAAATACATTTCTTTGACATATTTTGAAATGGCCCTGCAAAGCCATTTGCAGGGGGAAAATCTACATTCTGTAGAGAATCCCTTTCCCTTTCCAGGTCTTTTCCCTGATCCAGGAGAGATTTTACCAAGAGTCTGGCACATTTTTAAGTCTCATAAAAAACATTTATAATCTATTCTCTCTGAAGCCTGCTACCTGTAGTCTTCATCTGCATGACAAAAGCCTTGGCCCTCAAACCCTTATCCTAACCCAGACACTCCTTTCTGTTGATTCCAGGTCTTCAGATAATAGCTTAACTTTTTCAACCAATTGCCAGTCAGAAAATTTTTGAATCCACCTATGACCTGTAAGCATCCCCACTTCAAGTTGTCCCACCGTTCTGGACCCAGCCAATGTACGTCTTACATGTGTTGATTAATATCTTATGTCTCCCTAAAACATATAAAACCAAGCTTAAGCCCAATCACCTTGGGAACCTACTCTCAGAACCTCCTGGGTCTGTGTCACAGGTCATGGTCCTCACATTTGACTCAGAATAAATCTCTTCAAATATTTTAGAGTTTGGCTCTTTTCTTACTCTTAAAAAGAGGCACATAGGAGGAGATGGCATCTTCCATCTGGGATCTTTTTGTGTCTCGATGGGACATCTGGAACTGCTGCAGCCATCGTGCAACCATCAGGAGAGCCAATCTGAGGACAGAGGTAATGTGTTCAGGGGATGGCAGAGAGAAGACCTGGAGAGAACCTAGGTCTTCATGGTGGTGTCCAGTTACTCTCTTAACCAATCTTGGAGAATATTCCCAACCTCTGCCCTTTTTATTACATGAGATAATACATGGCCTTTATTGTTCAGGACATTTTAAGTTGTGCTTTCTGTTGCTTTCAGTTAAAAGCCATCTAATATCCTATGTAAGATTTAATTCCTGCTCCAAAATGTGGAGTTGCTGCTTTTCTTGGCCTAGTCCCAGGCCAGAGCTGTATAGCACTTAATAGTTCAGAATCTAGAGTGAATAACACAGACTCAAAAGGGCTTTCCAGAATACAAGGACAAAAAATTGGTTTTCCCCATTCAGCCATTACACCCTCACCCCGCCCCCCGCAACAGTTTCCAATTATTTTCCATTCATCTTTGGAAATTAAGTTTGGGGTAATGAGAAGGAAGGGAAGGGAGGATAAATGCTTGACCTACTGGCATTCCTCTGCTCACTCTGTACTTATCACCTAAACTGTCTTCTCTCTTGTCCCTTCTAACTAGCTAAGTCTAACTTCCTCTTCATGGTTTTTCAAGTCACTTCTTGTTCAATAAATTTGAGAGCAGTGCAGTTCCTTTCACATTGATCTGTAATTCCTCTGGAGTCATAGTAACACATTTGCTAATCACCTGGAGCCATCTCTCGGGTTATATATTCCACATTGCTTTTCTCTTGTTTATTTCTTGCCCTCCCTTGTACATTCTAAATTTCCCTGAGGTCAGAGACTCCATATGGTGCCTACCTGCATATGGTAGATGTTTATAACTAGGTCTTGATACACTGATTTAAAGGATAAGTGAAAATGTGGGGACAGAAAGAAGACAAGAAGAGGAAAATCTAGGAATGCATGTAATCTTGATTTGGCCTATCTTGGAATTTACAATGTCTGGATCTGGTTGCAGTGTGATGCAGATGCCTTAGGATTCTTAACACAATCGTGTTATTTTTCAGTCATAACTGCACATAGATATCAGAAAAGGAAGATGGGGGAAGCTGAACTGAGTCATGAATATAGATTTGCTGGGATTTCAGAGCTAGCCCCTGTTCTCCATTTTTCCACAGAATTTCCTAGGAGTATTTGCTAATACTCTTGGTCATGGCTTGTTTCACTTAAATGTGTTTTCAGCCTGGTCCCTCTAAGCAGTGGTTCTAACTGCTGCTCCTCAGGGTATAAAATAACAAGTAAAAGCAGTTGACACCACCGACCGTAATTTTTGCCAAGAAATTTTTAAGCAAGTTCCAAATGGACCTGATGAATGCTCATATATTAGAGTACTGGACAAGGAAATTTCCAGGGACAGTAGCCTCTGCTGGCACCTCTTCCAGCCCTAAAGAAGTGCCATTTACCCAACAGGCTTCTGCCAAATGCTTCACTGCTCCCTAGAGTAACATATATTTACCTTCAGGGTTGTAGCCAGAGCTGTAAACTGCATGTTTTCAGTCCCCTAGGAAGGGGAATGTCTCAATAGAAATACGTTCAGTGCATCTAGGGACCCCTTTCTAAAATTTTTTCTTTGTAATCCTTTGTGACCTTAAGTTGATTCTTTGAAGTTTTATCTCAGATATACAGGATGCAGGAAGATGCTTACAATTCAATCAGATGTCAGGATTCTGTTTCTTTATATGCAAAGAAAAAAACTGGATGAAAAATTATTTAATTAAAACATACGGTCACAGTTCTTTCTGGACAACTTCTGGTAGTGATGCATCTGCAAAAAAAAAAAAAAGAAGAAATCTCAAAGCAACCAGATTTCTTCTTTGTTCTCTCTCTCAGATTTTCCTCTTTTGTTTTTTCACATTTGTATTTTTTTCCAACACCTGTAAGAAGTACTTTCTCTGTCCCCTTGTCTTGTTTGTAGAATTATCAGCAGTATTGCTCCTGACTGATGACCTCAACAATAAACAAATGTTTGAACAAGGCACATGCCCCTTGTTTCAGCTTTTATATTTCACTCTGGCTCTTTATTTCCCTTTAGAACCATGATGGTCAGAGCATACACATTTTCTGATATTTCTTCAGAATATTATATCAGGACACTGCTTTCATTTCCTTTCTTCATAAACTCTCGATTTCTACCAAATGGCTTCTGTGGTGAAAGAGTCTTTGGGCCTCCCTGTTGCCCATACCCAACCTTTGAGCCTAACAGTAGTTCTGGCTGGAGGATGCCCTTTAGCTCACAGTTAAGAACAAGGGGGCATTTTACCCCACCGCTGGTCTAGTTAATTTACAAACAAACAACAGAGCAAATGGCCCAGCTGCTGCGTGGGCCTTTTCCTGTGTCCATGTCTCTGACCCCCAGAGGAGTGGGTTTCCCATCACTACTAATGTCAACTGGTGCCTGATCATGATCCTGACTGCCCCTCAACCTTTGTTTTGAGTGATATGAATGTAATCCCATATATAACCAGACTCTAAATCTGAATTCACAAAGAACTATAATTTTCAAAATGACAGTGGCTGCTTCTTAACTCTTAGCAGTAATTCTTAAATCTTAGTGTGTTTCATAATGCAAACTCCCTGTTCCTTACCTCAGATAATTGAAACAGATTGTATGGGAAAGTGATTCCCAGGAATCTGTATTTTCAATAAGCAGCCCTAGGTACTCATGATGAAGGGAATCTAACAGACTAGTCTGGAAACATTGTCTTAGAAAGTGTATTTTTCTGGTTCTAATGATTGATAGGGAAAAAATGCTTATTTTAATAATAGTTTATTTTATTGGAAGATTTCATTCATCCAACAAATTATGTGCCAGGTTTGCACATTGTACGAAAACACTGGGATTAGTAATACAGCATTTCTCCCATCAAAGAACCTCAAATAATCCACTAGTTTCTTTTAACCTAATGATCTAATATTTAAGAGCTCAGGCTCTAGAGCCAAGCAGACCCGACACTGCCAATTACTAGTTGTGCAACTTGAGCAAATTACTGAAACCTTCTGAGCCTGTTTCCACATTTGAAAATGGGGATAATAATACCTACCTCATAAGATTTGTTGTGAGGAGCAAATAAGATAAGGCACGTCAAGGGTTCAGCACTTCTGATAAATGCAAGAGGAAGATAAGAGGGAAGGTCGCCTGAGAATCTCCGACAAGCATGCGCACTGGGAGGATGGGGTGGAGCCACAGGAAGTTCTAGCCCATTGCAGCGGGGAGGAGCCTGGGCTCTCCTGTTCCTAGGTGGGAACCTGGGATTCAATCTGTGAGGCAGGAAATCTGCTAACAGGACTCTCTCTTGCTTTGTGGAGAATTATTTTTCCTTTTACTTTTTGCCCACTAATTTCCATTTTTCCTCACCCTTCAAAGTGTCTGCATGCCTAACTCTTCCTGGTCATGTGACAAGAACCTGGTTTTTGCTTTTTTCTACAACACTTCTTTCACTCAAGTGTCTGGAACATAATAAGTGGTCAGTAAATGTTAAATAAGGATGAGGATGGCTAATGATAATCATGATATGACAACAAAAATACTATTTATAAGAATTAATTAGCTTCTTAAGAGTCTTACAAAGATAAATCCGTTTTCCTTCTCATATGAGGAAATTTTGCATTATTTCTTCTGACAGATATGCTACACAGACTTCACACCCCCAACTCAAAAGAGTGACCACTTATAAAAAATACGTATTTTGGGGGAAATCTAAAATCTGCCCATAGGAAACAGTCACAGGAAGTTCTTATTCCTTGGCCTCAAGAACCTCTCATTTGCCAAAAACGAATAGAAGATCTATAGAACACAAACTAATTTAAAATAAAATTCATTATAACTTTAGTCCAATAGGTGAGGTAAACAAGAAAGATTACTTCCAAAACATTTCTAATTCATAAGCATTTACGGAATAACTTTCTATATACATGCTCAAAACCATTCCTAAATGTAAGATTTGTTTCTTATATACATGTACACAACAACTGAATTATTTAATAATAATTCTGGTAGTTTTTGAATAAGTTTCAAAGTCAGTGCTACAGACAGTGAGTATTCTGGGAGTAAACAGAAGGAAGGGACATGGTGGGCAAGGAAGGTTCTGGAAAATAGAGGGTAGATTTCAGCAAGGCATTGAAATATGGGTGATAAGACTGGAATAAGGAGAAGATCTGTGCATGGGAGTGAAGCACCCCCTACCAAAGCAAAAAAAAAGAGGAAGGAGAATGCACTAGAGCATACCACATACCAAGTGAGGGAATGGCATTTTGAGTGACAGAACCAGATTCTCACACATGCTTGTCAGTTGGAGCCAAGCACAAAGAGGGATGAGAAAGAACATTGACCCCACAAAGATGACTGCGTCTCAAAGGAGGTTTCTAATCTAAAACACAGAACCAGTTTTCCCCAATGTACAGGCTGCCTACTAGAAGTAAATTAATTAACTTTGGAAGTTATTGTTATCTACTTTGATTTAACTACCATTATGTCTATCTTATTTGATGGGGGACCCAGTGCATGCAAATTTAATTTTCAAAACACACTGTAGCTATAAACATATAACCCAATTTTGATATTATACATTTATGTCAGTTGCTTACATCCAATCGTACCTACATGTGTATATGTCAGATTAATTTTGAATACCATATTTGGCTATAATATTTTACTGTGTTTATTCAGACTTTACAATATCATAATTTCTCCTATCTTCTGAAAATATTAGAGACATCCAAGTCAGGTGTGACCAAATTACATTTGAAAAAATTATAATTTACAATTGAATATCTTAAAGTCTATTTGACCAATGTCATTGGAGAATAAAGTTGCTAATATAGAGTGATCCAAACATATGTCATCAAAATACTTTCTCTGTAAACCATGAAATCCTCATTTTGACATTAATTTTGTGATGTATAGTCAACAGTAATATGATGAAAGAATTTGGAATGGATTATTGTGTTGTTTAAAAACCTGTACGGAAAACAATGTAATGAATATTGAAGTATGAACAAACTGCTATAATGCTACTGCTGCTGCTGCTGAAAATTATGGTGATGCCTAAACTTATTAGCATTCACTACCTACCTGGCACTGTTCTAAGTGCCATACACACATATGCATATATATTTATACTTCTTTACTTTGTTAGTGAGTACAAACACTATATAGAGACAACTAGCTTCTAATTTTTTCCAAGATGATGAGTTTCTACATTAATCCTGCATAAATTAATATATAAATATAAGTATGAACATATGCTTATAAATGTCCTTACTGAATGTAGTTCTAATGCTTGTGAGGAGATGAACTGAATGGAAATTGAAGAGTAAGGATTATTATATAGTCACAAAAATGAAGAAAATAAAAATATTATGAGTATAAAATTACATTAGTTTTCAATTTTTTATTGTGTTTATATATAATTCTATTAAATATGTGATATTAAAATTCAAAGTGAATGGAACACTAACTGAATATCTCAGGCCTTTGTGTTATACTGTGCAATTTTTATTTGAAATGTTTACCTGAGTCTTAATTTTGTCATTTTTTTAAAATGGGAGAATTGCATTGCTAATATAAAGTGATCCAAACATAACTCATGAAAATGGTTTCACCCTCTCTGTAAACCATGAATTTGCTGTAGCTGTATCTAGATTTTACTAAAATTCCCAGATAGATCTAACTAACTTTAATTTACAGTTATGATCAAAAAAGCAGATGACTATGTTGCAAGAACAATCTCTGAAGATTGTGTATTAACATAGCTTAAAGAGTAATTAATAAATACAGTAAAAACTTAATCTCAACTCCTGGTTTCCTGTCTGGCATGTAAGGAGCTTGGGAGTTGTCACTTCCATTCTCACAAGAAAAATGCTGAACAAACTAAACATCAACAACTTTTCTTAGATCCATGGGAGAACAGAGATCACAGGACAAACTGCTGCCCCAGAATTGAAAGACAGACATTCAGGTACAGAGAATCTCAATTTATAGGAATAGAAACCCAGGGGCAGGAACCACCACAGGAATCAACCAGGGTAAGAAAACCAAACTATAATTGTCAACTTGCTAGAGGCTAAGTGTGGACAAACTTGAGGGATAAAAGCTGCAGGGGGAAGGGGACCATACCTTCATAAGTTTTACCTTTAGGAGCTCCACCAGGTTCTCATCGTGAGTGTAGGAAGAAAATCTCTTCATGCTTCTGACACAGGGAGGGAGAAAGTAGCCATTTTTAAATATGTCCAGAACATTCTGTTCTTTTTAACAAGGCCTGCCTTCAAGGCAAATTATTTTACCAGAGTCTAACCAATCTAGAGGAAGGGAAACACCTGAATTTAGCTTCTACTAGCCTCGGATTTCACTGGGAGAGGGAGGGCAACTGAGAAGCATATGTGAAGATGACAGCCCAGGGGCACAGGCTCTCTAAAAGACTGAGAACTAATCCTAGGACTATAGAAAACTTCTTTTCCACACCTTACCACTGCATCAACAGGGCTTCTGTATAACAACAGGGAATTACAGCTGTAATCTGAATATCTCAGGCCTTATTTAGAAGAAATCTCTAGGGAAATCCAAGAACAACAGAGGAAACAAAAATAAGGACACAAGAGGAAATTTTTGCCTCTGATCTACAACTCCAGGAAACAGTAAACACAGCCTAACGCTTAGCCAAATAAACATAAAACCTCACACTAAAGTCCTATTTACTTCACTTCCTTTTACCCAATATATCATGTCTGGCTTTCAATACAACTTAATTTCATGCATTTAAGGAGGGTCATCATTGTCATTCTGCTGTTTGGTCTTAGGCACAGAAGACCAAATATATTAAATGTATATATTATACACACATACTTATTCATTCATTTATTTATAATTGTGTTACCTTTATATGGTCAGAGGGTTAACATTTTCTTTCTTTCCTCATCTTATTAATTCACTAGCATCAAAGGCCACAGATTTACTGACACCAGGTGAAGATTTTTTCTTCATACACTAAAGTTGTCATCAATCTTCACTCCTAGCCTCTTACTTTATTATTCCCTCTTCACTGCCACCAACTTATCTCAGGTTTGAGGCAGTGTCTGAAGCAGGAGCTCCAGCTACTTTCTAGAAGAGCAGCCACAGGATGCTAGGCACCAAAGGCCTTTCAGATAGTGGTAACTGACCCATGAGATTGTGGACAATTTGCTGCCATAAGGCCTTCTTGACATTTCTCAGAGTGACACTTCGTGAAATTAAGGACAGGCAAGGGAGGCTCACCCTATTGACAAGAATAGGACTGTGACTGCCTTGCCTGATGACTCTTGATAGGAACAGTGGAAACTATTCTATTCAGTCAAATTATTAGATTTCATTTAAAAATGAATTCATTGTGCATTCCTGGAATGCTAAGACCATGTCACATGCCTCTGTGCATCCCACACAGCTAGTTAGTACTCAGTAAAAATCACTGAGGCTGGACTCAGTGGCTCACACCTGTAATCCCAGAACTTTGGGAGGCTGAAGTGGACAGAGTTCGTGAGTTCGAGAGCAGCTTGGCCAACATGGTGAAACCCTGTCTCTACTAAAAATACAAAAATTATCCAGGCATGGTGGCGCATGCCTGTAGTTCAAGTTACTCAGGAGGCTGAGGCAGGCGAATTGCTTGAGCCCAGGAGGCAGAGGTTTCAGAGAGCTAAGAATGCGCTACTGCACTCCAACTTGGGCAACAGAGTGAGACTCCATCTACAAATAAATAAATAAATAAATTAAAAAAAAAAAAAGAAAAAAAAAATCATTGAAAGGAGTCTTGGGTTCTGAGGCATGAAGTCATAAAGGAGATTTGAGAGGGTGGCCCAGGCACTGCCTGAGGTCTTTGGGTCCCTCTCAAGCAGTGTCTCTATTCCTTATCACTCTGTCATCACCTGGGCCTCTCTCTGTTCACCTGTGCCATTCCATGCTTCATGCTTTCCATGTGTCCATAACACTGTGAACACATCCAGGATACAATGCCTTCAACAATGGGGATCTCAGTGGACACTGAGAAATTTATAAAATGAACCACAGTTAAGACTGAAATTAATCATTACTGGATCAAAAATTAACTATAATGAAGTGTTTGAAGATGAGCAGCATCTGTCCACCACAAACAAGACTGGAGTCTAGAAACCAGAGTAAAGGCAGAAATTTGAGGTATATCACTCACCTCTAAGAATATCATCATGATTATGACTATATCAGCTCTGAGGACATTAGAATACCACTATATCAAAAGGTAGCCCAAGTCCTTAAAACCACACTCAAAAGCATTTCTGGATACCAGGAGCTGCTAATGTGGTTGGTGAAATCATGTCCCAGGCATGTACTTCCAGTAAATACATGAAAAATATCCCTGATTTTACCCTAAAAAGTGTTATTCTCACACCAATGTTATCAGAGCTTCAACTATATTTTAAGTAGAATCTTGAAATACATTGTAATAAAGAACCCTGAAAATAATGTTAACTTCAAAAATAATAACAAGCAGTGAGTATTTACTAAGCACCAGGAACTGTGTTATTCGATTTATAGGCATTCTCTCATTTATCAGTCACAACAATTTTATGAGAAATATACTAAAATTATTCCCAATTTACAGATGAGTAATCTGAGATGTAAGGAGGTTAATTACCTTGCTTGTAATCAGCTGAGAGCTAAAGCTTGAATTCAGCATTGTTAAACGCATCCTCTTAAATAGTGTGTGTTAGCTCAGGTCTTCCAAGAAATCGACTTCAAGAAGGTTTTAGCCGTGTAAAGTTTTTCTTTTCTTTTTTTCTTTTTTCTTTTTTTTTTTAGGGAAACCGTCTGTGCGAGAGCAAAAGAGCTAAAGAAGCATGAGCGCCATAGGGCACAAGGCCAGAGTGACCTGGCGAAGGCGCCGGGGCTGGCGGGGCTGGCGGGGCTGGCGGGGCGGCGGGGGAGCCCGGAGTCCCTGGGGGCAGGCGGTCGTCAGGGAGGGGTCTGTTGAGGCGGGCGGCGCGGGGCCCCAGGGAGACGCGTTGCCTTTGCTATTGGAGGGGCAAAATCTAACTTATCAGGAGGATTTTCATTTCTCAAGATAGAAACCTGAAAACCCACAGCCTGAGTTCCCGGAGCTGCTAACTCCCTCTCCTGCCACAGAGGCGTGGAAACGCCGTGGGGTCGGAGTAGCTTCCACTAGGAGCCCCGCGGTCCCCAGCGCCCAGGAGAGGAGGCCTGCGCGGCTTCTCCCCGCGCCCCAAAGAACGTTCTTCTGCAGATAGTCCCCTGGGTTCCCAGAAAGCCCTCACTTGAGAGAGGGGCTTCTCCTGGCCATCTTCCAGAAAGTTCTCCATGAGGCATTTCCTGCGCCCTGGAGCCCATGGAAACAGGCAGGCAGTTGCAGGAGGGCGTCCTCGCTGAACACGAGGCTGGGACACCAGCGGCTCTTCATCTTCCCTCTCTGATATTTTCTGTTGCCCCAGTCAAGCCAACCTTTGTTTTCCCACGAAATAAAGACAAATACGACAACCGTTTCCTTGATTTTGTTCAAGCCTCAGGAAAGGCGGGCTTTGTCCACCGTCCTGCACCCACTTAGACAGGGACTGGGCCAGGTGTGACGTGTTAATCTTCTGAGCTCTGGCTCCAGCTTAGGCTGTGTGCACACAATATGCATGCAAGGGCACTCAGTGGAGCCTTTGGAATATATAACATATATTCTTGTATATCAACACGCACACAGTAACATACATACATGTTCATTAAACTACCTGAACGAAAGGGTGAACCCTGCTTCTCCCTGGCGGGCCGAGCACCACAACGCAATGCATGCATCATTTATCAGCTTTTGACCTCTCTATGGTGTTCGCCTGATGACTTCGGGACATACCTTCTGCTCTCCCACCACCTCCCAATGCAAATTGGAGAATGAACAAATGGAAAATATATGGGACAACTCTCATTTGTGACTAACAGGAACAGAGTGACAGAAGAAGCTCAATGGAACAAGAGGCAGTTGGACTCTTGGACGCTGGGAACAAACTGCCCCAGCTTCTCATCTCAGCTAAGGGCAGCCACGCAGTGGGGAGTTAGCCAACTTGAAGAAATTGAGGTAGAATTCTGGACAAAACAGTAACCAAAGCTTAAAGCCTTCAAATGAAATGTATTTTTGCATTTAGTCTTATTTTTTAAAGGAAGAATTGCCTTGCCAGATTATATTGTTTTATATAAATTTGTTTGCTTGCTTAAGGACAGGTAATATTTTTACTATTGTCTTGAAAGTAGTGTTTAATTTTACTGCTTCTATAGAACTCAAAATGATTCACTCTTTCATGATCTATCACTGTCTCTTGCAAAGGGTAAGGATTGGCTTTTTAAAGAGCAGAGATTTCACAGTTAGTACTTCCATAAAGCAGTGTTTAAACTGCCAAAGATGGCATAAAAAATAAATTTTCGTCCTCCTCCAATGTCTCAAATTCATCAGGATTGTGTGCTGTGGGTGGAAGTGGAGGAGGAAGGGAAGGGCGGTGGTGAGGGAGAGTTGAAAGGCCAGGAGTTCTGAGGTTATAAATATACAGTACAATAACCCGAGGTCACAACCAATGCTGAGACAGCAGCAGCACTCCAGGTTGAGGGGCAGACCTCGGAATGCTTGGAGTTTCTGTTCACTCATGCTTTCTTCCCTCCCCGCCCTCAAATCTAGCCAGCAATGAAATCCTTCAAACCACTTACAGTTAGGAAAGCTCAAGACATTCCACAAGTTCCTGGTTTTGACATGGTTAAAAATAACAGAAAATAAAAAGGGATCTCACAGAATTTATAGTTCTAGAGCTGTGGAATAGAATCAAGAAATATAGAATGATGATGGTATTTAGCTCTTACACAGAGCTTTTCATGTTCAAAGGACACAATAAACAAAAACTAATTTTCACTGCAATGTTGTGAAGAAGTACACAAGTATTATGTTCGTTTTATGACTATAGGACCTGAGACCAGCCCACAGAGGCCCAAAAGAACCTTGGAAAGTGGCCTCCATGGGCTTTGTTGGTGTAGGTGGTTTAGTCTTTCCTCCAGTTTTTTTTATTTTTCTCTTGTCTCCTGCATATTGCTGTTAGTTTAACACTCCTTGGAATTCAGTTTTACAACACTGGCAGCTTCTAAAGATATATGTATATCTGCTTACCAGATGGAAGGCAGGCCTCTGTAACAGATATGAGACAGGCCTGGATTGGAATCCCAGCTCTGTTACCTCCTCTGTGTCCTTGGCTAAGACTCAGTTTTCTCATCAATTACACGGCGAGCCATTGCAACTTCCGTTTTCTCCTAGCCACTAAAACTAAGGACTTCCCTTCCATATTTCAGCCACCCCCCGAAGTTTTCCAGAACCCACTTTCTCCATTCTCCTTCTGTGGGCTCTGTGTCCCCACCCAAATCTCATCTTGAATTGTAATTCCCATAATCCCCACGCATTGAGGGAGGGACAAGGTGGGAGGTGATTGGATCATGGGGGCAGTTTCTCCCATGCTGTTTTCATGATAGTGAGTGAGTTCTCATATGGTCTGATGGTTTTATATGGCAGTTCTCCCTGCTCTTGCTAGCTCCCTCTTGTTGCCATGTGAAGAAGGTCTTTGCTCCCACTTGGCTTCTGCCATGATTGTAAGTTTCCTGAGACCTCCCCAGCCATGCGGAACTGTGAGTCAATTAAACCTCTTTTCTTTATAAATAACCCAGTCTAGGGCAGTTTTTGATAGCAGTGTGAAAATAGACTAATATACCTTCTTTGCTAATACATCCCAGAGCCTATTAATTGAAAGAGAGAGCACAAGTAAGAGACTGATCCCAAATTGGGTTGTGCCTCAGAATTAGTTGGAAGGCTTGTTAAACCCATCAAGGTCCCAGCCCCATCCCTAAAGATTCTGACCCCATAAGGGCCCTAGAATTTTCTTGTTATTGTTTTGTTTCATTTCATTTTTAAATATCCAGGTAATTTTGATGCAACCCAGAATATTATACCAGCAACCAAATCTCTCTTAGCACCCTCAGCTCCAGGATTAAGGACCTGCTAGGAGGTTTCCAGCATAATGCTGCCTTCTGTCTTATCACCCTCCCTGACTTTAAACCTGAGGTCAGCCTTTCCAAATCAGTGCGCCTCATTTCTAACGCTTGTTCTCTACTTGAAATGAAAGGAAGCAGAGTGATGTTAAGAACAACCTTGAGGAGGAAGAAGAAAGGGGAGAGAACAAGGGCATTGCTTTTGCAAGGGGAAGGAGACTCCCGTGTCAGTGCAAGGACTTGCATGTCCTGGAAAATCAATCTTGACTTCTTTGTTTGTTCATATGATTTTACCTTTTAAAATTTAGCAAATACTTTTTGAGTGTGCATTATATGCTGAGCACTATGACAAGCATCAAGGAAACAATGAATGAGATGGAGGCTGCCCACAAGATGTTCACAGCATAAAGGAGAAGAGAGAGAAAAACCACAAACTAAAACATGATCTTATAAGTACATATGCTGGCCGGGCATGGTGGCTCACACCTGTAATCCCAGCACTCTGGGATGCCTAGGTGGAAGGATCACTTGAGAGCAGGAGTTTTGAGACCAGCCTGCACAACATGGTGAAACCCCATCTCTACTAAAAATACAAAAATCAGCTGCGTGTGGTGGCTCATGTCCGTAATCCCAGCTACTCAGGAGGCTGAGGCAGGTGAATCGCATATACCTGGGAGACAGAAGCTTCAATGAGCTAAGATCAAGTCACTGCACTCCAGCCTGGATGACAGAGTGAGACCGCATCTCAAAAAAAAAAAGTACATATGCTGAAGAAAGCACATATGGATTGGGAACACAGAGGAAGGAACAATTAGGATAAGGGAACAGAGAAGTCATAGTGGATAAGATGTCACATTGAGAGGGACATGAAAGTTAAATTCATGAGAGGTGGAAAGGCATGTAAATCAGAGAGAAGTTATCAGCAAAGATCCTGAAGCATGAAAATGCCCAGATCCCTAACATCTGTCTTAAACCATTAGCCCACCCAAGACAGGACAAGGCCCTGCCACTTGAATGGAAGAAGCACACAGCCATGAGAACATTCTCAGGTTTACCTAACTTTTTTTTTTTTTTCAAACTTTCATGTTTTCAAACTAATTTTCAGCATCACATTGAAATTTCAGGGAAACAATTTCAGTACTTTCATTTAAGATTCTGCTTTAGTAATATTCACTAAATAATAGATAGTTGAGTCATTAATGATTTCCTAGTACTCCCCAATTTTGTGACTTGCTTTGCTGCTATTTGTGTTGGGTAATTCCTTACATGCTCCATAGGTTAGTAGTATCCGTGTCATTTTATAGATGAGGGAACAGGCATGGAAATTTGGAGACTTTTCTAAGTTTATAAGTATCAAATAAGAATCAAATTAATTATCTGACAATATGTTCCATTTAAGTATACAGAAAACTTGTGTGAATAAACTTTAAATGAAGAGTTAGAAAGCTGGATTTTCATTTCATTACTACTATAATCTCACTGAAGAAAATCTATTAACCTTTTGCAGCCTATTTTTGTCATTTGTAAAATGGAGTTAATAATACCTGCCTTGGATCCTCTTCTCATAAACCTTGAAAAGGTAAATGAGATAACTTTGATGTGATGCTTTGCATGCAGAAGCAGAGCACAAAATAAATACAAGGCATGGCTTTTATCACTAGCAGTTAAATGACCCAGCTAGGCCACAGCATCAAAGGGATACCATAACCATTTTTTAAAAAGAATAAGAGGTAGTTTCCGATATAAGTAACAAGAGGCGGGAAATTATTTTTATCAGCTGACTTTACCTATTTTAAAAGGAGAAATAAAAACATTAAATGTAGGATTATCATATGATCCAGCAATGTCACTTCTGGGTATATACCCAAAAGAAGTGAAAGCAGGGACTTGAACAGTTATTTGTAGACCACATTTTAGCAGCATTACTTACAATAGCCAAACGATGGAAACAACTCAAATGTCCATTGACACATGAATGGATAAATACAGTGTAATATAAACCACATTGGAATATATGATGCAATATCATTCACCGTTAAAATGAAAGCAGATTCTGATACATGTTACAACATGGATGAATCTTGAGGACATTATACTAAGTGAAAATGAAACAGTCACAAAAAGGCAGATGCTGTAGGATTCCACTTATATAAGGTACCTAGAGTAGCCATAGAGACAGAAAGTAGAATGTTGGCTGCCAGGAGGTCAGGGAGAGGAGAATGAGGGGTTATTGTTTAATGGGTATGGAGTTTTAATTTGGGGTGATGAAAAAATTCTGTAGATGGATGGTGGTGAGGGTGGCAGAACAATGTGAATGTACCTAATGCCACTGAACTGCATACTTAAAAATGGTTAAAATGCTAAATATTCTGTTATGTGTATTTTATCCCAATAATAATAATAATAATAAATCTAGCTCATAAAAAGGAGGAAGAGAACAAGCCCACACTCAACTCAGAGTTTAGAGATCTAAATTGGCTTCCAGCTTAATTTCACTGTTACATATCTTGGATAAGATACATAGGTTCTCCTCAGTTTTCATTTCTATTATATAAAGACAATAGTACCTTCTTTACATGTTGTAAGGATTAAATACACATAAAATATTCTATAAACTCTGACTTCTATACAATATAAAATATTGTATTCTATCTTACCAGTTTGGGAAGTGAACAATTTTAGAAGCAAAGAAACCTGAGATTCAAAGAAGGCTGTGAGTGGCAGAGCCTGGTCTGGGACTGAAGGTTCTTGCATCCACTCCAGCACAGCCTGCTGCCTTTCTTATTGCTTTGTTTTCTTAGGAAAGCAAAACAAAGTGAAGCCAGCCCCAAGTAGCCTACCACCACCATCTGACTTACTGGTCCTCATACAAATTCTTCTCAGGTTGGCAGTGCCGGGAATTTAATGATAGACTGAGGAGAAGAAACATTTCTTTCTGTGGGGACACTTGGAAAAAACTATCCTCTTGTTTATCTGGATTCTCTTTTATTTCATAAATCATGTCATTCATTCATCCCAGTTGACCTACCTCAGTTCATTTAATTTTTCATCCTGCAAAATGTTCTTAATGTCTTGGTTCCTAAGGAAAAAGTTTTGGGAGTGGAGAGGGGAAGATGTTCAGCCTTCTCAGTGCTGAGGCTGGGAGAAGGGCAGGGTTAAATGTGACCCATCACCTCTCGCTTTGGCCAGAACAGACCCCTGTCAGTTAGCCACAGGGCCAAGAGACTGCACAAAGCTCCACACCTGCACTCCTCATGTCCTTATCCCCATGGCAGTATAAGCCATATCACGTTTCATGTTCCAACTCATGTTCCAAAGGAGCAGCTCTCAATTTCTAGGGAGTCAGGGTAAAGTAGGGCATTTGGCACCAATGACAGATATAATTGTGTGTGTATGATACTCTTTTACTCATTAACAACGGCAACAGGAGCTGCTAAAAATCTTACAGAACAAGATTCATTTTTTTAAAAGAGTCTTTACAGATCCTGAGTCCATTTTGTGGAATCTCTGAGTGAACTTACACAAAGGATTTAAGTCTGTTTTCCCAGCACTGAATCTACATGGGTGAGGACCCAAGCCAGTCTGCTTAGAGACCTTGGAGATGAAAGGCCCAGCCAGGACAGCCAGCCAAACCCGCTGGAAGCTGGCCCTGCCACAAATGGAGCCAAAGGTTGGATTATTCCTGCTAGAATTTTCTTTTTCTGAAGGACTGGAATGTCATAGGAATAAGAAGTCCTGGTGAAGAAAAGTCACCTGTAACCTATGCCACCACTAAGCATTAATCATTATTTTCATCATCCTTGTGGCAAAATTGTCATTGGACATATGAGGATAGGTAATATACTAGATATTTACAAGTTGATACTGCCAACCAAAAATAAACAAACAACAACAAAATGGATTGCTGGGACTACAGACATGTACCACCATGCCCGGCTAATTTTTTTTGTATTTTTTGTTTTTGTTTTTGTTTTTTTTTTGTATTTTTAGTAGAGTCGGGGTTTCACCATGTTGACCAGGCTGGTGTCAAACTCCTGACCTCAAATGATCTGCCTGCTTTGGCCTCCCAAATTGCTGGGATTACAGGCGTGAGCCACCATGCCCGGCCTGTTGCACACTTCCTATGAGGCTGTATTGCCTAATAATCTGTCACTGTCTCCCATCACCCGCAGATGGGACTGTCTTGCTGCAGGAAAACAAGCCCAGGGCTCCCACTGATTCTGCATTATGGTGAGTTATATAATTATTTCATTATATATTACAATGTAATAATAACTAAAATAAAATGCACAATAAACTTAATGTACTCGAATCATCCTGAAACCATCCCCTGCCCCTCACTGATTCATGGAAAAATTGTCTTCTGTGAAACCACTCCTTGGTGCCAAAAAGGTTGGGGACTGCTGCTATGCACTGTAGTCAACTAAAGTAACAGCATCCTAAAACCTGTTAACCCTTAACATAATCCTATTTCAACTTCCATTTATCTTGTTAAATCTGTAAATTCACTTTGAATCTCTTTTAATTTTTTTAAATTAAAATTGAATTGGTGGCTTACATAAAACATTCACCCACATAAACCACATTCTGGGTCATAAAACACACCTAAACACATTTAAATGAATAGAAATCATACAAAGTATGTTCTCAGACCAGAGTGGAATTAAATCTGAAATCAATAACAGAGAGATAGTTATAATATTCCAAAATATTTAGATATCAAATGATATACTTCTAAGTAACAGATGAGTCAAATAAGAAGTCTCGAGAAATTTTAAAATATTTTGCACCAAATGAAAATTAAAAATACAACATCAAAATTTGTGGGATCCAGGAAAAGCAATAATTAGATGGAGATTTATAGTACTGAATGCATATATTAGAAAAAATGGAGGCTGGACACAGTGGCTCATGCCTGTAATCTCAGTACTTTGGGAGGTTGAGGCACACAGGTCTCTTGAGCCCAGGAGTTCAAGACCAGCCTGGGCAACATGGTAAAACCTCATCTCTACTAAAAATACACAAACTAGCTGGCGGTGGTGGTGTGGACCTATAGTCTCAACCACTTGGGAGGCTGAGGTGGGAGGATGGTTGAATCTGGGAGATAAGGTTGCAGTGAGCCAAGATTGTGCCACTGCACTCCAGCCTGGATGACAGAGCCAAACCTTGTCAAAAAAAAAAAAAAAAAAAAAAAAAAAGAAATAAATAAATAAAAGAGAAGGAAAAAAGAAGGATCTAAAATCAATAATCTAAGATTCCACCTTAGGAAACTAGAAAAAGAAAGCAATTTATACCTAAAGCAACAAAAAACTAATAAAAATTAAAGCAAATATCAATGAAATTGAAAACAGGAAATCAATAGAGAAATTAATGAAACTAAAAGCTGGTTCATTGGAAAGATCAATAAAACAGATGAACTTCTAGCCCAGCTAACCAAGAATAAAAGAGAAAAGACATAAATTGTCAATATCTGAAATGAAAGAGAGATCATAACTACTGATCCCATGGACACTAAAATGATAATTAAGGAATATTATTAATAACCCTATGCCCATAAATTTGATCACTTAGATTAGATGGACTAATTCCTTGAAAGACCACAACTACCAAAACTTGCATAGGAAGAAATAGATAATCTGAATAGTCCTATGTAACATGTGTGTATACATGTTACATAGGACTATTCAGATTATCCTGAACTTTGTTATGGAGGGAGACAGACAGACAGAGAGAGAGAGAGAGAAGAGACTGATTGATTATAATAATTAGCTCACGGAATTATGGGGCCTGGCAAGTCCAAAATCTGCAAAGAGGAGAAGAAGGCTAGAGACCCAGGAAAGTTGATGCTGCCATTCTAGTCTGATTGCCATCTGCTGTAGAGCCAGGAAGATCCAATGTTGCAGGTGAGATCCAAAGGCAGTCTGCTGAAGAACTCTCTCTTGCTTAGATTAGGGTAGGCAGTTTTTTTGTTCTATTCAACCCTTCAGCTGATTAGATGAGACTTTGGAAGACAATTTGCCTTCCTCAAAGTTCATAGATTTAATTTTAATCTCATTAAAAACACTTTCATGAAAACACCCAGAATAATGTTTGAACAAATATCTGGGCATACCATGGTCTAGCCAAGTTGACACATAAAATTAGCCATCACAGACTATATCTACTAAAGAAATTAAATCAATAACCAATAACTGAAAAACAGAAAGCACCAGACACAGATAGTTTCATTGCGAATTCTACCAAATATCTAAGGAATAAATAATACCAATTCTTTACAATCTCTTCCAGAAACTGAAAGTGAAGGGAACACTTCCTAGTTTATTTTATTAAGCCACCATTACCCTAATACCAAACCAGATAAAGACATTACAAGTAGGGAAAACTACAGACTAATATATTTCATAAACATAGATGCAAAAATTCTCAACAAAATATTAGCAAGTCGTATCCAACAATGTATATAAAGAATTATATATCACAAGCAAGTGGGATTTATATCAGGTATGCAAGGCTGCTTCAACATTTGACAATCATTTCATCTAACTAATTACATTAATAGGCTAAAGGTGAAAAATTATATGGTCACATCAGCTGATGCAAAGAAAAACTTGACAAAATACAATACCTTTTCAAAATAAAAACTCTCAGAAAACTAAGAATAGAGACAGCTTCCTCAAGTCGATAAAGAACATCTATTATAAAAAAAATGGCTAACATCATACTTAATGATGAGAAACAGATGACTTCTCCGTAAGATCGGATCAAGACAAAAATGTTTCCTCTCCTATTCAACATCATACTGGAAGTCCTAGAAAGTGCAGTAAGACAAGAAAAGGAAATAAAAGATACACAGATTGGGAAAGGAGAAATCAGATTGTTTTGTTTGCAGATGACATGATTGATTATTTAGAAAATTCCAAAGAATTGATAACGACAAAAAAACTTAGAGGTAATAATCTGATTTTTAAATCAGCAAACTTCCTCAAAAGAAGACACACAGGCCAGGTATGGTGGCTCATGCCTGTAATCCCAGCACTTTGAGAGGCCAAGGCAGGCATCACTTGAGGTCAGGAGTTCAAGACCAGCTTGGCCAATGTAGTGAAATCCCATCTCTACTAAAAATACAAAAATTAGCCAGGTATGGTGGTGGGTGCCTGCAATCCCAGCTACCTGGGAGGCTGAGGCAGGAGAATTGCTTGGACCCCGAAGGCAGAGGTTGCAGTGAGCCGAGATCATGCCACTGCACTCCAGCTTGGGCGATAGAGCAAAGCTCCATCTCAAAAAAAAAAGAAAAGAAAGAAGACAACAAATGACAAACATGTTTATGAAAATGAGATATCATCTCACCCAGCTGAAGTGTCTTTTATCCAAAGGACAGGCAATAACAAATGCTGGCAGGAATGTGGAGAAAAGAGAACCCCCATACACTGTTGGTGGGAATGTAAGTTAGTACAACCATTGTGGAGAACCGTTTGGAGGTTCCTCAAAAACTAAAAATAGAGCTACCATATAAGCCAGCAATCCCACTGGTAGGTTTATACCCCAAAGAAAGGAAATCAGTGTATTGAAGAGATTTCTGCACTCTCATGTTTATTGCAGTACTATTCACCACAGCCAAGATTTGGAAGTAACCTAAGAGTTCATCAACAGATGAATGGATAAAGAAAATGTAATAAACATACACAATGGAGTATTATTCAGCCATAAAAAGGAATGTGATCCTGTCATTTGCAAGAACATGGATAGAACCAGAGGTCATTATGTTAAATAAAATAAGCCAGCACAGAAAGACAAATTTTGCATATTCTCACTTATTTGTGGGAGCTCAAAATTAAAACAATTGAACTCATGGAGATATGGAGTGAAGGGTGGTTACCAGAGGCTGGGGCAGGTAGTAGGAGGTGTTGGGGAGGGAGGATGATTAATGAGTACAAAAAATAGAAAGAATGAATAAGATCTAGTATTTGATAGTACAATAGAGTGGCTACAGTCAATAGTAATTTAATTGTACATTTAAAAATAACTGAGTATAATTGGATTCTTTGTAACACAAAGGATAAATGCTTGAGGTGATGGATACCCTATTTACCCTGATGCAATTATTACACATTGTATGCCTGTATCAAAATATCCCATATACCCCATAGCTATATATACCTACTATATACCCACAAAAATTAATATTAAAAAAATAAACTAAAATGGGCTAATATCTGTACAGACATCTCACCAAAAAAGATATAAAGACAGCAAATAACTGTGTGAATAGATAGATGTGCAACATCATATGTAATTAGAAAACTGAAAATTCGATCAACAGTGGGATATCCTACACACCTATTGGAATGGCTAAAATCAAAACAACTGACAGTAAATGGAACTTATTCATTGCTGGTGAGAATTTAAAATGATACATCCACCTTGAAGACAGTTTGGCAGTTTCTTACAATACTTGACATATTCTTACCATATGATCCAGTAATCATGCTCCCAAGTATTTACCTAATTGAGTTGAAAACTTATGTCCACACAAAAAGTTGTGCAGGGATGTTTATAGCAGTTTTATTCATAATTGCCTAAACTTGGAAGCAACCAAGATGTTTTTCAGTAGGTAATAAATAAACTGTGGTACATTCATACAATGAAATATTATTCACCAATAAAAAGAAAGGCACTATCAAACAATGAAAAGACATAGAGAACCCCTAAATGCATATTGAAAGAAGCTAGTTTGAAAAGACTATTTACTGTATGATTCCAACTAAATGACATTTTAAAAAGGCAAAACTATAAATACAATAAAAAGATCAGTGGTTGCCAGGGGTTTAGGGGGAAAAGGGGAAAGATAAGTAAAGGAAGGGTGGTAAAACTATTTTGTATGATGCTGCAATGGTGAATATACAATATGATGTGTTTGTCCAAACCCATAGAACTGTACAACATAAAGCTTACCCTTATGTTAACATAGAACATAAACCTTAATGTAGGCATACTAAAACATCATTTTGGAGGTTGATGATCCCAGAAAAGAATGCAGACTGTGACAAGAGAATCCATCTGAATTACAAAATGTGCAAAATAACCTCACTGAAGGGGCTGGGGGAAAATGTATTGACCTAAGCAACTTCAGAAATGAATCCAGTCTATAAAACTGAAGGCAAAAGAAACTGCACATAAACATTGTTCTCTAGTTGATACTGTTGCCTCCCATGGGAGCATAGGTTAACACTTCTGACATTCCTATATATGTATACTGGAACTGAACAATTAAGTAACTCAATGGCAGGTGATGAAAGCCAGGTTTTTCACTGTTGAGGTGGAAGCTTTTAGATACACAAGACAGGAGGTTATAATGATCCATGTGGTAATAGATTAGAGTGGGAACATCAGGAAGAATTCATGTTTAACTCAATATATATCCAAATTATTACACAAATAAATACTTATAGATATGTTTATATACATGGTTAGCACACACACAAACAATCCAATGCTTTGTTGGCTGAGAGGACCTAAAAGAAACAACACCCCAGGAGCAACGAGCACACATAGGACCCAGATCTTGGTTTCTAGTACTATTCTCCGATAAAAAAACAAGGGCTTATTGAAGAAATGGCTGATTCTAGGACTTGGGCAGGAAATACATGAGTCAGGAATACCTTGTAGTGCCAGAAAGTAAGAAAGTGCTCAAAAAGGAAAAAACAAACAAACCCTAATGATGGCAGTATGTTGAAGTAACATAGGCGCCAATTGAAGAGCTCTCAATGGCCAAAGCCTGAATAATTTGGGCAATATGATATATGAAGTATTATAGGATTGTAACTCAAAGTATAAAATAAATATCCATGAGTCCATAGTGATCCAAATAAATGATTGGATAAATTAATGATTGAGGAAGAAGAGACAAGTCTTCTATGAAGAATTCCAAATAAATTAGGTAGATACTTCATCCTAATATAGGGGGATCATGACTCCTCACTCCTGAAATATAGGATGCACATATTGTCTTCCCTCCAAAGAGTGCAGTATAGAAAGATAGATGAAAAGAGTAACTTCACAGTGGAGAAAAACTGAAAAACACTAATTGCGCTAGGTAATTGAGGTCAATATCAAGTCATATTAATAAATCATGTAGATAGTATAATATGATTAACAAGTATTTTAACTTTGTGATCTTCCTTCCAAAAACTGAAACTATCTAATTATGAGAAAAACACTGGACAAGTTCCCATTAAGGAGCATCCTACCGTAATCCTGACCAATACCCCTCACAGCTGTCAATGTCATCAAAAATTAGGTAAGGCTAAGAAACTCACAGCCAAGAGAAGCCTAAGGAGACATAGAACTAAATGTAAGATGGTATGCTGAAATAAGAAAAGGATACTAGGACAAAAAATAAGAAAATCTGAATAAGCTATGGGCTTTAATTAATAATAATGTTCCAGTATTTGTTCATTAGTGGTAATTAAGGTACCATACTAACGTAAGAAATTAATAACAGAGGAAAATTGGGTGAGGACTCTCCATATGGGAACTTTCTGTACTATCTGCTCAATTTTTTTGTAAATCTAAAACTCTTCTAAAAAACTACATCTACTTTTCTTAAAAACAGTTAGAAATTGAATTATTGGCTTTTAAGTGTCAGCTCTTTCTCTTTTCTTTAATAATGGAATCTAACATCATTAAAGTAGAAAAGTTGTCCTTCCAGTGTCCTATGTGGTATTCCTCTTTAAGTGTGAGATCACCTGATCCAATCTCTAATAATAGTAAAGCAAGGTCAGAACTTTTGGCCACAAATGAAAAATCCTACATCAAAAATTTTACATTTTGGGGGTAGGAGAAGGAAGAGATATAGGAATTCTAATACTGGAGGACTTCAAGATTTCAAACACTTATAATTTATAAAGTTAAAATCCAATTTAAAAACCACCACTGTGGCATTTTCCAAGATGTTAATGTCATCATTCTTTTGCAGAAATAAATAAAATTAAAAGGACTTTAAACTTAACTTCCAAGTGCATGGAGGACACTACCACATTTGAATAAGCTCCATCGAACTCGCTTAATTTTAGCATGCTTGCCAAGTACCTATTCTCCTGGCTTTTCAGTTGGATGTGATTGTGGCTAACCTGGGGCTCTTAGGAAATGACTGCTCCATTGTGCAAAGGTAGAAACGAAGTCCAGTGGATGTGTGAATGCTACATCAGGCTGTTGCCCTTGTGCTTTGTAGGATGGCAGATCCTGAAGAGTAAAAACAAACAAAACAGAAACCTTCCACTCTTTATGTGTACAAACTAAGCCTCAACAGGTATAAAAATTAAGCCAATTTCACAGAGTTAATTAGTAGTGTAATAACAATTCTTGGTTCACGATGCAAGATCACTATTTCTGACACCTAGCTCAAGAGCTATGTTTCATTATCACACTGTCTCCTGGTGCCTGAATTCCAGATAGTTATTTAATTAACGTATGCTGTTGTGTTGACTACCCTAATACTATACTCACAAGCATGTACAGGTATGCCTCATTTGATTGTGCTTTGCTTTATTGCACTTTGCAAATATTGCATTTTTAATAAATTGGAGGTTTGTGGCAACACTGTGTCAAGCAAGCCTATTGGCACCGTTTTTCCAACAGCACGTGTTCACTTCATATCTCCGCATCACATTTTGGTAATTCTTGCAATATTTCAAATATTTTTTCAATATTATTATATCGATTATGGTGATCTGTGCTCAGTGATCTTTGATGTTACTATTCTAATTGTTTTTGCATGCCACAAACCACACCCATGTAAGACAGTGAACTGAATCGATAAATGTTATGTGTGCCCTTGACTACTCCACCACCCGTTTCCTATCTCTCTCCCTCTCCTCAGGCCTCCCTATTCCTGGACAATCAACAATAGTGAAATTGGGCTAATTAATAATCTCTAAGTGTTCAAGTGAAGGAAAAATTGCACATCTCTCACTTTAAATCAAAAGCTAGAAATGATTAAGCTTGGGGAAGAAGGCACATAGAAGGATGAAACAGGCTAAAAGCTAGACCTCTTATGCTAAACGGTTAGCCAAGTTGTGAATGCAAAGAAAAAGTTCTTCAAGGAAATTAAAAGTGCTATTCCAGTGAATGAACAAATGACAAGAAAGCAAAAGAGGCTTCTTGATGATAAGAGAGAAAGTTTGAGTGGTCTGGATAGAAGATCAAGCCAGCCACAACATTCCCTTAAGCCAAAGCCTAATCCAGAGCCAGGTCCTTAATCTCTTCAAATCTATTAAGGCTGACAGAGGTGAGGAAACAGCAGAAGAAAAGTCTGAAGCTGGCAGAGGTTCAATCATGAGACTTAAGGAAATAAGTTGTCTCCATAACATAAAAGAGCAAGGTGAAGCAGCAAGTACTAATGGAGAAGCTGCAGCAAGTTATCCAGAACATCTAGCTAAGATAATTGATGAAGGTAGCTACACTAAAGCACAGATTTTCAATGTACAAAACAACCTTTTATTGGAGGGAGATGCTATCTAGGACTTGAATAAGGAGCTAGAGAGAAGTCAATACCTGGATTCGAACCTTCAAAAGACAGGCTGACCATCTCGTTAGGGGCTAATGGAGCTGGTGACTTTAAATTGAAGCCAATGTTCATTTGCCATTTCAAAAATCTTAGGGCCCTTAAGAATTATGCTAAATCTACTCTACCTGTGCACTATAAATGGAACAACAAAGCCTGGATGAGAGCACATCTGTTTACAGCCTGGTTTACCAAGTATTTTAATCCCACAGTTGAGACCTACTGCTGAGAAAAGAAGATTTATTTCAAAATATTAATACTCATTGGCAATGCACCTGGTCACCCATGAGCTCTGATAGAGATGTACAAGGAGATTAATGTTGGTTTTGTGTCTGCTAACAAAACATCTATTCCACAGCCCATGGATCAAGGAGAAATTTTGACTTTCAGTATTGTTATTTAAGAAATACATTTTGTAAGGCTAGAGCTACCATAGATAGTGATTCTTCTGATGGATCTGAGCAAAGTAAATTGAAAATCTTCCATAAAGGATTTACCATTCTAGATGCCATTAAGAATGTTCATGATTTATATGAGGAGGTCAAAACATCAATATTAACAGGAGTTTGGAAGAAATTGATTCCCACCCTCATGGATGAGTTTGAGGGGTTTAAGATTTCAACGAAAGAAGTCACTGCAGAAGTGATGGAAATAGCACAAGAACTAGCATTAGAAGTGGAGCCTGAAGATTTGACTGAATTCCTGCAATCTCATGATGAAACTTTAATGGATGAAGAGTTGCTTCTTATGGATGAGCAAAGAAAGTGGTTTCTTGAGATGAAATCTACTCCTGGTGAGGATGCTGTGAACATTTTTAAAATGACAACAAGGGATTTAGACTATGACATAAACTTAGTAACTGAAGCAGCGTCAAAGTTTGAGAGGATGGATTCCAATTTTTAAAGAAGTTCTCCTGTGGGTAAAATGCTATCAAACAGCATCACATGCTACAGAGAAATCTTTCATGAAGGAAGAATCAATCAATGTGGCAACCTTCATTGTTGTCTTATCTTAAGAAATTGCCGGCTGGGCTCGGTGAATCACGTCTGTAATCCCAGCTCTTTGGGGGGCCGAGGTGGGTGGATCACCTGAGGTCATGGGTTTGAGACCAGACTGGCCAACATTGTGAAACCCTGTCTCTACTAAAAATACAAAAAATTAGCTGGACATGGCGGCAGGCACCTGTAATCCCAGCTACTCAGGAGGCTGAGGCAGGAGAATTGCTTGAACTCAGGAGGCAGAGGTTGCAGTGAGCTGAGATCGCACCATTGCACTCCAGCCTGAGCAACAAAAGCGAGACTCCGTCTAAAAAAAAAAAGAAAAAGAAATTGTCACAGCCACCCCAGCCTTTATCAACCACCACCCTAATCAGTCAGCAGCCATCAACATCAAGGCACGAAGCCTCCACCAGCAAAAAGATTATGGCTTGCTGAAGGCTGCAATGATCATTAGCAAGTTTTTAGCAATAATTTATCTTTAAATTAAGGTATGTGCATTGCTTTTCTTACATTTTTTTTATTTCCATAAGTTTTTTGGGAACAGGTGGTATTTGGTTACATGAATAAGCTCCTTAGTGGTGATTTGTGAGATTTGGGTGCTCCCATCACCTGAGCACTATACACTGTTCCTTGCTTTCTTAGACATAATGCTGCTGCCACAGTGATATTATACATATGTATATGTGCTTTACTTTATGTTTGTGTCCATGGTTCTTGGCTTATAACTCCCATAGCCCTTCTTACTCCCACCCCCCACTTGCTCCCCCCGCCCCCCCACACACATTTGGTCACAGAAGTCTTTTGTGTTGATTGTTGTGCTGGTGTGAGAGCAAAGAAAAAACATAGTTTGAGTTTCTTCTTAAACATACATTTCATGAACTACAGTATAGTGTAAATATAATTTTTATATGCACTGGAAGACCAAAAAATTCATGTGACTCTCACTTTATTGCAATACGGCGGTCCAAAAGCAAACCTGCCATATCTCCAAGGTATACCTGTACTATACACAGAATACGCTTGATACTGCTGATAGTAGAAAAACATTCTCATGGTTTCAACTCATGCAGTCTTTGAGATAATCCCATTTCTGAAAAGAATGTTTAAGCAAGGTAGTCATCAGGAGTAATTATAACCTCCTTCCCTGAGAACTGTGGTTATTAAGCAGAAGATGAAAATTTACCCATGATTCAATTTCCCAACATGTCACCAATGTTAGA
The DNA here is from genome assembly GCF_000001405.40 of Homo sapiens. Classification (NCBI taxonomy): domain Eukaryota; kingdom Metazoa; phylum Chordata; class Mammalia; order Primates; family Hominidae; genus Homo; species Homo sapiens. The sequence continues at coordinate 145,364,116 of NC_000004.12, forward strand.
AAGGTAGTAACAAAAGCATAGGATGAAATTGCATATAACACCGCTTCCTTAAAGAGAGTGGCTGTAATCCTAGCTACTCAGGAGGCTGAGGTGGGAGGATAACTTGAGCCCGGGAGGTAGAGATTGCAACCTCTACCTGTAAGCCAAGATCGCACCACTGTACTTCAGCCTGGGTGACAGAGCAAGCCCTGTATCAAAAAAAGAAAAAAGAAAAAAAAAGGTAAATTTCGGCTGTATAAAAGTATTCAATCCATCGTTCAACCATACTTTTTTAATGTCTGCTCTATGCCAAACTGTTTGTAGAATTGGGAACACAGCACTGAACAATATATACCAGAATTGCTTCCTTCAGGGATTTATGTTCTAATAGAAAAGACACAGTAAACTAGATTATTTTTAAAAAGTAAAATGCATACCAATATGATAAAGGACATAGGAAGAGTTTGGTTGGGATAGAGTGAAACTTTAGGTAGAGAATACTGGTAAGGTCTCAAAGAGAAAGATACTTACGGGTAATAAGTTAACTGAATAAAGACCAGGAGAGAGAAAGAGCAACATTTTTGAGGATTTCTTCATTTTATGAATATGAAAGTTGAGGGTGGGGGTAGACTGGCTCTAGGTCACAGAGATAGTGTATGGTACAGTTAAGTGGGATAGATCTTCTGACTCCAATCCAGTGTCCTTGAGACTACACCACAATTGCCTCGCACAGGAACCAAAGAATAGAGACAGTGAATCTGCCATTTTGCCAACTCCCCAAGTGGGCTCTTTTACCTACCATTAAATGAAGTTTTTCAGACACCAACTATGAATACAAAGAATGTCAGAAGACAGGGGAAAATATATCCTCTTTGAACAGGAGAGGACGGGTAAATATGTTTTCTTCAACTGAAAGAAAAGAAAAACCTAGATTATTATCACATATTCTTTTTTTTTCTTTTATTATTTTTATTTTACTTTAAGTTTTAGGGTATATGTGCACAACGTGCAGGTTTGTTACATATGTATACATGTGCCATGTTGGTGTGCTGCACCCATTAACTCGTCATTTAGCATTAGGTATATCTGCTAATGCTATCCCTCCCCCCTCCCCCAACCCCACAACAGTCCCTGGTGTGTGATGTCCCCCTTCCTGTGTCCATATGTTCTCATTGTTCAATTCCCACCTATGAGTGAGAACATGCGGTGTTTGGTTTTTTGTCCTTGTGATAGTTTGCTGAGAATGATGGTTTCCAGCTTCATCCATGTCCCTACAAAGGACATGAACTCATCATTTTTTATGGCTGCATAGTATTCCATGGTATATATGTGCCACATTTTCTTAATCCAGTCTATCATTGTTGGGCATTTGGGTTGGTTCCAAGTCTTTGCTATTGTGAATAGTGCTGCAATAAACATGCGTGTGCATGTGTCTTTATAGCAGCATGATTTATAATCCTTTGGGTATATACCCAGTAATGGGATGGCTGGGTCAAATGGTATTTCTAGCTCTAGATCCCTGAGGAATCACCACACTGACTTCCACAATGGTTGAACTAGTTTACAGTTCCACCAACAGTGTAAAAGTGTTCCTATTTCTCCACATCCTCTTCAGCAACTGCTGTTTCCTGACTTTTTAATGATCACCATTCTAACTGGTGTGAGATGGTATCTCATTGTGGTTTTGATTTGCATTTCTCTGATGGCCAGTGATGATGAGCATTTTTTTATGTGTCTGTTGGCTGCATAAATGTCTTCCTTTGAGAAGTGTCTGTTCATATCCTTCACCCACTTGTCGATGGATATCAAACAAATTTCTTGTAAATTTGTTTGAGTTCATCGTAGATTCTGGATATTAGCCCTTTGTCAGATGAGTAGGTTGCAAAAATTTTCTCCCATTCTGTAGGTTGCCTGTTCACTCTGATGGTAGTTTCTTCTGCTGTGCAGAAGCTCTTTAGTTTAATTAGATCACATTTGTCAATTTTGGCTTCTGTTCCATTGCTTTTGGTGTTTTAGACATGAAGTCCTTGCCCATGCCTATGTCCTGAATGGTATTGCCTAGGTTTTCTTCTAGGGTTTTTATGGTTTTAGGTCTAACATGTAAGTCTTTAATCCATCTTGAATTAATTTTTGTATAAGGTGTAAGGAAGGGATCCAGTTTCAGCTTTCTCCATATGGCTAGCCAGTTTTCCCAGCACCATTTATTAAATAGGGCATCCTTTCCCCATTGCTTGTTTTTTGTCAGGTTTGTCAAAGATCAGATAGTTGTAGATATGTGGCATTACTTCTGAGGGCTCTGTTCTGTTCCATTGATCTATATCTCTGTTTTGGTAGCAGTACCATGCTGTTTTGGTTACTGTAGCCTTGCAGTATAGTTTGAAGTCACGTAGCATGATGCCTCCAGCTTTGTTCTTTTGGCTTAGGATTGACTTGGTGATGCAGGCTCTTTTTTGGTTCCATATGAACTTTAGTTTTTTCCAATTCTGTGAAGAAAGTCATTGGTAACTTGATGGGGATGGCATTGAATCTATAAATTACCTTGAGCAGTATGACCATTTTCATGATATTGATTCTTCCTACCCATGAGCATGGAAAGTTCTTCCATTTGTTTGTATCCTCTTTTATTTCATTGAGCAGTGGTTTGTAGTTCTCCTTGAAGAGGTCCTTCACATCCCTTGTAAGTTGGATTCCTAGGTATTTTATTCTCTTTGAAGCAATTGTGAATGGGTGTTCACTCATGATTTGGCTGTCTGTTGGTCTGTTATTGGTGTATAAGAACACTTGTGATTTTTGCACATTGATTTTGTATCCTCAGACTTTGCTGAAGTTGCTTATCAGCTTAAGGAGATTTTGGGCTGAGACGATGGGGGTTTCTAGATAAACAATCATGTCATCTGCAAACAGGGACAATTTGACTTCCTCTTTTCCTAACTGAATGCCCTTTATTTCCTTCTCCTGTCTGATTGCCCTGGCCAGAACTTCCAACACTATGTTGAATAGGAGTGGTGAGAGAGGGCATCCTTGTCTTGTGTCAGTTTTCAAAGGGAATGCTTCCAGTTTTTGTCCATTCAGTATGATATTGGCTGTGAGTTTGTCATAGATAGCTCTTATTATTTTGAGATGTGTCCCATCAATACCTAATTTATTGAGAGTTTTTAGCATGAAGGGTTGTTGAATTTTGTCAAAGGCCTTTTCTGCATCTATTGAGATAATCATGTGGTTTTTGCCTTTGGTTCTGTTTATATGCTGGATTACGTTTATTGATTTTCATATGTTGAACCAGCCTTGCATCCCAGGGATGAAGCCCACTTGATCATGGTGGATAAGATTTTGATGTGTTGCTGGATTCAGTTTACCAGTATTTTATTGAGGATTTTTGCATCAATGTTCATCAAGGATATTGGTCTAAAATTCTCTTTTTTTTTGTTGTGTCTCTGCCAGGCTTTGGTATCAGGATGATGCTGGCCTCATAAAATGAGTTAGGGAGGATTCCCTCTTTTTCTATTGCTTGGCATAGTTTCAGAAGGAATGGTACCAACTCCTTCTTGTACCTCTGGTAGAATTTGGCTATGAATCCATCTGGTCCTGGACTTTTTTTGGCTGGTAAGCTATTAATTATTGCCTCAATTTCAGAGCCTGTTATTGGTCTATTCAGAGATTCAACTTCTTCCTGGATTAGCCTTGGGAGGGTGTATCTGTCCAGGAATTTATCCATTTCTTCTAGACTTTCTAGTTTATTTGTGTAGAGGTGTTTATAGTATTCTCTGATGGTAGTTTGTATTTCTGTGCGATCGGTGGTGATATCCCCTTTGTCATTTTTTATTGCGTCTATTTGATTCTTCTCTCTTTTCTTCTTTATTAGTCTTGCTAGTGTTCTATCAATTTTGTTGATCTTTTAAAAAAACAAGCTCCTGGATTCATTGATTTTTTGAAGGGTTTTTTGTGTCCCTATTTCCTTCAGTTCTGCTCTGATCTTAGTTATTTCTTGTTTTCTGCTAGCTTTTGAATGTGTTTGCTCTTGCTTCTCTAGTTCTTTTAATTGTGATGTCAGGGTGTCAATTTTAGATCTTTCCTGCTTGCTCTTGTGGCCATTTAGTGCTATAAATTTCCCTCTACACACTGCTTTGAATGTGTCCCAGAGATTCTGGTATGTTGTGTCTTTGTTCTCGTTGGTTTCAAAGAACATCTTTATTTCTGCCTTCATTTCGTTATGTACCCAGTAGTCATTCAGGAGCAGGTTGTTCAGTTTCCATGTAGTTGAGTGGTTTTGAGTGAGTTTCTTAATCCTAAGTTCTAGTTTGATTGCACTGTGGTCTGAGAGATAGTTTGTTATAATTTCTGTTCTTTTACATTTGCTGAGGAGTGCTTTACTTCCAAGTATGTGGTCAATTTTGGAATAGGTGTGGTGTGGTGCTGAAAAGAATGCATATTCTGTTGATTTGGGATGGAGAGTTCTGTAGATGTATATTAGGTCCGCTTGGTGCAGAGCTCAGTTCAATTCCTGGATATCCTTGTTAACTTTCTGTCTTGTTGATCTGTCTAATGTTGACAGTGGGGTGTTAAAGTCTCCCATTATTATTGTGTGGGAGTCTAAGTTTCTTTGTAGGTCACTAAGGACTTGCTTTATGAATCTGTGTGCTCCTCTATTGGGTGCATATATATTTAGGATAGTTAGCTCTTCTTGTTGAATTGATCCCTTTACCATTATGTAATGGCCTTCTTTGTCTCTTTTGCTCTTTGTTGGTTTAAAGTCTGTTTTATCAGAGACTAGGATTGCGACCCCTGCCTTTTTTTGTTTTCCATTTGCTTGGTAGATCTTCCTCCATCCCTTTATTTTGAGTCTATATGTGTCTCTGCACGTGAGATGGGTTTCCTGAATACAGCACACTGATGGGTCTTGACTCTTTATCCAATTTGCCAGTCTATGCCTTTTAATTGGAGCATTTAGCCCATTTACATTTAAGGTTAGTATTGTTATGTGTGAATTTGATCCTGTCATTATGATTTTAGCTGGTTATTTTGCTCGTTAGTTGATGCAGTTTCTTCCTAGCCTTGATGGTCTTTACAATTTGGCATGTTTTTGCAGTGGCTGGTACCAGTTGTTCCTTTCCATGTTTAGTGCTTCCTTCAGGAGCTCTTTTAGGGCAGGCCTGGTGGTGACAAAATCTCTCAGCATTTGCTTGTCTGTAAAGTATTTGATTTCTCCTTCACTTATGAAGCTTAGTTTGGCTGGATATGAAATTCTGGGTTGAAAATTCTTTTCTTTAAGAATGTTGATTGAAAAAGAAAAAAAGCCCAGCGTGAGCGACGCAGAAGATGGGTGATTTCTGGATTTCCATCTGAGGTACCGGGTTCATCTCACTAGGGAGTGCCAGACAGTGGGCGCAGGCCAGTGGGTGCGCGCACCGTGCACGAGCCGAAGCAGGGCGAGGCATTGCCTCACCTGGGAAGCGCAAGGGGTCAGGGAGTTCCCTTTCCGAGTCAAAGAAAGGGGTGATGGACGCACCTGGAAAATCGGGTCACTCCCACCCGAATATTGCGCTTTTCAGACCGGCTTAAAAAACGGCGCACCACGAGACTATATCCCACACCTGGCTCGGAGGGTCCTACGCCCACGGAATCTCGCTGATTGCTAGCACAGCAGTCTGAGATCAAACTGCAAGGCGGCAGCGAGGCTGGGGGAGGGGTGCCCGCCATTGCCCAGGCTTGCTTAGGTAAACAAAGCAGCCGGGAAGCTCCAACTGGGTGGAGCCCACCACAGCTCAAGGAGGCCTGCCTGCCTCTGTAGGCTCCACCTCTGGAGGCAGGGCACAGACAAACAAAAAGACAGCAGTAACCTCTGCAGACTTAAATGTCCCTGTCTGACAGCTTTGAAGAGAGCAGTGGTTCTCCCAGCACGTAGCTGGAGATCTGAGAACGGGCAGACTGCCTCAAGTGGGTCCCTGACCCCTGACCCCCGAGCAGCCTAACTGGGAGGCACCCCCCAGCAGGGGCACACTGACACCTCACACGGCAGGGTATTCCAACAGACCTGCAGCTGAGGGTCCTGTCTGTTAGAAGGAAAACTAACAAACAGAAAGGACATCCACACCGAAAACCCATCTGTACATCACCATCATCAAAGACCAAAAGTAGATAAAACCACAAAGATGGGGAAAAAACAGAACAGAAAAACTGGAAACTCTAAAACACAGAGCACCTCTCCTCCTCCAAAGGAACGCAGTTCCTCACCAGCAACGGAACAAAGCTGGATGGAGAATGACTTTCACGAGCTGAGAGAAGAAGGCTTCAGACAATCAAATTACTCTGAGCTACGGGAGGACATTCATTCCAAAGGCAAAGAAGTTGAAAACTTTGAAAAAAATTTAGAAGAATGTATAACTAGAATAACCAATACAGAGAAGTGCTTAAAGGAGCTGATGGAGCTGAAAATCAAGGCTCGAGAACTACGTGAAGAATGCAGAAGCCTCAGGAGCCGATGCGATCAACTGGAAGAAAGGGTATCAGCAATGCAAGATGAAATGAATGAAATGAAGTGAAAAGGGAAGTTTAGAGAAAAAAGAATAAAAAGAAATGAGCAAAGCCTCCAAGAAATATGGGACTATGTGAAAAGACCAAATCTACATCTGATTGGTGTACCTGAAAGTGATGCGGAGAATGGAACCAAGTTGGAAAACACTCTGCAGGATATTATCCAGGAGAACTTCCCCAATCTAGCAAGGCAGGCCAACGTTCAGATTCAGGAAATACAGAGAACGCCACAAAGATACTCCTCGAGAAGAGGAACTCCAAGACACATAATTGTCAGATTCACCAAAGTTGAAATGAAGGAAAAAATGTTAAGGGCAGCCAGAGAGAAAGGTCGGGTTACCCTCAAAGGGAAGCCCATCAGACTAACAGCGGATCTCTCGGCAGAAACCCTACAAGCCAGAAGAGAGTGGGGGCCAATATTCAACATTCTTAAAGAAAAGAATTTTCAACCCAGAATTTCATATCCAGCCAAACTAAGCTTCATAAGTGAAGGAGAAATCAAATACATTACAGACAAGCAAATGCTGAGAGATTTTGTCACCACCAGGCCTGCTCTAAAAGAGCTCCTGAAGGAAGCGCTAAACATGGAAAGGAACAACCAGTACCAGCCACTGCAAAATCATGCCAAAATGTAAAGACCATCGAGACTAGGAAGAAACTGCATCAACTAACGAGCAAAATCACCAGCTAACATCATAATGACAGGATCAAATTCACATATAACAATATTAACTTTAAATGTAAATGGACTAAATGCTCCAGTTAAAAGACACAGACTGGCAAATTGGATAAAGAGTCAAGACCCATCAGTGTGCTGTATTCAGGAAAACCATCTCACGTGCAGAGACACACATAGGCTCAAAATAAAAGGATGGAGGAAGATCTACCAAGCAAATGGAAAACAAAATAAGGCAGGGGTTGCAATCCTAGTCTCTGATAAAACAGACTTCAAACCAACAAAGATCAAAAGAGACAAAGAAGGCCATTACATAATGGTAAAGGGATCAATTCAACAAGAGGAGCTAACTATCCTCAATATATATGCACCCAATACAGGAGCACCCAGATTCATAAAGCAAGTCCTGAGTGACCTACAAAGAGACTTAGACTCCCACACATTAATAATGGGAGACTTTAACACCCCACTGTTAACATTAGACAGATCAACGAGACAGAAAGTCAACAAGGATACCCAGGAATTGAACTCAGCTCTGCACCAAGCGGACCTAATATACATCTACAGAACTCTCCACCCCAAATCAACAGAATATACATTTTTTTCAGCACCACACCACACCTATTCCAAAATTGACCACATACTTGGAAGTAAAGCTCTCCTCAGCAAATGTAAAAGAACAGAAATTATAACAAACTATCTCTCAGACCACAGTGCAATCAAACTAGAACTTAGGATTAAGAATCTCACTCAAAGCCACTCAACTACATGGAAACTGAACAACCTGCTCCTGAATGACTACTGGGTACATAACGAAATGAAGGCAGAAATAAAGATGTTCTTTGAAACCAACAAGAACAAAGACACAACATACCAGAATTTCTGGGACGCATTCAAAGCAGTGTGTAGAGGGAAATTTATAGCACTAAATGCCCACAAGAGAAAGCAGGAAAGATCCAAAATTGACACCCTAACATCACAATTAAAAGAACTAGAAAAGCAAGAGCAAACACATTCAAAAGCTAGCACAAGGCAAGAAATAACTAAAATCAGAGCAGAACTGAAGGAAATAGAGACACAAAAAACCCTTCAAAAAATCAATGAATCCAGGAGCTGGTTTTTTGAAAGGATCAACAAAATTGAGAGACCGCTAGCAAGACTAATAAAGAAAAAAAGAGAGAAGAATCAAATAGACACAATAAAAAATGATAAAGGGGATATCACCACCGATCCCACAGAAATACAAACTACCATCAGAGAATACTACAAACACCTCTACGCAAATAAACTAGAAAATCTAGAAGAAATGGATAAATTCCTCGACACATACACTCTCCCAAGACTAAACCAGGAAGAAGTTGAATCTCTGAATAGACCAATAACAGGAGCTGAAATTGTGGCAATAATCAATAGTTTACCAACCAAAAAGAGTCCAGGACCAGATGGATTCACAGCCGAATTCTACCACAGGTACAAGGAGGAACTGGTACCATTCCTTCTGAAACTATTCCAATCAATAGAAAAAGAGGGAATCCTCCCTAACTCATTTTATGAGGCCAGCATCATTCTGATACCAAAGCCGGGCAGAGACACAACCAAAAAAGAGAATTTTAGACCAATATCCTTGATGAACATTGATGCAAAAATCCTCAATAAAATACTGGCAAACCGAATCCAGCAGCACATCAAAAATCTTATCCACCATGATCAAGTGGGCTTCATCCCTGGGATGCAAGGCTGGTTCAATATACGCAAATCAATAAATGTAATCCAGCATATAAACAGAGCCAAAGACAAAAACCACATGATTATCTCAATAGATGCAGAAAAGGCCTTTGACAAAATTCAACAACCCTTCATGCTAAAAACTCTCAATAAATTAGGTATTGATGGGACGTATTTCAAAATAATAAGAGCTATCTATGACAAACCCACAGCCAATATCATACTGAATGGGCAAAAACTGGAAGCATTCCCTTTGAAAACTGGCACAAGACAGGGATGCCCTCTCTCACCACTCCTATTCAACATAGTGTTGGAAGTTCTGGCCAGGGCAATTAGGCAGGAGAAGGAAATAAAGGGTATTCAGTTAGGAAAAGAGGAAGTCAAATTGTCCCTGTTTGCAGATGACATGATTGTATATCTAGAAAACCCCATTGTCTCAGCCCAAAATCTCCTTAAGCTGATAAGCAACTTCAGCAAAGTCTCAGGATACAAAATCAATGTACAAAAATCACAAGCATTCTTATACACCAACAACATACAAACAGAGAGCCAAATCATGAGTGAACTCCCATTCACAATTGCTTCAAAGAGAATAAAATACCTAGGAATCCAACTTACAAGGGATGTGAAGGACCTCTTCAAGGAGAACTACAAACCACTGCTCAAGGAAATAAAAGAGGATACAAACAAATGGAAGAACATTCCATGCTCATGGGTAGGAAGAATCAATATCGTGAAAATGGCCATACTGCCCAAGGTAATTTACAGATTCAATGCCATCCCCATCAAGCTACCAATGACTTTCTTCACAGAATTGGAAAAAACTACTTTAAAGTTCATATGGAACCAAAAAAGAGCCCGCATCGCCAAGTCAATCCTAAGCCAAAAGAACAAAGCTGGAGGCATCACACTACCTGACTTCAAACTATACTACAAGGCTACAGTAACCAAAACAGCATGGTACTGGTACCAAAACAGAGATGTAGATCAATGGAACAGAACAGAGCCCTCAGAAATAACGCCACATATCTACAACTATCTGATCTTTGACAAACCTGAGAAAAACAAGCAATGGGGAAAGGATTCCCTATTTAATAAATGGTGCTGGGAAAACTGGCTAGCCATATGTAGAAAGCTGAAACTGGATCCCTTCCTTACACCTTATAGAAAAATCAATTCAAGATGGATTAAAGATTTAAACGTTAGACCTAAAACCATAAAAACCCTAGAAGATAACCTAGGCATTACCATTCAGGACATAGGCATGGGCAAGGACTTTATGTCCAAAACACCAAAAGCAATGGCAACAAAAGCCAAAATTGACAAATGGGATCTAATTAAACTAAAGAGCTTCTGCACAGCAAAAGAAACTACCATCAGAGTGAACAGGCAACCTACAAAATGGGAGAAAATTTTCGCAACCTACTCATCTGATAAAGGGCTAATATCCAGAATCTACAATGAACTCAAACAAATTTACAAGAAAAAAACAAACAACCCCATCAAAAAGTGGGCGAAGGACATGAACAGACACTTCTCAAAAGAAGACATTTATGCAGCCAAAAAACACATGAAAAAATGCTCATCATCACTGGCCATCAGAGAAATGCAAATGAAAACCACTATGAGATATCATCTCACACCAGTTAGAATGGCAATCATTAAAAAGTCAGGAAACAACAGGTGCTGGAGAGGATATGGAGAAATAGGAACACTTTTACACTGTTGGTGGGACTGTAAACTAGTTCAACCATTGTGGAAGTCAGTGTGGCGATCCCTCAGGGATCTGGAACTAGAAATACCATTTGACCCAGCCATCCCATTACTGGGTATACACCCAAAGGACTATAAATCATGCTGCTATAAAGACACATGCACACGTATGTTTATTGCGGCACTATTCATAATAGCAAAGACTTGGAACCAACCCAAATGTCCAACAATGATAGACTGGATTAAGAAAATGTGGCACATATACACCATGGAATACTATGCAGCCATAAAAAATGATGAGTTCATGTCCTTTGTAGGGACATGGATGAAATTGGAAATCATCAGTCTCAGTAAACTATCGCAAGAACAAAAAACCAAACACCGCATATTCTTACTCATAGGTGGGAATTGAACAATGAGATCACATGGACACAGGAAGGGGAATATCACACTCTGGGGTCTGTGGTGGGGTGGGGGGAGGGGGGAGGGATAGCATTGGAAGATATACCTAATGCTAGATGACGAGTTAGTGGGTGCAGCACACCAGCATGGCACATGTATACATATGTAACTAACCTGCACAATGTGCACATGTACCCTAAAACTTAAAGTATAATAAAAAAAAAAAAAGAATGTTGCAGCCCTCTAGCTGCACTCGGCTGAGTCAGTCTGTCGGAGTCTGTCCTCAGAGCAGGCAGAGTAAAGGGACTTGAACGAGCCAGTTGCCAGATTATTCTATTTCCCCTCCCTCTCTCCCGCCCCCTATCTCTTTTCACCCTTCTCCCACCCTCGCTCACGTAGCCATGGCGGAGCCATCGGCGGCCACTCAGTCCCCTTCCATCTCCTCGTCGTCCTCCGGAGCCGAGACGTCCGCATCCGGCGGCAGCGGAAGCCCAGGAGCCTGCCCTGCCCTGGGGACGAAGAGCTGCAGCTCCTCCTGTGCGGTTCACGATCTGCTTTTCTGGAGAGATGTAAAGAAGACTGGGTTTGTCTTTGCCACCACGCTGATCATGCTGCTTTCCCTGGCAGCTTTCAGTGTCATCAGTGTGGTTTCTTACCTCATCCTGGCTCTTCTCTCTGTCACCATCAGCTTCAGGATCTACAAGTCCGTCATCCAAGCTGTACAGAAGTCAGAAGAAGGCCATCCAATCAAAGCCTACCTGGACGTAGACATTACTCTGTCCTCGGAAGCTTTCCATAATTACATGAATGCTGCCGTGGTGCACATCAACAGGGCCCTGAAACTCATTATTCTTCTCTTTCTAGTAGAAGATCTGGTTGACTCCTTGAAGCAGGCTGTCTTCATGTGGCTGATGACCTATGTTGGTGCTTTTTTTAACGGAATCACCCTTCTAATTCTTGCTGAACTGCTCATTTTCAGTGTCCCGATTGTCTATGAGAAGTACAAGACCCAGATTGATCACTATGTTGGCATCGCCCGACATCAGACCAAGTCAATTGTTGAAAAGATCCAAGCAAAACTCCCTGGAATCGCCAAAAAAAAGGCAGAATAAGTACATGGAACCAGAAATGCAACAGTTACTAAAACACCATTTAATAGTTATAACGTCGTTGCTTGTACTGTGAACGAACATACTCAGTGTCAGCTTGAGCCTGCATTCCAAGCTTTTTTTTTAATTTGGTGTTTTCTCCCATCCTTTCCCTTTAACCCTCAGTATCAAGCACAAAAACTGATGGACTGATAAAAGAACTATCTTAGAACTCAGAAGAAGAAAGAATCAAATTCATAGGATAAGTCAACACCTTAATGGTGGTAGAGCCTTTACCTGTAGCTTGAAAGGGGAAAGATTGGAGGTAAAAGAGAAAATGAAAGATAGAACACCTCTGGGTCCTTCTATCCAGTTTTCAGCACTAGTCTTACTCAGCTATCCATTATAGTTTTGCCCTTAAGAAGTAATGATTAACTTATGAAAAAATTATTTGGGGACAGGAGTGTGATGCCTTCCTTGTTTTTGTTTTTTTTTTTGCAGCCCTCAAATCCTATCTTCCTGCCCCACAATGTGAGCAGCTACTCCTGATACTCCTTTTCTTTAATGATTTAACTTTCAACTTGATGAATAACTTATAAGTGATAGTGATAATTCCTGATTCCAAGAATGCCATCTGATAAGAAAGAATAGAAATGGAAAGTGGGACTGAGAGGGAGTCAGCAGGAATGCTGCAGTGGCCGTCACTCCCTCTGCCACTATCCCCAGGGAAGGAAAGGCTCCGCCATTTGGGCAAGTGGTTTCTACATCACTGGACACCAGTTCTGAGCGTTAGTTTGAGAACTCGTTCCCGAATGTGCTTTCCTCCCTCTCCCCTGCCCGCCTCAAGTTTAATAAATATGGTTGTACTTTTCTTATTATAAAATAAATGTCTGTAACTGCTGTGCACTGCTGTAAACTTGTTAGAGAAAAAATAACCTGCATGTGGGCTCCTCAGTTATTGAGTTATTGTGATCCTATCTCAGTCTGGGGGGGAACATTCTCAAGAGGTGAAATACAGAAAGCCTTTTTTTCTTGATCTTTTCCCAGTTGTTCTTTTCTTGATCTTTTCCCGAGATTCAAATGTCCGATTCCCATTTGGGGGCAAGTTTTTTTCTTCACCTTCAATATGAAAATTCAGCGAAATTGAAAGAAAAATCATCTGTGAGTTCCTTCAGGTTCTCACTCATAGTCATGATCCTTCAGAGGGAATATGCACTGGCGAGTTTAAAGTAAGGGCTATGATATTTGATGGTCCCAAAGTACGGCAGCTGCAAAAAGTAGTGGAAGGAAATTGTCTTTCTACGTGTTTTGGGAAAATTAATTAGGAATTTGGATGGGTAAAAGGTACCCTTGCCTTACTTCATCTTATTTTCTTAGCCCCCTTTGAGTGTTTTAACTGGTTTCATGTCCTAGTAGGAAGTGCATTCTCCATCCTCATCCTCTGCCCTCCCAGGAAGTCAGTGATTGTCTTTTTGGGCTTCCCCTCCAAAGGACCTTCTGCAGTGGAAGAGCCTCATCCAGTTATTTTCTTTTGTTGCTGCTGTGTTTAGATAATTGAAGAGATCTTTGTGCCACACAGGATTTTTTTTTTTAAGAAAAACCTGCAGATGAAAAATTACTAATGAAACTGTGTGTACGTGTCTGTGCATGCAACATAAAAATACAGTAGCACCTAAGGAGCTTGAATCTTGGTTCCTGTAAAATTGCAAATTGATGTGGTATTAATAACACACACACACACACACACACACACACACACACAAAGAATGTTGCATATTGGCCCCCACTCTCTTCTGGCTTGTAGAGTTTCTGCTGAGAGATCAGCTGTTAGTCTGATGGGCTTCCCTTTGTGGGTAACCTGACCTTTCTCTCTGGCTGCCCTTAGAATTTTTTCCTTCATTTCAACTTTGGTGAATCTGACAATTATGTGTCTTGGAGTTGCTCTTCTTGAGGAGTGTCTTTGTGACATTCTCAGTATTTCCTGAATTTGAATGTTGGTCTGCCTTGCTATATTGAGGAAGTTCTCCTGGATAATATACTGCAGAGTATTTTCCAACTTGGTTCCATTCTCCCCATCACTTTCAGGTACACCAATCAGACGTAGATTTGGTCTTTTCACATAGTCCCATATTTCTTGGAGGCTTTGTTCGTTTCTTTTTATTCTTTTTTCTCTAAACTTCTCTTCATGCTTCATTTCATTCATTTCATCTTCCATCACTGATACCCTTCCTTCCAGTTGATCGCATCGGTTACTGAGTCTTGTGATTCGTCACGTAGTTTTCGTGCCTTGGTTTTCAGCTCCATCAGGTCCTTTAAGACTTCTCTGCATTGGTTATTCTAGTTATCCATTCATCTAATTTTTTTTCAAAGTTTTTAACTTCTTTGCCATTGGTTCAAACTTCCTCCTTTAGCTCGGAGTAGTCTTCTGAAGTCTTCTTCTGTCAACTCGTCAAAGTCATTCTCCATCCAGCTTTGTTCCGTTGCTGGTGAGGAGCTGCGTTCCTTTGGAGGAGGAGAGATGCTCTGATTCTCAGAGTTTCTGGTTTTTCTGCTCTGTTTTTTCCCCATCTTTGTGGTTTTATCTACCTTTGGTCTTTGATGATGGTGACGTACAGATGGGGTTTTGGTGTGGATGTCCTTTCTGTTTGTTAGTTTTCCTTCTAACAGTCAGGACCCTCAGCTGCAGGTCTGTTGGAGTTTGCTGGAGGTCCATTCCAGACCTTGTTTGCCTGGGTATAAGCAGCGGTGGCTACAGAACAGCGGATATTGGTGAACCGCAAATGCTGCTGCCTGATTGTTCCTCTGGAAATTTTGTCTCAGAAGAGTACCTGGCGGTGTGAGGTGTCAGTCCACCCCTACTGGGGGGTGCCTCCCAGTTAGGCTACTCGGAGGTCAGGGTCCCACTTGAGGAGGCAGTCTGCCCATTCTCAGATCTCAAGCTGCGTGCTGGGAGAACCACTACTCTCTTCAAAGCTGTCAGACAGGGACATTTAATTCTGCAGAGGTTATTGCTGTCTTTTGTTTGTCTGTGCCCTGCCCCGAGAGGTGGAGCCTACAGAGGCAGGCAGGCCTCCTTGAGGTGTGGTGGGCTCTACCCAGATCGAAATTCCCAGCCGCTTTGTTTACCTACTCAAGCTTGGGCAATGGTGGGCGCCCTTCCCCCAGCCTTGCTGCTGCCTTGCAGTTTGATGTCAGACTGCTGTGCTAGCAATGAACGAGGCTCCGTGGGCGTAGGGCCCTCCGAGCCATTTGCGGGATATAATCTCCTGGTGTGCCATTTGTTGAGTCCATTGGAAAAGCGCAGTATTAGGGTGGGAGTGACCCGATTTTCCAGGTGCTGTCTGTCACCCCTTTCTTTGACTAGGAAAGGGAATTCCCTGACCCCTTGTGCTTCCCGGGTGAGGCAATGCCTCACCCTGCTTTGGCTCACGCACGGTGCACTGCACCCACTGTCCTGCCCCCACTGTCCGGCACTCCCCAGTGAGATGAACCCAGTACCTCAGTTGGAAATGCAGAAATCACCCGTCTTCTGCATCGCTCACGCTGGGAGCTGTTGACTGGAGCTGTTCCTATTTGGCCATCTTGGCTCCACCCCCCGCCATTATCACATATTCTTATGCAGTCTCTGTATTTATTATAGTCAGGCCTGGAAGGGTTAAATTTTTCTCTTTCGCATCTAAGAAAATCCGCCTTAATAGAATTATTTCTAGTAAACAAACTGAAGATCAGAAGCCAAAACATGTGAAGTGCTCTGATTTCAAAAAGGAAATGTACATTTTGTTTTCTCTGTCCAAGAAACTGAATTAATCTTGTTCTGTCTCCAACTTTCAGATCCATTAGCTTTGACCACAGGATGGGCACCAATGGGCATATTTGCTTGCTATTTTTCATTAAGCATAAATCTAAAGAACAATATGCACTTTCAAAGTCTTTTGAATTTGCTTGACTGTGGATGAGTTGGAATTGTAACCCCAGGTTCCAGTCCAGTACCTGCAAAAAATTAGACCAAATGAAAAAGAATTTAGGCAGCAGTTGAGAAAATATATTAACAAGAACCAGTACACTTTAGTTGCTGGATTTCACTGCCTTTGGCCATATTCTGAGTCATACTGTGTCAGTGAGCATAACAACTTTTGTTCCTTTAACATTGGAGTGGATTGTTGGGTATTATATAGGCTAGTGAATTATTCATAGAAATTTGAATTATTCAAATATATCAACAAATTTCTCTTATTCTGAAGCAATAAAATATAAATTAATTAATACTTGACAGTTCTATTCAATGTTTTGTCAAGGAGCTTTCTAATACTATAAAAGTAAATTTACTAGGCCTTGAGTATTCTAAAATGCTGTTGTCACTGCTAGCTTTAAACATGTAAGGACATAGAAGCAACAAAATTGGCCAAGGACAAAGAGAGAATGTGTCAGCACTGAAACTGAAGTCTTGGATCCACATCTGGGTGTTACATTACCAAACAGGAGGAGATAAAGATGGATACTTTATCTGTGCTGGGCTAAAAGGTGCCATTTCAATGATTTGGGAAGAAATTGAGTTTGCAAAAATGAATGTAACATAAGAGGCAAGAAACAAGATAGAGGAAACTCAATTTTCATCCTGAAGAGAACGTTTGGAGGGCATTTGAATGTGTTCTTTTAGTATATCTAAGAAAACAAAAATCTCAATAAGGTAGTTAAAACTATTAAAAGGTAGCTCTCTATTTGAAGAATCACCATGTGGAGGAAAGATAAATCAAATTTCTTACTTAGAAACCAAAACTTACCCTTCTTTGTCAGATAGGCTGGGTTCAGATTCTGATAATGTCATTGGCTAGCTGTGTGATCGTGGGCAGGTATCTCTCTAAAAGTGAGTTGCTAACAGTACCAAATGAAGTAACACATGGAAAGCATTTATCCATTTGGCCCATAGTATGCATCCAATAAATGGTAACTACACTACTGCTACTACTACTACAGCTTAAGCAAGCACATGGGGGAATCTGGGCATGCATGGAAAGCATATGTTGGAGCTGAAGGGGGCTAGGAAGTCCTTTTATCCCTTGGGGATGATGAATAAACTATGTTGTGCACCTGCATTTTGACTGACAACTGTCACATGAGATCAAGTGTGGAATTTTGCACTTGTGACGTCATATCAATGCTCAGGAAGTTTCAAACTTTGGAGCATTTTGGATTTTGGATTTTCACATTGGGGATGCTCACCCTGTAGTAGTAGCAGTGGTAACCACTGTGCATTATTTACTGTGTTTTTATTGCTTGTTCTCTGCTCTATGGGGATAAATATAATGTTGAAAATGTTAAAAAAAAAAAAAAAAAAAGGCCTGCATAGCACCTATAGGGTAGTGAAAGAATTCCAAAATCTGAAATACTTCTGGTCCCAATGATTTCAGCTAAGAGGTACTCAATGTATACTACTACTATATTATTATTTGTTCCCCTTCATTTCACTATGTCCCCACTCACTCACTTGTCTTTTCATCCCTCCTACTTTATTCAACTACATTATAATCTAGGCAAGGAATAATTGAGTCAGAAAATTGACATAATTAATGCTCAGATCAAAAAGCTCAATTGCCTCAAAACTTGAAGTTCTTTTTTTCTGTGATGTGTTTTTTATGAAAGAATGGTTCCACTTAAAATGACTTCATTTCTTACCTTTCTAAAATGATGGAGGTCATCTGAGCATCTGCTATGAAGCTGCAGCTGTCTCTGAGTATGTCTTTATTTTTTTAACCTCTAAAATAACCTTTTTATCTTTTTATTTCAGAGAGAAAGGTATTCTTCCTCCTTGGAAGTTACCTTTCCCCAGGTTTTCAGTATCCTTGAGAAAACTGCTCCCACATTTTCCCTATTCTTCTTTCCATTCACCTCAAAAATATCACAAGATGTTTCAAAGTTTTTTTAAAAAAGTGGACATATGAATATCCAACTAGAAAAAAAAGTTAAAAGACGCACAAAATTCTACCACCTAGAATCACTATCATTATTAGCATATGTGTTCATTTCAGACATCTCTTTTTATTTGCACATGGTAAGAAAAAATAATAAATAGATAATAACTCTTCAAAAATCAAACAACTTTTTATATTCAAACTACTTTTTAAATTCAATATTAAAAATATTGAATTTATTGTCATTTGAAATCCATAGACAATATAAAAAATGAAATTGAAGGAATTGATGAACTTTAGGTAGATGTTTCTCTGCCAAAATAAATATTATTTCCTAAGAAAAACCTTAAAGTTTGATGGGGGGAAAGACAGGAACTTTGGGACTTCTACTTCTAGCCCATATGAAATACCAGGGACAAGATACGTCCTCTTGTCTTAAAGAAGTAAAGAACGGAATGAAATCTATGGAACAATAGTTTTAATACATGGAACAACAAACATTGCAGGAAAGTGATTTCTGAGGGAAGGAAAACAAATAACGTAAGCCCTATGTTTGTCTGAGGGAATTTCTAAAGAGAATTTCTAAGCCTCGGAACAGGTAGCGTAAACCAAAAAGGAGCCCGGTAGTCTCTCTGAGATGAGGAGTCAGAGTTCAGATTTTAAAGGGGCTAAGGTGCGGGCAATTAATGGAATGGAGTCAGAGAGAGGAAAAATCTTCAAAGACAAAGAGTTCCGAAGATCTATAGAGGGTTCACCCTTGAATCTTTACCTCATCATTGCATACGTTGAGGAAACTGTAAAGGCAATGAAAGAGCTACTACGAAGGAGCAGGTGGAACAATCCTTGGAGATCACACGGGTTTGGGAATAATACATCTTTCCACCAGCCAGACTGGAAAGACCTCCTAACACTTGAGACAATCAACTAGAGCTATCAAAAGAGTATTACCTCAGTAATGAAACCAATTAAGCTTGAAAAGTCACCAGCTTAACTATTCCAGCTTAATTGGCTCCATTACCTTCAGGTGATTTAGATTTTCTGTTTGAATGCCTAAGTAATTTTTTGTAATGTCATAATTGATTCAATGTTGATTTTTCTATATCAGTTTTGGCTATAATATGTTGTACCCTTTCAATCTGGTTATTAATGTCTTCTATTTCAAAGAAAATGTGGTATGCTATATTATATACCTTCTCTATTTATTTGTATTTATCTACTTTAGAAAATCTCCTATGTTGGATCATCTTTGTCTGTCTTCCATATCTACTATTTTTCTCCATAATTTCTTTTTCTTTTAAAAACTTTTATCTCTGTTTATCACTTTGCTAGGGCTGCCATAAAAAAATACCACAAACTGAGTGGCTTACACAATACAAATTTATTTTCCCACAGTTCTGAAAGCTGGAAGTCCAAGATCAAGGTAATGGCAGGATGGGTTTCTCCTGAGGTCTCTCTCCTTGGCTTGTAGAGCCCACTTTCTTGCCGTGTCCTCACATGACTCTTTCTCTGGGCATGTGCATTCCTAGTGTCTCTTCTCCTTCTTATAAGGGCATGAGTTCTATTGGATTAGGGCCTTACCCTTCTGACCTTATTTTAGCTTAATTACTTCTTTAAAGGGGTGTGTGTAAAACTTTTATTTTAGATTCAGGAGGTACATGTATAGGTTTGTTGCATAGGTATATTGTGTGATGTTGAGGTTTGGAATATAATTGATCCAATAACCCAGGTAGTGAGCATAGGAAATTTTTCAGCCTAAAGCCCCTATCTTTAAATATATCACATTTAAAGGTACTGGAAGTTAGAGCTTCAATGTATGAATTTGGCCGTGGGGGTGGACACAATTCAGCCCATAACATGTTGTGATAACATAGAGTTATCACAAGTATTTTCTATACTTTATTCATATATTTGCTATTCCTTGAAGTTTATGGTTTCTTGATTTTGAAATAGTGTTGTCTTCAATCCTTAGCTTTCAATCTCCACTTTCAATTTGTCTAGTGCTTCTCACTGGAACTTGCATTCTTGTTCTATTGTATCCATGTTCTCAAATCATGAAATACTCGTAGAAAATTACCTTCTGTTTTATGAGTCATATTTTCATCGAAATTGGATTCTTCATCTCTACTTTGAATAAATATCCCTTTCTTCTTTTTCACCCTGTAGAGTACTTGCATGATTGTGGTGGTTTTTCATTTCATTTTGTGTTTTGTTAACCTTGTTTCTACATAAGTTGGGAAGCTTTTCCCAGATCTCCTACTTATTCCGGTGGTGAGTTCCTTATTTCTTTTTTATTTAATTTGAGAATTGTATCTTCCTTTTGCTTCCACCAAGCATAATTTAGAAAATTCAAGGGGAGAAAGAAAGCCAATTGTATTTACCCATATCTTCACTCTTTCTATTGTTCTGTCTTCTTTTCTGTTGTCCTGAGATTCCTCCTTTTTTTGTTTTATTGTTGTTGTTGTTCATTTGTTTCAAGAGTTTCATTTTGTCGTTCTTTTGAATAGGTCTGCTGGTGACAAATTCTCTTGGTTTTCTGAATCTGAATATGTCTTGAATTCTTCTTTAATCCTGAAGTATATTTTTACTGGACAAAGAATTCTCAGTTGAAAGTTTTTTCTTTTAGCATTTAAAATGATATTCTATTTCTTTCTAGTCTCTATGATTTCTAATGAGAAATCACTCTTTTTCAAGTTATTTTTCCCCTACAGGTAAGGTGTTTCTTTCTTGCTAACTTCAAGATTTTTTTCTTTGTCTTTAGTTTTCAGAAATTTCACTGTGTTTTGTCTTAGTATGAATCTTTCATTTTATATTGCTTAAGTTTCTCTCAGCTTTCTGAATCTGAAAGTTTATGTCTTTCAGGAATTTTCAGCTATTACTGCTTTGAATACTTTTTTCAGCCCCACCCTTTTTCACCAATTCTTTTAGGACTCCAATGACACAATTGTTAGATCTTTTGTTAGAGTCCAATATGTCCCTGAAGCTCTCTTTGTTTGTTTTCAGTCTATTTACTCTTTATTTTTTAGATTGAGTAATTTCTATTGTACTGTCTTAAAGTTTACTGATTCTTTCTCTTGTCCTATTCATTCTTCTGTTGAGCCAATCCAATGAGCTTTTAAATTTTGGTTATTTTACTTTTCAGTTCTAAAATTTTTATTTGATTCTTCTTTATATCTTCTATTTCTTTGCCAAGGCTTCCTTTTGTGTTTCAAACATGTTCATAATTTCTTGTTGAAGCATTTTTATGATGGCTGCTTTAAACTCCTTGTCAGATAATTCCAACATCAGCATGGTGTCTGCTGGTTGTCTTTTCTTATTCAACTTGAGATTTTCTTGGTTCCTGATATGACGAGTGATTCTTGATTGTTTCTTGGACACTTTTGGTATTATGTTATGACACTTTGGATATTATTTAAGTTTTCTGTTTCAACAGACCTCCTGTGACACTCCACTGGTGGGAGAAGGGAGATGGTACCTTGTTTCTGTCAGGTGGGAGAAGTCTAAATCCCCCACGCAACATGCCAGAGGAAGACGGAAGGGATCCTCATTAGTGCTGGCAGTGTTGGAAGTGCAAACTTCCCACTAGGCCTTCCACCCTGACTGGGAGGGTGAAGGACACCTTGTTACTTTTCCCCACATGGTCTCTGCTGACACTGAGTTGGGGGATTTTTTTACCATTGGAAGTTGGTGAAAGTCGGACTTCTCACTTGGCCTTCTCTGACATCATGCTGGTGGGAAAGGGGAGGAATGCCTCATTACTACTAGGTTCGTTTGGAAGTTTTAGGCTCCCAATTTGGTCTCTACTGACACCCCTTGTCGTAGGGCATGGCTCCTTGCTGTGTGAAAGTTCAGGGTCCTGACTCAGCTTTTGCTGATGTGCTAGCCATGAAGCTGCAGTTTTTTCAGAATGTTTGGTTGGGTTAGAGGAGTTAGTTATTGTCTGAAAGTTTTCTATCTTACTAAACTGTCCCTTTCACCATCCTTTGACTAGACAGAGTCACCTTTTCTTGTTGTTTATTGTTTGTTTCTGTCTGTGCCCATTGTGATTTCTGAGTTGCCAGCTTGTCCCTAACCCAGTATGGGATACATGAAGCAAAAAAGAAACCCAGGGAACTCACCTCTCTGTCTTTTTTCAGGTTTCTAAATCCCTATTCAGTTGTTTCTCTTCTTTCCACCTTTCAGCATTATGTTTTGTTTGTTTCGTATGTAATGTCTGGAAATTTTAGCTGTAAAGTGGGAAGAATAGGGAGAAGGTTGTCTACTCCAAATTGTCCTGTGTCTTCCTTTTTCAACAACAATGTGAGAGCTGGATATTGAGTTCAATCCACTTTTCTATAACCTGATGTTATAGAAACGTGGTAGCAGGAGAGCTCTGTGCAATTGTGAATTGCCTTAATTAGAGAAACTGTAGTTTGTTTTGTCTTTAAACTTTGTTCCTAGCTTTCATATTGGAAGATACCCTTGCATATTTCTCCACATGAGAACTTATGTCTGAGAGAGTCTCTTCTGGTTATTTTATTACCGTTGATCTTCTAACAATGTGGGAGTTAAGCGTGCCAGCCCCCTGTGCAGTCAAAAATCTGCACATAACTTTTGACTCCCCCAAACTTAACTACTAATATCCTACTGTTGACCAGAAACCTTAAAGCCTTACTGATAACATAAACCATTGATTCATATGTTTTTATGTTATACATATTTTATATATATGTTATATATATCTATATATATAGCTAAAGAAAAGAAAATGTTATTAAGAAAATCATAAAGAAGAGAAAATATATTTACTATTCATTAAGTGGAAGTGGATCATCATAAAGGCTTTATCCTCATCATTTCCCATGGATTAGGCTGAGGAGGAAGAAGAGGGTTGGTCTTGCTGTGTTTCAGAGAAGACAGAGGAAGAAGAAAATTTCTGTATAAGCAGACCCACATAGTTCAAACCCATGTTCAAGGTGACACTGTACTTTGTTTTACCTACTTCTTGCTATGTAACTTTCGTACATGCATGCATTCTAACATAAAATAATTTTTCAAAGGGAGAGGTAAAGTACAAAATTCAACCAATCTTCTCTCCTACTCTTACAGTATCAGTGGAAACTCTCAGGATTTGTTGACTCACCAGTACTGTTTCTGACGTGTTGAATGGGTTAGATCAAGGTTTCTCAACTTTGAGGCTATTGACTTTTTGGTTCAAATACTTCCTTGTTTTTGCCCTGAGTAATGTTGGTTATTTAACGGCATCCCTGGCCTCTACCTACTAGTAGAATATGCCCCACTTGTAAGAACAAAATATGTCTCCAGACATTGCCAAATGTCCCTTGAGTGGCAAAAAATCAGTCCTGGTCGAGACCCACTGGGTTAGAACAAGTGCTATATTATTCTTTCCTTAATCCTCATTTTTCATTCCTTGGCAGATCTGTTAACATTTATGTCAGAAGATTGCACTTTTTTCCTGTTTGTTTACTGCCAAAATAGCTTTGGGATCCACTCTACTAGATTTTATTCAATTCATTTAACACTGAGGTAGAGTTTTCTCCTCTTTATTCTTCCTTTATTCATATTTTTACTCTTTGAACTTTTCCTGCATCGATATTCTCTAATGTGGAGAAGAAAACATTAATACACATGGCTTTGCTGGCTCCTCCATGTCTCTTCTATTTCTTCCAAATACTTCAAATAAGTTGTATACATGACATCTGTTATTACCTGCCATTTGATTATTAAATAATCTCCTAAATACAATAGGCCCATTAGTTTTCATCCTGGTTGATGTCTTTTTTATCTTTTACCTCTTCTTGAATCATAGTAGTACCTTAGAGACCTCATCTACTTTGTTAGCCTCAACTCTTCACTATGAAGATCACCAAAAGAGCAAGTCTAACATGGCATCTTACCTGTGCTCTAGTTTCATAGCTCTATTTTCACAAAGTATCTACTTGCGCGTCCCAAATCTGACATATTTGAAACAAGCTTGTCATCATTTCCTGCAAATCACTTCCCCTCTGCGTTTCTTATTTCTATCATGTACCCAAGTATCCTTTGTATTTCCACTTCAACTACTGTAATGTTTCCTTTGTTACCTCATGCCTGGGGTATTTGAAATAGCTTCCTACTTATCTTCCTGTTTCTAGTCTCTCACATACCACCTGGTATCAGATCAATCTTACTTAAGTTACACTTTTGTAATATTAAGTTCCTGTTAAAACCAAAACTAAACAAACAAAAACTTCAATCATCATTCTTCTTTACTACTTTCAGAATGTGGTGCCAGAGGGATCAAATATAGAGACAATGGTACCTAAGATTATACTTCACAATCAAACTAGATAGTGGGTTAATGTTAGTGTGCAAGTCTGCAACTTATTTAAAGACATTCCAATTTGCCTTTCTATAAAACTACATAAACTAGCTTAGATCACCAGAACAGAAATAACCACTTCTACAGTAACTCCTCTGAATTGTTTTATTATTTATTTAAATATTCACTGTTCTGCAATTATTCTAAAATATATTCGTAAGAAAACATGAATAAATATGGAAACAGTGTGATATGTTGGCTTGGGTGTGCTTGTGGTTAAACTTTTTTTTCTTTCCTTTAGAATTCTATTAATAGTAGTGCAATGTTTTTTATAAGCAAAAAGCTACAAAAATTAAAAGCAAAATATATTTATGATTTTATTTTTAAATTGGAATCAAAAACCTTGGAATGTTTTGCTCCATAAATGGATATAGGAATGTTTGCAACATAGACATTGTCGGAGGTAACCTGGATTATCATACAATAAAGTGGCAGTGATCAATCTTCTCTTTAAGAAGAGATAACTGATAAATTTTAAAGTTTGGCCTTGAAACCCAGCCCCAAAGGCGACTCAAAGTCTGTCCCATTTCCTCTCCATGAGTCCTTCCTTATTCAACCAAAAATTGAGGAGCATAAAACGAGTTGTCTTAAGTACTGTGTTTAGCTGCACCGAGGGGTGAAGTGTTGATGGAAAACCATGTGAATGGCTGCCTACTTACCAGCCTCATCTTATCCCATTCTCCTTTTCCCTCCTTATATTACAGCCATGCAATCATTTCAGTGCTTCAAATTTCACAGCTCCTTCCCATGTCACAGGAGCCACATGCATTTTCCTCTTCTAGCATGTTCCCCTACCTGTCCCTACCTCAGTTACTTTATTCCCACTCATCCTTCATGCCTCAATTTAAGTGTCAAGTCCTGGTTGATACTTAGAAATGGTGACTAAAGACAGGATTGCCCCCCGCCCACAACTCCTTTTTCCTATAAGAAATCATTCAAAAACAAGGAGAAAGAAAAACCAGAAATACTAACGTTATCTCCCACAACTTTAGCAGGTAGATGTAACTTTGAGCTGTAGGAAGGGAGGAAGAAATGCCAGATACAGGCAAGATAAAGTGGAAGTGCAAAAAGACACTCTGAGATGACTTTTAAAAAAGGTAGTATTTACCGTATTCTTACAATGCCACATGTACATGCATTATCTGCATGCCTTTTCAGGGATTGACCTCCTGTATTAGCCATTACAGCACTCAGTGAGATAAATGCTATTATGATTAGCCCTTTACTGCAGAAATAGAGTCATGCAGCTATTATGTGGCAGAGCTGTAATTCCAAATCAGAACTCACAGCACTGCCGCTGTGCTATGAGCAACGTGCAAATACCCAATTCATAAGGAATTTCCGTCATTCAAAGTTGAGTATTACCACAAAGTAAGCACACTGAATCTATGGAATTACTTCAAAAAAAAAAAAAAAGAAAAAGAAAAGAAAAAACTGTTGAAGGAATGGGGAAAACAAATAGTACAAATGGCAGATGAAGAATATATCCCAGAAGATTTTTGTTATGAACCAGAAGAAAAGTATTACCAAATATATTGCCATGAATTTAAAACATTTAATGAAAGAAATACTTATATAAAATGATGACTCAAAATACATCTAAAGAGTTTGGGAGGAAATGTGCTGAGAAGAGAAAAAAATCAAAGATGAGTGGAAAAGAGAAGTAAAATCTCATTCAAAATGAGAGTTAAAGTAGAATAAAGGAGAATAGTTACTACTGAAAGCATAGCATATAAAGGAGAAGATTTCAAAAATAAATAAGATTAAAGAAAAATGATAAATCTAGAGATAAAAATGAAGATTAAATATGCATAATGGATATCCCTAAAGAAAATCGACACATAATTGAACAGAAGCATAGATATAGCTTAAGGTCCCAGAAATAAAATAAGACATTAATCAAAAGACTGAAAAGACATACACTTTATAATAGTTACTGGCTATTTTCATCAATTTTTGCCTTAGGAAGAAGTATCAGACCATGATACGATTGTGATCCCTGGGAAGGAAGGAAAGAAGGAAGGAAGGAAGGAAGGAAAAGGGAAGGATGGAGAAGGGGAGAGAGGGAGGAAGGAAGGAAGGCCCTTGACTGTAATGCATTTCTGAGAAAATTTTGACAAAACCAGTGGAGAATCCTCTGGCCAACACTGTCCATTACAGGAGCATCACATCTCCCAGGAATAGTCCTGCCTTCGTATCCCTGCCACACTTTGTCACTGAGTAGGAGCATCTCATGGGAAAGCACAGCCACCTCCCAAACATAGTGTTGGGTTTCAGAGCATAACAGCTGAGGCCCTTTGTCAATTATGTTTCCTGCAGCAGGACAACTTAGAAGTGTGTTTTCACGGCTGTAATAGATGGAATTATGCATTTATCTCCATTCCCTTTCAAAACTCTACTGAAAGGGTGGTATAGAAATTAAAAGACCAACACACACACACACACACACACGAAAAGAATTGGAGAAAAGAATAGCATATGTCAACAACATTTTGAAATTGGAGAGCAGGTGGTAATTGACACAGCAGACCAGAAAAGGCTGAAACTTAGGCCAGTATGCGCGTGAAGCTCCTTAGAAACAGAAACAAAATGATTGCTCTCATCGTAACTCAAATATTAAAGGTAACTGGTAGCTCTGAAGACAGAAAGGCAGGGCAAGTTCTGATTGTAGGTATTTTTAAAAATCAGTTAAACCCCTTCATCCCTTCCCTACCCCAAATAGCCATGAGACCTCCTCTCCTGAGCCTCAGCAGATCTCTGGATATTACTTGCTGGAGAACCTGAAACATACAGACTAACTCTGCACTTGGGGACATCATGAATACCTTGTGGGTAGGAGTAACATAAGTTTACTTACTGAGAGGTGAGAACCACTCCTTCGACTTTCTCTTCTCATGTCCCAGAACTGTAGCAAATATGCTTAATCCTTGCCCAATCTCAACTCACAACTGAGAAGTTTCTCTCAGGTGGAAGTGACTGAAATACTGTATGTTCTCCCTTATCAGTGGGAGCTAAATGATGAGAACTCATGGTCATAAAGAAGGGAACAACAGACACTGGGTTCTACTTGAGGGTGGAGGGTGGGAGGAGGCAGATGATCAGAAAAAAAATAACTATTGAGTAGTAGGCTTAGCACTTGGGGGATGAAATAATCTATACAACAAGCACAAGTTTACTTACATAACAAACCTGCACATGAACTCCTGAACCTAAAATAAAAGGTTTTTAAAAAAGAAATGACAGGTTACAAGGGAAAAGACCACCAAAGAAAGGACTACGTCTCCCCTAATAGCTCCCAGTTTCCAAGCCCCATCAATGAATATTGAGTTCCAATTCACTTTGTAGTTCCTCACTCTTAAATATGAGTTGACACCCAATGATCACTAACATTTGAAGAAAGTCTCTAATACAAAAGACAGACAAAATGAAGAAAAACAATTGTGGAAATAGAGAACGAAAGGAGCAGCAGAAAACTAAGAAAAGTAATAACTCAGAAATATAACACATTACATCCATAAAACGAGAACATGCACATGTATACAGATGTTCCTCTACTTATGAAGGGGTTATGTCCCAATAAACTCATGGTAAGTTGAAAATATTACAAGTTAAAAATGCATTTAGTATGCCTAACCTACTGAACATCATTGCTTCACCTATCGTACTTTAAACATGCTCTTTTTCTTCTTACCGGAGGGAGGAGACACAGTTGGACATTTTGTAGACATGATGGGATGCAAAAACACAAAACACAATATCCAAAAATTGCTGGCAACAGAATACCCTTTGGAGTATCAGTTGTTTACTCTCATGATTGCATGGCTGATTGGAAACTGCTGCTCACTGCCACTGCCCAGCATCACTAGAGGATCATACTGAGTATCGCTACCCTAGGAAAAGATTGAAATTCAAAGTAAGGTTGCTACTGAATGTGTATCACTTTTGCATCATCATAAAGTTGAAAAATTGTAAGTCGAACCATTGTAAGTCAGAGATTGTCTGTATTTACACATGAAACATTCAAAAAAGAAATTTTCTAAATTCATTGTCAGCACAAATTAAAATTTCCAAATAAAAATTAATAGATTAGCTGGGCATGGTGGCACACACCAGCAACTTGGGAGGCTGAGGTGGGAGGATAGCTTGAGCCCATGCAGTCGAGGCTGCAATGAACCATGATTGCCCTACTGCACCACTCCTGCCTGGGCAACAGAGTGAGACCTTGTCTCCAAAAAAAAGAAAAAAAAGAAAAAGAAAAGAAAATTAATAGATTGTCAAGAGTTCACATCCAAATATTTAGATTTACAAGAAAAAAGAAAATGAAAGGAAAGTATTAAATAATAAAAATTTTCTTATTATTGAATATTAGCTTGGTGGAAAGTAATTGTGGTTTTTCCCATTAAAAGTAGGTTATCTAGATTAAAAGAGTTGAGTGAATGCCAGCACACTGAATGGAAAACTTATCTCCCCTGAGGTAGATTGTTGAAAATGTCTAGATCAAAGATAAAAAAGTTTCTTAAAAAGAAAACAAACAAATGCTTTGAGAATCAGACTGGCCAAAGACTTTACAATATTAGTGCTAGAAGACAATGAAGCAATTTCTGAAAATTTTGATGGAATTACTTCCAACATATAATTCCAGATTCAGCCAAATGATAAATTGTGAGGGTGGAACAAAAATAATTTGAGACATGCAAGGTCTCAAGAGCTTTTCTCCCAAGCACACTTTCTCAGAAGGCTAATTGGAGATGTGACTTTGTAAAATAAGCACATAATAAAAAATGAAGAAGATGTGCAGGTAACAAGAACTCCAGATGGGAAAGGAAACTCCTAGGATGTGGATAAGGGGAAGTTCTAGGTTGAGAGCTGAGCAAAGCCTTGAAATCTCACAGCTCAGAATACAGCAGAAGGACACAGGGACACAGGAAAGACATTTCAAGAAGAAAATGAAGTTTTTAGAGTACTTGATGTGTTTGAACATATTTTAGGGAAGTTTTAAATTCTTATAAGACTTTTTTAAGACTTTGGGACGGCTACACACACACAAAAATACACAAACATAAAGCAGCCAATTTTTAACTTCGGAAAACAAACAAAAAAATGAAAAACCCAAAAAGTTGCACAAGAAAGGAAATATGATCATACAATACCATAGAGCTCAGTGGTCAATGAATAGTAGTTATATAGTCATGATAAAACCACTAAAAATTGATTTAACTCCAAACGTTGAGGAAGGGAAAAAGAGGGGAAGTGTGTAGTTGTACGTATGTGTGTATGCATGGATGATGTGGGTTGAATTGTAAAAGATCTAAGTCCTCCATTGTAAGAAATCAATGGATAATATCTTTAACTGAAAAATTTTGAAAGAGCATCACTTATTAGGACATAGACACACACCAAAACAAATATCTAAGAGCATTGAAAGTTGCTGCCTTGGGGTAATAGGAATTGGGAGTGGAGATGGATAGGACAGGTAAAAATTAACATTTGACAAAAGAGTGAATACTATGAGTATTAGTCAGAATATTTTAGTCACTTCAGTTACTTTAAACTTCTTCAAATCAACATTCAATACTAAAAGGAGGTGGAAGAGTGCTTGTAAAATGTTTAAGAAACAAATTGTCATCCTAAAGTTTTCTTTCTTTTTAAACTGTTTTACAAGTGTAAAGGCAACAACAAATATATTTTTTTAATGTACAAGAACTCAAGGAATAATGATCCCATGAGCTCCTTGATGAGGTCAAACAGCAGCCAATCAAATTACAAGTGAAGAAACTATAGCCAAGGGATTGCCCAAAAACATTTAATTTAATTGGTGAAACTAAAGCAAATTGTGAGGAAAATGGTCCAGAACAGATGATAAATGTTATAAATTATGACAAAGTATAAATTAAAAAACTAAAAGTCAGGGGGAAGCAGGGAAGAAGATGAAAGATAAATATGTAGATTTTTCAATCTTTTATAACCAGGGTAAAAAGATAAAGGAGTAATGCAGATATAATTTTACTTTAAGGCATAAACAAAAACACTAAGAAAAATAACACAATCAAATAAAACAGGTGGTTGAGGGGTAGGAAGTTAGGAAGGAGAAAGGAAATATGCAAATTTTGCCGTTACTCAGAGTGGCTTGGGGTCAATTTTCTACAAGTCATTCTGCAAACTGGCCATAAAGCAAATTGACTTTTGGTGAATCTGTTCAGTGAATTAGCTTTGGGAAAATATGCTTCTGGTGAATCAGCCTGTTTCTGCTTGAATAAGAAGCTACTAAATACTGCCTGAAGAAACAGAGGATTAAATACACATACACACACACATAATATACAATACCTTATATATATAAATATTTTATATAAAATTACGGTGCATAACGATAATACTAAAACAAAGACATAAGCCTTTCGAGCAATCAGAAGTATTACACATAAACACACACAAGGAAAGGAAATCGTGAAGGATTATTTTAAAGCGATAAAACAGAAAGCATAACAAAATATGGCAAAACTAAACCCAAATATAACTGTCATCTCAATAGGTAAAAATGAGCTAAAGTTATCCATTTAAGAAAATCTAACTGGATTTTAAAAACCCTTAACCGTATCCTGGATATGAGGCACTACAAAGAATAATTTACTAACAGTTGTGAAACCAGGCTGCCTGGATTTAAATGTATGTGATTTGGGGCAGCTTACTTAATAAGTCAGTGCCTCAGTTTCTTTCTTAATAAAATGAAGAGTGAACTAAATTTAACTCACAGAATTATTGGAAAGAATTAGTAAGCTAATATACACAGCATATTTAGAATGGTGCCTATCACATAATAAAAGCTCAGTAAATACTAGCTCATCATTACATTAGACATATCTAAACCAAACCAATTTGCAAAGGTTGAAAATAAGATGATCAAAGGTATATTGATCAAATGCCAATACAAAGAAAGTAAGGGTTTGGATGGCAGTACCAGAAAAGATCAAAGTAAGGTTAGGAGCTTTAAACAAAACAAAGAAGGGGACATTATTATGTTGATAAGCACAACATTAATATTCAGAAAGTAAAAAACACATGAAATAAATAGAAAAATTGGAAGGAACCATTAGGGATCATACCAGGTCAAGATGATTTCACTGGTGAATCCTACCAAACTTTTAAAAATAGGTAATTCCAATGCCATTAAACTGTTCCAGAGCAAGAAAAAGAAGAAAAGTTTTTGAATTGTTTTTATAAATTACCATAAAAATTATTCTAAAACCTGATAATAAAAAAAGAAAGATATATACAGACCAATCTCACTTACTAATATAAATACAAAAGTTCTAAATAAACTGTTAGCAAAGGATCTGGCAGCATATTAAAAGGATACTACACTGTGACACAATATTTGGAAATCTGTTAATACAATTTATCATTATATGTCAAAAGAGGAAAAACACCTATGTTCAATTCCATAAATGCTAAAAATTAAATTGTAATAAACAGCTATCATTTTTGACAAAAAACTGTTATTAAAACAATAGATGACTCTTTCCTTGAGATAAAAATAAATGTATATATTGAATAAAAATGTATGGGGCTGTACTAAAAGCATTCCTATTAATGAACAGGATAAAACAAGTATGTCTAATATCACTGCTATTATTTAACATTTTTTCAGCAAGTATCATCCAATGTAGTTAGAGAAAGGAAGGAAGTAGTAACATATAATTTTGCTAAGGGATTAAATGTTGTGCAGAAAAAAACTAAGATAATGAACTGAAATATATTATTACATAAAAGAACATACCATAAGGTGGTGAGATTCAAATTTATAATCAGAAGTCAACAGTTTTTACATATGCAAACAAGATATAATGAAAAAGAAGTGTCCATTTACAATAGCAAAAAAAAGTTAAACAGTGTTGGGTTGCAGAGGATGCTACCCCAAAGTATGGTGCTTTGGCATGCTGAGCACGTTTGAATTAAAGGCAATTGGAGGTCTTTAGAAACTGCCTCAAAACCAAAGACTTTCTAACTTTCTTTTGCTCCCAACCCCTACAAGTACAGGAAGGGACTCTCTCTGGAAGTTGCCTTATCTGACTGAGAAAAACTTCTTAAAAAAAAAAAATGCCATTGTCTTAAGACTCCCTCCCTGAGAATATCATCAAATAACCAGAAAAGATTAACCTCCAGAGAAGAGAAGACACTAAAAGTCATCACTGCACCCAGACAGATTTTTCATCTGTTCTTCTGAACACTTCCCTGAGAGATTACCTAAGAGACTCTGCATAATATGGTGACCTTTGTTCACAATGCAATTCTCCCGTCACCTTCCCATAACTTGTTGATCCCATTCAGCTTCCAAAGAGAATCATTTACAATAACTTCCTATTGACTGTGCTTTGGGCATATTCAATTCCCTTGAAAACCATTTACTATCTCTCAAAATTGTCCACATCCCCTGATCTCCCTGTCTTCTATGAAGAGGGTGCTATTTAACCCTCAGCTATCTGGCCTTTCTTTGATTCTCATATTTGTGGGACTCCCATGTACATGTGCACAGTAATAAATGTATATGCCTTTTTTCTCCTGTCAGTCTGTCTATTGTCCTTTTATTTATCAGATTCTGACATCAAACCTCTAGCAGGAATAGGGACAATTCCCCTGCCTCTACAATTGCTAGGAATAAACTTAAGAAATGGGCAAGATCTACATGAGTAGAACTTTTTTTTTTTTTTTTTTGGAGACAGAATCTCACTCTGTCACCCAGGCTGGAGTGCAATGGCATGATCTCGGCTCACTGCAATCTCCGCCTCCTGGGTTCAAGTGATTCTCCTGCCTTAGCCTATTCAGTAGCTGGGATTACAGGTGCACGCCACCACACCCAGCTAATTTTTGTATTTTCAGTAGAGATGGGGTTTCACCATGTTGGCCAGGCTGGTCTTGAACTCCTGACCTCATGATCTGCCCACCATGGCCTCCCAAAGTGCTGGGATTACAGGTGTGAGCCACCGTGCTGGGCCAAATAGAACTTTTTAAATGCTATTAAAGAACATAAAAGAAGACCTAAACAACTGAAAAGGCATACCATGATTTGGGCCAAGAAGATTCAGCATCAGAAAGATTTTAATTCTGCCTGAAGTTATCAATAAACTTTTCAAAATCCCAATAAATGTACTGATAGAATTTTTTTTTTTTGAAATTAGATGAGCTGGGGCCGGGCGCGGTGGCTCACGCCTGTAATCCCAGCACTTTGGGAGGCCGAGGCGGGTGGATCATGAGGTCAGGAGATCGAGACCATCCTGGCTAACAAGGTGAAACCCCGTCTCTACTAAAAATACAAAAAATTAGCCGGGCGCGGTGGCGGGCGCCTGTAGTCCCAGCTACTCGGGAGGCTGAGGCAGGAGAATGGCGTGAACCCGGGAAGCGGAGCTTGCAGTGAGCCGAGATTGCGCCACTGCAGTCCGCAGTCTGGCCTGGGCGACAGAGCGAGACTCCGTCTCAAAAAAAAAAAAAAAAAAAAAAAAAAAGAAATTAGATGAGCTGATACCGAAAATAAGCAAGAATAGCCAGAAAAATCTTGGAAAACAAGAATAATGAATGGGGGCAAAACCTATTAAATATTAAAATATAATGTTAAAATAGGTTAGTACTGTAGCTGGGCATGGTGGTGTGTACCTACAATCCCAGCTACTCAGGAGGCTAAAGCAGAAGGATTTCTTGAGTACAGCAGTTGGAGACCAGCCTGGGCATCATAGAAAGGCTACATCTCTACAAGAAAATAATCATAATAGTGTATTGACACACATGCATAAAGAGTCAACTCAATGAAAAATAATAGAAAGTCCAGAAATTGATCTAAATATAGAAATTTAGTACATGATAAAGGTGTCATTTTAAGTCAGTGGGAAAAAGTTGGATAGGTAGTTATAGTAGGCTGAATAATGGCCCCCAAAGATATCCAGGTCCTAATTGCTGGAACCTATAAATGCTACCTTAAATAGCAGAAGGTATTTTGTAGTTTTCTTATTTATTTTTTACTGTGTTAAAATATACATAACATAAAATTTACCATTTTAACCATTTTTAAATGTGCAGTTTAGTGGCATTAAGTCCATTCACATTGTTCTGCAACCATACTACCATCAATTTCCAGAACTTCTTTATCTTCTAAAACTGAAACTCTGTACCCATTAAACAGTAACACCTGATTTTCCTCTTTCTCCAGGCTCTGGCAACCACCATTCTAGTTTCTGTCTTTGTGAATATAACTACTCTAGCTACCTAATATAAGTGGAATCATACAGTATTTGTCCTTTTGTAATGGGCTTATTTCACTTAGTATAATGCCTCCAAGGTTCATTCATGCTGTAGCATGTGTTAGGATTTCTTTCTTTGTTTTTTTTTAAAGCTAAACGATGTTTCATTGTATGTATATACCACATTGTGTTTATCCATTCATCTGTCGATGCACACTTGGGTTGCTTTCACCTTTTGGCTATTGTGAATAATGCTATTATGAACATAGGTATACAAATATCTGCTTGAATCCCTGCTTCCACTCCTTTTGGGTGTATACTCAGAAATGGATTTGCTCTATTACATGATAATTCTATATTTAATTTTTTTTGAGGAACCATCTTATTGTTCTCCACAGTGGCTCCACCACTTCACCACCAGCAGTGCACAAGTGTCCTGATTTCTCTGCATGCTCACCAACACTTATTTTCTAGATTGTTGGGTTGTTTTTGTTTTTTGGTTTGGTTTTTTGATAATGCCCATCTTTGATTTCAGTCCAGTGAAACCCATTTCCAACTTCTGGACTCCAGAACTGTTAGAGAATATATTTTTATGGTTTTAAGCCACTAAATTCATGGTTGTGTGCTATAGCAGCAATAGAAAACGTATACTGGGTTCCCTCTTTTTCCATTGATTGAAATAGATTCAGAAGGAATGGTACCAGCTCCTCTTTGTACCTCTGGTAGAATTCGGCTGTGAATCCGTCTGGTCCTGGACTTTTTTTGGTTGGTAGGCTATTAATTATTGCCTCAACTTCAGAGCCTATTATTGTTCTGTTCAGAGATTCAACTTCTTCCTGGTTTGGCCTTGGGAGGGTGTATGTATCCAGGAATTTATCCATTTCTTCCAGATTTTCTAGTTTATTTGTGTAGAGGTGTTTATAGTATTCTCTGATTGTATTTCTGTGGGATCAGTGGTGATATCCCCTTTATCATTTTTTATGGCATTTATTTGATTCTTTTCTCTTTTCTTCTTTACTAGTCTTGCTAGCGGTCAATCAATTTTGTTGATCTTTTCAAAAAACCAGCTCCTAGATTCATTGATTTTCTGAAGGGTTTTTTGTGTCTCTATCTCTTTCAGTTCTGCTCTGATCTTAATTATTTCTTGCCTTCTGCTAGCTTTTGAATGTGTTTGCTCTTGCTTCTCTAGTTCTTTTAATTGTGATGTTAGGGGATCGATTTTAGATCTTTCCTCCTTTCTCTTGTGGGCATTTAGTGCTATAAATTTCCCTCTACACACTGCTTTAAATGTGTCCCAGAGATTCTGGTATGTTGTTTCTTTGTTCTCATTAGTTTCAAAGAACATCTTTATTTCTGCCTTCATTTCGTTAGGTACCCAGTAGTCATTCAGGAGCAGGTTGTTCAGTTTCCATGTAGTTGAGTGGTTTTGAGTGAGTTTCTTAATCCTGAGTTCTAATTTGATCGCACTGTGGTCTGAGAGACAGTTTGCTGTGATTTACATTCTTTTACATTTGCTGAGGAGTGCTTTACTCCCAACTATGTGGTGAGTTTTGGAATAAGAGCGATGTGGTGCTGAGAATAATGTATATTCTGTTGATTTGGGGTGGAGAATTCTGTAGATGTCTATTAGGTCCACTTGGTGCAGAGCTGAGTTCAAGTCCTGGATATCCTTGTTAACCTTCTGTCTTGTTGATCTGTCTAATATTGACAGTGGGATGTTAAAGTCTCCAATTATTATTGTGTGGGAGTCTAAGTCTCTTTGCAGGTCTCTAAGGACTTGCTTTATGAATCTGGGTGCTCCTGTATTGGGTAGATATATATTTAGGATAGTTAGCTCTTCTTGTTGAATTGATCCCTTTACAATTATGTAATGGCCTTCTTTGTCCCTTTGATCTTTGTTGGTTTAAAGTCTGTTTTATCAGAGACTAGGATTGCAACCCCTCTTTTTTTTTTTTTTTTTTTTTTTTTTGCTTTCCATTTGCTTGGTAGATCTTCCTCCATCCCTTTATTTTGAGTCTATATGTGTCTCTGCACGTGAGATGGGTTTCCTGAATACAGCACACTGATGGGTCTTGACGCTTTATCCAGTTTGCCAGTCTGTGACTTTTAATTGGAGCTTTTAGCCCAGTTACATTTAAGGTTAGTATTGTTATGTGTGAATTTGATCCTGTCATTATGATGTTAACTGGTTATTTTGCTCCTTAGTTGATGCAGTTTCTTCCTAGCCTTGATGGTCTTTACAATTTGGCAAGTTTTTGCAGTGGCTGGTACCGGTTGTTCCTTTCCATGTTTAGTGCTTCCTTCAGGAGGTCTTGTAAGGCAGGCCTGGTGGTGACAAAATCTGTCAGCATTTGCTTGTCTTAAAGGATTTTATTTCTCCTTCACTTATGAAGCTTAGTTTGGCTGGATATGAAATTCTGGGTTGAAAATTCTTTTCTTTAAGAATGTTGCACATTGGCCCCCACTCTCTTCTGGCTTGTAGAGTTTCTGCCGAGAGATCCGCTGTTAGTCTGATGGGTTTCCCTTTGTGGGTAACCAGACCTTTCTCTCTGGCTGCCCTTAACATTTTTTCCTTCATTTCAACCTTGGTGAATTTGATAATTATGTGTCTTGGGGTTGCTCTTCTCGAAGAGTATCTTTGTGGTGTTCTCTGTATTTGCTGAACTTGAATGTTGGCCTACCTTGCAGGTTGGGGAAGTTCTCCTGGATGATATCCTGAAGAGTGTTTTCAAACTTGGTTCCAGTCTTCCCATCACTTTCAGGTAAACCAGTCAAACATAGATTTGGTCTTTTCACATAGTCCCATATTTCTTGGAGGCTTTATTCATTTCTTTTTACTCTTATTTCTCTAATCTTGTCTTCTCGCTTTATTTCATTAATATTATCTTCAATCACTGATACCCTTTCTTCCACTTGATCAAATCGGCTATTGAAGCTTGTGCATGCATCACAAAGTTAATACCGAATGGGCAAAAACTGGAAGCATTCCCTTTGAAAACCGGCACAAGACAAGAAAGCCCTCTCTCACCCCTCCTACTCAACATAGTGTTGGAAGTTCTAGCCAGGGCAATCAGGCAACAGTAAAAAATAAAGGGTATTCAATTAGGAAAAGAAGAAGTCAAATTGTCCCTGTTTGCAGATGACATGATTATATATTTAGAAAACCCCATTGTCTCAGCCCAAAATCTGCTTAAGCTGATAAGCAACTTCAGCAAAGTCTCAGGATACAAAATCAATGTGCAAAAATCACAAGCATTCTTATACACCAATAACAGATAGACAGCCAAATCATGAGTGAACTCCCATTCACAATTGCTACAAAGAGAATAAAATACCTAGGAATCCATCTTACAAGAGATGTGAAGGACCTCTTCAAGGAGAACTGCAAACCACTGCTCAGCAAAATAAAAGAGGACACAAACAAATAGAAGAAGATTCCACGCTCATGCATAGGAAGAATCAATATCGTGAAAATGGCCATACTGCCCAAGGTAATTTATAGATTCAATGCCATCCCCATCAAGCTACCAATGACTTTCTTCACAGAATTGGAAAAAATTACTTTTGAAGTTCATATGGAACCAAAAAAGAGCCCATATAGCCAAGACAATCCTAAGCAAAAAGAACAAAGCTGGAGGTATCATGCTACCTGACTTCAAACAGTACTACAAGGTGACAGTAACCAAAACAGCATGGTACTGGTACCAAAACAGGTATCTAACAAATGGAACAGAACAGAGCCCTCAGAAATAACACCACACATCTACAAACATCTGATCTTTGACAAACCCAACAAAAACAAGAAATAGGGAGAGGATTCCCTATTTAATAAATGGTGCTGGGAAAACTGGCTACCCACATGTAGAAAGCTGAAACTGGATCCCTTCCTTACACCTTATACAAAAATTAATTCAAGATGGATTAAAGACTTAAATGTTAGACCTAAAACCATAAAAACCCTAGAAGAAAACCTTGACAATACTATTCAGGACATAGGCATGGCCAAGGACTTCATGACTAAAACACCAAAACCAATGGCAACAAAAGCCAAAATAGACAAATGGATCTAATTAAACTGAGGAGCTTCTGCACAGCAAAAGAAACTACTGTCAGAGTGAACAGGTAACCTGCAGAATGGCAGAAAATTTTTGCAATCTACCCATCTGACAAAGGGCTAATATATGGAATCTACAAAGAACTCAAACAGATTTACAAGAAAAAAACAAACAACCCCATCAAAAAGTGGCAATGGATATGAACAGACACTTCTCAAAAGAAGACATTTATGCAGTCAACAGACACATGAAAAAATGCTCATCATCACTGGCCATCAGAGAAGTGCAAATCAAAACCACAATGAGATACCATCTCACACCAGTTAGAATGGTGATCATTAAAAAGTCAGGAAACAACAGATGCTGGAGAGGATGTGGAGAAATAGGAACACTTTTACACTGTTGGTGGGACTGTAAACTAGTTCAACCATTGTGGAAGACAGTGTGGTGATTCCTCAAGGATCTGTAACTAGAAATACCATCTGACGCAGCCATCCCATTCCTGGGCATATACCGAAAGGATTATAAATCATGCTGCTATAAAGACACATGCACACATATGTTTATTGCGGCATTATTCACAATAGCAAAGACTTGGAACCAACCCAAATGTCCATCAATGATAGACTGGATTAAGAAAATGTGGCACAAATACACCATGGAATACTATGCAGCCATAAAAAAGGATGAGTTCATGTCCTTTGCAGGGACATGGTTGAAACTGGAAATCATAATTCTCACAAACTATCACAAGGACAGAAACACCGCATGTTCTCACTCATAGGTGGGAATTGAACAATGAGATCACCTGGACACAGGGTGGGGAACATCACACACTGGGGCCTGTTGGGGGCTGGGGGCCTGGGGGACAGATAGCATTAGGAGAAATACCTGATTTAAATGATGACTTGATGGGTGCAGCAAACCAACATGGCGCATGTATATCTATCTATCAGACCTGCACGTTGTTCACATGTATCCTAGAACTTAAAGTATAATAATAATTAAAATAATAATAAAAAATAAAGAAAATGAATACTGGGGCTAATTAACAAATTATAGCAATGCATACCATGAAATATCATGCAGCCATGACAGATGATCGGCTGGGCTCTCTATGTATTAGGCAAAGAAGCAAGAAATGAACAGCATGTAGAGTATGCCACCTGTTGTGAGGATGTTTTAAAATAGACATACAAGGAAGCTGGTACCTTGAAGCAGGGTGCTAAATGATGAGGTGGTGAATGGTAAGAAAACTGATGCTAGTGGCTGGAATAAC
This sequence comes from Homo sapiens, assembly GCF_000001405.40. Lineage (NCBI taxonomy): Eukaryota > Metazoa > Chordata > Mammalia > Primates > Hominidae > Homo > Homo sapiens. Next base: position 145,404,060 of record NC_000004.12, read on the forward strand.
GTCTTGCCACTGTGTTGTACAATGTTATATACACTGTCACATAGTGGTAAGACATGAAACATTGTCACCTGCAGTAACTTGGTCAGAGTGGTTTCTTCCAGGCAGAGAAACTAGGGGGCTGGGACAGAGGCAGCAGGCACAAAAACACTTTTCACTACATATCCTTTTGTAACTTACAAATAAATAATAAATATTTTACTTAAAAATAATGTGATTTTACCAAGGAAGCTGTCCTTGACCTCTTAAAAATGGTCAGGCTTTTGTGTGATATACTCTGAAAGCTTTCTATACTTCTTCTTTATAACCAGATGGTATTATAACCATCATATCATTTGTTATAATCATATACTACTGAAGACAAATAATTGCTCGTCCCAGAGAGTTTGGTTAACATGTGTCTTACCCACTAGACTATAAGTTTCATGAAGGCAGGGACTATATTTGCCTTTTAACCAGATTTAACCTAACACAATATCTGGCTCTTAATAGGACTTTAATAAATATTTATTGAATAAATAGATGGGTTACTTAATTAATTAGTTAAGCCAATAGATCAGGATTTCCTCAAGTAAAAAGAGCAGGAAAGGGTCAAGATCTAATCAGTTATGATTTCCAAAACTAAATAATCACTTCTGAAATGCAAAATATGAACAAAAACATAAAAATAATGTTGTTTAAAGACACACAAATATCTAGCTATAAATAACTATCCTTCTAATACTGAGCTCCATTAAATTACAGCTAAATCTAGTTCTCTAGCTTTCTTTATCCAGAGAAAAAAGTTTCAACTATTTTTCAACTCTTGGTGTTAAGATCCTTGGACCGTGTTCACAGATTGAAGCCATTTAGCACAGGGTTTGCCTTTGTACAGCTGTCCCGGCTTCAGCTGTCAACTGGGAGGCCTTTAATTCACAGGCTTTCCCTATTTGCTCTCTCTACCTCACTGTGTTTGTGTCTCACAGCTTCTGCTTCCCACTGCAACTCTCAGCTTCTTTTCTTTTCATAGTCAGAACAGAGAAAGCAAGAGTGGGGAGAGAGCACTTTCCTGTAGTTCTGCTGACCCCGTAACTGCCTACATGAGGAAAATTGTACCCAGTAAACCATTGTTCAGAGAGAATGCTGTTTGTTCTCCAAAGGCATTATTTCTCCTCCTGGGCATACAGCTAGGCTTTGTTTCCCAGGCTCCTTTGCTGTTAGGTGGAACCATTAGACTGAGTTCTGGTCAATGGATACAGAGACATGAACTCCAAGACTGGAGCGTGGGGAAGCCACTTATTGGAAGAAGCCTGGAAGAAGCTGAGTTGCCATGAGGAAAAAAGCTATCCAGGAGATCCACCCAACCACAGACACCTGTGTTGAATGATTTCAGGCCAAAATATATATATATTTTTTATGATTTTAAACCACCAAAATGTTGTTTTGATTTGTTTACAATTCAGAAACTTGTACCTTGAAGCAGGGTGCTAAATGATGAGGTGGTGAATAGTAAGAAAACTGATGCTAGCGGCTGGAATAATGTTTTGCCACTGTGTGGTACTGTGTTATATACTCTTGTTATATAGTGGCAAGACATGAAACATTGTCACCTGCAGTAACTTGAAAGCAGACCATTCCTGAATGGAAGCTCTAGGAGAGGTGGTTGGAGTGGTTACAGATCACTTGAGTGCCAGTGTGTGTTGGCTACCATTAGCTGTCCTTGGTGATGTTTTATGGAAAAGAAATGGGCTCAGGAAAGAATGGGCTGGTTTGCAAGCTGAAATGAAAGGGAATAAAGAAAGTCAAGAAATCTGGGTCATTCAAATGTTGAAAAGGCTGATAGTTTTTATTCCCAAATAGTAAAAGATAAGGCTTTGAGTAAGAAAGGCCAGTGATACTCCTCAGTTAAACAAAAGAATCAGCCCTGGGGCAAAGATCAGATTAGGAATGTAGCCTTCCCATTTATCGTTCAAGATGGACATAGGGTAGAGGCCATTAAATTGAGGGAGAGAGGCCTAAGGTGAAGAAGCAAAGAAATAAAGCAGATTTGAGAATTATGTGAACTTTTAGGCAAGAACATTAGTGTGGTTAGCGTACCGGGAACTAGCCAGAAGCTTAATAAGTTTTTAAAGGAATTTTATTGCCAAAGATACCATGACCATCCTAAAAATATCTTTGAGCTGTAAAATAACTTTTGAGTCCAAAACTCGATCCAACGGTACACACTAGATATTCCAGAATTTTAAAAACTCTTTCTGAAAATGTTAAACATTTGAAAAAGACAAGTTGTTAAAGTGTGTTTCCTTCTTAGTTACACAAGAAATGTAAAAATATTAGAAATGCAAGTGAACAAAACCAAAAATACATATTAAACTAAAACCAACGAAAAATCCAAAACACCATGAAAAAAATCACCATTAACATTTTGGTGCATAGTCTTTCTGATTTCTACAAAGCAAATGTGTACATTTAAAAAAATTAGATTGAAATGTACACATTCTTATAATTTTTGTATAATTTCATGTTGTGAAAATTGATCAATATCAATAAAAATAGTGGTATAATATCATTTTAATGACCATATAGTATTCTATTGTATGGCTATACCATAATTTATTCTAACTAGTCCTCTACTGTAGGACATTTAGATTGTTTCTGTTTGTTGTTGCTGCTGCTATTACTATTTTAAACAAATAAATCGTTTAGTACATAAATTTCCTTTCAACTTATCTGATTGTCTCCTTTAGTGAATTTTGAAGTCCTAGAATTTCTGGGTCAAGGGGCATGAATGTTTTTAGGACTTTGGTATACATTGCCTAATCTAAGTCCAAAACAGTTATTAAAAAATGAAGCAACTCCTAGAGACATATAAAAGTGACATGTAAACTTCTGGCTATTGTTCCTCAAACTAAGTTTCCTATACAGTTGTTTGGTTTTCTCCAAAATGTGATTTCTTAGGATTGACATCCTGCTTGGCTAAGTGGAAAGCTGAGGGATTCATGAGAGGAGAAGTCCTCCCTCTAGCATTCTTCCAGCTTTCTTCCAGGGGAGCAGCCCCTATTTAAATAGTGCATAGCTTCCCACTCATATCTTTAGGACTCAGCAATGTTCCCTGCTCTGTTTTGATTAGTCAGTTATTTCCTTGAAATAGGATGAAGTCAAAGCAGGGCTACCAGGCTGCCAGCACATTGACACTGAGAATTGAAATCACCAGAACTTAGACTCTAGAGCTGAAAAATTCAGAAACCACTTGGCCACATTCTCTGGCTTCAGGCAGATAAGAAAGTTCATTGTGCAGAGGTGTTTTTGAAGATCTAGGCTGCTTTTGGCAAAAAGTGGTGTCTGTCTAGTAATTGTGTTAAGATAAAATAGAAAACACTATTCAAGGAAAACAAATTGCATTTCAAGTTAAGGTGTTACGTCTGTGAAGGAATACCCCCTAGAGTAGTGACCACGTATACATAAGACTGTCCCCTGTTCATTACCTGTTTTCAATTTGTCTCCAGCTCATCTTTTCCCCTTAAACTAGACAGCAATTGCTATCAATTCACTTAACATAAGATGTCTTGCCTACCACCAAGATGTGAAATAAGGCCGTTAGTGGTGGCTCAGGCCTGTAATACCAGTACTTTGGGAGGCCCAGGCAGGTGGATTGCTTGATATTATGGTTATAGTACCATCTGGTTATGAAGTATAGAAATATGATCAGGAGTTCAAGACCAGCCTGGCTAACATGGTGAAACTCCATCTCTACTAAAAATACAAAAATTAGCTGGGCATGGTGTCGGGCAGCTGTAATCCCAGCTACTTGGGAGGCTGAGGGAGGGGAATTGTTTGAACCTGGGAGGCGGAGGTTGCAGTGAGCTGAGATTGCACCACTGCACTCCAGCCTAGGTGACAAAGCAAGACTCCATGTAAACAAACAAACAAAAGATGTGAAGTAACTTTTTTCCTTCATAATTTTAGATTAATTTTATTTTCTCTACAAAAAGAATGTCTAAAAAACAGAAAAGGAAAAGCCACCATTCTAACACCATTTTAACACATATCTTACCATCTTAAAATAAACACTTTTAGCATCTGGTGCATTTTAGTATCTTTTCGGTACATTCAAAAAAATAGTTTTAATCGTAGTATACCTATACAGTATTTTAACTTACTGTTTCCCCTAATATTATTTTATAAAAATTGTTATGTGATTAATAATCTATGAAAATAGTCTTTTTAAATGATTGCAAAATAATGCTAGGCATCATTCTGTGGTCATTATATAAATTACTCAACCTTTCCTAATTTTTAATCAGTATAAATAACGAAGTGGAAAATACTTTAAAGCATGGAACATTTTTCATTATTTTGGATTATTTTAAAAGATAGATTTTTAGAAACAAAATATCTTGTTTAGTGCATATGAACAGTTAAATAGTAAATAATGAGGATAGCTGTTTCATGACCAATTAGGAATTTTTCCAAATGAATTCATTTCAGGACATCAAGGAGTAGAGTGGACTGGAATCGTGAAATTGTAAAAATAGAAGAATGGATAAACTATCTGAATGATATTTTTTTATTTGTAACTAGGAGTAGTCCCAGATTTTTCTTAATCAGTGCAGGCTCAGAAGCTGACTTACCCGCTTTCCTTCACTTTCAGCTGGCATGAGGTAGATCTGGGCAGACGTCACCACTATTTCTTCCTGATTCTTTCTCAGATTATGTGACACATATAACACGGGGCCTGGTACTTAGTAAGTGATTAATAAGGCTCTGTTAAGTGGGTGAGTGAAAGCACGTGTATGGGCTTTGAAACTGAGTCGAGGGGGGGTTCAGATTCTGATTCTGCCACTACTAGCTAAGGTACTTGTTAAACAGATAAATTGCTGTGGAACACAATAAAAGCTGTGCTCTGGCTAAATTCCAGAAGTTACTGCCAAGTCCTTTCATAGTTTTCTTAAGTGAAACCTTACATTAAATACTTAAGTACTAAGAGCAATGCCCAAAACATATCTTAACATGACATCTAAAAGCTATAGTGTGATATAATCAGAGATTCTTTTTTTTTTTTTTTTTGAGACAGAGTCTCACTCTGTCGCACAGGCTGGAGTACAGGGGCACGATCTAGGCTCACTGCAAGCTCTGCCTCCCGAGTTCACACCATTCTCCTGCCTCAGCCTCCCAGGTAGCTGGGACTACAGGCGCCCACCACCACACCCGGCTAATTTTTTTTTTTTTTTTTTTTAGTAGAGACGGGGTTTCATCGTGTTAGCCAGGATGGTCTCGATCTGCTGACCTCATGATCCGCCTGCCTAGGCCTCCCAAAGTGCTGGGATTACAGGCGTGAGCCACCACTCCCGACCAGAGATTCTTTAAGGTAGGAAACCACTGCTTACTAGAATGGTGTTTGAAAATCAGCTTTTCTTTCCTTTTACTGTTGTCAACTCTTAAAATTGCTGAACCGTTAAACGCCAAATAACTTAATGACCTCATCTGTGGAGGGAGGCAATAGGACTTGCGGAATGGACACCACACTTGGTTTTTGATAAGACAAATTACCCTGGCTGGGCAAATAACTGCTGACCTGTGGCGCCTCCTTCTTTCTGATGTTTCTGTAGTGTCAGCACTTTCAGGCACCTAACAGGTACAGCGAACAAAGGCAACATCTTTGATCCAACTCCCCTTCTGTAAGGGGAGTTTTAATGTGGTATGCTGTAGGAAGCTGGCCAAAGAATCCACGAACGACAAGCTATTTCTAGATTCCAAGGTTCTTATGGATGGGCCAGTGAAATAAAGCCCTGAAGGTTCATCTGAATAGTTCATCCACTGTAAGAAAGATTTTCAAAGGGAGGAAATTGTATAGATTTTTTACCTTCAACTAATAAAACTTCAGTTTTCTGGGGAAAAATTAATCTTAGGAACAAATAGGGGAGTGGAGTCCAAACAGGATAAAACAGAAAGTGTGTACACTTCAGGGTTCCAAACAGTGAAGTCAGCCCAATGGTCTGCTACATGCCCAGCACCCCGCATTCAGTTCTGCAGATGAAGGTTGCAGAGGAAGGGAGTTAGAATCATGGGCATAGCATGAGAATGACACTGGAAGCAGGCAGAGATGGCATCTCTAAGAGGTCTGCTGGAAGTAAAAGGACTGCCCTTTAACCTGAGAACCCTTTTGCTCTCCTACAGCAGGTAGCTCACCTTATCTTACATCCCTGCCCTCTTCCTCTAAGGCAGGAACATGAGACTCATGAATGTGGCATTCTTCACCTTCATGAACATCATGGCCTCACCTCATGCCTTCCACCTCCCTTTTCTTGAGACAGGAACAGAGAGGTATGCAAGATGGTTAGTCAGTCAGGGTTCTCCAGAGAAAGAGAACCAGTAGGATATATACACATATACAAAATATAACACATATCATATATCATCTAAAGGAGCATTACATATAATATGAAGGAATATAAAGAATATATAATATATATCACGTACAATAAAAAATATATATTAAATACACTCATACATGAGAAAGAGAGAGATTTATTCCAAGGAACTGGTTTACATGATTGTGGAGGGACTGGCGAGTCTGGAATTGTGTGGCAGGCTGGCAGGCTGGAATGGTCTGCTGATTATCAAAGAAAATCTCTTTTACTTAAAGTCAACTGATTTAACCACTTCTACAGAATACTTCCACAGCAATACTTGAACTGGTGATCGATTAACTGGGTACCCTAACCTAGCCAAGTTGACACATAAACTAACAAGTAAAGGTGGTCTTGGAAATATATACACGCACACATTTTAAACTAAGCTAGAGGAGACACATACTAAGTAGGCTAACACTTGAAGTAGGGGGAAATTTGTTTAGCATCCTCCTACCTTCTTTCTACACTCAGCTTTTCCCTGGGGCCACTTCATCAAGATTTCCCGTACTCTGGACACTCCATAGCTTTCTGATTTCTTGATGATCCTTAAGTTTTGTACTCTCCCCATGATTCTTTGTTATTTTCTTTTTTCTTCTTTTTAAAATTTTATTGTTATTGTTGTTATTTTTTCTTTTATTTCTCTCTCCATGATTCTGCTCTTTCACACCACGGATCAATCCGTTAGCAAGCCCTGTCAACTCTCCCTCCAAAACACACGCAGTAGAAGTACATCCATCTCCCCTCCACTATTATCCCCTGGTCCAAGCCACCATGTCTTCTCTTTAAAAGTCACCTCAGGCCGGGGGCGGTGGCTCACACCTGTAATCCCAGCACTTTGGGAGGCCGAGGTGGACGGATCACGAGGTGAGGAGATCGAGACCAACCTGGCTAACATGATGAAACCCTGTTTCTACTAAAAATACAGAAAATTAGCCAGGTGTGGGGGTGGGTGCCTGTAGTCCCAGCTACGCAGGAGGCTGAGGCAGGAAAATCACTTGAACCCGGAAGGCAGAGGTTGCAGTGAGCCGAGATCACACCACTGCACTCTAGCCTGGGTGACAGAGCAAGACTCTGTCTCAAAAAAAAAAAAAATCTCCTCCCTAGCTCCCTCTTTCATTCCGTCCTCTTCTAACCCACTCACCACCGAGCAGCTTGAGAAATCTATGTAAAATTAAATATGATTTTGTTGCTTTGCTGTTTAAAACTCTCCAAAAATGTCTAAGCAATAAAACCCAAAAACCTTATTTTATGGGCTGAATTGTATCTTCTCAAAATTCATATGTTGAAGCCCTAGCCTCTAGGATCTCAGAACCTGGCTATATTTGGAGATAGGACATTCAAATACATAAATAAGCTGGCATGAGGATGTTAGGGTAGGTACCTAATTCAATCTCACTAATGCCCTTGTAAAAGGAGGAGATTAGGACATAGAGACACACCAGGTGGTGCATATACACAGAGGGACTCACCAGGTGAAGAGGCAGCAAGAAGGTGTGGGGGGATCATCTACAAGCCAGGCAGACAGGCCACAGGAGAAACCAGTCCTGCTGGCACCTTAATTTTGGACGCCCAGCCTCCAGAACAATGAGGAAATAACATCTGCTGTTTAAGCCTCCCAGTCTGTGGTATTTTGTCATGGTGGCCCTAGCAGGCTCAAACGCCTTATTATGACCTACAGGGTCCCAGGTGATCCATCTGATCTAGCCATCCATGCCCATCTCTTCTCATTCTACCAGTCACTCACTCCACTCAATCTTCCCTGGCCTCTTCACTGTTTCTCAGGCACACCTAGCTGGTTCCTTTTAGGGGATCCTTGCACTAGCTGTTTCTTCTGCAGGAAAGACTCTTTCTCACTTCTTTATATAATGGGTTCAGGGCTCAGTTCAAATGTCACTGAATCACAGAGGTCTTCCTTCAGCATCAAATTCAAAGTAGTCTGCCTGCCACCAAACTCCACTCAGGCACTACCACACCATTCTGCTTTGTTTCCCTCCCGGCACTTAATCATTTTCTCTGATGTTATATTTTTACTTGGTTTTTCCCTCATTTATTGCCTGTCTCCCCATAGGAGAAAGAAGTTCCCTGAAAGCAGACATGTGCTCTGCCTTGCTCACCACTGCATCCCCAGCACGTAGGGCTTGCCTCAGAGTTGTTGCCTGAGTACACATTTATTTCTGTTTAGTAAACATATAAACAATGAATCATTTAATTCATTGACTAAATAATGAATGAATGAACAAATGAGTAAACCCAGAAGAATATTTGGAGTGGAGACTCAAAAAATGAAGATATTTGATTTATATATTTATGTTTCCATTCTCTTTCTTTTTTGTTTTATAGTGATGGAGGTCTTGCTATGTTTCCCAGGCTGGTTTTGAATGCCTGGCCTCAAGCTATTCTCCCACCTCGGCCCCCAAAAGTGCCAGGATTACAGGTGTGAGCCACCGTGCCTGGCCCTGATTTATATATTTATGTTTCATAGTTCTTTTTTTTTTTTTTTTGAGACAGAGTCTCACTCTGTCACGCAGGCTGGAGTGCAGTGGTGCGATCTCGGCTCACTGCAAGCTCTGCCTCCCGGGTTCAAGCCATTTTCCTGCCTCAGCCTCCCTAGTAGCTGGGACTACAGGCGCCTGCCACCATGCCTGGCTAATTTTTTGTATTTTTAGTAAAGATGGGTTTTCACCGTGTTAGCCAGGACGGTCAGTTCTTTTTTCCTTTATTCCCCATGAAAACTTCTGTTCTCTTAAGGTTCTTTTTTAAATCTCATTCACTTGTTAAAAGAAAATAAAGCTAATAAGATAAATTTACACCAAAATGTATTTGACTGATGCCTCCTCCTGGAATCCACCAGAGAAAGTTACAAATTGGAAGAGTTAAGCTCATCTAATAAATAAGTATTTGATTATTGAACACTTTCAAGTGGTGTGACTAACTGGAATTTCTCTTGTGTCACCTACCTGGGTCTTCCTAAATTATGGGGATCTGATATTCTTCAAAGTATCCTTATTGCCCTACAAATATTGAATATATTCATTGAATTCCTTACACCCAAATCAGTTTCTTCAGACTATTCCTTAGTGGACTTTTCCCTAGACTTCAGTATGCCGAAGAATGACCTTGAGAGCTGTTAAAATTGCAGATTCCAGGCCCTCACTTCTAAAGATTCTGGATCAGCAAATTTTGGTGTGTCCAGGAATCTTTATTTTTAACAAACATCCCTCCTAGGCAACTCATTTTTTGGGAAACGTCATTCTAGGGCAGGATACAGATACTCCTCCAAACCCGACTTTGCTGAGAACGTTCCTAGGAACTGAAATAGTGTCAAAGAAAGAGCTATCAGTTACACCTCTCTCCAGATTTGTCAGGGACTCTGGGAAACACAACAGGAGGGTAGGCTTGAGGCTGAGAGACAATAGGTAAAACCAGATTGATGGCCTAATATTTCTTGCAACAACTATGTTCCCCTTTGTTTAGGCATAGGTGGTAGCCTAAATAATGGTGGCTGCTTGCTTCATTCACTTTTAGGCAATGCATGTGGCAAAAACAAACTGAAGAAGAGCTATGGTCTATGTAAGGTTTATCCACCAGGGCTGTCTTTATAGCAAGCCTGCTAAAATTTAGCCAGAGAATGTCAGGCCCTTTCTAAGAGGAGATGGAGATGCCTGTGTCATATTTCCATGTCCTGTCTCTGTACCACCGCTCATTCCAACCATCCCTGCAGGTTGCATTATAGCACTTGTTCATGTGAAGATCTGTGTTGGTAGACACTTGACCTCTAGGTCTGAGGGACATAGAAACTTTTGAGAGCATGAATTGTGTCTTATATATTTTTCTATTCCCAGTGCCCACCACAGTGCCAGGCATAGAATATGAGCTCTGACAATACCAATATCTTCAAATTTAGATGAGGAAGACAATAAAAACACATTTACTCTCCCCTGAGGTAACATCTGGGAAGACCTCTGATGCAACGGCACATGTTGATGGGAAGCAGCAATTACATCACACTTCTTGGTATATAGATCAATAGAGAGAAATTGGCTGCCTTTTTTATTCTTCCTAGAGCTACAAGAATTTGGGTTTCATTATTTCTGATTAATCCCAACAAGTTGAAAACCTGTATTTATTTAAGCTTTAAAATGTGAGAAGGCTTGCCTCAGGGGGGAAAAATATATATTTTTATATATAGGCATTATTTCGGTTATATTGATGAAGAATGTGGCCACATTCTTATAACTTCCCATTTGGTTTTTAATGATGCCAATGCTTCATACTTAAGTCACAAATGTGGAATTTTGAGACAGAGGACTCTAAGAATAAAGGCATATATATTTTGTCCACATTTCCCCAAGTTGGTCATTGAGAGAAGAGAGTCAGCGCTGTAATTGTGAGAAGTAGAGTACTTTTACATTTAGCAAAAGAATTGCTTGAGCAAGTTATACAATTCCCAGCATATCCATTTTTAGCCAGGAAGGAAAATTCTGATAGATTATTTCTCAGTTATTTGACGGAAAGGTGATAGGACACATTTATAGTGTTCCCTTGGTAACAAAAGGGCTCCCAGGACACACAGCTGCTCAAGACAACATATGTTCAGGGAACACTGGGAACATTACTATTCTTAATAATAAAAAGGTTCATCCTTCTCAGATGCCAAGAAATAGTCAAATATTTTGGACCATCTCCAATTCTTTTTGGTCAGTCCTCTCTTACCTCTTGTAGATGTTCTCTTAGCAGCAATGCAAAAAAATAAAAAATAAAAAATGTAGAATAGGAGATGAGCCCTCCAGGAGGAAGAGGGAATGAATATACCAACAGTTCTTTGGTTAGGTGTGGAAGCTGCTGTTGAACTTCAAATACATAAATAAAGGCAAGTTTAAAGATCAAGAACACAGATAGTGCTGTCTTATATTTTCCCCAACTGTGTTTGATATCTCCTGTCTCCTTCAAAATCATTTTATTGCTTTTTCTTAAAATAAATATAAAACCGTCTTGGTTTTTACATAACGATTCTAAGCAGGCTTCAACTTCTGCCTTTCAAATTAATGAAGGAAATAATTTTATTCTTCTCCCCATTGTCAAGCATAAAACCTGGGTCTGGAGAATACCCAGGAGTAAAAGTGTTGTGTTTCACTCACTAAAACAAAGTTAGACAAGGTAATATTTGGTTAAATGATATATAATTATTATATAAACATATTTTTACACATTGACAGTGATTTAATACCAGGAAATAATAAAGCTTATTTTAAAATATTGAGTAAAATGATCAATTTTTACAAATAGTGCAATGTCTTCTGGATATGTTGGTAGAAGAGGAATATATAGAAATACAGAAATGGAACATAGATATATAGATATATAGAAATATAGAAATACAAGGCTTTGTAATAGAAAGAGTGACCCAAACCAATCCAGGGATGTCACAGGGATGAAATTCCATGCTTAATTATATTATCCAAGGGTCTCAAGATACCTGGAAAAGAAAGAATCAGACCATACATAGGAAGAATTGGTGGCCTGTGTACCTGATATGGTTATCTGAAAGACACTGAAAGACTGTCCCACCACAGACTACGAAAATACCTGGAGTTCTATTGTCAGAGCCATGCTATGACCTCCAGAAGGATGATAGTATGTACAAGTATTTTTACCTGGGAGCAGTGTTGCATTAACTCACTAATTCTCCCTTGGCATGGCTAAGATAAGCAAACTGTAATGAACCCTGGAGAAATAGCTCAACGGGAAAGCAGGGTTTTGTTTTGTTTTGTTTTGTTTCGTTTTGTTTTTTTGAGATGGAGTCTCGATCTGTTGCCCAAGCTGGAGTGCGTTGGCAAAATCCCAGCTCACTGCAACATCTGCTTCCCGGGTTCAAGCGATTATCCTGCCTCAGCCTCCCGAGTAGCTGGCCACCACAGCCGCCGGCCACCACGCCCAGCTCATTTTTGTATTTTTAGTAGACACGGGGTTTCACCATGTTGGCCAGGCTGGTCTCAAACTCCTGATCTCAAGTGATCTGCCTGCCTCAGCCTCCCAAAGTGCTGGGATTACAGGCATAAGCCACCGCACCCAGCCGAAAGCAGGTTTTGAAGATGAGAAAGGACCTATACCAGTCCTGAGTATAGGACCCTGCTTGGGCTGAGGGAGAGGCAAGAGCCTGGGTAGCCAAGGGACAAGTGTGAGGACCCTGCATGAGGGCAGGTAGAAGCTAGAGAAGGATGAGGAGAAAGTCTCAGGGTCCTGGTCTTGTCTGGATTACCTGATGGTCATCTACCAAGAGATGGCAGGAGGCTTTAGACTCTGGAACCTAGGAAGACTGCTCGCTGTTTGGTTGGGTGCAGCTTAATGAAAAATCCACTTTAGGGAGTTGTCCTTTGTCCTTTTTATAAAAGGACAACTCTGTAGGAGGCATTTCAATTCTCTCTGCTTGCAAGCTCAAGAACAGTATTTCCTGAACAATGGAATGTGGGCCACCATGGAACACGATGAATATTTGTATTCTAATAATTACATATATTTAATATCTATTAGAAAAAGGTAAGTAGTACATCAAACCTATGATTTCATGAATATTACAACTTAGGAAGAAACTAAAGTAAAAAGAAAGAGTCAGTTTAAAGGAAAATATTAAGTAGGTTTAAAAAAAAAACACAGAAACAAAGCAGGCTGGGCTCGGTAACTCACACCTGTAATCCTAGCACTTTCGGAGGCCAAAGTGAGAGGATCACTTGAGACCAGGAGTTCAAGACCAGCCTGGGCAACAAAGCAAGACCATTTCTACAAAAGAAATTTTAAAAATTAGCCTATAGTCACAGCTATTCAGGAGACTGTGGAGGGAGGACAGCTTGAGCCTAGGAGTTGAAGGCTGCTGTGAGCTATGATCATGCCACTGCTCTCTAGCCTGGGTGAAAGAGCAAGACCCTGTCTTGAAAGAAAGAGAGAGAGAGAGAGAGAAAGGAAAGAAAAGAAAAGAAAGGACAGAAAGAAAGAGAGACAGAAAGAAAAAAGTAAGAAAAAAGAAGGAAAGAGAAAAAGAAAGAAAGAAAGAGAAAGAAAGAAAAGAAGAAAGGAAGGAAGAAAGGAAGGAAGGAAGGAGAAAGGGAGGGAGGGAAGAAGGAAGGAGGGAGGGAGGGAAAGAAAGAAAAGAAAGAAAGAGAAAGAAAGAAAGAAAGAGAAAGTAAGTGGGGGAAGGAGGGAGAAAAGAAAGGGAAAGAAAGAAGAAAGAAAAAAAGCTCATCAGGTGGAAAACACTATTTTAGAGATATTTGGAAATAAATGTACCCCGGTCAACTTAAGAGTTATGATGTATTTACAAACTAGTAAATGGAGTCATTTATCTTAACTGCAAATGACTGAGAAAAAATGAAGTTGCATCTTCAAATTATAGCATTCTGATTTCCACAGCATTTTTGGAAAGTACCGTGATCAATAGGCAGCACTTCAGAGTCAGTATTGCAGGATGATTAAACAGAGTGGGGTCATTGAAGTCAAGGTCTGAATTCACATTTCACAAATTACCAGCTGTGTGACCTTGGATAAGTCACACTGTCTCTCTGAGTCTCAGTTTACTCACCTCTAAAATGAAAATACTGTTGGCTCTCCATATCCATAGGTTCTGCATTCGTGGATTCAACCAACCTCGGATCAAAAATATTTCGGAAAAAATGGACAATTGTGTCTACACAAAACATGAACAGGTTTTTTTTCTTACCATCATTTCCTAATCAATACAGTACAACAACAATTTATATAGCACTTACTTTATTGTACTAGGTATTATAAGTAATCTAGGGATGATTTAAAGAATGCAGGAGAATATGCATAGGTTATATGCAAATACTGCATCATTTTATGTAAGGAACTTGAGCACCCATGGATTTTGGTATCTGGGGGGGGTTCCTGGAAGCAATCACCTGAAGATGCTAAAAGAGTTATATTTCCTTCTAAGGATTATTGTAAGGATTAAATGAGATAGTGAATGTAAAGTGCCTAGCACACCTGAAAAATAGCAATGTCTCAACAATCTCAAAAATGGTTGTTTTTATATGCTTATTGTCCCTTTCTTGCTTGGGTCTTTTTTCAATCCTTTTCTTTTAAGTACCTTTAACTGGCCTTTTTCACATCTCAACACACATTTATTACTATATACTTTGGTTTTACATATCATCATTTTAGTGTAAAAGACCACAGGGAAGTAGAGGATTACGTCCCAAAAAAACTCCTGATTATCTCCCTGGGTAATTCAATTCATGACTATTCTCTGCCTGTCGTGCATTTTAAAATGCTTTCTTTCTGTTCGTAGAGGATCCATATAATCTACCTCCTTGTATTGCCAAAATTCCAGGAAGTCTTCATGATGATCTTTCACTCATTTGATACTTTCATAACAGCGAATCAACCTTGTAACTACGTGACACATTCTTCAACTTGTGGGTCATTCCTTCTTTTGGAAAGACATTTGAAATAGAGTCATCTGTTTCTTTATCTAGATACGATATGCCAATTGCTGGGGCCACCTAATACTGGGAGAGGGTCAAAAGGAGACATTCTTGAAACAATTCATTCTAGTGTCAAACTGACCAATTTAGCTTTCTAGAGCTGAATCATAACATTCATTGTCTAACATATTAGGTTAACTTAACAACCCTGAACTACCAGATAACTAAGGGAAGGCTGTTCTACACTATTTTGAAGCAGCTTTTTAAAATTCGTTCAGTGTTTTCACAATATTTTTTCAATAATAAAGACCTACATCCTCCTTATGATGTTTCTACTGCTGCTGATCACCACTGTCATCATGATTTGATGAGCTGAATGCTGACTTAGTTAGGAGTGTGGACTCAGGTATGAATTCCAGCTCTGCTAGTTATTATGTGGCCTTTAGCCAGTTACCCCGCTTCTCAGTTTGCTCAACCGTAAACTGGGAAACACATATAAAATGCCTAGAAGAGTGTCTGTGTTGTGGCCTTCCTGCAGGAAGGTATGGACCCCCATCCAAAATTTAGTTTGGATGTTGATACTGATAATGCTATGCCTACACCAAGAGGTATGAAAAGGTTTATTATGATGAGGGTTTTTGAAGACAGCAAAGCAGGCCTCCTGAACTGGTCCAAAAATGGCTTAAGAGAGAGAGGAAAGGTGCCTGGCTTGGGATTTATTGTGATTGGTAGGTGGGGTTCAGCTGAGGGTCCTGAACGTGGTTGGAATCTCTACTGGTGCCAATGGAGGGAGCACTAGGTTTTCTTACTGTCTCGCTCCTACGTGCAGATATGAACAAAGAGGAGGGGTGGAGCTGAAAAGCTGTCAGCAGCAGAACATCAAAAAATGTAGTCAGAATCTATTATAGTGTGTCACAGAGCAAATAGTCAATAAATTCTATTACTGTATTCACCTTCCACTAATTCCTAATGTTCTCCTAAGGATGATACTCTGGGAGTGTTGACCTAATAAAGAGATATAACATATAGACTTGTCAGATAGACTTGTTCTCTATTTAATGCTGAATAGAGCATCACCCTGAATGGGTTCATGTTGCCCAAATCAATGTGTCTCTATGAATGAAATCAGTGTGTCTATATAAACTCTTCATTACCAATGGCAAATTACTTAAAAGTGATAAAAAAAAGTCTCAATTTTTCTACCTTCCTGTATTTATATGAATGTGTATGTGTATGTTTGCTTGTCCATATGCGTATAATAATAAATACACAATTACTGGTTGTGACATTAGTGTCAGTACATTGTAATACTTTTATACATTATTATCAGCATCTTCAAAATGGTTAAAAATGTGTTTCACCTTAGGAATATGCATATATGAGATGATAGGTATGCTAATACTTGCTTTTAGTTTTAAGAATTTTACATCAAAATACCTGTGGTAAGTCAAAAGGCAAGGAGAACTTTAATGTTATATATGTGTGTTTTATTGATTTATAACTTGCACACAATAAAATATAATAATTTTAAGCACACAATATGATGAATTTGACAAATACACAGAGTCATATAATCTTTACAATAATTATGATATTTCCATCATCCCGAAGAGGTTTTTTGTGACCCTTTGCAATCAGTCCCCTACCTAAAACTCTTGACCCCTGGCAACCAACCACTGACCTGACTGCAATCACTGTAGTTTTACCTTTTCTAGAATTTCATACAGACAGAATCATACAGTACACAATCATTTGTATGTGGCTCCTTGTATTAATTTTCTATTGCTGTCTTAACAAATAACCACAAACAGCAGCTTAACTCCCACCCATTTATTATCTCACAGTTCTGTGGGGCTGAAGTCCAGCTGCAGTGTGGCTCAACCTGGACCTCTGCTTAGATTTCACAAGACCATAGTCATCAGGCAGCCCTGCACTCCTTGCTAGAGGCCCTGGGGGAGAAGCGATCCCCAGGTTGCTTCAGGTTGTTGGCAGAATTCCACACAGTTGTAGGACTGAGGTCCCCATTTCCTTGCTGGCTGATAGCTGGGGGCCATCCTTAGTTCCTAGAGACCTGTCTCCAATCCTTGCACATGGCTTTAAAATGATCCTCAAGGATCATTTTGACTTCCTCTTCTGCTGGGTCTCCATGACTCCAGCTAGAGAAACTGCTGTGCTGTTAAGGGCTCATGTGATTAGACTGGGCCCACCTGCATCACCCAGGATAATTTTACATTAACGTATTTAGCCTTATTGACATTTGCAAAGCCCCTTTTACCATTTAATGTAGCATATTCACAAATTCCAGAGGTTGGGGTGTAGACATCTTTGGGAGGGCATTCTACCTGCCACAGAGCTTTCATTTAATATAATTATTTTAAGATTCACCCATGATGTTGTATGTATCAATAATGCATCAATTTTTACTGCTGAGTAGTATGTCATTATAAGGATATAACACAATTTGTTTCTTCATTACCAGTTGATGGACATTTGAGCTGTTTTTAGTTGTTGTCTAATAGTAATGAAGTCACTATTATTGGAGGTCAGGAAATGATACCCTAAAGTATGACACTTTGACACCCTGAGTACTTTGAACTAAAGAAGCAGCCTCACAGCCAAGGTCTCTCTGATCTTTTCCAGGTCCCTCACCCATCTCTTGCCCCTTTGCTTCATCTGAAGTGCAGAGAAGTGCTTGCTGTGACATTCTTTTATCTAAGGGGAGTTTCTTCAGAAGATACGTAGTTGCCTTGAGCCCTCTCCTATATCCCAGACAAATTTTGTCCCAGGCTGCGTCTGGTTTTTGGTTCGTTTTTTGTTTTTTTGCCCATTCATCTCCCCTAAAAATTATTTACTCTTCCCCTAAATGTGCCTAAAGGCTTCACATTCCTTCTCTTCCATGAAGAAAGACACAGAAGCTTCTAAACCTCATGGGGTTAATAGGTCTCACTTTCCTGTGATGCCCCTGGGCATGTGATAAATTTATACGCCTTGTCTCCTGTTAGTCTATTGTAAGTTTATTTCTCACTCAAATATCAACTCTCAATACGAAAGAGAGAGGGTTATCTCCCCCCAATGTTATGAAACATTTTTATACAAATCTCTATGTAAATGCCTATTTTAACTTGTGTGTGTGTAAATACCTAAGAATAGAATGGTTGGGTCACATGGTAAGAGTACATTTAACTTTAGAAGAAAGTGCCAAATTATTTTCCAAAGTGGCTGTACCATTTTCCTTATTCACTAGCAATATATGAGAATTCTAGTGGTTCCACATCCTCAGAATAGTTAGTATTGTCAGTCCAAAAAAAAAAAAAAAAGCCCCTCTAATAGGTATGGAGTGGTATTTCATTGTGGTTTCAATTTGCATTTCTCTAATGACTAATGATGTTAGATATCTTTTCATATGTTTATTTGCCACATATCTTTTTTGGTGAAGTCTGTTAAATTTTGTTTGTCCACTTAAAAAAATGGGCAAAATTTTGTTTGTCCACTTAAAAAAAAAAACAATTCTTACTGAATTATGTGAGTTCTTTATGTACTCTAGATACAAGTTCCTTCTCAAATATGTATTTAGCATACATTTTACTCAGAGTCTGTGACTTGCCTTTTCATTTTCTTGACAGAGTGTTTTGAGGAGTATGTGTCAATAATTTTATTGTGTCAGTGTTTTAATTTTGATGAAGTTCAATTTATTGATTTTTACTTTTATGGTTGTTGCTGTTTTAAAAATCTTTGCCTATCCAAGGATCACCAAGATTTTTTTTCTCTGTTTGCTTCTACAAACATTAGACTTTTAGCTGATTTATAGGTTTGCGATCTATTTTGACAATTTTTGAACATGCTGTGAGATAAGGATTGATTTCATTTTTTTTTGTTGTTGTTGCATGTGGCTATCTGTAATATTATGAAACACATACAGTTGCCCCTTGAACAACACAGAGGTTAGGAGTGCTGACCCCCTCATACAGTTGAAATTTTACATATAACTTTTGACTCCCCAAAAACTTTACTAATACTGTTGACTGGAAGCTTTACTGATAACATAACAGTTGATTACCACATATTTGTATATTATGTGTTTTACGTACTCCACTCTTACAATAAAGTAAGCCAGAGAAAAGAAAATGTTATTAAGAAAATCATAAGGAAGAGAAAATATATTTACCATTTATTAAGTGGAAGTGAACCGTTATAAAGGTGTCCATTCTTATTGTCTTCATTTTTAGTAAGCTGAGGAGGAGAAGAAAGGGGAGGGGTTGGTCTTGCTGTCTTAAGAGTGGCAGAGACAGAAGAAAATCTGCATATAAATGGACCTGCCACAGCTCAAACCCATGTTGTTCAAGGGTCAAGTATAATCCATCATTATCAATTACCGAGAAAAGAATGTTGAAATCTCCAACTATAATTGTGAAATTGCTCTTTATTTTTTCAGATCTATCAGATTTTGTTTCATGTACATTTAAACCCCGTTATTAGACACATATTGCTATGGTCTAATGTTAGATTCCCCTCAAAATTTGTATGTTGAAACCTAATTCCCAAGGTGATGGTAGTAAGAGGTGGAGCCTTTGGGGAGTGACTAAGTTATGAGGACAGATTCCTCATAAGTTGGATGGGTGCCATTATAAAAGAGGCCCCAGAGAGTTGCCTTTGCCTTCCCACTATCTGAGGACACATACAAGGTACCATCCGTGAGGAACAAGTCCTCATGAGATACTGAATCTCCTAGTACCTTTATCTTAGACTTCCCAGCCTCCACAACTGTGGGCAATTTCTTGTTTACAACTTACCCAGTAGACGGCATTTTTGTATAGCAGCTCCAACAGACTAAGACACATAGCGTGTATGTTTCAGATTTTTAAGTCCTGATGAATTTACTTTTTTTTTTTTTTTTTTTGAGACAAGGTCTTGCCCTGTTGCCCAGGCTGGAGTACAGTAGTGTGATTACAGCTCACTGCAGCCTCGACTACCAGGCTCAGTGATCCTCCCACCTCAGCCTCCTGGGTAGCTGGGACTACAGGTGCACACCACCATGCCCAGCTAATTTTTTGTATTTTTTGTAAGGATCATGTTTTGCCATGTTGCCCAGGCCAGTCTCGAATGCCTGGGCTTTAGCAATCTGCCTGCCTTGACCTCCCAAAGTGCCGGGATTACAGCCTACTTCTTTATTTTTATAAAATGACCTTTTTATCCCTGGTAGTGTTCTTTGTTGTGAAATATATCTTGTCTGATATTAATAACCATGCCAGCTTTTAAAATTCATTTTGGCATAGTATACTTTCCTATTCTTTATTTTAACTTACATAGCTTTCTATTTAAAGTGGGTTCCTCATAGACAGCATTTAGTTGAGCCTTGTTTTCATCCATGTTCATAATCTCTGCCTTTTAAGTTGGGTATTTAGCCTACTATACTTAATGTAATTACCAGCATGGTTGGTTTTAAATCTACCATTTTCTTTTTTGTTTTCTGGTGCTTTTTTTCCTCATTTGTACTTTATTACCTTTTCCTTCTTTTCCTGTCTTCTTTTGAATTGTGATTTTTTATGATCTCATTTCATTGGCCTTTGTTTTGTTTTCATTTCTAGTATTTTTTGTTTATCCTTTTTTTTTAATTGGTTAAAGTTTACAGTATGGCTTTCACTTGTTAGAGTTTACCTCTAAATAATAATATATCACTACATTTATAGTTTAAGAACCTTATTTGAGTGTATGTTCATTCTACTCTCCAACCTTTGTGCTACTGCTTGCTATCTACATTTCACTTTTACATATTTGTAAACCTCACAAAACATTATTACTTTTAACAATCAGTGATCTTTTAAAGAGATTTAAAAATAAAAAATATATTTTATATACATATTTACTATATTTTGTGTTCTTCATTCATTTGTAATATCCAAGTTTCCAACTGTATAATCCTTTTTTTCTGCTGTCTAAAGGACTTCTTTTCAAATTTCTTGTAGTGCCAGTTACTGGAAATAAATTTTCTCAGCTTTTATGTACATATAAAGACTTTTTCAGAGTGTCACCCTGCTGTTTTGGCTCACATTTTTTAACGAGAAGGCTACTGTTTGTTATGTTTATCTTTTGATATAGGCTAAATTTTACACACACACACACACACACACTGTACCCCCAAATTAATATGTTGAAGCCCTAAACCCCAATGTGGCTGTATTTGGAGACAGGGCTTTTAGGAAGTAAATAAGATTAAATGAGGTCATAAGAGCAGAGTTTGAATTTTATAGGATTGGTGGCCTTGTAAAAAGAAAAAGAGAGATATGTCTCTCTCTCTCTTTATCTCTCTCTCTCTCTGTGTGTGTGTGTGTGTGTGTGTGTGTGTGTGTCTCCATGTATACACACTAAGGAAGGGCCATGTAAGGTCACAGCAAGAAGGCAACCATCTACAAACCAGATAGAGAGCTTTCATCAGAACCTGACCAAAATTCCTTTGTTATTATTATTGCTTAAATAAATTTCTGCTGTTTAAGCCACCTATTATGTGGTATTTTATTAGGCAGCCTGAGCTGACTAATACATCTTTACTTTTCCATATGTAATATTTCTGTTTCACTTTTAAGATTTACTCTTTATTACTAGGTTGCAGCATTTGGTCGTGCTGTGCTTTTGTGTTGTTTCTTTCATGTTTTCTGCTTGGGGTTTGTTGAGCTTCTTGAATCTGTGGGTTTATCATTTTCATCAAATTTATCAAATTCATCAAATTTAGAAAGTTGTGACCATTAATTTTTTCAAGTAATTTTTCTTCCCTCCCCAACCTACCTTTTCTGGTACTCCAATTATAAATATATTAGGCCGCGCATGGTGGTTTATGCCTGTAAGCCCAGCACGTTGGGAGCCGGAGGCAGGTGGATTGCTTGTGTACAAGAGTTTGAGACCAGCCTGGGCAATCTGGTGAAACCCTGTCTCTACAAAAACTGCAAAACTTATATTTTGTCCAGCTTTATATTTGTTTAAAGATGGGGAAGTAAATCTGATTCTTATTATTCCATCATGTTAAGGAGGTAGAGACTTTAATGTTGTTTGAACAACTGTTGAAGAGTTGTTTTATGTATCTGAAGTATGGGAAATAATTAATCAACTAGGAAAATATTAGAACTTATTATTAAGTTAATTCCAACTGGGTCAAACTGTTGTTTGATACAATTAGGCAAAAGATATAATTTTATTATTAGAAAACAAAAATTGACTGTGTCTTGAAGGTTCCAAATTTTTGTCTTAAATACAATAAGATGTTTTTATATCAACCATTTTTTTCCTGTTTCTATACCACCACAGTCACTAAATTTGCATAAAATGTTTGGCAGTTTCTACGACTGTACTCCTGCGTGCTATGCCTGCACTACTGGAAGAAGTTTTGATGTTAGCTACTAGACGTTTAGATCTTCACTTGCAAATATCTAGCATAGTTTCC
The DNA here is from genome assembly GCF_000001405.40 of Homo sapiens. Lineage (NCBI taxonomy): Eukaryota > Metazoa > Chordata > Mammalia > Primates > Hominidae > Homo > Homo sapiens. The sequence goes on from NC_000004.12 coordinate 145,426,319, forward strand.
TTGCTCAAATCCCACAGATAGAATTTCCTTTCTCTAGGCTGGATGCAGTCGTTCATGACTGTAATCCCAACACTGCGAGGCTGAAGCAGGCAGATTTTTGAGGCCAGGAGTCCAAGACCAGCCTGGTCAACATGGTGAAACCCCATCACTACTTAAAAAAAAAAATTAGCCAGATGTGGTGGCACATGCCTGTAATCCCAGCCACTTGGGAGGCTGAGGCATGAGAATTATTTGAATCTGGGAGGTAGAGGTTGCAGTGAGCTGAGATCACGCCATTGCACTCCAGCCTGGGTGACAGAGCAAGACTCTGTCTCAATTAAAAAAAAAAGAAAAGAAAAAAGAAGAATTTCCTATCTTCAGTTAGTATCTAGTAAATGCTTAACACTTCTAAGCATATCTTCAAACTGATAAGTGAAAACAGAGCTGTAAAAATCTCCTTTTGCACAAAGCACTATTATTTAGTTATTTTAGATGAAAGCATTTGTGTATTGTTATATGGCAACTTCTTTGGGGAAAGCAGCATGTCTTGTACATATAGCTATATCCACAGAGACTATGCTGAGCATATAGTGAGTGCTGCAAACATTTATAGAAATCAGTGAACAGATTGCTGTTTACACTCAAAAGATACTCAATGATCTTTGATAATAATTTACCAATAAGTCTCAGAGCCTGTTAATTCTTGCATTTTCAGCTGAGCATCCAGAAAGTTGAGAGAATAAAAATGATGAAGTACAGCCTGAGTATAATTAAGGATTATAATTAATATCTGTTGTTCAGAAGCCCTTATACAGTGGTCTATTAAAGTCTGGATACAAAAATCTAAAAAGACTGGATTGCTGGCATCAGACTGAATTCCTAGAAGTGAATTTTTAACCTTAAAGATAAAACTTGATTCTGGGGGCATGTATTTTTATGGTACCATAATTTAACCTATCTTAATTAAGATTATATTCCATTAGCTATATTTTTTCTTATATATTTTGTCACTCATTTTGCAATTTCATAGTTAAATATTACAAAAGAAAAGTTGTAAACATTTTGGCTGCCTTTAAATGTTTGCTGAACTTTGCTTGTCAGCAGCTGGTCACTGCTATGTACTGTCTGTCTTTTTAACCAAGCCCAAATTGGAAAGAAAATAACAGATGATCAGTTAATTATTTTTCTGTGTGTATGTGTGTTTAGCTGTCTTTCAAAGGCATCGACCATAAGCATTGCTTATTGGTAGTCATCTTTTTTGGTTGCAAACTAATCGACTGGCAAAAATAAAATAGATCCTACACAAGGGATTTAGAAAATATTTTATAAAAAAGAATGCCAATAGCAATGCTTATAGGAACTAGACCATACATGTAGAACAAAGCATGTATTGTGTACTTTGGGAATAAACAATGAAGCTGTTAGCTATATGAATCTTAAATGATTACATTAATATGCTGGATGACTTGGGAAGTTGGACAATTGGTCTTTCACTTTTTGTATCTCTCTCTCTCTCTTTAACACCTCTATCGTTTTCAATGGTTTTTCACTTTTTAAAGCTTAGCTCTGTTATATACTCTAGGTCATAGGTATAAATGAATAGAATAATTTCTGTGTTCAATTTATTATAAGTTGTCTATAACATATATTTATAAAGGAAACTTTACATTTGATAACGTTTTATGTTTTACTTGAGGCACACAAGCTTGTTTAACCCGACTTATTTTGTTGTTTTTGTTCTGTTTTGTTTTGTTTTAGGCTTTTAACAGCCTGAAGCCATGGTTTTCTGTTTCTGTCTGGTGATAAGCTTAAAAGAGGGATGAGAAAGGGGATTTACTGGCCCAACCAGAAGCAGAAACTAAGAATCCATGACTGCATTCTCTCCCTTAGACACCCAATAGCTTCTTTCTCCTAGCAGGATAAATATCTTTGTAAATGCTAAGGCTATCTATGCAAATGTTTCACATTCTTCTTGACAACACTTACTCGATTAATTCCAAGATAGCACTTGTATATTTTTTTCCTTATTTCAAATACAGGGTAAAGGAAAAGCCTTCGCTATCAAAACATTGTATTATTTTCTCACAGCTCCAGCAATATCTGAGTTAAAAACTAAACAAGCAGTTTCAGATAGTACTTTATCAGAAAACAGTGAGGTTCTGCCATCAAGATATGTGATGCATAATGTAATTTTTTTTAATGAGAGAAAGATAGAGCAGAGGGTATTACCATTCCTCCACAGTCACACAGCAGTTCTAATTGGAATTAAACCCAGACATCTTGACATTCAGTATCTTTCTTGTATCATGGCAATAAATCTATGAATAGCTTTGTATTTATAAACCCAGATTCTACAGTTATATTACTTGAAGTAACTATTAAACATTTATTTATTCATTTTCAATGTTAGACAGTTGCATTAGTGTAATAATATCCAAAAAAGCATAAATAGTGCCTACATAACAGATTTTTAAATTAGTTTTCAAATTAGTATTCAAAGCAACTAACTATATTACAACTCAAAAGTACACTCAGCTATGATATTGATATAGGCAAAACTATCTGAGAAGAAGCCTCGATGATTTGCCGCTTGAATCACTACTTAAAAGAGAGGTAGAATCAAGGCTAAATGAGCTATGCCTGTAATATAATGAATTTTATGTCTTTTCTAGTAAGCATCAGATCGTACTCAGTTAGTGTTTGTCTCTTTAAAGTGAGTGCAACAGACTACATATTCATTTCAATGGATACCGCGATCACTTGGCAAAACTTTGGCACTCCTCCTTTGAAACTGTCTTTCAAAACTGCAACAAAAGCAGGACCAATATTCTCATCTTGCTTTTACCCCAAATGTAACTATCTAGATTAATCATTCACACACATATTTAATGTTTTTGACGGTTTTTCTTAATCATATCCATGTTAAAAGTTTTGCCACCATTGAGCACATTAAAAATAATGAACCAGAGATTCTGAAGAAATTCCTATTAAAAAATTTGAACACAGGCAAAGTAAGTAATTGTCTTCTATAGAGAAGCTCCCCACACACACATACACAAACACACGTTGAATATTTATGTTCTAGTATCTGTTAGAGTCATATCTTGAATACTAATTAATTAGCAAATACTTATTGACTATACCAGAAAAACAATATGGCATAGTAAAAAAGAATTTGGCTTTTTGAGTCAGATTCATCTATGTTGCCACCTATTCTATTATCTTGATAAATTATTTTGAAATTTTGAGTTTCTGTATCTTCATTTGTAAAATGGGGATGATAATGCTTATTTTGCAAAGTTGTCATGAAGATTAATGAAGCTAGTTTATCCAAAGGCATTGAGAACTCAAAATGCAGTGTAAGACAGGTACTTTAAGAAGTCATCTCATTTTAGCCTCAAATCAACTCTTTTTAGGAATACCAGACAAATTAAGTAGCTTGTTCATGTTTCCATAGTCATTAATCAAATAAATCAATTGTGTTTAATCACTACGCTCTACCCCACCATGCTAGCCATGGTGGGCATCACAGAAGTGAAAAAAAAAAAAAAAGCACTAGTCTTCCTTATGAGGCTCAGAATCTTTAAAAACCATTCCTGAAAATATAGGAGACCCAGTTTATGGCACAAAAACAGGCTGAAAACCTAATTTTCCAAAACTACATTATCTAATTGCCCTTTAATTTTCTCTTTTCAGTTAGACTGTTTTTTTCCTTTTGTTTCTGATGCTCTTTAAAATCCCTACTGCTACAGCAGAGATGAAACTTGTACAAAGTACTAGGTGTCAGAGAAGAGTACCCAGGATGAAACGTCCTTAGCTTGTTATGCAAAAAAGAGATTGCTGTAATTTGTGATGATCACACTGGAATAGTAACTAGCTATAACTTCATAGTAAAGCAGTCCCTCTTGAAGTCCCTGTCACTGGACCACTTGACAGGATAGTGAAACTGACATACAGCAAGTTTCTCTTGCTACATTATTGAATAAGTATAGCCCATTAAATAGTATAAAAAATAGGATAGGCCATTTTTATTGCCTGGATTTTTTTATTTGTAAAAACAGCTTTATTGAAGTATAATTGACATATAATAAATTCATCATTTAAAGTATAAAATATGATCAGTTTCAACATATGTATATACCTGTGTGGCCATTAGCACAATCAAAATGATGATCATATGCATCAGCATCAAAAGTTTCTTTTTACTCCCTTTATAGTCCCTTCTCCTTGTCCCTTCCTGCAATCCTCCTTCCCCCAAGCAACCACTAATCTGTTTCCTGTCACTATAGATTAGTGTGCATTTTTTGGAATTTTATACGTATGCATTATGTGTATGGTTTATACTCTTTTTTGGTAGGATGGAGTTGACTCATGTTGCAGTATGCATCAATAGTTTGTTCTTTATTGTTGCAGTAGTATTCGATTGCGTGACTACACCATAGTTTGTTCTTCTGTTTTCCTTTTGATGGACATTGTGATCTTTTCAGTTTTGGGCTATTACAAATAAAGTGTCTATGAACATTTCTGTACAAGTAAATAGAATGCTTTTATTCCAGAATGTCTACTCATTTCAAAATAGACATATGCTTTCATTTCTTTTGGGTAAAAACCTACAAGTGGAAAAATTAAATTATATGCTAGGTGTATGTTTTTTAAACTCCTTTCCAAAGTGATTATACAATTTTACATTCTCACCAGCAGCATATCAGAGTTCCAGTTATTCCATATCCTAGCCAATAGTTATATGGCAAATACTTATATATCAAACTTCTTAATTTTAGCCACCATCGTAGCTGTAAGACTAATAATGATGAACATCTTTTTATATACTTATTTGCTATTTGTATATCTTTTTTGGTTAAGTGTCTGTTTCAAATATGTTTAAATATTTTGTCCAGTTTTTAATTTGGTTGTTTGTTTTATTATTGAGTTTTGATAGCTCTTTTTATATTCCGGATACAAGTCCTTTATCAGATGTGGTGTACTGAATAACAGCTCCACAAAGATGTTCGTGACCTAATCCCCAGAACCTGTGAACATCTGTACCCTGCATGGCAAAAGTGACTTTGCAGAAGTGATTAAGTTAGTGATCTTCAGGTGGGGAGATTATCCTGGATTATCTGGGAGACCCTATATGTAATCACAAGAGTCTTTATAAGAGAAAGGCAAGAGGGTCAGCATGGGAGAATGCAGGGATGTGACAATGGAAGCAGAGATCAGAGTGCTGTGGCCAGGAGAAAGAAATGCTGGCAGCCTCTAAAAGCTGGACAAGGTTTCAACACATTCTCCCTTGCAGACTCTAGAAGAAACCAGCCCTGTTGACACTTTGGTTTCCGTCCTTAAAGACTCATTTTGGACTTTTAACCTCCAGAAATGTATAAGAATATATTTGTATTGTTATAAATTACTAACTTGGTGGTAACTTGTTATAACAGCAATAGGAAACTAATCAATCAAATAACTACTTTGCAAATATTTTTCCCAATCTGTAATTTGTCTTTTCATTCTCTTAATAGTGTGTTTCAAAACTGAAGATGTGTTGAATGTTGTTGTAGTCCATTTTGTGAATTTTTCAAATAGTGCTTTTGGTGTAATAGCTAAGAAATCTGTACTTAACTGAAGGACACAAAGAATTTTTTCTATATTTTTTCTCTAGATATTTTATAATTTTATATTTTATATTTAAGGGTATGATGAGTTTTGAGCCAATTTTTGTAGAAGATGTGAGGAATGGATTAAAGTACATTTGTTTCTTTCAGAACCTTTTATTGAAAATACTGCTCTTTCTTCACTGAATTGCCTTTATACCTTGTCAAAAATGAGTTATCCACGTATACGGGGGTTAATCTCTGGAATCTGTATTCTCTTGCATCGATCTATGAATCTATCTTTGCCGCAATATCACACTGTCTTAATTATTCTAGTGCTTTAATAAGTCTTAGAGTTAGGTATTATTAGTCTTCCAACTTTGTTCTTTTTTCAAATTAGTTTTGGCTTTTCTAGGATCTTTACATTTTCATAAAATTTTAAAATCAGCCTGTCAATTTCTACAAAAATGTCTGCTGTCATTTTGACTGAGGTTACATTAAATCTACAGATACATGTCAGTATAATTGATATCTTAACAATATTGAGTCTTTTGATCCCTGAACATGATATGTCTTCCCATTTGTTTAGGTCTTCTTTACTTTTTTCAGCAATCTTTTGTGGTTTTCATTGTATAGGACTTGCACATATTTTGTCAAACTTAACCCTAAGAATTTCATATTTCTTGATGCTATTGTAACTAGTACTTAAAAACATTTTAATACCTGATTGTTTATTGCTAGTACGTAGAAATAAAATTGATTTACGTATACTGATTGTCTATCTTGCAACCTTGCTTAATCACTTATTAGTTCCACATAAACAATGGTGGCTTCTCCAAATAGGGATAGGTTGGCTTCTTCCTTTACAATCTAAATGTCGTTTATCTCTTTTTATGGCCATTATTGCATTGGCTAGAGCTTCAACATAATGTTGAATAGACATGGTGAAAGCAGATATCCTTGAATTGTTTGTAATCCTAAGAGGAAGGCATTTAGTGTTACCATTATGAATAATATTAGTCGTATGTTTTTTATAGATGGTCTTTATCAGACTGAGAGAGTTCACTTCCACTTCTAGTTTGCCAAGAGTTTTTAATCAGACACGGATGTTAGATTTTGTCAAATGCTTTTCTATGTCTATTGGGATGATCATTTTTTGTTGTTAATGTGGTGAATTACCTTGATTAACTTTCTAATATTAAACCAACTTGCATTACTGGGACAAACCTTATTTTGCCATGATGTATTATCCTTCTTACATATTGTTTATTCAATTTGCTAACATTTTGTTTAGAATTTTTGCATTAACTTAATGAGTTAGGTTGGTATGTAGTTTTAAAGTTTTTCTCTGGTTTTAGTATCAGGGTAAACCTGGCCTCATAGGACTAGTTGGAAGTGTTCCCTCCCTTTTACTTTCCTGGAAGAGTTTGTATAGATTTGGTACTGATCACCAGTTTTCATTAGCCCAGGAGAGAGTTAAATGCAAATTCTATTTATTTCTTTATTAGATACAGGATATTTGAGTTATCTATGTCTTTTTGAATGAGGATGAGAGCTTGTCTCTTAAGAAATTTTTCCATTTCCTCTAAGTTGTCAAATTTATTGGCATAAAATTGTTCATGATATTTTCCTACCATCCTTTGAATATCTGTAGAATCTCATGTGATGCCACTCTTATTCCTGATATTGATAATTTATTGCCTTCTCTTTGTTAGATGTGCTGGTATAGTTTTCTTCATTTTCCTTGTGCTTAGAGTTTGTTTAATTTCTTCGATCTGTGAGTTTATAGTTTTCAACAAACTTGGGAAGTTTACAATATTATTTTTTCAAATTTTTTTTCTGCCCCCTTCCTTTTCAGGAACTCTTACTATAACTATATTAGGCCATTTGAAGTTGTTTCATAGGCACTGGTGCTATTTGTTTTCTTTTTGTTCTTTGTTTTCTCTGTTTCATTTTGGATACTTTCTATGGCTATGTCCTCAAGTGTACTAATCTTTCCTTCTTCAGTGTTCAGTCTGCCATTAATCCTATTCAGTGCATTTTCATTTCAGACATTGTAGTTTCCATCTCTAGCAGTTTAATTTTGTTTTTAAATATCTTCCTTGTCTCTAGTTCACTTTTTAAACTATGGAATATAGTTGTAATTGTTGTTTTAATATCTTTGTCTATTAGTCCTAACATCTGTGTCAATTCTGCATTGGTTTTGACTGGTTAATTTTTCTCTTTATTGTGTTTCATATTTTCCAGCCTGTTTGTATGCCTGGTAATTTTTGGTTGGATGTCAGACAGTGTTAATTTTACTTTGTTGAGTGTTGGGATATGGATACTTTTTACATTTTCTATAAGTTTACCTAATCTTTTTCTGTAATGCAGTTCTATTACTTGGGAATAGTTTGGGTTTTGTCTTCCTTTTAAGATTTATTAGGCTGGTCCAGAGCAATGTTTAGTTCAGGGATAATTATTTCTCACCACTCAGGTAAGGCCCTTCTGCACTATGAATTATGAGTTTTTCCAGTCTGGTTGGTGGGAAAAGGCACTTTCCTATCCCTGTGTGAACACTAGGCAGTGTCCTTCTAATCTTTTCAGGTGGTTCCTTTGCTGATTTTCTCTCATGCATTCATGCAGGTCTCTGAAGTCTTCACTCTGTGCTCTTCTCTCTTCTCCAGTTCTCTGTCCTATGAACTCTAGCCATGTCAATCTACTTGGATTCTCAACCCCATCCCCTCAACTCAAGGAATCTGCTGGGATCCTCCTGGATTTGCCCTTTCTGCACTGCAGCCTAGGATTTCTCTCAAGTCAGTAAACTGAGGCAATTGTAAGACCCACCTTTTTACTTTCCAGGCCTCAAGGATAATCTCCACTGTCTTGAAAAATCATTGTTTCATGTATTTTGTCTGGTTTTTTGGTTGTTTCATGTACGAGGGTAAATTTTGATCCTGTTTCTCTATTTTGACCAAGAGTAGAAGTCTGGTTTCATTGTGTTTTAAAGGTACAGTGTTATAGCAGGACTTCAGGATATTTCACCAAAGTATGCAAATTTACTTTATTATTCCAAAGTAACAAAGAGGCACCTTGGATGTATATGCAAACCCCAGCAATTATGTCTTATTCACCCTTGCATTTTTAACATCTATCACAGTCCCTGGCCTGTAGCACATACTGGGTGCTTAATAAATATTTTAAAAATTAATCATGAGTGAAGTAAAGTAAAAAAGTATTGCAAGGACATTACATTCAGATGTTGCCTGTTTGACTTCTGGATTCTCTCTCTCTGTTTGTGTATGTTTTATTTTTATTTTTCCTTACATAGCCAAGCTTTCTCCAGGGAAAAATATATCAGGGATGATATTTCCAAGCAACTTCATTTTTACATCCTTCTAGTTATGTGACTTCACAGACTCCCTTCTCCTCCCTTCTCCAGCTGCAAATGAAAAAGTCCTAGGGAGGGACTCTAATCAGCCCAGATTAGGTCATATGCCCACCCATATGGTGAGAGAGAACACAATACTGTTATTTTTTAAGAAAGTGTTTTTCCCATGAAAGTATATGCCATTTATAAAAATTGTGGAAAATTTAGACAAGTATAAAAAAGAAAATATAAGTATTACACCATCCATAGAAATCCGGTGTTAACCTTTTGAGACCTATCTTTCCTTTTTATGGAACACTTTCATGGAAAATGGGAGGGGGGCCGCAGGGTCCACATGCTTAGCATGTTATTTCAGTTTCTATTTGTAAACACTTGAATTAATTATTTACGAGGAAAGTTAGATGGAGATGGAAACCAACTAGACCCTATAATTTGCCTGTAAACACAACAAGTCTACGTGTTTGCAGGAAATAAGGAGAGAAAAGAATGATTCCACCTCTTTGATTGTATTGAGAATTTCTGTCTCTTTAAGAGATCCAGAAAGTATTTTTTCCCATTGCCGGTCTTGACTCACCTGGGTTAAGAAACACCTGTGTGCCTTCAGGGCAGTCTCTTTTGAACACTTGTATAAATTAAAATTTGCCTTTAGGGATTCCAAAGTTCTGTGTGAAAAATTACATGCAAGAGGAGTCTCAGCAAATCAGCTCCAATAGTTCTCATATCGCACAGGCCTTATTACACAGATTTTTAAAACAAACCTCCTATTTTGTTCAGATGAGCCATTCAAAAATGTTTATTAAATACCTACTTTGGGCATAACATTATACATGCTATTTTGGGGATCATAAAGAAAATGGAGGCATGATTCCCATCTTAAAAAGCAAACTAATCATCTAAGTGGGGAGGTAGGTAAAATGAATTTATCAGCTTTAGTGTGAGGGAGAGGGCAGGATTTTAAAGCCGTAAATCCCAGTTTGACAAACATTCAGTTGAACAAATTTGGATTTTATTGCCCATCCCCACAATTCACTGTGTCACCGAGGCTTAAAATATGAATGACACAATGTTCCTCCCTGCAGGGCCGCTGATAGAACATGAAGTACCTCTTAAAGGGCAATAGAAATCTCATTCATATCCCTCTGGATTGGGCTTTGCAAAAATGTGTCCTCTTTTGACTGATCAATTAGAAAAAAGCGACCCCTCTGGGCAGGCTAATTAGAAAAATGTGCCCCTTCCACAGCCCTGGGCTGAGCAGAGATACCATTTGTACCTCAGTAGCACAATCTACATGAGGAATCTGCAGTTTATTCTCATTCTGCTGTCCTCACATTTTCTAATAATAACCAATCCTAATTCTTTGAGCCAGGTAAATAAGGGATGTTCTCATAGATATGGTACTCCACTGCCTCAAGTTGTTACTTTTTTCAAGTTGAGACTTTTTTTAACCTCTTGGCTTACCTACAGATTCCACAGTCTTTGTGCTATGCTTATTATTTCAAGAGATATATATGTTTTTTCACCACATTGTTAGATAGATGGCAGAAGATCTGAAGGCTTGTCATAAGAAGCCCTGGGTAGCTGGGGTAGTTTTTGCCAATACATGCATTTCAGTGCTATGACTTATGGGCAGAGACAAGAGGGTTAGAGTACCTTCGAGTAAATACACAATCCTCCAGTGACCCCTCTGGCACTACATCAGAGGTTCTGCAATATAGCTCCAGGCAACAACTTGAAGCCAGCCAGAATTTATGGGGGAGCCTCTGCTGTGCTCAGCTTTTAAAAATACCTGCACTACAGTGCTTGACAACTGGCTTCTGCTTAAGTGCATCTGATGACTCCAAATGAGCCTGATTGATATTCAGGCCGGACTGTCCTTGGGAGTGCTTTTGGGAGATGGCTCTCATTTGCAAAACTTTCTTTTGAGTCAGGGTTGTCTCAAGGGTGTAACTAGGTTGTTCCTATAAGTGGTTCCAAATAAATGGGGGCCTAAAGCTAAGAACTTTCAGCCTTTTCACACGCCTTGCTATAAATTGCCTGGGATTTGTTGGGACTACCATGTGTACTAAAGTTAGTATCCTGAAAATAAATATTGTTTTGGATGGTTATCATCCTTGGTTAGAAAATAATTTGATTTCTAGCCATACTTCAGGGTTGGTAGCCAACAGCTGTTTGTAAAGCATGAGATTTGCCTCTCTTTCATCTCTACTTGTTTACTCTACTCAACCTTCACTAAATAAATAATAATCTCACCAAATAAGAAGGATAATCTAGCCTCCCAGAAAAAGAATTAAGTTGTTTGTAGTTGCAGTATTTCTAGCAGTGGGGAGTTGAAGTTAACCTCAGGATTTACTGGGTAGTAAATGCACCCAAGGAGTATTATGCAGTGGTTAGAAACAATGACTTAAATGTACATGTAGCAACATGCATGGATCTAAAACACATCGTATCTAGTGGAAGAAGTAAGAAGCAGAGGTAAATATAGCACATTAACATTCCCACAAGTCTAAAAATACGTGCATACAAGACAACACTATCCATATTGCAAAAATGCATACAAACAAAAAGGTAACACATCACAAAAGTTAAAATGGATGCTTGTGAGGGCAGGAGAGGAAAGGGAATGGGGTATTGAGAATGAAAGAGTAAATGGCATAAGAGTGACACTTACACAGAGCAATGATTAGCTCTACCCTCTGTTTGTCGGGATCAACAATAACAGCAAGAGATTTCTACTTTCCTTCCCTGGAGAGCTTCAGAAGGTCTGTTGGGGTCCCAAGAATCTGTTTTTAACAATCATTCTCTTTAAGTCTTCTCATCAGAAAAGTTGGAGAAACATTGTTCTAAAATCTAGATAAAACAGCTTACAACACCCACTTTCATTAAATTCACTTCAAAGCAATCGCTGGAGAACTTGCTGAGAGTCTCTTATGAAAGGTGCAAAATGGGAGATACCAAAGAAGTAACATCTGCTCCCTGCCTTTAATAAGCTAATACCAACATACCTGGAAAAATAAAATAGAATGAGTACAGGCATACCTTGGAGATATTGTGTGTTCAGTTTCAGATCACTGCAATCATGCAAATATCCTTGCTTACACCAACTGTCAGGGCATTTTGAAGAAGAGATATTGAGTGCACTAAACATTTAGGGAAAACCTCATCAGGTGCTAGGCAGGTAGTATGAAGAGTTAGAAAGGGAAAGTGGTGTTGGCATTCTAGGAAAGAGAATGTTGAGCCAAGTTTCAGAACTGGGAATTGGCAGTGTGCACAATATCAGTGTGGCAGATATTCAACATGAAGGGCACATTTTGGATTGGCATGAGGAATGCAGTTGAACAAATCGGCTGAGAAAAGAGTAGGAAAGATTTTTAAACGCAGGGGGAAGGTTTAGATTGATCCCGGAAGAACAATACTACTCCCCCAATAAATCTCATGTACGTCTAATCCCATCTTGGCATCTGCTTCCCAGTGGACCTGAACTAATGCAAGTGGTACTGACAATGATCCAAAACATAGTCAGTTGAGACAGCAATTTGGGACTGGCTCACCCTGCCCAGCAGGCAAAGAAGACATCACCCTGAAAAATAAGTGGGACACCCTGATACAAGGTGACAATTCAATTGCTAAAGATTTTAGTGGTGATGACCTGGGAAAATGTCCCAATAGAGGGAAGCAAACTTGCTAGGCAATGATTCATACAGGCATGGAATCTCATAGAACGTAGCATGCAACCACGAGACCCTCTTCAGAGTGAACGGGGTGTGAGAGTGGGCCCAGGGTCATGGGATCCACTAGTCTTTGCATACTGTGGTCTAGAAGCAACCAGCTTCTTGGGACACTAGGATAACTTTTTAAAGGTACAGTTTCACTGTCAGTTCTGAAACAGTACTTTGGAAGGATTCGGTACCATTTTCCAGAATAGCATATGCATTTAATCAGAGAGCCATACTATGTCCCAAATAGGAGGAATACGTGGGTCTAGAAACCAAGGGATGGAAACGTAGTGGCTTATTCCCATCACTCACTTGGGGTTTTGTCTTTCTCGTCCCCACAACTCTGGCCTCTGCAAGGCTGGAGGTCCCAAAGTGTGGCCCCTCTCTTTCCAAGGGACACAGCAAGGGTACTTTTGAACTACAAGCTTTGGCTGCCCCCAGCACACTCCCTATAACTCCTTGTGACTAGGGATTGGCCAGTGATTAGTCAATAGAATGGCAGGGGTAATTGACCCTGATTACCAGGAAGAACTGTTACGAGATCCTGGCCAGCTTGCTCCAAGACTAAAAGTTCCATATTTTGTTTTGCTTATAAACTGTTTCCCAAAAAATGGACAGTACTTAGATTTTCTGACTGAACATTATATTGATATCGCTGCTCAAAAGTCATTTGGGTTCTGCAGAGCAAAAAAAAGCAAGTTCACCTGGATGACACATAAATCAAATAAAAATGCTCTGGACATGCCGAAACCCCGTCTCTACAAAACACACACACACACACACACACACACACACACACACACAGAATTAGCCGGGAGTGGTGGTGCGCGCCTGCAATCCCAGCTACTCAGGAGGCTGAGGCAGGAGAATCACTTGAACAGGGAGGAGGAGGTTTCAGTGAGTCAAGATCACGCCACTGCACTCCAGCCTGGATGACAGAGTGAGACCCTGTCTCAAAAAAAAAAAAAAGAAAAAGAAATGCACTGGGCAGATGAGCAGACAGAGAAGAACATCTAGTTTTGTTTTAAAGTAACAAGAGTCATAGTGGTTATTAAATGTTAAGCAAAAGAAGTTTGCCTTTAAGAGGTCATAATAAAATGTGATACAGTTTAAATAATGGAAATTTCATGGACTTTCTCAAACCAATTACTGAACTGGATCTTTTATTTTTACATGGGCACATGGAAACATTTCAAAGTAAAATACTAAATGTGACTTGTTTATCCAAAACAGCTTATAAAGAATTAATAAAAACAATGTGAAAACTTGTACAAAATGAAACAGCAAATTAAATTAATCCAGAAGACAAATACTATTCCCGTCTTATAGATTCTCCACACCAGATGTGATAAATACTAATCAGATGGCAATTGTGTGACACAGTTATGATGAAAATTCCTAGGAGCTATTTTTAGCTTTTTTGCCAACTGAAAATCATCTTCCAATGACTTCATTCAACAAAGTGAAGGTCCGGACAATCCTAACCTGCTGTTGGACAACTGTCATTGTCAGTCTTAGGACAACACGTGGTGAAAGTGAAACACAGGGGTGCAAACATGACTTTTAAACATTAACAAATGTGTGTATGTGCCACGTAAGGCTCATTCCTTTAATCTCATTAGTGTTGGGTAAAAGTTTTCTGTCCTTCCAGTTTATCTCATCAATGAACTGCTTCAAATATGTAGGCTGTTTGGGGCTGAATTGTGTCCCCCTACACACATTTTAATACATTGAAGCTCTAAACCTGGTATCTCATAATGTGGTTGTATTTGGAGATAAGGTCTTTATAGAGGTGACCAAGTTAAAATGAGGCTGTTAGCATGGGCTCTAAACTGATCTGACTCATATCCTTATAAAAAAAGAGTCGGTCATAAAAAGAGACACCAGGCATGTGCAGGCATCCTGAGGAAGGGCCATTCCAGAGGAAGGACCAGGTGAGGACGCAGAAAGGTGTCCATGCAGAAGGTGACCATCTGCAAGCCATGGAGAGAGGCCTCAGAAGAAACCAAACTGCTGACATCTCAGTCTAGGACTTCCAAACCTATGAGAAAATAAATTTCTGTTGTTTAAGCCACCAAGTATGATACTTTATTATGGCAGTCCTAGCAAACTAATACACAAGCAACTTGGATTTTTCTTTAAACTCAATGTATCCAGATGGTCTGTCCCCTGTAAGACTTTTTAAGCCTTGCGTTTTAAGGATTCTAACCTATATTTTTAAAGATTTGGAAGATAAAACCAAACTCAAATGAGAAGTAAATTGTTTATTTTTAAAAAATTGATACAGCCAATTATCCCATTTTAACTACAATCTGTACAGATGTTTTGGAACATTAAAAATACCTGATTTGAACATATATGAAGGGTATTTTGTCATCTTTAAATGTATATGTTCAAAATTTACAAGAAAAAAACAAACAGCCCCATTAAAAAGTGGGCAAAGGACATGAACAGACACTTCTCCAAAGAAGACATACAATGCAGCCAACAATCATATGAAAAAAAGCTCAGTATCACTGATCATTAGAGAAATGCACATCAAAACCACATTGAGATACCATCTCACACCAGTCAGAATGGCTATTATAAAAAGTCAAAAAATAACAGATGCTTGGCTCGTTGCGGTGACTGATGCCTGTAATCTCAGCACTTTAGGAGGCTGAGGCAGGCAGATTACCTGAGGTCAGGAGTTCGAGACCAGCCTGGCCAACATAATGAAACCCCGTCTCTACTAAAAACACACACACACAAAAAAAGAATTAGTTGGGCATGGTGGCATGCACTTGTAGTCCCAGCTATTCAGGAGGCTGAAGCAGAAGAATCACTTGAATTTGGGAGGCAGAGGTTGCGGTGAACTGAGATCACACCACTGCACTCCAGCCTGGGCAACAGAGCAAGACTTCATCTCAAATAAATAAATAATAACAGATGCTGGTGAGGTTGTAGAGAAAAAGGAATGCTTTTACACTGTTGGTGGGAGTGTAAATTAGTTCAACCATTGTGGAAGACTGTGTGGCAATTCCTCAAAGACCTAAAGACAGAAATTCCATTCAACCCAGCAATCCTATTACTGGGTATATAACTAAAGAAATATAAATCATTCTGTTATAAAGACACGCGGGCTGGGCGTGGTGGCCCACGCCTGTAATCCCAGCACTTTGGGAGGCCAAGATGGGCAGATCACCAGAGGTCAGGAGTTCAAGACCAGCCTGGCCAACACGGTGAAGTCCTGTCTCTACTAAAAATAGAAAAATTAGTCTGGCATGGTTGTGGGTGCCTGTAATCCCCGCTACTCAGGAGGCTGAGTCAGGAGAATCACTTGAACCTGGGAGGCGGAGGTTGCAGTGAGCCAGGATCACACCATTGCACTCCAGCCTGGGTGACAAGAGCGAAACTCTATCTCAAACAAACAAACCAAAACACAATAAAGACATGCATGTGTATGTTCATTGCAACACTATTCACAATAGCAAAAACATGGAACCAACATAAATGCCCACCAATTATAGACTGGATAAAGAAAATGTGATACATATACATCAGGGAATACTATGCAGCCATAAAAAGGAACAAGATCATGTCCTTTGCAGAGACATGGTTGAAGCTGGAGGCCATTATCCTTAGCAAGCTAATGCAGGAACAGAAAACCAAAAACTGCACATTCTCACTTATAAGTGGGAGCTAAACTATGAGAATTCATGGACACATAGAGGAGAATAACACACACTGGGGCCTACTGGAGGGCAGGGAGTGGGTGGAGGAAAAGGATTAGGAAAAATAATTAATAGATACTTGGCTTAATACCTGGGTGATGAAATAATCTGTACAACAAATCCCCATGACACATGTTTACCTATGTAGCAAACCTGAACATGTACCCTTAAACTAAAAATAAAAGTTAAAAAATATATTTAAAATAAATTTATATGTTCAACAACAGAAGAAATCTGTTAAGTTACTAAAATGTGAAAATGATAAAGATGAATTATAAAATCAATAGAAATTGTTTTGACATCAAGCAAATTATAACAAAAGTTTCAAATCATACCAGAAGCCATAATTCATTAAGAAATATAGATCATTTTTTTCAAACTGAAATAATGAATAGGTTCTTGGATTGTTTGGAAACAATTAATGAAGAGAATGATGCATAAAAGTACATTAACAAAACAATAAACTCTTTCCTGATTTCACAATATTCTTCTAATATCACGCAAGATAACATACAGTTCATAATATTCTTCTAAACAGGTATATCAGTCTGCTATGGCAAGCTAGTTACTGAGTGTTGTCAATTCAAAGAGTATTTGAAATTAGTCATTCATTAGAAATCTTGAAATACCCTGAAATTTTATAGCATATGCATAAAAGAATCTGGATTGAGGTTTTCCTAAATTGAATGACAATTCTAAAAATTTATGAGACAGCATCAATAACAAAAAGATGAATAAAACCCGCATATGCTTAGAAATTAAAAATAGGCTACTAAATAATGCTTCAAAGAAAAGTACAAATTAAATTTTAAAACATTTAGAAATTAATTAAATTGAACATCAAAACTGGGACATATCAAAACTTGTAGAATGAGGTGAAAATGCACTTTCAGAGGGTATTGTAGAAAATAATGATCAATTGAAAGGTAATGTGATAAGTGTCCAACTAATAAGTTAAAAACAGAACAATATAAGCCTGCAAGAACAAGAGAATAAAGACAAGAGCAGAAATCAACAAATTAGAAAACAATTACAAATAGAACAGCAATGAAACCAAAGGTGGCTCTTCAAAAACGTTTATTTAAAAAATCAGTCTCTGCTAAGATTAAGGAGAAAGAGAGAGAGAGAGAGAGAGAGAGAGAGACAGAACATGCCCAAATGAACAATACTAGGATTGAAAAGGGATATAACCTCTGTTGTACCCATGGTTGTAATATTAAAGAGTATTATAACCAAGCTTATGCCAATTTAAATTTGAAAATAAAGACAAAATGCACAAAATCTTAGAAAAATAGATCCCAAAACCAACACAAAAAGAAATACGTGCCTATTACATATATGCGTGAATTTTATCAAACTTTCTGAAATGAATAATTCCAGTTAGAATTATTATCTTACAGAACTTATTATCTTATACAAGCTTATACAGAACTGTCAAAAGGAAAAATTTGGAAATGCATTTT
This sequence comes from Homo sapiens, assembly GCF_000001405.40. Lineage (NCBI taxonomy): Eukaryota > Metazoa > Chordata > Mammalia > Primates > Hominidae > Homo > Homo sapiens. Next base: position 145,444,145 of record NC_000004.12, read on the forward strand.
ATGAGGCAGTTTAACTTTGATCTTAAAACGAAAACATTGCATAAGAAAAGAAAATTATAGGTCAATCTAATTTAAGAACATGATGAGAAATTCTAAACAAAATATTAGCAAACTGAATCTAACATATACAGAAAAATGAACTACATCATGACTAACTTGGGCATTTATCCCAAAAACGCAAGAGCAGTTTAATATTAGCAAACTCATGAATATCAGTTATCATATAAATACATTAAAGGAGAAAAATGTGGTAATTTTTAACAGATGTAGAATAAGAACTTAATGAACGTGTATTTCATTTTTTATTTTAAAAACCCATCAAATTAGAAGCAGAAGATTTTTTTTACCCTGATACAGAATAACTACCAAAAGTTTGTATAATATATCATATTAGCCAGGCATTGTCATATGTGCTGTTGTCCCATCTACTAAGGAGGCTGAAGCAAGAGAATCTTCCTCCAGGCTTGAGCCTGGTAGTTCAAGTCCAGCCTGTGCAACATAGCAAGACCCCCATCTCTAAAAAATAAAATGAAATTACGTAATCAGGAAAAACAGGAAAACATTCACTTTTACTCAATATTTTATTAAATATCATAAGCCAGTACAAAGAGTCAAGAGAAAAACTAATAGATACAAAGATTGGAAAGGAAGGAACAAAAACTATCATTTTTCATAGATGTTATGTATACATAGAAAACCCAAAAGAATCTGTAGAAAAAATATTGGAATTATGAGTTTGGCAAAGTGGTTGGGCAAAAGATGAATTCATAAAAATCAATTCATTTATATACACCAGCCACAAAGAGCAAACGGCCTCTAAATATCCATTTGCAATTGCAACAACAAAAAAATGTACTTCAGAGCAATCTCACAAAAAATATGCAAGACCTTTATGGATAAACTATAAAACATTACTGAAAGATGTAAAAGAAGAACTTGATAGAGAAAGATTCCATGTTCATGAAAAGGAAGACTCAATGCTCTAAATATGTCAGTACTCCCCAAACTGATCCACAGTTTTAATACAGCACAATTCAAATCCCAACAGTGTTTTTGGTGGAAATTCGCAAACTAATTTTAAAAGGTGTTCAGAATAGCAATGTGCCAAGAATTACAACACTTCTGATGAAGAGGAATAAGGTAGATGTACTTGTCTACTAAATATTAAAATATTTTAAAACTCTAATAATTAAGATAGTATTGTCTTGGTGCAGGAAGACAAATTGACCAGTGGAACAGAACAGAGCTCAGGACTCAGACATCTGATGTATGGTAGAGGTTGTATTGTAGTTCTGTGGGGAAAAGAAAAGATGAGATGGTCAATAAACATGTGAAGATAACTGGCTATCTCTAAACGAAGTTGGATTCCCACTTCATTAGTCCTCTAGGGCTGTCATAACAAAATACCACAGACTGAGCAGCTTAAACAACAGATGTTTATTTTCTCACAGTTCTGGAGGCTGGAAGTCCAAGATCAAGGTGCTAGCAGGGCGGGGTTCTCGTAAAGCCTCCCTCCTTGACTCACGGATGGCTGCTTTTTTTCCTGTGTTTTCACCTGGCCTTTTCTCTATACACATGCATCCCTGGTGTGTGTGCATCTCTCTCTTCTTAAAAGGCCAAAGTCCTGTTGGATCAGGGTCCCACCCTAATAACCTCCTTTAACATTAATTACCTCCTTAAAGGCCCTATCTCCAAATATAATCACATTGAAGGTTAAAGCTTCAATATTAAAATTTTGGGGGGACATGATTCTGTCTATAAACCTACAATAGACAAGTAGAAATAAAAATCTATTCCAGATTGATCAAAGATTACATGTGAGAGACCAAACTTTAAAACTTACTACAAGTGGATGTAAGACATGAAAAAACAGTTTTTGTACATTGGACATCAGGCAGCTCAAGAAAGCAATCCCTGAGAAAATGGAAATTTACAAAGTAAGCCCTAGAATTGCTCCCAAATTAATACTTAGAGGGAGCTTCCAGTCTGCAGTGCAGGAATGAGGATCTCAAACAGCCTGCAGGCTCCCATTGTTAAGGGGACAGGGCTATGGATTCAGGGAAGCCAAGGCAGCTAGAATTTGTAGGACTGAGTAGCAGAAAAATTGTTTCACAGAGAAGAGATCTGCACAGACAGAGCTCCAGATACCTGCAGAAGGTTCCCCTTGAATCTTCAGTTAATTATTGATCAGTGAATGTATATGCTGAGAACCAGAGAAAGAATCACCAGAAAGGAGCAGGTGCAATAATCCCCAGAGATCACACAAAGGGCTATTGCAGTCAGAATGGAAAAACCTGTATTAGACAGGGCCATAGAGTACTCAGAAAGGCATTGCTTCACTAATGGGGCCAAATTAGCTCTAGACTAAACGCTGCTCTGTTCCCACCTGAATGACCTTAAAAGCAAGCATTGAAAATATCAAATTGTTTTCAAGTAGCTTAACTGCATCTCAGAACAAAGTTCAAGAATATGTAAAGCAATGAAGAAATGTCCTGCAAGGAACAATATGAAATTCACAATGTCTGACATCCAATCAAAATTGCCAGGCATGCAAAGAAGAAGAATATGATCTATAATGAGGAGAAAAATCAGTCAATAAAAACAGACCCAATGAAATGGATTACAGAATTAGTGGACAAGGATGTTAAAGCAGCTATAAAAAGTATACTTCACATGCTCTGGAAGATAGAGGGCAACATGAGCATTTTAAGAAGAGATATGAAAGAAATTTAAAAAAAAATTTAATTTTAAAAATTTGGGTCTTTTTAGACCCAAATAAAATTGCTAGAGATGAAAAATACAGTAATTAACAAGAGCTGATGCTGTGGAAGAAAAGGCTAGTAAATTTGAAGACATAGCAGTGGAAACCATTCAAAATGAAACACACAGAGAGGAAAAAAGACAAAACAAACCAAAAAGCACAGTGCATCATTGAGTATGTGACAATGTGTAACTGGAGTTTCTGAAAGAGAAAAGAGGAGGGAAGCGGGGGGCATAAAAAGAATGGAAAAAATAATGGCTGAAAATATTCTAAATTTCATGAAATTTCTTGAAATTTTATTCCAAATTTAATTAACAAAGATCTAGTGGATTATTTCTTTCTTTTTCTTTTTTTGAGACAGAGTCTCACTCTGTCATCCAGGCTGGAATGCAGTGGCACGATCTCGGCTCACTGCATCCTCCACCTCCTGGGTTCAAAAGATTTTCGTGACTCAGCCTCCCGAGTAGCAGGGATTATTGGCATGTGCCACCACGCCCAGCTAATTTTCGTATTTTTTAGTAGAGATAGGGTTTCACCATGCTGACCAATCTGGTCTTGAACTCCTGACTTCAAGGGATCCTCCCACTTCAGCCTCCAAAAGTGCTGGGATTATAGGCGTGAGCCACCGGCACCCAGCCAGATTATTTCCTGAAGCCATTCAAGACAGTCATTAGAAACTACAAAAACAAGGAATCTGATTTTTTATGTACCCACAAAAAGACAGTAGTTTGTGATTAACTCAGAAAAAGAGAGCGAGAGAGAGAGAGGTATACAAAAGATGGGAAGTGGCAGGTATCTCCTACTTCTTCAGAACAGACTTCGGGTGAGTTAATTCCAACTCACTGATGATTTTAGATCTTGAACTTCTCCGAGAGATCATCTCATCTAATTTCCTTGGCTTATACATTCAAGAACTGAGAATCAAGATATTAAATGACTTGTCCAAGGTCACATAAAATGTTAGTTACAGAATTGTCACTAGCACTTAAGTTCCTTGATTTCCAGTACTCTAGACTCTAGTACTCTAGAAGCACTATAGGGTTTCCAGCCAATCAGAGGACAAAAAAATCCCTCTCTCTCTCTCTCCTATTTTTTTTTTTTTTACCCTGGGCCAACCATAGGGTACCCCCAATATACAAGTAAAATTCTCTGATCACATTACTCATTTCAGAGAATAGCCATGAAAATGTGAATTTGCTTAGAGGATGGATAGCCTGGTTTTAACTGGCTATGAGGTTTGGTTGAGGATCAATGAGACAAAAGTACCTAGCAGTGGCTCTGGGGACCTGGGACATTATCACAGGACTGTGAGGGCAAAACTATTTTCTCAATAATGCTAAGATGCTATTTGCCTTTTAATGCTCCCTCTTTTGTAAATACACAGTGGAATGTTCCAGAGTCTACATGATGTGTGATATCATAGCAGATTGAACGTACAAGCAGCTATGAGACTATTGCCATCTTCTATTGTCAGGCATTAGAAAATTTGCAAAAATGAAAAACAATGCCATTCTTCTATTTTTTTTGTTTTGGAAAAATAATTTTTTCATAAAATATGTTAACATGTAATGGGTTTGTTATTGCTATTTTAAAATATATGAGAAATAAATATGTTAAAAGTTCCCTCAGTCTCCTAATTTAATAAATAGTGATAGGTATAGTCCATATAAATAAAAGTTTCTTGGAGTCCTTGATAATTTTTAACAGTGAAAAGGGATCCTGGCCAGTCGCGGTGGCTCACGCTTGTAATCCCAGCTCTTTGGGAGGCCAAGGCAGACGGATCACGAGGTCAGGAGTTCAAGACCAGCCTGACCAATATGGCAAAACCCCGTCTCTACTAAAAATACAAAAAACTAGTTGAGTGTGGTTGTGCGTACTTGTAGTCCCAGTTACTCGGGAGGCTGAGGCAGGAGAATCGCTTGAACCCAGGAGGCGGAGGTTCCAGTGAGCTGAGATCGTGCCACTGCACTCCAGCCTGGGCAACACAGCGAGACTCCATCTCAAAAAAAAAAAAGGATCCTAAAACAAAGAAGTTTGAGAATGGCTATTATACCGGGTTTCCAAAATCATGCTGAAGAATTTATCTTTCACTCTCAGGCTCGTTACTGAAGAGTTTTGAGCAGGGAAGTGTCATAATCAGAGTCGGGCTTTAGTGAAGACTTGCCTGGCAATTTATGGATGGATAGGCAATGAAGAAGGAAATGAAGGTAAAACAATCAGAAGGCTATAAAAGTGCAATTGAGAATTGGGGAGATAATGGACTAGATATGAGAAGGAGGCAAAACATGTAGCAGTGGAACTTATGGGAGAAACAGTGATGAGATTCAAAGGTCACTGGAGAGAAAAATGACCAATATGTTACCTAGGTGACCAAAAGAGTGGCAGTACCATTAACAAAAATAAAAAATCAAGCGGATGAGTTTTAAGTTTTGAGCTGTTAATGCTGAAGTAAAATTGTGACTATGACCTGCAGAGAGTTGGAAGTGTGGGACTAGAATTTAAGAAAGGTTAGTTTATGTTGGACAGATGGAGTTAGATGGTGTTTGAGGTTTGGGGAGCTGAAAAATTCCCCAAAGAGATGGAGGGGGTGTGGGCTGGAGAAAGAGAAGGGGAACAAGAGACCCCATAGAGGTCAGTAGGGGAGGTGCCAATCCTAAAGGTACAATTAGCACTACGATTTTGCAATGCCTCTGAAGCCAGGAAGAGTGCTTCTAGAAGGAGAAAGAAGAGTTAATGGTACCCAGAAGCCCATAGGGGTAGGAGCTAAAATAATTTCCGTGATGTCTCAGGAATCTTCAAATATAATTTTATTGGAGTAGTGTATGTGAGTCAGATTTCAGAGGGCTAAGGAATGAGTGTGGATTGGGAAACTCCAAAAAGAAGTTTGACCATAAGAAAATAGAGCAAGAGAAAATGGTAACCAACCCAGAGAATGGATAAACTCTGAGGATGAAAACATGCAGGGAAAGAAAAAAAAAATCCTAGAAAAACTTACTGTTTGGAGTCAGAAAGAGGAAGCCTGAAAAAGGGGAAGGATTGGTTTGTGCCCAGGAAAACTAGATTGGCTAGAATGGGCGTTGGGGGGGGGGGGGGGGGGGCGCGGAAATAACAGGTAATGATGTCCAAGGCAGCAGAAGGTGTCTAGGAACACCTTGGAAATATCAGGATCAGATATGCCCGGATTCCATTCCTGCCAAAAATAAAACATGAAAAGCTTATATGCATAGAAAACTCCTGGAGGTTTTATAATAGTAAACTTTCACAAGTGGTTTCCTCTGAAAAGTAGGACTCATGGAGATTTCTTTTTTGTATTTATTCTTCTGTATAATTGGAGTTTGAAATTTTTAAGATCATGAATATGTGTTTATTTATAATTTAAAATATTCAAATTTTTAACAACCTGTGTCAAGTTCAAAATTTTAAACAATTTGATCTTGATGAATTGGAAGGAAAAATTGAAGAAGGTATCTCTTACTATATATGTACACTTCAGAATTTCTTCATGTGCATAAACTTCTTTTATAATTTAAAAAATTATAAGAGAATATATTGTCATAAGGAAGAAAAATAAATAGTTGGCACTGTGTTCTATAACATTCACCTTTTAGTTCTGGGCAGGAAGATATAAAGTTCCTGCCCTCAGAGAGTAAAGAGACAGGACATGATGCAAAATAGCTTCTAAATCCCAGCCCAGTGTACAGAGTAAAAACATCGAGGGACAAATTAAAAGAATTAACTCTAAAACTACATCTAAAGCCTTTAAGGTGCCTGTCATATGGGAGGCACTCAATAAATATTAGTTATTATGATTTGTCAAGTTATATTCATATTTAGTATATTATAAAATATAAATGTAGTAGCCTTAGGCCTCTAATAATTCCATTAATATTTACAGAACACAATGCCTGCACATGTGCCAGAGATGAGAAAATGAATGAGATATTATCCTTTCCTTAAAAGCTAATTGGCAAACAAAATATAAAAAGATATATAATAATGCAGGTCAGTGTATGCTGTGTTCCAAATATGTGATCCAGACAAAAGTGGTTCTGCAATTTGAAGACGAGAAAAATCACAGAGGACAGGAGCAATTAGGAAAAGCTTGCAGAGATAAGACATGAATGGACCTTGGAGAATATGAAAGGAGAGAAAAGGGCATCCTGGGGGGAAAATGCAATGAACAGAGACTAGAAACAAAAAAGATGCGTGGTCTAAATATAATTTGTTATCCTAGATAGGATCCTGAAACAGCGAAAGGACTGTAGTATGAAAACTGATGTTTAGTCAAAAGTAATATACCGACATTGTTTTCTTAACTTTCACAAATGTAGCATGATAATGTAAGATGTTAACTTTAGGGGAAACTGGATAAAGAGTAGACATATAGGAACTCTCTGTACCAACTTCATATTTTTTTCTGTACATCTAAAAATTATTCCAAATTAAAGTTTATCTTTAAAACTGTGCATGGTAAGTTCATGAACTAGTGAGTAAACAAATACAGCCAAAGCTCAGAATTTAGTTAGAAAGATAATGATAAATTAAGACGAACAGGTGGGTAAGTCCTAGATTGCAGAAGACTTTGAATGCCTGGCTAAAGATTTCTGATTTAATTCTGCAGTTCATGTAGTGTTATTGAAAGTAGCAGAACAATGAGGTGTTTGAAGGAGAAAGGAGCCTTCAAATAGGTGGCCCAGGAAATCTTATGTCACCATCATCATTGACTTTCATTTGTCCAACATCATGTTTTCTAAAAGCCACCACAAATGGCACACTAACATATTCTCATTCATATTTTCCTCAGTTATTAAAATGCTAATGTTTAGTAAAAATACCATGTGATGGGAGAGAAGCAAACAATGTAGCCCTCCCCTCATGAATAATGAAGCCCTACGTAATGATGACTTGGTCTCACTCAACATCCATAGTGCTAGAAGCAGACCTTTCTCTATGAAAAGTTAGTGTTGTCATGAGCTTCCATTTCTTTTACTGTCAGCCAAAAACAGTTCCCTGAAGCATATTGCTTCACTGTAGGAAAATCATTTCAAAGACCCTCCAAGTTGTGAAAATGTAAGGCAAACAGACAATCTTTGCCTGTGAGAGTTTGTGTGTAGGTGTAGGTGTCCAAAATGAGCATGTGTCTGTTGCTTAACAACATCTGGCTTTCTCCTTTGCATGCAACAGGGAGATTCATTGTTGGGGTATGCCGAGGTAGTCCAGTGGCAGGAAGAGATGCTAAGACAGACCAAAGAAGGATTTATGGAGAAGACTTATGTGCTCCAGCATGACAAGAGGCTGGGATTGAGTTCTTTTCTAGCTTTGGCCCACCTGGCTTGGTGCTAAGCATTGAAGGGAAAAAATTGATGAGTGTGTGAATGTGACCTAAAATAGATGTGGTCTCAGAGCTCCAGAGGGACACTGGCAGGGTGATGGGAAGAAGAGAGCTGAATCAGTAGGAGCATCACAGCAGCCACAAACAAATGTCCTGATATCAGAATGTGCGGGACCCATCTTTAACCTCATGTGACAGAGACCAAGCCAAGGTGTTAGTGGATTGTTCATACTTCCCAGATTTCTCTCTCGTCCTGGCTTTTTGCAGGACTGATCGCCTTTGAACTGAGTAAGTTCCTAGTGTTCTTACCCAAGCAGGCTGGCTGAGGGAGGCCTTAGGAAATAAGTGGACTTCCTATCACTAAGGGCAGGTAATAAATTGAATAAATAAATATGAGGCAATTGTGTTTGTATTCCAAGCTAGCAAAGTGGATCATTCCAGATACACTATTGATGTGAATTTCTACAAAGTGAGTCATTTCCCCTATGGTCTTTTTTAACATTTCTTAAATGTATTCCCACAACACCTGCAGTTCAGTGCACTGTTTTTGAGAATGTAAGAAGCAGAGTGCACAACCTACCTATGAGAAAAATGGACCCAGAGGACAGGAATGAGAGCTTCGTGAAGAGGAAACCTGCATGTACTAGTCTGATTCTTTTTTCCGCTTGTTTAGGACACACTACCATGCTGCCTGTTTGAAGCCATCTCACAGGATATTTGCAAGAGCCACTGGGATGTTAGTTCCATGAAAGGAAGAGTTCTGTGTTGCTTATTGACCTATACCAGGGCCTGGTAGATGCTCAGTAAATATTTACTGAACAAACCGATGAATCTAGTGAACTAAGGGACATCAGAATATCTAAATACTGCAAAGTAGGATTGAAGACTGATGATGGTTAATGTCTGTCCACCAAAAACACTATTAGGGAGGGAGAAATTTTCTGGGAGAAGATTGTCAAGAGGAAAGAATACATTAATACAAATACACAGGGGAGAAAGCTTCTGTAATGGAGGGCTCCAGTCTAAGTCCCTTTAAGCTAAATTGAGCCAAGAGCATTGCCTTACTGATGAGTATTCCTTTGTAGAGGAAATAGAGATCTTTGAGAAGTGGAAGTAAATCTCAATTTTCTGGGCCTAATGCCAGATATTCTAGCACATTAAAGATGACAGACAAAGGAGATGACACCTTAAGATTTATTCCAGATTGTATATTTTCCTCCATTTGTGGGTTAGATTGTATATTTTTCTCCTTTTGTGGGTTGAGAAAGTAATAGAGAATGTGGGGAAAGAAGTTTTCTGCTGTTCTCTCTATAATTTTAGGAGCTACAGTATCTGGGAAGCTTGAGGTCTAACTAATCCTGTGATATCTAGACTAAGTGAGAAGAAATGGGTGGATCTCCAGGTAAAGGAAGATAGTAAGATGTATCTTGTCCACGAGTTCTTGTGGCTAAGTATGCACTAATAGTTGATTATCCCAAAGAGTTACTGAAAGGGCCAGGGTAGCTCTATTTACTGGGAAAGAGGGACATTTTATATTTGATTTGAAATGTTTGTTATACTGTCAGGAAACTCTATTGTTACAGATTTTCTGGGACTCTATACTACATTTCCCCCTTTATTCTAATGTTGAGAGTGACCTAGTAAGTCAACTGTATCTTGCCATTTATAATTTGGGAAGAGTTTAGAAAAGACACAGGTCTACAACGTTTTTATCTCATTCAGAAAAAATTGGAGGCACCCAGGCGCAGTGACTCACACCTGTAATCCCAGCACTTTGGGAAGTCAAAGAGGGTGAATCACCTGAGGTCAGGAGTTTGAGACCAGCCTGGCCAACATGGCGAAACTTCATCTCTACTAAAAATACAAAAATGAGCTAGGTGTGGTGGCACATGCCTGTATTCCCAGCTACTTGGGAGGCTGAGGCAGGAAAATTGCTTGAATCCAGGAGACAGAGGTTGCAGTGAGCCGAGATCGCACCACTGCACTCCAGCCTGGGCAAGAGAGTGAGACTCCATCTCAAAAAAAAAAAAAAAAAAAAAGGAGAAGAAAAGAAAAAATTCGAGGCTTTTCTGCAACAACAGGCATTTCTTTTCTCTTTTTTTCTTTTTGTTGAGACAGGGTCTTGCTCTGTCACCCAAGCTAGAGTATAGTGACGTGATCATAGCTCACTATAGTCTCAAACTCCTGGACTCAAGCAATCTTCTTGCCTCAGCCTCCCAAACTGGTGGGATTATAGGTGTCAGCCACCACTCCTGGTCAACTATAGGAATTTCAAAGCATAGGAGTTTGAAAGACTGAAATAGCTATGGGCTTCAAAAATCATATGTGGGAAAACAAACACAGTTAGAAAATTTATTTATTCAGGGCTGGGTTCTCACTACTGTAAAAAAGTAGAGGTAAAATTTAACAGGTAATAATGTTCTACAATTTCTGTGCATTTCCTTTTTAATGAAAGTACTATTTAGGTGTCTGCAAAGCAATTTTGCTAATAGAATAACAGGTAGTGAGATCATTTTATACAATTAGCATAACTGACATTAGGAAAATGTAGATGGCGCCAAGTGCAGTGGCTCACACCTGTTATCCTAGCACTTTAGGACTGTTTGAGGCCAGGAGTTTAATGCCAGCCTGGCTAACACAGTAAGACTCCGCCTCTACAAAAATAAAGTAAAAAATTAGCTGGGCATGGTGGCACACGCCTGTAGCCCTAGCTACTCAGGAGGCTGAGGCAGGAGGATCACTTAAGCCCAGGTGTTCAAGGTTACAATGAGCTGTGATCATGCCACTTCACTCTAGTCTGGGTGACAGAGTGAGACCTTAAAGAAAAGAACACAGAGAAAGAGAGAGAGAAAGAGAAAAGGAAAGAGCGGAGGAAGGAAGGAAAGGAAGAAAGGAAGGAAGGAAGGAAGCAAGGAAGGGAGGGAGGGAAAGTAAGAATGACCCATAGTCATCTTATGCATGTCTTGCTCCAGATGTAGAATCAGTCATTTCTCCAAAACGTTTTAGTTTTTTTAAATGGGGAATGCTATTTAGAGGTCACAATCTGAGTGTGAAAGATGTTCATTGCTATTGCATTGGTAATTGTTTTTAAAACTTTTTCTTCAGAAGAGCCAGGGAATATGTATTTTTAGACAAAGTACATCATGAGTTCATACTGATATTCTCAATTCAAAATTAAGGTTAAAGTAGTTTTAATTAAATTGTTTAAATTTGTATTTCTATTGCTTTTCTCTTATGTGGTAAAGCTTGGTTGATGACAATGTTAAAGTAATTACTTTTTGTTACCCGGTCATATGTTGCTAATGATATGGATACATTCTGAGAAATGCATTGTTAGGTGATTTCATTGTTGTGTGAACATCATAGACTGTACTTACACAAACCCAGATGGTATAGCCTACTACACACTTAGGCTATATGCTGTAGCCTATTGTTCCTAGGCTATAAATCTATACAGCATGTTACTGTACTGAATACTGGAAAAGGTCCAGTAAAAATACAATAGGAAAGGTGTTCACCTCACTGGCGTCCTGGACATGGGTTGTCTCCAGGAGCACTCAGGCCAGTGGACAGTGAGGGCGCAAGTTACAGTTTGGATATAAAACCATTTTTCTAGCCCACCTTAGAGAAGACTTTTGACACACTAATCGGAATGGTTCCAATAGTCTACTTTGCAAGACATTTCAGATTCAAAGAATTTCCTTTGTAAAAACAACAAGGGAGGCATCACAGTTTTCCATTTACATCAACAACTTCAAGTTCTTACTATGGAAAATTCAGAGACTGAAGTGGTTCTCCTTGCTGTAGCTCCTTCAATCCTATCACCAACAGGCACCTAAGGTTGTTTGAGCTGGCCAAGGACTATATGAATGGAACAGGAAGATATAGAGTTGTCAAACACATGATCTTTCCTGTTGGTGATGCTTATAAGAAGAAAGGACTCATTCCTGCCCATCACCAGGTCATCATAGCCGAACTTGCCACCAAGAATTCCAAGTGAGTGGAAGTTGATACATGGGAAAGTCTTCAGAAAAAGTGGAAAGAGACTATTACTTTGCTAACACACCATCAGGAGAAACTGGAGGCTACTAACTGTGATCACAAGCAGAACTCACCTACACTAGAAAGGCCTGGATGGAAGAGGAAGAGAACTGAACAAAGACAAGATTCTACTAAAAAAAAAATCCCTAGAGCCAAAACCAAAAGGTGCATCAAAGGTCAAGCTGCTGTGTGGGGCAGATTTACTGGAGTGCTTTGGTGTTCCTAATTTGTGGAAAGGTGAAAACATCACCCAAACTGTGGCTGACTATGGGCTCTTATGTATTACTTGGGCTGCAAATGATGCTCACAAATTCATCTATGACTCTAATGTGCTATGGAAACACCACAGCAACATTCATGTGGTGAATGAATGGATCACTAATGATATCTCATCCACAAAAATCCAGAGAGCCCTTAGAAGGGGCCAGAGCGTTCACTACTTGCTACCAGATCTTTTTCAAGAATACATCGAAAAGCATAATTTGTACAGCTCTGAGAGTGAAGACAGGAATGCTAGGGTCATGTTGGCCCCTTTGTAGAGAAATATTGCAGAAGCTAAGGCATAGAAATCCTACAGCATGATGTTTTGCACTTCCCTTTTGAGTATTTGAAACAATCTGGGTGTTAGTGATGGGAAATAAATTGTGATCCTGTTGCTTAAACTAAAGCTTAAAAGTTTAGTAAAAATCAGTGGTAAGGTAAAATCAGCGTCTTTTTTTAAAAATTTTTATCAGAAGGTGCTAAGATGAATGTTTTCTGTATTTTTTTTTTTTTCAGACAGAGTTTCACTCTGTTACCCAAGCTGGAGTACAGTGGCATGACCTTGTCTCACTGCAACCTCCGCCTCCCAGGTTCAAGCAATTCTCATGCCTCAGCTTCCTGAGTAGCTGGGACTACAGGCATGCACCACCATGCCTGGCTAATTTTTTGTATTTTTAGTAGAGATGGGGTTTCACCAGGTTGGCCAGGCTGGTCTTGAACTCCTGACCTCAGATGATCTGCCCACGTGAGCCTCCCAAAGTGCTGGGATTACAGGGCATGAGCCACCACACCCAACCTGTTTGGTCTTTTTTAAAAATATATGTATATATAAATCTTTTTAATCTTTCAAACAAGAGATTAGCAGCACACTAAATCCAGAAGAATTTTCTGTGAAACTAACTACAAATAAGAAGTCAAAAAGAACATCCTAGGTCTACCACATAAAAGAAGCAAAGTGTGAAGCGCAAAAGTTCATTTAAAATTCTAACTCTGGGCTTTTTGGGTTCTAAGATTGCTGAATAGGAACAGCTCCAGTCTACAGCTCCAAGCGTGAGCAATGCAGAAGATGGATGATTTCTGCATTTCCAACTGAGGTACTGGGTTCATCTCACTGGGGCTTGTTGGACAGTGGGTGCAGCCCATGAAGTGTGAGCGGAAGCAGGGCGGGGCATCGCCTCACCCGGGAAGTGCAAGGGATCTGGGAATTCCCTTTCCTAGCCAAGGGAAGTTGTGACAGACTGTACCTGGAAAATTGAGACACTCCCACCCTAATACTGTGCTTTTCCAATGGTCTTAGCAAACGGTGCACCAGGAGATTATATCCCGTACCTGGCTTGGCAGGTCCCACGCCCATGGAGCCTCGCTCACTGCTAGCACAGCAGTCTGAGATTGAACTGCAAGACAGCAGCAAGGCTAGGGGAGGGGCGTCCTCCATTGCTGAGGCTTGAGTAGGTAAACAAAGTGGCCGCCAGGAAGCTCGAACAGGACGGAGCCCACCACAGCTCAAGGAGGCCTGCCTGCCTCTGTAGATTCCACCTCTGAGGGCAGGGCATAGCTGAACAAAGGCAGCAGAAACTTTTGCAGACTTAAACATCCCTGTCTGACAGCTTTGAAGAGAGTAGTGGTTCTCCCGGCATGGAGTTTGAGATCTGAGAACGGACAGACTGCCTCCTCAAGTGGGTCCCTGACCCCCGAGTAGCCTAACTGGGAGACACCTCCAGTAGGATCCGACTGACACCTCATACAGCCGGGTGCCCCTCTGAGACGAAGCATCCAAAGGAAGGATCAGGCAGCAACATTTGCTGTTCTGCAATATTTTCTGTTCTGCAGCCTCCGCTGGTGATACTCAGGCAAACAGGGTCTAGAGTGGACCTCCAGCAAACTCCAACAGACCTGCAGCTGAGGGTCCTGACTGTTAGAAGGAAAACTAACAAACAGAAAGGACATCCACACCAAAATCCCATCTGTATGTCACAATCATCAAAGACCAAAGGTAGATAAAACCACAAAGATGGGGAGAAACCAGAGCAGAAAAGCTGAAAATTCCAAAAATCAGAGCACCTCTTCTCTTCCAAGGGAACACAGCTCCTCACCAGCAATGGAACAAAGCTGGACAGAGAATGACTTTGACGAGTTGAGAGAAGAAGGCTTCAGACGATCAGTAATAACAAACTTCTCCAAGATAAAGGAGGATGTTTGAACCCATCACAAAGAAGCTAACAACCTTGATAAAAGATTAGATGAATGGCTAACTAGAATAAACAGCATAGAGAAGACCTGAAATGACCTGATGGAGCTGAAAACCATGGCACAAGAACTACATGACACATGCACAAGCTTCAGTAGCCGATTCGATCAAGTGGAAGAAAGGGTATCAGTGATTGAAGATCAAATGAATGAAATGAAGTGAGAAGAGAAGTTTAGAGAAAAAAAAGTAAAAAGACATGGACAAAGCCTCCAAGAAATATGGGACTATGTGAAAAGACCAAATCTACGTCTGATTGGTGTACCTGAAAGTGACAGGGAGAATGGAACCAAGTTGGAAAACACTCTGCAGGATATTATCCAGGAGAACTTCCCCAACCTAGCAAGGCAGGCCAACATTCAAATTCAGGAAATACAGAGAATGCCACAAAGATACTCCCTGAGAAGAGCAACTCCAAGACACATAATTGTCAGAGTCACCAAAGATGAAATGAAGGAAAAATGTTAAGGGCAGCCAGAGAGAAAGGTTGGGTTACCCACAAAGGGAATCCCATCAGACTAACAACGGATCTCTCGGCAGAAACTCTACAAGCCAGAAGAGAGTGGGGGCCAATATTCAACAACCCAGAATTTCATATCCAGCCAAACTAAGCTTCATAAGTGAAGGAGAAATAAAATACTTTACAGACAAGCAAATGCTGACAGATTTTGTCACCACCAGGCCTGCCTTACAAGAGCTCCTGAAGGAAGCACTAAACACGGAAAGGAACAACCAGTACCAGCCACTGCAAAAACATGCCAAATTGTAAAGACCATCGATGCTAGGAAGAAACTGCACCAACTAACGGGCAAAATAACCAGCAAACATCATAATGACGGGATCAAATTCACACATAACAATATTAACCTTAAATGTAAATGGACTAAATGCTCCAATTAAAAGACACAGACTGGCAAATTGGATAAAGCGTCAAGACCCATCAGTGTATTGTATTCAGGAGACCCATCTCATGTGCAGAGACACACATAGGCTCAAAACAAAGGGATGAAGGCAGATCTACCAAGCAAATGGAAAACAAAAAAAAGCAGGGGTTGCAATCCTACTCTGTGATAAAACAGACTTTAAACCAACAAAGAGAAAAAGAGACAAAGAAGGCCATTACATAATGGTAAAGGGATCAATTCAACAAGAAGAGCTAACTATCCTAAATATATATGCACCCAATACAGGAGCACCCAGATTCACAAAGCAAGTACTGAGTGACCTACAAAGAGACTTAGACTCCCACACAATAATAATGGGAGACTTTAACACCCCACTGTCAACATTAGACAGATCAACAAGACAGAAAGTTAACAAGGATACCTAGGAATTGAACTCAGCTCTGCACCAAGTGGACCTAATAGACATCTACAGAACTCTCCACCCCAAATCAACAGAATATACATTCTTTTCAGCACCACACCACACCTATTCCAAAATTGACCACATAGATGGAAGTAAAGCACTCCTCAGCAAATGTAAAAGAACAGAAATTATAACAAACTGTCTCTCAGACCACAATGCAATCAAATTAGAACTCAGGATTAAGAAACTCACTCAAAACCGCTCAACTACATGGAAACTGAACAACCTGCTCCTGAATGACTACTGGGTAAATAATGAAATGAAGGCGGAAATAAAGATGTTCTTTGAAACCAATGAGAACAAAGACACAACATACCAGAATCTCTGGGACACATTTAAAGCAATGTGTAGAGGGAAATTTATAGCACTAAATGCCCACAAGAGAAAGCAGGAAAGATCTAAAATTGACACCCTAACATCACAATTAAGAGAACTACAGAAGCAAGAGCAAACACATTCAAAAGCTGGTAGAAGACAAGAAATAACTAAGATCAGAGCAGAACTGAAGGAGATAGAGACACAAGAAACCCTTCAAAACATCAATGAATCCAGGAACTGGATTTTTTGAAAAGATCAACAAAATTGATAGACTGCTAGCAAGACTAATAAAGAACAAAAGAGAGAAGAATCAAATAGATGCAATAAAAAATGATAAAGGGGATATCACCACCAATCCCAGAGAAATACAAACTACCATCAGAGAATACTATAAACACCTCTACGCAAATAAACTAGAAATCTAGAAGAAATAGATAAATTCCTGGACACATACGTCCTCCCAAGACTAAACCAGGAAGACATTGAATCCCTGAACAGACCAATAACAGGTTCTGAAATTGAGGCAATAATTAATAGCCTACCAACCAAAAAAAGTCCAGGACCAGATGGATTCACAGCCGATTTCTACCAGAGGTACAAACAGGAGCTAGTACCATTCCTTCTGAAACTATTCCAATCAATAGAAAAAGAGGGAATCCTCCCTAATTCATTTGATGAGGCCAGCATCATCCTGATACCAAAGCCTGGCAGAGACACAACAAAAAAAGAGAATTTTAGACCAATATCCCTGATGAACATTGATGCAAAAATTCTGGCAAACCAAATCCAGCAGCAGATCAAAAAGTTTATCCACCACGATCAAGTTGGCTTCATCCCTGGGATGCAAGGCTGGTTCAACATACACAAATCAATAAATGTAATCCAGCATATAAACAGAACCAAAGACAAAAACCACACGATTATCTCAACAGATGCAGAAAAGGCCTTCGACAAAATTCAACAGCCCTTCATGCTAAAAACTCTGAATAAACTAGGTATTGATGGGACGTATCTCAAAATAATAAGAGCTATTTATGATGAACCCACAGCCAATATCATACTGAATGGGCAAAAACTGGAAGCATTCCCTTTGAAAACTGGCACAAGACAGGGATGTCCTCTCTCACCACTCCTATTCAACATAGTATTGGAAGTTCTGGCCAGGGCAATCAAGCAGGATAAAGAAATACAGGATATTCAGTTAGGAAAAGAAGTCAAATTGTCCCTATTTGCAGATGTCATGATTGTATATTTAGAAAACTCCATCGTCTCAGTCCAAAATCTCCTTAAGCTGATAAGTAACTTCAGCGAAGTCTCAGGATACAAAATCAATGTGCAAAAATCACAAGCATTCCTCTACACCAATAAAAGACAAAGAGAGAGCCAAATCATGAGTGAACTCCCATTCACAATTGCTTCAAAGAGAATAAAATACCTAGGAATCCAACTTACAAGGGATGTGAAGGACCTCTTCAAGGAGAACTACAAACCACTGCTCAATGAAATAAAAGAGGACACAAACAAATGGAAGAACATTCCATGCTCATGGATTGGAAGAATCAATATCGTGAAAATGGCCATACTGCCCAAGATAATTTATGCAGCCAAAAAACACATGAAAAAATGCTCATCATCACTGGCCATCAGAGAAATGCAAATCAAAACCACAATGAGATACCATCTCACACCAGTTAGAATGGCGATCATTAAAAAGTCAGGAAACAACAGGTGCTGGAGAGGATGTGGAGAAATAGGAATGCTTTCACACTGTTGGTGGGACCGTAAACTAGTTCAACCATTTTGGAAGACAGTGTGGCAATTCCTCAAGGATGTAGAACTAGAAATACCATTTGACCCAGCCATCCCATTACTGGGTATACACCCAAAGGATTATAAATCATGCTGCTATAAAGACACATGTTTATTGCATGTATGTTTACTGCGGCACTATTCACAATAGCAAAGACCTGGAACCAACCCAAATGTCCATCAGTGATAGACTGGATTAAGAAAATGTGGCACATATACACCATGGAATACTATGCAGCCATAAAAAAGGATGAGCTCATGTCCTTTGTAGGGACATGGGTGAAGCTGGAAACCATCATTGTGAGCAACTATTGCAAGGACAGAAAACCAAATACCGCATGTTCTCACTCATAGGTGGGAACTGAACAATGAGAACACTTGGACACAGGGTGGGGAACATCACACACCAGGGCCTGTCGTGGGGTAGGGTTAGCAGGGAGGAATAGCATTAGGAGATATACCTAATGTAAATGATGAGTTAATGGGTGCAACACACCAACATAGCAGATATATACATACGTAACAAAACTGCACATTGTGCACATGTACCCTATAACTTAAAGTATAATAATAAAAAAAATAAAATTCTAACTTTGGTTATGAAGTGAATTGACATTTTATGTGTGCCTCTTTGTGGGTAATCTGCAGCCAGGGTAGACAAAAGAAGGATTTCTTAACGTGGTGATCTTGTAAAATGCACCATTGATAAATCATCTCCAGTTACACCAAATAAAGATTGTGCATAGGCCTGGCAGAAACATTGTACCAATAGTTAGTTCTCTGTGGCAGACATCAGAATTGCCAACTGAACTTTAGCAAGACCTATCTCCCTGGAGCTCCACCTTTGGAGGTAGGGAGTGAGGTCCAAGCCCTCATATGTTTAGAAACATACACAGGTATTTCTGATGCCCACCAGAGGTAGAGAGCTGCTGCCTTATGCTTTATACACATTCCCTTAGCTTTGTTGTGGATCATGATCTCGCTGTGTCACTCAGGCTGGAGTGCAGCGGCATGATCTTGGCTTACTGCAACCTCTGCCTCCCAGGTTCAAGCAATTCTCGTGTCTCAGCCTCCCAAGTAGTTGGGATTACAGAGGCAAGCCACCACACTGGGCTAATTTTTATATTTTTAGTAGAGATGGGGTTTCGCCATGTCGGCCAGGCTGGTCTCGAGCTCCTGACCTCAAGTGATCCACCCACTTCGGCCTCCCAAAGTGCTGGGATTACAGGCATGAGCCACCATGCCTGGCCATCATCTTCCCTCTATTTTCAGGAGCAACTTCAGAGATGACAGATTGCTACCTTGAATTGAGAGAACCACAGAGAATGAGGGGTCTCATTCAAGGAGTTAATAAGTCTGAATGTTCTTAGCCTTTATTGATAGCTTAATCAGCAGACCTGAGTGGACTTCTCTCACACTGTTATGCCTTCCTACTTAGAAGTACCCGTGGCCTGCTCAGCTGTGACTCTGCTGACCTCAGGACCTCACTGGTCAAGGTATGTAGGGACCCTTGCAGGAGACTTGGTAATGGTGAAATGATCCTATCGTTACATTATCTATGGAGCAACAACTTTGTACAGAGAACCAGCTGCTTGGCTTTTTCTCCCAGTGCCCAGGATGCTGCTGATGCGGCCGTGTAATAGCATAATTTTGGGTGTCCTCAAGGACAGAACTTCCCCTTGGAATGGAAGTTAGAACAATGTACTTCACAGGGGAATAAATATTAATGACAGCTATGATTTTCTTTAAGGAAGAAGAAAATATGCCATTGTTGGTTCCCTCTCGCATCATTTCCATAATTTGCTTTTGTACTGTGAATTTAGAGGAAATGAGTGATGCTGGTGTTTTGTTTTGCTTGTTTGTTTGATGCTGGGGTTTTATGTGTTGTACACTTTTTACCCCTTACATTGTGTCATTTAAATGCAACAAACCTGCAGTAAAAGTCCTTTATTGGCATCTTCATTCAGATGAAAAATAAAATAAAATAGGAAAGATTTTTAAATGGTACACTTGCATAGGGCATTTACCATGAATAGAGCTTGCAGGACTGGAAATTGCTCTGTGTGAGTAGATGAGTGAGTGGTGGGTGAATGGGAAGGCCTAGGACATTACTATACACTACTGTAGACTTTATAAACACTGCACACTTAGGCTACACTAAATTTATATAATAAAAGTTATCTTCAATAATAAATTAACCTTAGCTTACTGTAACTTTTCGATTTTATAAACTTTAAAATTTTTTAACTTTTGGAGTATTTTGTAATCACTTAGCTTAAAATACAAACACATTGTACAATTGTACGAAAATATTTTCTTTATATTATTATTCCATAAACTTTTTATATTTTTAAATTAAAAAAAAATTTTTTTTTTGCTTTTTAAATTTTTTTTTGTCAAAAATTAAGACACAGACACACACATTAACCTAGGCCTGCACAGGATAAGCATCAGTATCACTGCTTCCCACTGTCACATCTTGCCCCACTGGAAGATGACATGCATGGAGCTGTCACCTCCTACTATAACAATACCTTCTTCTGGAATACCTCCTGAAGGACCTGCCTGAGATTGCTTTACAGTTAACTTTTTTTTTTAATAAGTAGAACTACACCCTAAAATAATGATAAAAAATACAGTATAGCAAACACATAAACCAGTAACATAGTCATTTGTTATCAAGTATTATGTACTGTACATAATTGTATGTGCTATACTTTTATGCAACTGGCAGTACAGCCAGTTTGTTAACACCAGCATCACCGCAAACAGGAGTAATGCATCATGCTATGACATTATGATGGCAATGTCACTAGGTGACAGGAATTCCTCAGCTCCATTATAATCTTATGTGAGACCACCATCATACAGGCAGTCCATCATTGACCAAAACATCACTATGTGTTGCATCATTGTATATTTTTATGATAATTTCAAATTAAAAATGCCAAATATTATTAATAATGATATGACTACTGAAAGTTTTCTTTTCTAGTTATTTTTGCCCTTCAATTATATTCCACGAAGGATTTACAGATTGTTGCTTTTTTTTTTTTTTTTTTGAGACAGAGTCTCGCTCTGTCGCCCAGGCTGGAGTGCAGTGGCACGATCTTGGCTCACTGCAACCTCCACCTCTCCAGGTTTAAGCAATTCTCTGCCTCAGCCTCCGGAGTAGTTGGGATTACAGGTGTGTGCCACCATGCCCGGCTAATTTTTTTGTATTTTTAGTAGAGACGGGGTTTCACCATCTTGGCCAGGCTGGTCTTGAACTCCTGAGCTCATGATCTACCTGCCTCAGCCTCCCAAAGTGCTGAGATTACAGGCGTGAGCCACCACTCCCGGCATTTTTTTTTTTTTTTTTTGAGATGGAGTCTCACTCTGTCACCAGGCTGGAGTGCAGTGATGCAGTCTCAGCTCACTGCAACCTCTGCCTCCTGGGTTCAAGTGATTCTCCTGCTTCAGCCTCCCAAGTAGCTGGGACTACAGGTGTGTGCTACCACACCCAGCTAATTTTTTTGTATTTTTAGTAGAAATGAGGTTTCACCATGTTAGCCAGGATGGTCTCGATCTCCTGACCTTGTGATCTGCCTGCATTTTTTAAGTCATTTGAAATAATTCCTTTCTGTATCACAAGCTTGATTAACAGGTTGATTTGTTTTTTATTTTAGTTTCTATTGATTCTTTTACAAAATGACTTTCACTTTATAAGTAAATAGAATATTTCCAGGGTTCAAAGTCAAATCCACAAAACATGGTATATTCAGAGAAATCTAGCTTCCATCCTGTTTTTTCTACCTTTCTTTCCCTCTGCCCTCTATGTAACTTTAAAACATTTTTTGTTTATCCTTCCATTATTGTTTTTTATGATCAAACATGTATATATTCATATCCCTCACCTTTTAAAAATAAATGACAACATACAATACATATTTTTTCTCTACTCAACTTTTTTCACTTAACAATATATCCTGGCAATTACTCTCTGTAGCATATAGAAAACAGACCTAACACTTTGTTATAGCTCCAAAGTACTCCATCGTGTTAATTCAGCTAGACCTCTAGGAATGGACAGTTGTGTTGTTTCCAGTCTTTGACAAAGCCAAGGTTTTTGAGAATGGAAGAATGACTAGTAGTGTTTAATGAATCTGAGCCATGCAATAGAATAAAGACAGAAAAGTATTTATTAGATTTGGCAATACAAAGGTCAATAAAATTTTAACCAGGGATGTATATACACAACCTACCCAGCAGTATGCAGTGGCCCTGCCTCAGCAAGAACAGTTTCAATGGCATGGAGCAGACAGAAGTTGGATTTTAGTGGGTTATGGGATGAATGTGACTTATGAAAATGAAGACAGTGGGGGCCTAAACTACTTTTTCTGGAAGTGTGAATGAGAAGAGAAAAAGAACATGGCTAAAACTAGATACATATTTAGGAGCAAGAGGGGTTTTATTTTTGTGGCTCTGTTTTGTGTATTTATAAGCGTGTGCATATGTGTATATTTTTAGGATGTTTACTGTTTGGGGAAAGGAGCCAATGGAGAGAAAGAGTTGAGACTACAGGAAAAGAAAGGTTGTTGCTAGTGAAGAAATTGTGCGATTCCTCATTTTTTGAAGAGAAGACTCCTGAGGTTATTGAGAGTATGATTGAAAAATATAAAGCTGTCCACCCCCTAACATCACTCTCTGATACATTACCCTGTTTTATTGTCCTCATAGCTTAGATTTCACATCTTATATTGTGTTCCAGTGTTCACTGTTGCTCTCCTCAATTAAAATATCATTGCCAACTTAAAGTGGAAGCTTCTTGCTCACTGCAATCATCCAGTGCCTAGAACTGTGCCCAGCATGCAGCAGGTACTCATTAAACATTAGCCAACTAAGTTAATATTGTTCTTTCACTGTCACCAGGACTTTCTATAGTAACGTTCCCATGTTTTTACTTATTATTTTATCTCCTGTGATTTTACACAAAGCATTCCAACTTAGCCATGGCTTTTGGGGACAATACAATCCATTTGAAATGGATACAATTTGAGCTTAAGCACCTTAAGAAGAAAACACAAACTTGGTTGGCTGTGGTGGCTCACCTACATCTGAATCCCTCTGGGTTCTACCCAGGACTCCGGGAAGCCAAGGCTGGAGGATCATTTGAGGCCAGGAGTTCAAGACCAGGAAGATCCTATCTCCATTAAAAAAAAAAAAATAGCTGGTTGTGGTGGCATGCATCTTCAGTCCTAGAACTACTAGGGAGGCTGAGATGGGAGGATGGCTCGAACTCAGGAGTTCAAGCCTGTAGTGAGCTGTGATTGCACTACTTCACTCCAGCTTGGGAGACAGAGTAAGACCTCAAAACAAACAAACAAAAAACAACTTCAGGAAGTCTTATTTAGGCAAAATGGAGTCTCCCTTTGTTAGCTGGGGAAAAAAGAGATCACCTTGTCTCAAATGGAAAGGCACAACATTAGCCTGTCGTTTGAAAGATGAGGTAACTTAGGGTATAAACTGATACAGAGTGGAATAATCTTTCGGGAAACCAGAAGAAGGGCATTTTCTCATGAGAGAGTGAACTTTTATGATCCACAATTATTGCAAATAAATTGCAGCCTGTGGCTGTTCCACTATGGTAGTATCTGGGACTTTTTAATTTAGAGGTAAAATATTAGCAAGCAAATTTGGCCACAGATCTAAGGCCAAATCTTCCAGTCCACTTTTTAGATAATAAAGATAATATTTAGACTTTTATCTCTCTGACTTCTGATTTTTGTTTGTTTGTTTTGTTTTTTTGGGACAGAGTCTGCCACCTAGGCTGGAGTGCCCTGGTGCAATCATAGCTCACTGTGGCCTTTAACTCTCGGGCTGAAGCGATCCTCCCGCCTTAGCCTCCCAAAGCGCTGGAATTACAGGTATAAGCCACCGCGCTGGGCCTGATTTCGGTCCTTATTTGCCTTCATACTTAGGAGAGCAAGCAGGTGTCATTTATTGACCATCCTCTAAAAACCCTCAATAGACAGTGTTCAAATATGTATAATTCAGCTGCATAGCCAATCCTTTCAGACTGATCATTATGGATCTTTTTTAATTAAAAAAATTCTTCTTCATAACTACTACAGTTGGATAACATTAAAGGAAGTCATACAAGGCAAGATTTTTCAAAGAAACATCTAAGGTACATGTTGCAACTCTAACTGATACATACCTTTTTTTCCTGTGCTTCTTTCCATATATCCTAAATACTGTCTTGGAGGCAAGACCCCTTAAGTAGGTTCATGCTCACAGAACCTTGAGGCTTTCTTCTTAATTTCCAGCTCAGCTCCTAAAATCTTTCTTCTTATTGCCTTCTTTCAAGCCAAAAGGAAAGCATTTTTTGTTGTTGTCAATGCTGTGCTTTTAAGTACCTGTTTATATTCTAAAGAAAAGGGGAAAAGACCTATTTAGGAAGTCTCGGCCTTGAGAGTGAAAAGCCATTGACTCTTCCATATAACCAGGAGGAGACAACATTCCACTTTACCCTTTTCTCAGGGTTAAATTTGGGAAGAAAAATTACTGTAAGGTTTTTTTTTCTACCTCAGTAAAATTATACCTTAGAAAAGCTAATGGTCTTAGCAACAGCTTGAGATCACAATTGCTTCAGATATAAAATTAAGAAGCTATTTCTGAATATATCTGAATCTTTCTAGATCAGAATATTTTAAAATAAAACCTTTTAAATGTCTAGAACAGAAATTCACAATATTTTATGACTCTTCTAACTTATTACCAAGAAACAACTTGTACATTCTCTGCAGAAAGAATAAAACTCAATAGAATAAAGACAGGAGGATTATTAAAACAACAAGTATTTCAAAAGATTACCTACCTATGTGTTAATAAGTCTCAACCAGTAAAGTCAGAAATAAGTGACAAACATAGTAAGACAAAAAAAAAAAAAGCCTTCAGTAGCAGGGACTCCCATTTGCCTATCCAATATTCAGTGGTGTGCTGGTAAAAGTTTAACAACTGCCTCTCCACAAAAGGGGGCAGGGCCTTAATTTTCAGTGTTTGACAATTTTTGCAACGTAAATACTCCCACCATGGCCAATTTCAGGCTACCAATGTGTTTCATGATAAGCTTGCAAAGAATCTGAAAATGTCACCTTCAGCTCTCACAGCCAGTACAAGTCATTTGGAGCACACCACTGCATTCATCTTTTACTTTCTTTCTCACTTTGTCATTTTGTTGCCTGGATTAAAAATAATTTGCTTAGATTAAAAACCAAAAATGATATTTCCTAGCCATCCTTGCAAATAGGAAAAGCCACATGAGAGTTCTCACCAAGGATGCATAGGCAGATGTTGTAGTAGTGATGACAGCCTATCACCCATGGTGGTGGTAGGTGGTGTCTTCCTTAAAAGGACTTCAGGCTTGGTCCATCCCTCTTGTCCTTGCCTGTTTATTTTTCCTGTCGAGAATAAAGAGGTGACTGGAGCTGCAGTGGCCATTTTATAATCAACAATGAGGGAGAGGCAAAGGGAATCACAGAGACCTTGGCCTAACACCTCTGAGTCGATTACTTGGGGTTTTTAAAATTTACCTGACACACATTCAAACCCCTGGTTTGTGCCAGATATGGCCCTGAGCTACCCTACTGAACTATGCCTGAAATTCCTTTTTCTGGTCTCTTTCTACAAGAGATGAAGTAAATCCTATCTTGCTTAAGCCACTGTTATTTAGGTTTTGTATTAAATGTAGCCAAAGCCAATCTTTCAGCATGGAAAACCTTGCCAATGGATGAAGGCCTAGTGAAGGGAAATTACTTTTGAAAGCAAAACCGTTAAATAATTTGTTTCTGGAAATCATGTGATCATTAAAACTTTAAAAAAGGGACTAACCCACTAACTGAGTCTACCTAAAATACTTCACTTAAGTACAACACTATGAATGTCCAGTGAAAAGAATATTGGCTACATTTGCTGAACACATATATATGCCAGATACCTCATTAAGTACTTTAGAGGCATTAGCATACTCGCTGTGTGACCTTGGGAAGTCACGTAACATGTTGGTGTTTCAGTTTTCTCATCTATAAAATGGAAATAGCATAGTATCTATCTCATAGGATTGATTTGAAGAATAAAGGAGTTTATAACATATATGTAAGGTGCTCAAAACAATGTCTGGCAAATAGTAAACATAAGTGTTAGCTATTATTATCACTAGTATTATTGTTCCTCACAAACTCTATTCAATAAACACTGATACTATCCACAGATAAGGAAGATGGCATCTACCTTGTATGGAGATTTGAGACTGAAAGAGATGATGCCTCTCAGGTGTTTAGTATTGTGACAGGTA
Organism: Homo sapiens; assembly: GCF_000001405.40. Classification (NCBI taxonomy): domain Eukaryota; kingdom Metazoa; phylum Chordata; class Mammalia; order Primates; family Hominidae; genus Homo; species Homo sapiens. The sequence goes on from NC_000004.12 coordinate 145,470,615, forward strand.
AATGCTCTGTCAACTCTAGCCATTATAAGTTTGATATTTAACAACACTTGAAAAAGGCTCTCATTTTAAATTTATTTCAATACTTTTTGGGGAACAGGTGGTTTTCATTACATGGATAAGTTCTTTAGTGGTGACTTCTGAGATTCTGGGGCACCCATCACCTGAGCAGTGTACACTGTACCCAATGTGTAGTCTTTTATCCCTTACCCCCACCTCCACCTTTCCCTGACAAGTCCCCAAAGTCCACTGTATCGTTCTTACGTCTTTGCATCCTCATAGCTTAGCTCCCACTTATAAGTGAGAGTATACAACAATTGGTTTTCCATTCCTAAGTTATTTCACTCAGAAGAATGGTCTCCAACTCCATCCAGGTTGCTGTGAATGGTGTTATTTTGTTCCTTTTTATGGCTGAGTAGTATACCATGGTATACACACACACACACACACACACACACACACACACACACACACACACACACATATATATATATATATATATATATATATATATATATATATAACTTTTTTTTTTGAGACAGAGTCTTGCTCCGTCACCCAGGCTGGAGTGCAGTGGTGCGATCTCAGCTCACTGGGCAACTTCTGCCTCTGGGTTTAAGCGATTCTTCCACCTCAGCCTCCCAAGTAGCTGGGATTACAGGTGCCCGCCACCATGCCCAGCTAATTTTAGTATTTTTAGTAGACACTTGGTTTCTCCATGTTGGGCAGGCTGATCTCAAACTCCTGACCTCAGGTAATCCACTCACCTCAGCTTCCCAAAGTGCTGGGATTACAGGGGTGAGCCACCATGCCCAGCTCACATTATCTTTATCCACTTGCTGCTTGATGGATATTTAGGCTGGTTCCATATTTTTGCAATTGCAAATTGTGCTGCTATAAACATGTATGTGCAAGTGTCTTGTTCATATAATGACTTCTTTTCCTCTGGGAAGATACCCAACAGTGGGGTTGCTGGATCAAAGGTAGTTCTACTTTTAGTTCTTTAAGGAATCTCCATACTCTTTTTCATAGTAGTTGTATTAGTTTACATTCCCAATAGCAGTGTAAAAGTGTTCCCTTTCACCACATCCATACCAACATCTATTATTTTTGATTTTTAAATTATGGCCATTCTTGCAGGAGTAAGATGGTATCTCACTGTGGTTTTAATTTGCATCTCCCTGATAATTAGTGATGTTGAGCATTTTTTTCATGTTTGTTGGTCATTTGTGTATCTTCTTTTGAGAATTGTCTGCTTATATTTATGTCCTTAACCCACTTTTTGATGGGATTATTATTATTATTATTGTTTGCTGATTTATTTGAGTTCCTCGTAGATTCTGGATATTAGTCCTTTGTCGGAGGCATAGTTTGCAAATATTTTCTCCCACTCTGTGGGTTGTCTGTTTACTCTGCTTTTGTTAGGTGAATTTAGGAGCAACATTTGAACAACATATATAAAATGATCGAATTAATAGAGATCAGATAAGTGAAGAGAATGCTGTCAGTCTATATCAGGAATCCAGTAGCATTAATATTCTCTGTGATGTTTTGGGGAATAAGGACGTTGAAGTATTGAAGTTCCACGTGGCAGGAAAGTGAGTGAGAGAATAAATCATCCTCAAAGGTCTGTGTCTAAATACTACAAATACTTACTGACTTCACCAATACTACAAATACACTGACAATATAGCACAAGACAATAATTCCATTAAGCAAAGAGTATAGAATGGCCCATGTATTAGTCTGTTCTCACACTGCTGTAAAGAACTTCTTGAGACTGGGTAATTTATGAAGAAAAGTGGTTTAATTGACTCGCAGTTCTGCAAGCTTAACAGGAAGCATGGCTAAGAGGTCTCAGGAAACTTATAATCATGGTAAAAGGTGAAGGGAAAGCAAGCCACATCTTACCATGGTAGAGCAGGAGAGAGAAAGCCTATAGGTGCTACAATTTTAAACCATCACACCTCGTGTGAACTCACTCATTATTATGAGAACAGCATGGGGGAAATCTGCCCCCATGATTCAATCACCTCCTACCTGGTCTCTCCCCTGACATGTGGGGATTACAATTCAACATGAGATTTGGGTGGGGACACAGAGCCAAACAATATCATTCTGCCCCTGGCCCCTCCCAAATCTCATGTCCTTCTCACATTGCAAAATACAATTATCCCTTCTCCATAGTCCCCCAAAGTTTTAACTTGTTCCAGCATTAACTCAAAAGCTCAAGTCCAAAGTCTCATCTGAGACAAGGCAGGTCCCTTCTGCCTATAAGCCTGTAAAGTAAAAAAAAGTTAGTTACTTCCAAGATACAATGGGGATAGAGAAATTGTATAAATGCTCCCATTCCAAATGGGAGAAATGGGCCAAAACAAAGGTGCTACAGGCCCCCATGCAAGTTCAAAACCCAGCAGGGCAGTCATTAAATCTTAAAGCTCCAAAATAATCTCCTTTGACTCCATGTCTCACATCCAGGTTACATTGATGCAAGGGGTGGGCTTCCAAGTCCTTTGGCAGCTCCTGTGGCTCTGCAACTCCAATGCCCCTGTGGCTCTGCAGTGTACAGCCCCCTTTAGCTGCATTCACAGGCTGGCATTGAGTGCCTGCAGCTTTTCCAGGTGCACAGTGCAAGCAGTTGGTGAATCTACCATTCTGGGGTCTGGAAGATGACAACCCTCTTCTCACAGCTCTACTATGCAATGCCCCAGTAGGGACTCCATTTGAGGGCTCCAATCCCACATTTCCCCTCTGTACTGCCCTAGTAGAGGCTCTCCATGAGGACTCCACCTTGGCAGCACACTTCTGCCTGGACATCCAGGCATTTCCGTACATTATCTGAAATCTAGGCAGAGGCTCCCAAAGCTCAGCTCTTGTCATCTATGCGCCTGCAGGCCCAACACCACGTGGAAGCTGCCAAAGCCTGGGCCTTGCACCCTCCGAAGCAACAGCCCAAGCTGTATCTTGGCTCCTTTTTGCCATGGCTGGAGCTGGAGGGGCTGGGTTGCAGGGCATCATGTCCCAAAGTGGCACAGAGCAGCAGGGCCCTGGGCATGGCCCACAAAACCTTTTTTCCCTCGTAGGCCTCCAGGCCTGGAATGGGAGGGGCTGCTGCAAAGGTATCTTACATGCCCTGGAGACATTTTCCCCATTGTCTTGGCTGTTAACATTTGGTTTGTCTTTACTTATGCAAATTTCTGCAGCCAGCTTGAATTTGTCCCCAGAAAATGGCTCTTTTTTTTTTTCAACCACATGGTCAGGCTGCAAATTTTCCAAACTTTTATGCTCTGTTTCCCTTTTAAACATAAGTTCCAATTTCAGACCATCTCTTTGTGAACACATACGACTGTACGCTGTGAGGAGCAGCCAGACCACATCTTGAGTGCTTTGCTGCTTAGAAATTTCTTCTGCCAGATACCTTAAATCATCTCTCTCAAGTTCAAAGTTCCATAGATCTCTACAGCAAGGGCACAATGCTATCAGTCTTTTAGCTAAAGAATAGCAAGAGTGACCTTTACTGTAGTTCCCAATAACTTTCTCATTTCTATCTGAGCTCAACTCAGCCTGGACTTCACTACCCATATCACTATTAGCATTTTGGTCAAAATCATTCAACAAGTCTCCGTGAAGTTCCAAACTTTCCCACATCTTCCTGTCTTCTGTGCGCCAAATTGTTCCAACCTCTGCCCATTAGCCAGTTCCAAAGTTGCCTCCACATTTTCAGGTATCTATATAGTAATTCCCCACTTTCCTGGTACCAATTTTCTGTATTAGTCCATTCTCACACTGCTATAAAGAACTACCTGAGACTGGATAATTTATGAAGAAAACAGGTTTAACTGACTCAGTTCTGCAGGCTAAACAGGAAGCAAGGCTAGGAGGCCTCAGAAAACTTACAATTATGGTGGAAGTTGAAGGGGAAACCAAGCACGTCTTATTATTGTGGAGCAGGAGAGAGAGCGAGGTGGGGGAAGTGCTATACTTTTAAACTATCATATCTCATGAGAACTGACTCACTATCACCAGAACAGCACGGGGGAAATCTGCCCCCATGATCCAATCACCTCCCACCAGGTCACTCCCCTGACACATGGGGATTACAGTTCAATATGAGATTTGGGTGGGGACAGAGAGCCAAACCAAATCACCCCACAAATTTAAGAAGCTGGAAATATAAGTTCTACTGCCATCATAATGTTTACCATAGAATTTTCACATGGAACTTTGTAATGTATAGACTGTTACAAAACTCTCAGGAAAAGGGCTGACAACTTTTTATTAATTCCTACAATTTATAATTAGATCTGAATTTCAGACTTGGGGGCAATAATGAGAACAATTACTAGCTGTAATTAAGAAAAAATACCAATTTGTATTTGACCGCAACAGTTGTATTAGAGATTTATTCTTTCAGCAAATATTTGAGGGTCTGCCATGACAGGTCTGTGCAAACTTTGGGCTTGGAGATGGGAACACAAACTAGATACAGCTCCCACCCACATATTACTTAGAAGAGCAGTGGGGTTTTCTCACTGGATATTCAATAATTTGACTAAATACATTCATAATTACAGACAGCTATAAGTTCTTTGGAGCAAAGGGTGTGATGAGAGAATAAAGGATTTCAACAACAACAACATTTTTTTCTGAGACAGAGTCTTGCTCTTTGGCCCAGGCTGGAGTACAGTGGCATCCTCACAGCTCACTGCAGACTTGACCTTCCAGGCTCAATCCATCCTCCCACCTTAGCCTCCTGAGTAACTAGGACTACAGGCACATACCACCACACCTGGCTAATTTTTTGTATTTTTTGTAGAGATGGGGTTTCACCATGTTGCCCAGGCTGGTCTCGAACTCCTGACCCCCACCTCGGCCTCCCAAAGTGCTGGAATTACAGGCATCAGCCACCATGCCTGGCCAGCGTTCCTTTTAATATGAAAAATAACACACCAATGATCCTTGGCAGGCTCATTCCAGGAAAACTGAGTCACTTAAATTCCCTGAGGGAGCTGAACTATAAATCATTACATTTATTTTTCTATTGAGTAGAATCATCTCTTAAAACAGGTTTTTGGATTTACATTTTGCCTATATAAAATTTGCAGCCAATTTTAAGGACTCGTCTTATTATAAGTGATTAGTAGCTGATTTTTTCCTGATAAACTGATTAGCATAATTAGTTTGCCTTCAGTTCCTTAATATCTCCTTTTCTGGAAGGATCTTGTCCTCCTCTCTACCTCAGCCATCCGCCATCTCTGGTCACACCCCTACATCTTGGCATTGCTCAAAACTGCCCCAGCATCATGATTTCAATTTCAAGTATCTCATTCCCAGACTGCTCCCCAGCTTTTGGGAAAGGCTCCCAACTCCAGTAACTCATGGACCACACTAGGAGCTTCACTCGGTGGATCCTATCATCTTTCCAACATTTCACATTACTATATGTTCTCGCCTTCCTCCTATCACAGACCCCCGACAGTCACTCTATTGCCTATAGCTTCTGCTGTCTGATCCCCTTCCCTTCCCTGACATACACCTGCAAAACCCCAGCCCTAGTTAAACTCAGCTCTGTCCCCTCAGGTTAACCGAGGCTGGAGAAAAACCCACAGCCATGCTGACTGGTCTTACTTTAAATTCATGGCCACTAGGCTGGGTGTAGTGGCTCATGCCTGTAATCCCAGCACTTTGGGAGGCTGAGGCAGGTGGATCACCTGAGGTCAGGAGTTTGAGACCAGCCTGGCCAACATGGTGATACCCCGTCTCTACTGAAAATACAAAAATTAGCCGGGCATGCTGGTGCATGCCTGTAATCCCACTTACTAGGGAGGCTGAGGCAGGAGAATCACTTGAACCTGGGAGGCAGAGGTTGCAGTGAGCTGAGATCATGACAGTGAGCCAAGATTGTGACAATGCACTCCAGCCTGGGTGACTGAGCAAGACTCCATCTCAAAAAATTAAAAAAAAAAATTAATTAATTAATGGCCGCTAACCTCAAATGGACACTTAATAGTAGCAATCTTACCACATTTCCACAGTTCATTCACTCTCAAACCCTACCAGATGACTTAGATATTACTCCTCTCTCTTCCAACCTCCAGCATCTCTTCAATCCCACCATTCTCGGGAAGCAGGTTCCCGGGCAATTTCACTAAGATGAGAGAGTGGTGAGAAGAGACCATCCCTGCGTTCTCACCTCTGCAAGCAAGCACCAGCTTGTGTGCATCTGGGTCCACACACTCTGCCTTCCCTCCAGTCACTAGCTTTTCCTACATCACTGCACTGTCCCCAACCCTGCCCCCCAGCTTTTCAGTGGATGTGTAAAGTAGACTCAGCTTCTAGGTCTTTACACTTGCTCTTCCTTTTGCTTGGGAGGTTGGGAACTCATCCCTCAGAGTGTGTACTGTGCTTCCTTCCCTTCCTTCAGGACCTCTTGCAGTGAGGTTTCCTCTGCCCCTTTAGAAATAGTCATCTCTCCCATTCTCAATCCCTCTTCCCCTGTTTTTTCCATCACTTGTACCACTACCTAGCATATTTGCGTATTTATTTATTTATTTATTTATTTTTTTTTTTGAGATGGAGTCTCGCTCTGTCGCCCAGGCTGGAGTGCAGCGGCACGATCTCGGCTCACTGCAACCTCTGCCTCCCGGGTTCAAGTGATTCTCCTGCCTCAGCCTCCCAAGTAGCGGGGACTACAGGCACATGCCACCATGCCCGGCTAATTTTTTTTTTTTTTTGTATTTTTAGTAGAGATGGAGTTTCACCATGCTGGCCAGACTGGTTTTGAACTCCTGACCTCGTGATCCATCCACCTCGGTCTCCCAAAGTGCTGGGATTACAGGTGTGAGCCACCACGTCTGGCCGTGTATTTATTTATTATCTGTCTTCCTTAATGAGGGCAGGGATTTTTTTCTGCTTGCCACCATATCCCCTGCTAGAACAGTGCTTCACTTACTCATTCATTCAACAGGTATTTAATATGCTCCTGTTAAATACCAGGCACTGCTCAGGTGCTGAGATTATAGCAATGAACACAGAAGACCAAAAATCCTGCTCTTTTGGCTAAATAATACGGAGACATTTGAGTGAAGACTTGAGGGAGATGAAGGAGTGAGCCATGTGGACATCTGTGGGAAGAGCTGTCCAGGGAGTGCTATGGTTTGAATGCATTCCCCAAAGTTTATATATTGTAAACTTAATCCCCAGCGCAACAGTGTTGAGAGGTGAGAACTTCAAGAGGTGATTATGTCATGAGGACTGTTAAATTAAGTTTAGGCTAAAGCTGCCTCCATATATATATATATACGTATATATACATATGTACATATGTATATACATATATATACACACACATATATATATATATATATATATTTTTTTTTTTTTTTTTTTGAGACGGAGTTTTGCTCTTGTTGCCCAGGCTGGAGTACAATGGCATGATATTGGCTCACCGCAACCTCCGCTTGCCGGGTTCAACTGATTCTCCTGCCTCAGTCTCCCGAGTAGCTGGGATTACAGGCGTGAGCTACCACGCCCGGCCCATACATATTTTAAGTTAGGCCTAAAGGTTTCTCTGTACACAGCAAACTGTAACCTAACTGGATATGCAAACAGACTGTAGCCAACTCTTGTACCAATCACAGAGTTTTGGTCAATCACAGGCAGCCAACTGTTCAAACTGTGTTAAAATAAAGCAAATATTTAGCTCTAACCAATCCAGTTTTTTCTGTACCTCACTCCATTTTCTGTCACTTTTCTTTCTCTGCCCATAAACATCATCTGACCCTGTGGCAGCCCCAGAGTTGCTCTGAAACTATTCTGGTTCTGGGGGCTGCTCAGTTCTCAAATTGCTCTTTGCTCAATTAAACTCTGTTAAATTTAATTTGCCTAAAGTTTTTCTTTTAACAGGGATCTGTCCTCATGAATGGATTAATGGCATTATGGGAGTGCGGTTTGGTATCTCAGGAGGGGATTGCTGATATAAGCATGAGTTTGGCCCTTTTCTACCCTTCCTCTCATGTTCTCTCTCTTGCTATGTGATGCCTTCTGCTATGTTGTGATGAAGGAAGAAGGCCCTCACCAGATGCAGCCCCTTGATTTTGGATTTCTCAGCCCCCAGAACCATGAGCTAAATTAACTTTTATTGTGTATAAACTGCCCAGCTGGTGGTTGTATTGGTCCATTTTCATACTGCTATGAAGAAATACCCAAGACTGGGTAATTTATAAAGAAAACGTGGTTTAGGGCTGGGTACGGTGGCTCACGCCTGTAATCCCAGCACTTTGAGAGGCCAAGGCAGGTGGATCACCTGAGCTCAGGAGTTTGAGACCAGCCTGGCTAACACCACAAAACCCCGTCTCTACTAAAAAATACAAAAAAAGATTAGCCAGGCGTGGTGGTGCATGCCTGTAGTCCTAGCTACTTGGGAGGCCAAGGCAGGAGAATTGCTTGAACCCTGGAGGCAGAGGTTGCAGTGAGCTGAGGTTGCATCACTGCATTCCAGCCTGGGTGACAGAGTGAGATTCTGTCTCAAAAAAAAAAGGTTTAATGGACTCACAGTTTTACACGGCTGGGGAAGCCTCACAATCATGGCAGAAGGTGAAGGAGGAGCAAAGGCACATCTTACGTGGCAGCAGGCAAGAGGGCGTGTGCAGGGAAACTGCCCTTTATAAAACCGTCAGATTCTCATGAGACTTATTCACAATCACGAGAACAGCATGGGAAGAACCCACCCCCATGATTCGATTACCTCCCACCAGGTCCCTTCTATGACACATGGAGGTTATGGGAGCTACAATTCAAGATGAGATTTGGGTGGGGATACATAGCCAAACTCTATCAGTGGTATTCTATTACAGCAACACAAAATGAACTCAGAAAGGGAGGGAACAGCTAGCACATAGATACTGAGGTGAGAATGTGCCCAGATTGTTCCAGAAGAGTGAGGATGCCAGTGTGACTTGGGGAAGTGAGCAAGAGGAAGAGTAGAAGTGCAGGTCAGAGTGCTAAAGGAGGGGAAGGAAAGATTATGTAGAGTCTTGTGCTTATTATGGGAACTTTTATTCTGAGTGAAATGAGGACCCAAGGGAGGATTTTTTAAAAATTTAATAAAATGATATTAATATACAGTCCATATTTAGGTTTTTATAATGGTCTCATCAATGTCCTTTTAAAAAGAATATCCAAATTTTTATTATCATTTAAGGAAATAATTTGCACAATGGGCAAAATCAAATTTTATTGCATACATAATAATATTAATAGTTATCATTTAAGACTACTAGGACTGCACTAAGAAAGGCCATCTAGGCTGGGCGCGGTGGGTCATGCCTGTAATCCCAGAACTTTGAGAGGCTGAGACGGGTGGATCACTTGAGGCCAGGAGTTTGAGACCAGCCTGGCCAAAATGGTGAAACCCCGTCTCTACTTAGATGGGCGTGGTGGTGTGTATCTGTAGTCCCAGCTACTCGAGAGGTTGAGGCAAGAGAATTGCTTGAACCCGGGAGGCAGAGGTTGCAGTAAGCCGAGATCGTGCCATTGCACTCCAGCCTGGGCGACCGAGCGAGACTCCGTCTCAAAATTAAATAAATGCCATTTTTGATTTTTTTAAAAATTAACGACTTTAAAATGACAGTTTATAGCTCCTCCTCCCCATTCAGGATCCAATCAAGGTCATATACTGCATTTCATTGTCATGCTTTTTTTTTAATAGCTTGAGGTAAAATTCACATACCAAATGATTGACCCATTTAAAGTGTGCAATTTAATGGCTTTTGGTATATGCACAGAGTTGTGCAACCATCACCAGAAACTAGTTTTAGAACAATTTTGTCACCCCATAACCTTTAGCTGTCACTCCCCAGGTTCCTCATTTCCCCAACCCTATGCAAACCACCAATCTACTTTCTGTCTCCATAGCCTTGCCTACTCTGAGCATTTCACATATGTGGAAGAATACAATGTGTGGTCTGTCTTCTTTCCCTTCACGTTTTGAAAGGTTATCCATGTAGCATGCATCAGTATCAGTACTTCATTCCTTTTTATGGCTGAATAATGTTCTCTTGTATGGGATACTTTATACTATTTATCAAGGGAGGGTTTTCAACAGAGGAGTGGCCTGATCCGAGTGGCATTTAACAAGGTTCACTTTCCTGTTGTTCTAAGGAGCAGAGAATGATCAACTGCGTCAAACGCTGCTTTTAGGGAAAATAAGATGAGGCCCACGAATTGACCAGTAAGTGCTCAAATAGGTTAAGGGAAAAAGGAATTTAATTAGAAGACATATTCTGATATACATTGCTGGGAGTGATTTTTTTTTTTTTTTTTTTGCTTCATGTGAAATTTATTCCTCAAAAAAAAATCATTTTTTCTAAACGTAACTCAACATTATAGTAATTATGCAAGATTTTATGCAGCTTCAAGAGTTAGCCAAGAGAAAAGTTGACTCTTGCAAGAAGATATTTTCAATGTCTATGCAGATCAGGTAGGTAAGAGTTAAGTGCGGGGGAGTTGGCATCATCTAAAAGACTGTAGAAATTGGACCAAAAATGTGGAGTTCTAAAGCAGTATCTCCTTATGGCATGCCATTATTTGGAGCAACAAGGTTACCTACTCGAATCACTGGATCCTGAGTTGACACAAAACGCATCTGTTGACTCAGGGTTTGTATAACCACGTGCAGTATTTACTAGGCTATCCAATTCTGGGTACGTACAACTTCTGGGGCCTGCAAATTATTGGAGAGTGAGTGAGGGGCAACGAAAGATAGACATAAAAGGGCGCGTCTCGAAAGGTAACTGTCAACATGCACTCCACGTTTATAGAACGATTCAGTGGGCGCGGTGGAAGCGTTAATGAACATTTCAGAAAATAAACATATGGAACATCGAAATTCACTTGCAGATAATGGACTAAGTCCGCTCCACCGGGACTAAAAAGGCAGGGTTAGGAAAGCCTGAACGCCGCCACACTGTTTTTTCTCCAGGAAGAAACGGGGCGTGGGGCTGCCGGTAGAAGGGGGTGGCTCCGGCCGCTCCCCCGCGCCGTCCTCCGGCCCCGGCCGCGCTGCGCTCACGCCGGCCGGGCCGGGAATTTGGAGAGGATCCCTGGTCGCGCGGCAGCGGCGGCGGCGCGCGGGTGAGCGGGTGAGCGTGTGAGCGGGCGGGCGGGCAGGCGAGTGCGCCGGGTATTGGCAGCTGAGGAGTGGAGGCTGGGCAGCTCCGACTCCCTGACGCCAGCGCGACCAGATCAATCCAGGCTCCAGGAGAAAGCAGGCGGGCGGGCGGAGAAAGGAGAGGCCGAGCGGCTCAACCCGGGCCGAGGCTCGGGGAGCGGAGAGTGGCGCAGCGCCCGGCCGTCCGGACCCGGGCCGCGAGACCCCGCTCGCCCGGCCACTCGTGCTCCCACACGGACGGGCGCGCCGCCAACCCGGTAAAACGAAACAGACCCGAACCGAACTTTCCCTTCATGCCGCGTCCCAGCCCTCCCCTCGGCGCCCCGGGCTTTCCAGCGCCGCCGCCGCCGTCTCTGCACGCGTGGGGCCGCCGCGGTCGTGCTGGGCTGGGGGCGCGGGCAGCGGCGGGAAGGGGGCTCTTTCTGCGCGGGGCGGGCCGCGACCCCCCCCCCCCATGATGGCGCCTCCCGTCTGCTCGGAGGAGCGAACCTGCTACCACGTCTTCTCGCGCCCAGCCCGCCGGGCTCCCCTGGTGTCTTTGTTGGGTCTTCTGCTGTGGGAAGCCCAGTTCCCGGGCCCCCGAGCCTCGGCTCCCGGGCCTGACCGCGCTGGGATCTCCCCGGCCGCGCTCCCCTTCCGCGCGCTCCTCACATCTCTCCCGTGCTGCCGCCGGGCCGAGGCCCGTTCGCGTGGCCCGCGGACCCATTGTGTCCCCCGCGCCGGCGGGGCGACCCCTGCGGGAGCTGGAGGACGACCGCTGGCGCTGCTCTCCAAGGCGCCTGGTGGAGCGGGTCTCGCGGGCGGGGGACCCCGGCGCCCCGGGCCCCTCCACATCCCGCACGGGTTTTCTTCTCGGCCCCAGCAAGCCTCTTTGGGGTCGAGGTCAAGGAAAGTTCGCACCGAGATCCCCTCTAATTTATTCAAAGGTTTGGCGGCGGCGCGTAATTTTTTCCCCCTCTTCCGCCTACACCCGCTGCGTCTCCTGGTGTCTCGTTCCTTTCCCTTTACCGGAGTCGATTGCCTCACTGCATGTGTATTCGTGAGTTCGCGGTTGAACAACTGTTCCTTTACTCTGCTCCCTGTCTTTGTTAGTGTTTCTCGGGGTTGTTTCTGTAGGAAGGTGGGGGTGGTGGGCGTGAGAGACAGATGTGGGCTTGTTTTTCTAGTTGCTGAAACTGTATGAAGGCTTTAAAGGGAGAACGTTTTCTTGATGTGCTTTAGGAGGGGAGGAGGAACAAATGCCTGCCAGATCTCACAGCTACAGTAGCTGAGCTTTTGTTTATTTTGAAGAGCATGCAATTTTTAAATACACGGTGCAAGATAACCAGTAAAGGCGCGTTCCTTCTGAAAATTGAGGCCGGTCTCAGAACCATCTCCTGAGAAAGCATCCTTTTCGTGAGTGCTGAGACAACTGTCCTTTTTCTCTGCCCTCCCCCCTCTTTTCTTTCCATTGTATCTGAAGTTTCAAAGTACGTGGAATGATACAGAAGTTGCATGATTTCTGTTATTTCTTCCTGTTGCTGAAACTCTCAGCCGCTAAATCTCAGAATGCCTCTATTTCAGAACATCTCTGGGTCTAATTGCCTGTTGTGGATAACTTGCCCACACCTCAGTAACACAATGAGAAAACTGTTCCCTGCCCATGTTGATTTTTCAAATTGTTTGTAATTACTTTAAATTGTATTGAAGGTAGGTGGACCGTGTTAAAAAAGAATCGGAACAGAAGTGTTCACTGCCCCAGCATTTTCAATTGGTATAAATATTGTTGCATCAGTGTTATTCTGATGTAGGTGCCAGATCTAAATATGCTGTACTGATTAAAGTGTTTGTTCTGCCCTCTCCCACTCTCTTTCCCATTTGCAATTATTTGCTATTTCTGTGCAGGTGGTGTATCATTGGTGTAATACTGCAGTTCTTAGGAAGGTGTAGCTAGGGTCGTGAGAGATGATTTTTCTGGAGGTGGGTGATGCCAGAGCCTCTAGAGGATCCAGGCAGGATCGAGTTTCTTCTGAGGGTAGGGATTTGTCCTTGATTTAGTTTTGACCCCTACAACCATAGGTATGTAACCAAATACATTTTACCTCTTGCAGTATCCTTTGGTTTCGTATCCTTGAAGAGCTGATGACCTTTGTGTTTTAGAGAAATGACAATTTTTAGGCAATTAAAGACATTGGCCTCTTACACTTCTTGGAATTTTATGTTATTTTTACTAAGTTCATTAAGGCATTAAGAGGAAGTTGTCACATTTTCTCAACTACGTTTATTACATTTATTAGTTAAAAACTAAATTTCACTTTGTAATTTTGATTTCTAGCAATTCTGGGTTAAATATTAAATCTAATAACCTAGTAGATTGGAAAAAGAAGTAGCTTGGGTATAGTAATTAGACTAGCATGTTTAAGCTGCAGTAGCCTACATAATCAAGGCCAAGTGTGTGTGTATAAAAGATCTCATTTGTGTAGTCTTACAAGGCTAATGGAGGCATCACTGAGGCTTTATAAATAATGTAAGTTGGGTATAATGTAGAGTCTCCAGAGACGGCAGAGAAAGCATCATTACCAGCCTTTTCAACCTGCTTGAGATCTTAAATTGATTTACAGCACTGAACTGGTGCAAAATGATACATCAGGATGACATGGGGTCAGCCTGTAAAAGTCTATGATGTCAGCCTATTAGTTCAGTCATCATAATTAAACCATATTACAGGGGTAGCTAAGCAGGAGTCTGGCGTTATACTTCAGATATGGGTGGTACATGGGTTTTGTTTATAGTGGAAAGGCTGAGATGGCCAGGGATACCAGTGTGTGTGAAAGAGGGAAAAGGCTTACAGAACTATGAATTTCTGTAGAAAAATTTAAGATAAATGCAGAGATATTCAATCTGAATTGTATAAGTAGCTTTTCATTTGGTAGAGGAGAAACAGATGCTTTAGGGATGCTGATAAGGACCTTTGCAGCTCTGATATGTGTACTGAATGCTTCATGTGAGTTTGAATTTAACTTGGCCTTAGGGACCTTATAAAATATCAGTGGACCACATACTTAACTTTGATCCTTTTATTACCCCTGAATTTTCACTGTATTGATATCTACTGACATGTTATTTCTTTAACTAGTCAAACTTACCAGGCCTATACCAGAAACAAAGATATTTGAATTGAACATATAAACAGTTCAGGAAAAGAAGATCCTTATTTTGCTTAAGTTTCTGACAATCCTTATTTAGCTTATGGATTATCTAGGGCTCTGCTATCCTAGCCATAGTCACACGTAGCTTTTTTTGAAATTTTATTATTCTATTTTTTTGAGACAGGGTCTCTCTGTGTTACCCAGGCTGGAGTGCAGTGGCACGATCATGGCTCACTGCAGCCTCGACCTCCCAGGCCCAGGCAGTCCTCCCACTTCAGCCTCCCAAGTTGCTGGGACTACAGGCACTGCCACCATGTCTGCCTGACTAATTTGTTTTTGTATTTCTTGTAGAGACAGGGTTTCGTCATGTTGCCCAGGCTGGTCTTGAACTCCTGGGCTCAAGCTGTTCTCCCGCCTCGGCCTCCCAAAGTGTTGGGGTTACAGGTGTGAGCCACTGCACTCGGCTACTTATAGCTATTTAAGTTTAAATTAAAATTAAATAAAAATTCGTTTTCTCAGCAGTAGCCGCATTTCAAGTGCTTAGTAGCTGCTTGTGGTTAGTGGCTGCCATACTGGACAGCGTGTATATAGAATAGTTCCATCATCACAGGAGGTTCTGCTAGCCATTGCTGCCCCAGGACCTTTACCTCTTCTCACTTGTTAACTCTACTAATGATTTGTGGAGTCAAAGATGGAAAGACATATATAAACTAATTTTATCACTAACTAGCTGTTCTTTTTAAAATAAAACACAATTTGGAAGGGACAGTTGAAGCTGCTGGATAAAAGGAGTTTGACTTTTCTGTAGATCTTATTTATTATTAGTGTCATCGATTCTAATTTGGTTTAGAGCCTTAGAGAGAAGAAATAATTGTAGCTAACCCTTTTTTCTGAATTTTTACTGTATGTATGCCAGGCATTGTTTATAATACCCATATCTCATTTAAGCCTCAAAACTTCCATAAGTACTATTGTTGTCACATTTTACAGGTAAAGAAACTGAGGACAGAATGATTCAGTATCTTGCTTCAGGAGGTACAGTGAATGATTATGATTTCTAATCTTACCTGGGATATGATCGAGGCAGTCCAACTCTAGAAACTCCATCTTAACTATGTTTTTTGGTCTTTCGTTCAGAAGACCCAAATCATCATTGTTCTGCTGTGCTTTACTATGCCAGTATAGACATGACTTGGCTTGTGTATTTTGTAGGTCTTTAAATAAATTTACCTTCTATTGTGCCTTTCTGGGCTATCTTCTGTCGTTCTTTTGTAAGTGTTTAAGAAAGGAAAAATAATGCTCATCTAAGCAGCACATAATTTGAAGAATAAATCTGGCATGAAAATAATGCATTTCAAAGCCAAATTAGTTTTATCTCTGCTTTTCTGCATAATTCTTGTCACTTTCCTCTTGCATTTTCTTACATAATCACAAACTGATATTAAGTTAGGAGGAAAGTTGTAGTAATTCAGTTTGTCTGTCTTACCAAAATTAGTCTATCTTCCCTGAGCTGTTAAACACTGTAAGAATAGTAATTGCAAATTCATTGGGGATTTTTAAAAAAACATTCAACATCTATTTTTGTAAATGTTTTACAAGGTCAGGGCTGTTTAAGAATCGATGAAACTATGGATCTTGTATCTTCTTATTCCCACCTTCCTATCCCAAAATGCTTATATGTCATGGTGAGTTAATGTGTACACTTAACTATCCAAATCTCATGGTCTTTCGGGTGAAATATGTCCATGGGACTGCCAAGTGCTTTCATAAACATTAAGATTTGTAATTTCCTTTACAGAGAATAGAGATACTTAGTATTAAAAGTTGCTTTAAAGATTTTCTAATCTGGTTGGTTCATATCAAGGTGAACAGTCTGAAGTCCAGAGAAGGTAACTGACATCCAAAGTTACCTGTCTAGTGATTGGAAAAGGGAAAGCCAAGATCTGGACTCCTCTTGGCATTAAGTGCCCTTTTGTTTTCAGGTTTTTTTTCTCCCTACCACGCTCACGATATTTCTGAGGCTTTGGTGTAAGCATATCCAGTGTAATTTAGGGAAGGGAGGAAAGAATTTTTTGGCCTGTTAGCAACTTTTTATACCTAACATTGTTTGAGCTAAGTAGGAATCAAATCTGACAACCAGAGAGAAATGCTTATTTTCTACATATTAAAATTGATTCTTTTTCATTCTGGAGATGGAAAAGAAAAGCCCTATATCTAATTTAATCAATGAGACCTTATTAGAAAATGGGAGATCCAAGATTGCACAAAGTTCAAATTAAAGCAGGCAACTCTGACATCTAGCAAAATATACGAATCTCCTCTTGACTCTCGAAAACAAATCACATTCCTAACCAAAAGCTAAAGTTTGGGGTATTTAGGGAGCTAGGGAGTCCTAGGGAGAGAATTGGACAGGTCTGAGGAGAAAAAGGATAATTTAAATATAAAAAAGTGGAAAAAATCGGTTTTAAGTCATAGCATGTCTTTGAGGTTGATGAAATGTTCTGCTACTTCTATATGTGGTTTTACTCTTTGGTACCAAGATTTTAGGACATACTTTGATAACAAATAGGGGCATGTCCTCTTTGCCCCAATCTGAAACCTCTTGACCCTTTATTTTCCTTTCCTGCTGTTATCTGGTAGTACAAATATTCAGTCTAATCTGTTGATCTGGCATCTGATTTGCAGCAAAAATACCTGAAGTATTTTCATCACTCTGCTGTAGCCACCTTTAAAAAGAAAAGGAAAGAGAAGAAAAAGGCAGAGCCAAATAGTATTAATGTAATTGCTTAAAATCTAAATTAAAATACTCATCTTGCTCTGCGTTATTAAGATGGTGTCAGTTTTAGAGGTGCAGGGCTAGTCCTATATGCAAAACAGTAATGTCTGTAGCTATTGCGGGCTGACTTGCAGAAATGAGCGGCTTCTCTAGAACATTCATTTGCATAAAGGAAACTATCTTTCAGAAAAGAAAAGCCAAAAGTTTCATAAGCAGTTTCACTCCAGTGACTACATCAGAGTTTTAGTAAGGTACTGGGAACTACAGTATTTGAACAGTTCAGCATCTTTATAATTTTTGTTATAAGCTAAAATCTGAACTTTAGAGAAGACTCTCTCTTGAAAATAAAGCATTAAATTCTCTAAGGTGTGAGGAAGTCCTTACCTGGTGATTTTCCCAAATCTCTTTTATGTTCTTAGTGTTTGAAAAAGGAACTTTTTTTTTTTTAATAAGAACCTAGGTTTGCAGTATAGATTGGTTTCTTAACAAATATTTTTTTTGAGACAATAAGCCTGGATCTGAAGAAAGAACATACAATTGTTAATTATGCATGTATATGCTTTTGAGTTCAGGATGTAAATGAATATTCACTAGGTCCTGTTTGGGAAGAGGAGGAGAGAGGGGTCTCTCTGTTGATTCAGAATATATTTTTATACATAAGTTTTAATGCTTTATTTGTAGTTTCCCCTTAATTGTAGGGCTGCTGTACTGTGGATATTTTGCTCTACAATCTGAGATTGTTAGGGTATAGTTACTCCAACTATTCATGTATTATCCTCTCCCTGTCTTTTTGTGTGTGTGTGTGTGTGTGTGTGTGTGGTTTCTTTGTGGTGTGCTTATGCAAAGTAGAAGTATTCCAGACCTTTATAGCTTTTTTTTCTTTTAGTTTCAAACACTTCAAGAAAAAAGGTGGGGGGGAGACTCTCTCAACGGTTATAATTAGGCATTAATTAAGCCATTATTCAGTTAACTAAATGCAAGATCTTTTGTTTGTTTAGATGGAAAAGAAACGTATCTTTTTAATGAAGGAGGGATATTAAATGGGCCCTTATTTGATCATTTTGCTGCAGTATTGTAATAAGTATATGCTTCATTTATTCCCTGAATATTTATTAGTTCTGAGGCTTAATAATTAGAGTATACACAAACATGAAAAATTAAATGCAGCAACATTATAAGAGCCGTTACAAGGTAGTATAGGAGTAAATTGTACAGACAACTCACATCAGGACCACTGTGGCCTGGAAGGACATGTGAGTTTGCATAGGCAGAAGGAAGAGGGACATTATAGACAGAGTAATGGCATGAAAAACTGGGAGATAAGCATGAGTGTTGAGTATCTGTAGAGCAGCACTGTCCAATAGAATTTCTGCAGTGATGGAAATGTTCCACATCTGTGCTAATACAGTAGCTGTAGCCACACATGGAACAGCATTTTTTAAAAAATTAATTTATGTTTCAGTAGCCACATGTGGTTATCATATCAAATAGCACAGATCCAGAGGCAGTGAGCAGCCCTGCCTGACCTCAGTGGGTGTTCCTCATGGAGCCTAGTATGGTGGTGTGGAGGAGATGCTCAGAAAGGTTGACTTCCAGTGAGAATTTTAGGGCCTTAGAGTGCCAGAATAAGGAAACATTGGGAAGTCACTGAAAGTGTTTGAACATGCAGTTTGCACTGGAGGGATAGAGCCCAGTGCCAGGAGATCAGTAAGAAAGCTATTGAGTTATGTGTGAGATGATAAATCTCTGGTAAAGGTAGACATGGAAAGAGAAGGATTTAAAAATAAATAAATAAATAAAATAAAACAAAAAACCATGAAGGCTTGGTGATTATGTGGCTATAAAGTAATGAGAAAGAGATGTCGGAGATATATCCTTAAGTTTCTAAACTTGGTGGCTGGAAAACTAATAAAGATGTTACTTAAGAATAGGGAAGAGCTGGTTGTAGAAGAAATAAAAATTGTGCAAATGATAAATTAGACTTGATGTGTTAAATTTAAGGTGCGATATCTAAGTCAAAGTATGCTACAGGCAGGTTGGAGATAAGGTTTGGGAGGACTTGAAAGCTTTACGTTAGACTCTCTGCAGTCATCTGCTGGGTATTCTGAGACAACCACAAAGAGAGAAAGAACTGGTGGATTGAATCTTCCATTGGAGCCCACGGTTAGGAATTAATAGAAGGAAGAGGCTAATTTGAAGTAGACTGCCTGAGAGGCTGTTTGACATAGACCAAAGAAGAAACTGGAAGAAAGGCATGGGGTCAGAGGAGTGGGAAAACCAGGAAGCCACTGGAAGAGAGATTCTAGAAGTAGGTTTGGAGGGGAAAATGTACAGTTCAGGGTGAAGGAGAAGAAGTCAGATAATCATGTGAATGCAATTTCAGAGAAGGCTGAATACATTAAGAAGTGAGAGAGTCTTATATTGCCTTAAGTGACTTGAATTTTAAGATAGATGAGACCTCTTCATATTTGAAGGTTGAGGGGAAGAAGTCAGTGGACAGAGAGCAATTGGAGGTGATGGAGTTAGCCATCTGGAGCACAAGTGACAAATGTTGACCGTGGTAAGGAGGGAGAGTTGTCTGAGAAAGAAACAGAATGGGGTCCGAGTGAGAAGAAAGCATGTGGCAGAGCTCCTGTGCACTTTTGCTGATTTTCCTGTATTGTTGGAGGTAAGTCCTTTCACTGGGATGGTGAGGAGGAAGATCAGCACATGGTAAGGGAAGAAGAACCACCGTAGGTAGTGTGCCAGGCAATCTATAGAGAAGTCAAATTCTAAACAATTGGGGGGAAACCTGGGGTGAAGTGTGGTGAGGCTGCTGTATAGGAGACTAGGTTAATTGTTACTTTTTGGTATCACTTTGTGGCCTGGTAGGCTTAGGGATAGCAAATGGGTTCAGAGATAAGACTCTAGAGTCAGATTGCCTGGGTGTAAGACCAAGCCCCAACACTTACTTGTTTTATAAGAAGCCTGATGAACTAAATGAATTGAGAAGCAGTAAGCAATGAGAATCTTGGTAATGAAGTAGTGAAATATCAAGTTTGGGAATTTGTAGATAGAGCATTTCCCTAACAATTCTAGATAAAGGTTTCTAAGAAAAGTATAGAAATTGAACTAACAGAAGAATCCCTGTAATGATTTTAAAGGTTAAGTTAATTAGAACTTAAAAAAATAAGTATTGTATTCTGAATTTTTCTGTGGCTTTTATTACAGCATTCATTACGGTTAAAAACATTTCTTTTTCATTAAACCAATATGTGCTTAATGCAGAAAGATTCTGCAGTGGATTCTTGTCATAGTGTTAGAAGGAAAGGGGAGTTTGATTTATGCCACTGGGGGGAGGGTTATTAATAGCCAGCCACAGAGCCCTTCAAAATGTGGCTCCAAAGGCAGAAACAATAAAGGAAACTTTTTATAGATTTGATAGCATTTATTATGTGACCAAACATACTCAAAAACAAAACCTGAAAGACAGATAAAGAGATTTGCAACAAGATATTGTTCTTTACAAGAAAGACTTATATCAATAGGAAGCACCACCCCAATAGAAAAATTGGTAGTGGACGTGAACAAGCATTTCACAAACAAATGAAATGCCAACTGCTGACGGGAAGATTCTGCGCCTGTAATCCCAGCTACTCTGGAGGCTGAGGCAAAAGGATCACTTAAACCCAGCAGTTCAAGGCTGCAGTGAGCTATGATTGTGTCACTGCACTCCAGTCTGGGCAACAGAGTGAGACTGTCTCAAGAAAAAGGAAAAAAGAAGTACAAACTACTAATGAACACACAATGTTTTGGTTATGTCCTGGATCAGACTTGATTGAAATGGGGATGATGTCTTCCTTTTTCCTGTATTTTGTTATTCTTTGTATACTAGGAAGTATCAGTCTGGGAAGACTGGGCTTTTCTCATTTAAGGAAAGGAAGCCCGAATTTCCCAGCCTCCTAGGAGAATCTGGAGTGTCAAGGAGGTACAAGATATATACAAAGTAGAGTTATAAGAGGCAGGCACCCTGCTTCCCTCCATAACATGGTTTTCGTCCAGGAGTTTCCTTATTGCAGTGTGAGGGGCTATCAGTTATACACAGTTTCTCAGTCACCTGGCGTAGATGATGAACCTTGAAGACACCAGTGCTTCCTAGAGCATATTGAAATAGGCCCCTTTCTCTCCTACCTGAATTGCAGTATTAGATTTTATAGTGGCATTTGCTCATTGATGTGAGACGCAGTGATGGTCTTGGAGTATAGTTTTGATTATTGAGATGGACGAGTTTATGAGGTATTAAATAAAGTGAGAAAAGTTCCCCTTGTAGTAAAACCTTATAATGTTTAAAAAAAATGTAAAAGTTAGGCATCAGTGTTTAATTTTACAAATTTTTTTAAAGGATAATAGGGGTCATGGGTTTTCTGTCAGTAGAAAACTCAAACTGTTTTTCCCTCTGCTCTCACACTACAACAGTCAACACAAAATACTTTTGTGACTAAATGTGTGTGGGTTTTTCGCTACACACCAAACACTGGCTGGGCTGGGTGTCTTCCAATTCAATTTTGACTCTACCTGGAGATAGCCTCAGATCCCACAGATTGAAGGTTCAGTCCCACCCACCTCCAACATAAGTCCAGGCTTCTGGAACTTCTGGCTGACCAGCTTCAAGTTGGGGCTCCTATGACTCCGCTCTTTGGATTCAATTAATTTGCTAGAATGGCTTACAGAGTTCGGGGAAACTTACATTTACTGATTTATTATAAAGGATATTAAAAAGGATACAGATGAAGAGATACATAGGGCAAGGTGTGGAGGAAGGGGCATGGAGCTTCCATGCCTAACTTGGGCGTGCCACGCTTCAGGAACCTCTGCATGTTCAGCTGTCCAGAAGCTCTCTGAACCTTGTCCTCTTGGTTTTTTATAGGGCTTCATTTTATAGGCATGATTGATTATACCATTGGCCACTGGTGATCAACTTAACCTTCAGCCCCTTGCCCCCTCCCTTGAGGTTGGAGGGTGGGGCTGAAAGTCTCAATCCTCTAATCTTGCCACCATCCTAAAGCTAGTTAGGGGCTGCCAGCCAACAGTCAATCATTAGCATACAAAAAGACATCACTTTGGAGTCTCCAAGGATTTTAGGAGCTGTATGCCAGAAACAAGGTTGAAGCCCAAATATATATTTTACAGTACCGCAGGTTTAAAAGTCTATTCATATGCTGCCCATAAGGGGATGAGTCTGCTGGTTATTGGTAGGATCCTTACCTAACTGAATTACATTCAGCCTTAAGTGAGTTCTTACCTTGCCACTAGACAGAATCAGAATTTGTCTGCGTCTTCTGTCTTACCATCTCCTTTCTTTTAAATGACCTGCAAACATTTTAAAGTTGGATAAAAAAGGCTTTTAAATCTCACCTTCAGGCTCACAACTTGGCCCACTAGCATCCCCTACCCATCCTTAAGTCCTTTCTGAGTGGGTTGTGACTGGGAGTACGGGCCCTGAAGTGATATGCATTGGTGAGACTTGTCACTCAAACTCTTTGAGCTAAGTGGTAGAGGGAAGAGAAATGCCAGGAAAATCGGTCTTAATTTTATCAGAGACAGTAGTTTTTCATGAAAGAGAGTAATGATACAGTGGATATTGCTGTAGAAATTATACAGCTGGTTGCGTATAGCTTGCCATCTCATCTATTACAGCTTCCTGTTTTGCTTTTTGCACATTGCTGGCTTTGCAGTCCAACATATTTAATAACAACCTCTTTATTTTTCATGTGTTTATGTTTGTGTGCTCAGGGCTTCTATTTAGTTTATTCAAGCTTGAGGGAATATTTGATTAGTTTTAAATGTTTTTCTGTTAACTGTGAACAAAATTAATTTGATTATCATTTAAATGTTGGCACAAAAACTGTATTTATAGCATTTATTCGCATTCATTTATAGCATATATTTGCTGAAGAGTTTTGTCAATTTGTGTGGGCTGAGATGTTCTGTATTCTAGAAAAGGCTCCTTTAAAAGGGGTGTGTCCTCACTGTGGAGTTCTCCTTTTTTGTTAAGCTGATATTAATCAATTCAGCAAGTATTTCATGCATTCCTGCTGTGCATCCAGCACTGGACTATGTTTTGGATGGGATAGAGAAAACTGTAAGTCATTTTCTGCCCTGAAGAAGCAATCTAATTGGTAAGAGGAGATTATGCATTTGAAACTTTCACTTCAAAATCAAGGGATTGGGGAAAAAAGTCTGATGCATTTGATAGAGCTTTTTGCCTCTGGCCCACTTCTACCTTACTTTATTCTGTATTTATTAATTTTTTTTGAGACAGAGTCTCACCCTGTCGCCCAGGCTGGAGTGCAGTGGCGTGATCTTGGCTCACTGCAACCTCCGCCTCCCAGGCTCTAGTGATTCTCCTGCCTCAGCATCCTGAGTAGCTGGGATTGCAGGTGCCCGCCACCATGCCCAGCTAGTTTTTGTATTTTTAGTAGAGATGGGGTTTCACCATGTTGGCCAGGCTGGTCTCGAACTCCTGACCTTGGGACCCACCTGCCTCTCCCTCCCAAAGTGCTGGGATTACAGGCGTGAGCCACCGCGCCCGGCCCCAGTTCATTCTTTCAGCAAGGTTTTGAGTGTCTGTATTTCTATTTATGCTTATGTTCATAGTGTATCTCTTAGACAGCTTGATAAAGTTGGGGGTAAGGAATTGTAAGTACAGGACCTGCACTGAGGATCTTCTAACTTTAAGGAACAATACAAACCTGCTTGTCTAGTCTAGCATCTGTTGTAATGCCTTTTATTACAATTACCTTATTAACTCTTTAGACTGAGTTCCTCGAGGGTATGGCCAGTGTCTTTATGATCTTTGTGCTCGCACAGTGCCTAGTGCAGTGGTTCTCCCTTGTCTACTCATCAAAATCGTGTGAACAGCTACCACCACAAAGATGCCTGGGCCCATCCTATTGAAGGGTTATGGTAAGGAAGCTTTTAAAAATACTGTTAATATCCAGCAACATTAAGAACGGTTGGGCTGGCACACAGTAGGTACTTGGTGAATGAATTTTTTCATTTTGTTGTTTTTAGAATTACATCAGGAAATATGGTATGTTGTGAGTTCATTGTAGTTATGAACCATGTCTTTTATACTCTGTAGCACCCAGCACTGTGTGATGTCAGTTGTGGGTGCTCAGACACACCAGTTAAGTTCTGAGGATTGACTGCTTTGCTTCCCCTTTTTTTCATTGAGGAGAGCAGAGACAGAAAGGATATGTGTGTTTGACATCTCTCCCTTTTCCCTTTGTGGAAGAATCAGCAGTTCTGTGAATCCCGGAGTCTGCAAATGAGTTATAGAAAGCTGTTGAGGCCTGAGGTGCTTAGATTGCAAAGAGAAAAGGAGAGGAAAAGTGGCAGAATAGAGCTGTGGCTTATCTGGCTATGTCAGAAAAATTTTTGGTTGTCACGAATTGGAGGGAGACGCTGGAGGGTTGCAAATAGCTTCTAGTGGGTAGAGGCCAGGGATGCAGCCAAACATCCTGTAATGCTAAAGTTGAGGAACCCTGAAATAGAGGATAAAAAAGGGGATCAGGAGACAGATGGGGTAACTGAAGTGGTAGTGTCATGACCGTTTCTGCCACACCAGCACACAGTTTGTGTGCTTTATCTTCCCACTTTCCTTACCCCTTACCACAAATCCTTCAGAGTCCAGAGTACTATTTTTGCCATTATCTATAAGTAGCATTGTGACTTACAACTGTGTATTAGGTGTTGAAATTAATATCTTAGCATCTTATCTATGTTAAAATATACCTGAAAGATTCCTTTAAATTTTCTTTATCTCTACATCTACTTGATTGGAAAACTATTAACCTCAAGATAAAAAGAGCTAGCAATTTTTGTTTTCTTTATGTTTTCAATAAAGGATCTTAAAATAATCAGTGGGAATGTAAAGAAAATTAATTTCCTTTTTTTTTTTTTTTTTTTAACTAGACAGGGTCTTGCTATGTTGCCTAGGCTGAAGGCTGGTGATCACAGCTGATTGTAACTTCGAACTCTTGGGCCTAAGTGATCCTCCTGCCTCAGCCTCCCAAGCAGCTGGGACTACAGGCATGCACCACAGTGCTTGGCTTTTTTTTTTTTTTTTTTTAAATAAAGGCTATGTTGCCCAGGCTGATCTCAAACTCACAGCCTCAAGCAATCTTTCCACCTTGGCCTTCCAAAGTGCTGGGATTACAGGTGTGAGCCATTGCACCTGGGTCAAGAAAATGAATTTCTTAAAAGGAGTTTAATTTTAGTGTTCTACAGATTCATCATGAGAAAAGGATTATTAAGATTTGAACACATACAAGAGCTAATGGTGCCAATTTTCTGATGT
The DNA here is from genome assembly GCF_000001405.40 of Homo sapiens. Classification (NCBI taxonomy): domain Eukaryota; kingdom Metazoa; phylum Chordata; class Mammalia; order Primates; family Hominidae; genus Homo; species Homo sapiens. The sequence continues at coordinate 145,496,027 of NC_000004.12, forward strand.
CTTGTTGAATGATAGCTTATAATGTCTTATTCTAAGCTCTTTAGATTAAAGTGAATTTAATTTTGTCACTGCTGCCTTGATAAAACTCTTGTTTTTTTTTTCATGTTCTGGGTAAGTGGGAAGGTATCAAGAAGGAAAGCAATAGCAAAAACAAGAATAAATTAGAAAGGGATGGAAGGAGATGGAGGGAATTTTTTAAAACTATAAGCAAATCCTTGCCTGTTACTCTGCCTTATGCATCAAACCAAGGGGGGGACTACTGTGGAGAAGCAGTAGAGAGGTTACCTTGGCAGGTTCCTTAACTTTTTTTGTGCCTCAGTTTTGTCATCTATAAAATAGTTCTTGTTCTATAGGACTCGTGTAAGGATTAAGAGACCTATTTAATTAAATTTAAAGTGCTCAAAACAGTGCGTGGTGATTCATAATGGTTGTGGTTGTGGTGATGAGGATGATATAAGGATGACTTTTGATTGTTTTTGAATATAGTTGACCCTTGACCAATAGAGGTTCGAACCGCAGGAGTCCACTTATACTCAGATTTTTTTCTCAACCAAAAGTGGATAGAAAATACAGTATTTGCAGAAGGTGAAACCTGAATATGCAGAGGGGCAGCTTTTTGTTTATGCACGAGTTCCACAGGGCCCACTGAGACCTGTATGCAAGGATTTTGGTATTGGGTGGTGGGGTCTGGGAACCAGTGCCCCAGGTATACCAAGGGATGACTATACTTCTGTTGAAATTTGATGGAGACCATGGATGCACTTTTATACAGTGTTTCCCATAAAACCACCTACCACTTTCTCCCTTTGAAGTTGGTGGTGATAGTGATAAAAGTTTCTTGAGTTTTCAAACTAGTATGTTTCAGGTGTTCTGTAAAAGTCTGTTTTTTTGCCTATACTCTGAATTCCAAGAGAAAGAGTGATTTATATGACATAAAATGTTTGTCTTTATGTTTTTATAATATACTAAAACACTATAGTTAACCGTCATCCATTTACAGATTTTCCACAGCAATTTTTGAATCTTAAATAGGCATTTCTCTAGAATTTACTATGTTCTCAGGGCATATTGTAGTTTTATTAATAGTGTAAGCAAAATATAAATGATTAAAAGCTTTGATGAATCATAATACATTGTAGAAGCAATAGTTAATTACTAGTAAGGCTGCTTTGGATTATCTGTCCCATTTTTCATACCCACTGAAACAGCTGGTTGATATTTGGACTATTTGGATTTCCACTGTAGGGTAAGTAACACCGAGCTCAGGATGCGTGGAAGATGTCGTTGTAGCACAGACTGTAGGTCGCTCTGTCTGCACGTATGTTTCTCCTTAGATGAAGAGCCTGAACAGGCGGTCCTGTGACTCTTATCATAGTGTACCATATGATATGGTTCTCCCATCTCTCCCATACACACTTCATAACCATAAGCTTGATGGTAATGGGAACTGTGTTATACTCATTTTCTTTCTACTGCACCTTTATGTTGGTGATAAGGGCTTAAAAATTTGTTCAGTTAAATACTGGATTAATGGAAACGAAAGCCTTCTTAGTAGCTGAGCGTGTAAAGGAGGAGAACTTGGGTTCTGAAGTCTTCTGAGAATATTGTCTTGGGTTTTTCCATTGTAATTGGTAAATAAATTACTTTAGGGAAGTTAGCAGATAAGACTGTACTGAACAAGTGATCAGAGGTAGAAAGGACTAGATTCATGGGCACAGGGCTCACCTAATTCTATAGGTGATGCTTGCTTATATCTAAAGCATTATTTCTCTAAAACCAGTGAAAAACTTTGCATTTGCTTCTTTTAGCTCTTAGGTGGAGGGAGCTCTCACATTCTGGAAGAGGGGGTTGCTGCTATTTGTTCAGTTTCTCCTCCAAGGTGGCCAAATGAATGTTTGCAATTCCAGTCCAGTTTTTGGCAGATTGAAAAAGTCTGTCATTGATTGTCATATGAGAGTGGAATCTGGCCGATGTCAATGTTTGTTTCAGTGGTTAGATAAACTTTGATTTTTAGAAGTTATTCTTTCAAATAACAGATTTCTGTAATGGAAAAAGGACAGGACCAAATTGCTTGTGAAGATATTTGAATAACATAGAACATTTTTATTTTAATAAGAAATTCATGCATTGAAAAATTTGATGGATATTTGAACAGTTAATAAAAAGGGGAGTAAGGGTCTAAAATGGGAGGGAAACTTACTTTTTTGCTATAATATGCCATTTTTTGAAATGGAATTTTTTGATTATGTGCCTGAATCCTTAATAAAAGAGTACATTCCATTCCTATCCATATCATATTAACCCAGAATAGGGTCATGTATTTTACCAGAATACATTTCTCTGAAAATCCTATGCAGATACACTTTCAATTATTTTTTTTCCTTTATACAAAGATATATCTTGCCACCTGTTGGTCATAATGCTGTCTTCTAGAGCCATGTAGAAATAACTCTCTTACCTACTGTCAGTTTTTATTTATTTTTGTTATTGTGGTTTTAAATTTGAAAACAGCAATTGGTTAAAACTAAAAGTAGTTGGCTCTCCTGCACTCCCTTGTACCCAGCTCACTCCTAAAGGTAACTACTTGTTCAGTTTCATTTATTTTTTTCTAGGCCTTTAAAAATGCACATGTATATACATAGACAGTTTTTGTTTCTATTTGTGTTTTTAGAAAGAGACCATACTATAGATACTTTTTACCACTTCTTACTGAACAGTTGTGGTATGGTTTTCTTTTCATGGTAGTATTGTACATGAAAGTCCATCTGTTTTTTCTTATTTTATTAACAGTTACATCATAGTCGAATGTATCATAATTTATTTAATCATTCCATTATTGTTAGGCACCTGGGTTATTTAGAACACGAATATACTTGAACATAGATCTTTGTGTGTGTTCATCTGAGGGAGCTGTTTCCCCTGTGGCTCTCTCAAGCCGTGGCTGGTTTTTCCCATAAACCTTTTACCTCTTATTGCCACCTTCAGACCATTCTTCTACCATCCTCTATAAAAAACACCCAACTTCGACTATCATGTAAAATTATACCACTCATTACTCTTCCTTGTTAGTCATTTTCTGCCCCATTGCCCATATCGTTCACTCTAATTCCTACAAGATTTAACTCCTGGTTGTTATTCCCTTTATACTATAGGTTGAGCGACCCTAATCTGAAAATTCAAAATGCTCCAAGATCCAAAACTTTTTGAGGACTGATATGGCACCACAAGTGGAAAATTCTGCACCTAACTTTATCTGACAGGTCACAGTCAAAACTTTTTTGTGCACAAAATTATTAAAATTATTTTATAAGATTGGCCAGGCATGGTGGTTCATGCCAGTAATCCCAACCCTTTGGGAGGCTGAAGCGGTGGATCACTTAGCCCAGAAGTTTGAGACCAGCTTGGGCAATGTGGCAAAACCCTGTCACTAATAAAAATCCAAAAATTAGCCAGGCGAGATGGCACTTGCCCGTAGTCCCAGCTATTCAGGAGGCTGAGGTAGGAGGATCACTTGAACCTGGGAGGTCTAGGCTGCAGTGAGCCATGCCACTGCACTCCAGCGTGGGCAACAGAGCAAGACCATGTCTCAAGAAAAAAAGAAAAATTTCAGCCTATGTGCATAAGGTGTAGATGAAACATACATTAATTTTATGTTTAGACTTGGGTCCCATCCCCAAGATATCTCATTTTATATATTCAGAATATTCCAACATCCAAAAATACCTGGAATCTGAAACACCATCTGGTCCCAAGCATTTCAGATAAGGGATACTCAACCTGTATTCCTGTACAGGAATTATGGACATTTAGTCCATAATTCTTGGACTACTTCTCCTCCAGTGGCCTTGTCTTTGGTCCTACCTCAGATATTCAATCTCTGGGTAGAAAGATTCCATAAAAAAAGAAGAAAAAAATCTCGCTCAGTCTTACAGTTCCCATAATACGGGTTTTCATACTTCTAAAAATTAAACAATTCTCCAACCTTACAGTTAATTATTTTCTTTATATAAGCAGTAAAGTATTATTTGTTCATGTCTGTACTTTGAGAATATATCCAGAATCTGACGACTTCTGCCACGCTGGTTGAAATCTTTATCATCTTGTACCTTAACAATTGCCATAGCTTCCTAACTGGTCTCCCTACCCACCACTCCCTACTTCGATCCCTGCGTCCTTCAGTATGTTCTCAACCCAGCAAGCCACAGTAATTCTATTAAACTCTAAGTTGGATGATGGCTCTCCTCTGCTCAGATCTCCCAGTGTTTCCATCTCAATTTGGGTCAAAAGCTCTGAAGTCTCTGTGGGTCCCGCACATACCTTCCCCTGTGACCTCTCTGGCCTCATCTCTCATTTCTCTCCCCTCACTCCATTCCAGCCTCAGTGAGGACTCCTTGCCATTCCTTGAACATCTCAGGATCATTCTTGCCAAATGGCTCAAATGGCTTTTGCAATTGCCCTTCTCTCTGCTTGGAATGCCCTTCCCCAGATAATTCCTTTCAGGGGGCTGTTCAGATACCACATTCACGACGAGGCTTTCCCTGACCACCAGAATGTAGGCCCCACCAAGGCACAGAAACAGACTTTGAAAAACTTTTTGTGTCTCTTTCAGTGCTGCGTTTCTAGTGCTTAGAATAGTGCCTGGCATGTGATAGCTGTTTGTTGAGTGAATTGAATAACTGTAGTGGTTACTAGTTTTTCTCTTTTTGTATGAAGTTAGAACTTCATTAAACAGACAAAAACTAGACTGTAAACCTCATTTTTTTGGATATGCAAAATATTAAAATTAGCCTTATTTGTGAACCTGCTTTGTTAATCACTTTGTTTTTCAGCATGTTATAATTTTGAAGTAAGCCTTTCATGTTTATATTTAATCTGCCTAACCCAGTGGATTGGGTGATGGTATCACAATTTTGTGGAAAAGCAAATTGAGGCTCAGAGTTGTTTTCTTCAAAGTACAGCTACTAAGTGGACAGCTGCAGTTCAAACCTATTCAAGTTAAGGACACTTGTTTTCTAATTTAGAAACCATCTTAAAATGACAAAAAAGTAGGTAGAGGTTTTATTTGAAAGCATGGAGAATGTGCCCCAATTTCTCATTCTGGGTTTTGTCTGCCTTTTGTTTCCATTTTCAAAATATGTAAAATAAATGGTTAACTTTAAAATTCCTGACAATGACAGATCAACAAGTTTTATTTCTCTCACCTGTGGAGGAAGTGGCCTCCACCCAGTTTTACTGAATTAGGAGGGAAGTGATTTTTTCAAGTGATAAAAAGAAATAAAATTCCATGCTCTTCCCAGAGGAGGAGTTCAACAATTGGGAAAGTGGCGTGAGACCATATGTTGGTTTGTAAAAGGATATAACTTGTAAAGATGTTTCCTTTGATGCCTGTGATGAATATGGATGTGTTTCCCTTCTAGAGGGTCCTGATTAAATTATGCAATTAAGAGCTGAGCTGAAGGATCTAAATATAGGAAGAGAGTTCAGGCCGTCCTGCTTTGTGTCTGTCAGTTCACCCCTACAGATGTGCATGTTTGTTGTCATAAACAGCACCTGTGAGATCAGTGGAGCGAGAGAAATATGTTCCAAAACATGAAATACAGCAGGATTTTTGTTTCTTTTTTTTTTTTTAAAGGGATAGTTTTTTCCTCCTGTAGTTGATTCCATTTTCATCTGTGAATTTGATATTTGGATTACCTTTTTTTTTTTTAAACTTGACTGAGGGACTTCAGTATTAGTCAGTACTGGTTTAAAATATAGATATACTACTTACCAGAATATGGTCTGGAGAAAGTTACTTTAACCTCTGAGCCTCAAGTTTATTACTAAAATTGAGATAATGATTTCTACCTTGAAGCATTGGTGTGAGGAGTCAATGTAATAATGTTTGTAAAAACAACCAGTATAATGCTTGTATAAGTTGGTAACTCAAACAATTTCGTTTATTAGCTACTGACGAATCATTCATAACTAGCCACTTACGGAAATCTACCACATTTAGCATTCTTTGTAGTCTAAAATTGCTATTTTAGGATAACTGACTCAAAGAGAATAGTTTTTTCTGAGACAACTACCATAGACTTTCTCCTGGGATAGTCAATAAAATTAAATCTTAAAATGTCTGTGGTCTTCAATCTTTCCTGTGTTTGAGGAGTGAGCATTTGTAGGCCAGGAGTCTTTACAGTGTTTGAGTTGACATGAATGTGAATGGCCTTTATCAGGATGAGCTTATGGGGAGCTGGACATCTTGAAAGGCTACCGTGTCCTGAAGGACAGTATGCCATTACAAGCATGAATTTGGGAATGGGGGTTCAATGGGATTAAGGAATGTTGTACAACTTTTAGAGGAAATGGCAAGAAGATATAGAAAAGCCAACTTTGTTTGTTGAAGTTGGGGACAATAAGAAAACTTTCAATTGCCTTAACTATTCAAGTAATCATCTAATCAGACAAAACAGATGTGACAGCTGCTATTTTATAGGGAATCTCTGTGATTAAGAAAAATTAACCAGGTACTCTATTAGCAGCCTAGATTTGTCAGGATGGAAGGATTTGTGTATGCAGAACAGAACCAGAAAGAACTCTTTTTAAAGAATTTTCTGATATAATGAAGATACGTTAATAGCACACTTGGCACACCTAAAATAAATAAACTACAGTTATATCCTTAGAGACTCTTGTCATTCTGACATCCATAAGTTCCTTGCTTCCTTTTCATCAAGGAGATGCTACTTTTGAAATTGTTTGGCTGAAATTTCACAGCTTCAGTGAACTTACAAGTGGTAAGTAGTAAGCTGGAATTCAGTCTACATGGTATTCCTTTTCTTTTTGATTCCTAAGATTTCTACTCACTTAACACTGTTGAGGGACCAAATTGCATCTCTTGCTGGCATGTCACTTAAGTTATACTGGAGAGACTGGAAGACTTGCTGTCAGTGTCTGCGCTTTAAACGCACAGTGTCTGCGCTTTAAAGGCAATAGTACCTGCATTATTGCATCACTATAAATAGAATTTCACGAACTGAACCTCTCTCCTATCTCCAACCCCCAATTTCTCCAGATTTAGAAAATCAGTCTCCGGCAAAAATAAATTTTCAGTGGGAAAAATGTCAAACTAGCTATTCTGCATCATCAGTCCCATGTTTGGAAGTAGCCAGATCAAGGCTGAATAGTAAGAGGCTCAGTAAGATGGAACTTTACTTGTGGTGTTTGTGATGGTAGGACTCTCCTGCTGCTGTGAACTGAGAGCAGCAGAGTTCTGTGTTCTCTGTGGGTCTCCGTATGGCTTTCTTGTGTAGGAATTTGGTTTAAATACATTTTTCCCCTAAGGACTAAAGCGAAATAGAGTTCATTATAGCCTTTTTAGCAATGAAGTTAAGCGCTGTACTTTATGAAGTACGTTAGCATCAGTAAAGAGCAAGGTTTTATCCATTTTCATTTTTCTTTCTGTTCTAGAGGTTTTTTCCTCCCTTATTTTGCTTAGTGGTGAGTTTTATTTAGCTAAATTTGACTCATTTGAGATTGAGACAAATGTTGAAAGTTGAGGGCTAACTGCTGTTTTAAAACAGGAAAAAGGAATGCAGGCACTTCACCTGTTTCCTCCTCCAATACAAATACAGCAGGTCCTCAGACAACCTCATTTCATTCAATGCCATTTCCTTATAACGTTGATGAGAAAAAACATTCCCAGCCTAGGCCACTGTCTGTGTGGAGTTTGCACATTCTCCCCATGTCTGCTTGGGTTTTCTCTGGCTACTCTAGTTTCCTCCCATATCCCAAAGGTGTGCACGTTAGGTGAATTAGTATGTCTACATTGTCCCCATTGCAGTGCATGTAGGTGTGTGTGTGAGTGCGCCCTGCCATGAAATGGTGTCCTGTCCAGGGGTGGTTCCCACCTTGTGCCCTAAGCTGCTGGGATCGGCTCGGGCCACTGCGACCCTGAATTGGAATAATTGGGTAAATAATTATCTTGTTTCTGTTCATCTTTCTTAAATGTATATATGGCTCACATTTATTTCAGTGTTAATTTTAGAAGTGTTTTGGGTCTCAGAAGTTTGGTAATGTTTTTGTGACCAGAAATGTCCTGAAGGAACTTAACTCTTGTTTATATAAATTAGCTGATGCTAAAATTAATTTTGTTTTACATCGTTTCACTTAGAGCCACAGTTTCCAAGAACCCGTAAGGACTTTACTGTATCTGAAAACCTGGTTAGCTCCTAACTGGAGTAACTGGGTTAAAGAAGCATTTGAACATTATTTGTTGAACCAGATCAAAGAACATTGCTACTTTAGGGTATTTTCTGGAACTGAAATAACTAGATCCATTTCTGTTTTTATATTCATTGTAATGGCATTGGACTTGTATAGCAAATTTTAACTTGTCTTTTGCCTGTCTGCCTTAACCTTAAGGGTAGATATTTATCATTTTCCTTAAGGAGCTGTACAATAATCTTTCATGCTTTTTGTTAGGAACCATTTACAATTCCTACTGTCTGCTACTTATCGTTGTGTTCTACTTGTTCTAGAGTTCTGTCTCCACCTGTCTTCATTTTTAGGGGTACTGTTTTTTAGGGGTACTATTTCTCTGTTTGGAAATGTGAGCGGATGGCAGTTTCTGCCTCAGCCCTCTTGCTGGGCCATTGTCTCATGTGGGTTGTCTGCTGTTCCACATTTAAGTAATAGTTATTTCAGCTTTATCAAAAGTTTGTAAGTTCCCAGTTCTTCTGGACTTCTGATTAATTCAGCCTGATTTTATTTAGGGCAAATGATTATGATCCCCTTTCCATTTTGTGAATTTTTCATATTTTACCAATAAATCTCATTGCAATTCTTTGCTTACAAGATGGCTTGAAAGATGCAAGCAATGATGGATTGCTCTTTATTGTTTTAAAATATTTATTGGCCTTAAATTGCTGAAATAATATGGTTTTTCCAACCTTTGTGTTTTTATGCATTTTTAACCCTACGTCTTTAGTGTATAATCTTCTGTGAGTCTGTGGTTTCTATAAGTGTCAGGAATTTTTCAGGTGTCTTTATTATCCTTTGAAATCATGATCTATTTGGACAATTCCATCTTTGTTTGGACTATACAGTTGACTTGAGTACCTAAGTGAAATGGAGCAGGTTAGAAAAAAGTAGTTTGTTTTATAGTAATGAGAATTACATTACAAGTCCCCTGGCATGTTCCCCTTTGACCTTTTTTGATGTTTTAATTTAAGCATCTCAAACAAGGCAAGAGTTGATCTCACCAGGCCTTGAATCCTATCCAAAATTGGATGTTAGGATAGATGACACATACATTTCTGTAATACTAATTAATATTGCCAGTTAATATTGATCACTTTCTACAACATGTCTCTGAGATATCTTGCATCTCCATGGCATCTAATGAGGTGTATTGTGAAATAGTTTCATATATTAAAAATACTGGAAAATAATATAAAAAATTAGCTGGGCGTGGTGGTGGGCACCTGTAGTCCTAGCTGCTCCGGAGGCTGAGGCAGGAGAATGGTGTGAACCCAGGAGGTGGAGGCTGCAGTGAGCCGAGATCGCGCCACTGCACTGCAGCCTGGGCGACAGAGCAAGACTCTGTCAAAAAAAAAAAAAAAAATGCTGAACTACAAAATTCATGCAGTTTGCTTATAATCACTCTGAAGCCCACCATAGGTCTACTCTGGAAGCTCAAGTCTTACTTTTTCTGTGTATTCACAAGACCAGTCTATCTGTTTAAGAATATATCTGGCGATGTAAGTCTGGAAATACGCACTTAGGTGGTTTTGTTACTTAGAAATATTTGTTTCCAAAAAGGAAAAAAAAGGTCAAACAATTTTTTTTTTTTTGAGGCGGAGTCTCAATCTGTCACCCAGGCTGGAGTGCAATGGCACAATCTTGGCTTACTGCAACCTCCACCTCCCTGTTCAAGTGATTCTCTTGCCTCAGCCTCCCAAGTAGCTGGGTCTAAAGGTGTACACCACTATGCCCGGCTTATTTTTGTATTTTTAGTAGATACAGGGTTTCACCATGTTGGCCAGGCTGATCTTGAACTCTTGACTGGTGATCCCCCCTCCTCGGTCTCCCAAAGTGCTGGGATTACAGGTGTGAGCCACCAAGCCTGGCCGATCAAACAGAATTTTTATAAAGTTGTCTTTAAAAAAAAGAAAAAAAAAGTATCCAGCTGTTAAACATTTTCAAAGTGAAGTTAATCAATACCCTGTACTTTTAGTTCCTTAATTCTTTTGATCTTTGTGCCATGATTTTTTACTATTAGTTAAGAAAGTGTAATGAACCAAAGAACAAGAAGTAGGGGGAGAAAAGAGTTGCCTGCTTCATTTGACAATAGACCATTTATCTTCTGTTATTTGCCTTTCTTAAAGTACGGAGAGTTTTTGGATTTTTTTCCCCCAGTCACTTTTTGTAGCCTGTATTTTTTGTTTATTTTATTGAATAATACAATTATTCCCTCAATATTTAATGGGAGCATTTATTTTGTCTGCTGAATTCCATACTGGTGCAAGAATTATAAAACAGCCTCTAGTCTGAAGCTGATACAGAGAGTGGTTGAACATTATTTGTCTCCTAATCTTTTTATTAAAGGGGGTTGTAACATTTGGTGGTTACTCCTTCCTTTAAAAAACAATTATATCTTCATATACAAATTAGGGTAATTAAAAAAAAACTTTCTGTGGGAATTTGGGATCTGTAACATATTAAATGGAAGAGAGTGTATTTTGTTGATATTCACAGGAGTTGGATAATTTACTTGTTGCTTTACTAGATGAGGCCAAGGTGAAGAAAATGCCCATTTGTTCTGCAATTGGCTGATTAGGCTTCCTTTAAATATAAAGCAAGTTACATAGCAGTTAAGAGTATTTTAACATTTTTTTCTTTTAATATTAAGGAATAACACATAAGTTGGAAAATTAATTAGCCGTGTCGAGTAGTATAAGAGTATTTTTCTAATTTCACTTCTGGCAGTTCTGATAGAAATCCTTCCCATGGGTGAGACTCCTTAGGAAAACGTTCTGAGTTCAGAACACTGCTTTAAACTACATTATATTTTTTTTGCTTCTCAAACCAGATCACACTATAAATCCAACCTGATTTCTAAGTAGAGTATAGATGTGGCTTGAGATAATGAATTGATTTTTGTGGGTTTTTTTTTTTTGTAATTAGCAAATATTTGCTTCGAAAACCTTTTTATAAAAAATCAGAAGTTACATTTTTTCATTAAAGAACGTTTGAAAAGTTTAGAAAAGGAGGAGAGAGACACATTACTAATCTTCCAAACCCAGTCATGGTTAATATTTTCATATATTTACATAGTTGTTCATGGTACATATAACCAACCATTTTATGTTCTGCGTACAGTTTTCCCCAAATTATTACGTAGTCTTTATGAACATAATTTTTAAGGTCTGTATAATATTCCATTGAGTGGATGTATGCAGTTTACTTAGGTATTTTTCAATTATTAGATGTTTCTCTTTTTTTCCCTATTATAAATAATGCTCTGATGAAAATCTTTGTGCAAAAACAATTTTCCCTTTCTGGTTCAGAATATTTCCTTAGAGTAAATTTCTGAAGATAAAGTTGCTGGAATAAAGATCTCAATATTTTTAAGGCTGCTGGGTTTTTTTTTTTTTACTAGATGAATACTTTTTTGTTAGTGTGAAATGTTTATATTTGGACAAGAGGGAAGGAAATCTCTGTTTGCTGACTCATGTTTTTATTTTGCACTTTAAACTGATAAGGCCACTTAGCTTTTGACATAAACTAAGGCAGGAAGTACAAAAAGGGGCAGAAAAAAAGTAGTTGTCTTGCCAAGGCCATAGTATCATGGACTCATTTGAGTTCCTTATATGAGGTAGGTTACCTGTTTGACTTGTATATTAAAAAATGCTTAACTCAGGTAAAAATTAGTCATCAGCCTGCATTTTGTTTTGTCTGGGCATGTTTATATGCAAAGTGCTGTGATCTTTCACTTTAATTTTCGTGAGTGGCCTCAAGACATTTACCACCTAACTGGCTTCTATAATGTTTGGATGCCCTTGGTTTAGATTTTTTTTTTTTTTTTTGCTCCCAGTATGAAGAAATCTTTCTGTATTGAAGATATTACCTTAGTTGTCTTTCTAAAATGTAGATCTAATAATGCTAATTCTCAGATTTAAAACCTTCCACTTGTCCATATGATAAGATTCTTCAGTCTTGCCCCTTCCTTCATATCAGCTTGTATCATCATCTCCAGCGGATTAAACCCTAGCATTTCTATCATGTGTCTGTTGGAACAAGCCATTTGGAAAAGTGGTTTAAAAATTCTGGCTCTAGAGCCAGGCAAAATGGGTTCAGATCCAGGTTCTGCCACTTATAGCTGTCTACATAACTTTGGACAAGATACTCAACTATTCTATATTTTATTTTCCTTACATGTAAAATAAAGAAAATGATAGTATTTACTTCACAGTAAATACTAAGGTATTGTTGCTAAGATTAAACTGGTTAATAGATAAACAGCAGTGAACAGTGTTTGTCAAGTAATGAACACACAAAATGTTTGCTCTATTGTTTTGCAAAATTCTACTTATCCTTTAAGTCTGATGTTTTCTCTTGGAAAAAAATGTTCTGAAATCTCTGGAATTGTTCTTTCCTTTTCCGTTTTTATATATTATTGTCTTAGTTTGTAGGCCGCTATAACAAAATACCATATAGACTGAGTGGCTTATAAACAACAGAAATTTATTTCTCAAAGTTACAGTAACTGGGAAATCCAAGATCAAGGTACCTGGATGGCCTCTTCTCTCTGTAACCTCATATGGTGGAAGGGAGGAGAGATCTCTCTGGGATCTCTTTTATGAGGGCACTAATTCCATTTATGGGAGCTCCGTCCTCATGACCTAATCACCTCCCAAAGGACTCACCTTCTAATTCTGTCACCTTTGGGGTTAGGATTTCAACATGTGAATTTAGGGAGGGGATACAAATATTCAGACCAGAGTGTTGTTGATACTTGTTTTATAGCCTTTATCACATGATATTAGAGTAAGTTAATAGTAGGTAAATGCACAGCACATGGGCCTCTTCTTCGGTTATTCTTGTGCCCATGGGCAATGGTATAATCGTATTATTTCTTCTGACTGAGTCCCTGGAAGGTCACCTAATAAAACATCTCAGCAAAGTCCTTTAGAATTAGCATGCAGGTTAGCAATTTGCTTTATGGGAGTTAGTTGTTTACACACTGGCTTTCCCAATGGATTGTGAGCTCCTCCAGTATGTTAGACATGTTTGCTTCTGTGTCTCCTGTGTCTAGCACTGTGCTAGGCATACTTAGCAGGTGCTTAATACAGCTTTGTTGAATGAATGTCGATTTGAATAGTTAAAACAAAAATCTGAAATGGTGGTTCTTATATAATACGTTGCCCAACACTTGCCTTAAATAAATACCCCCAAGTGATTTTGGGGGTATTTGTTTAAATGTATTTGTTATATATTTTAAAATAGCCCCAAGTTATTTTGATGCAAACTTAGCCATTCTGTTTAAAAATTATTGCTTAAAATGTTAAAAAGCTGTTTTTGAAGAAGAGATGGACATATAGAATATGAAGAAATACACTCCCTCTATAAATTATTCCCAGAAGCCTAGAAAAAAGTTCTTGTTCTTTTGCAAAACTAACCTTTTAGTAAAAGGAAATTATCATATCAATAGGTACACTCTGACCAAGTGTGACTTTTGATAATAGCATAGTTTTGTTTTCTCTTTCCTTTAATGTTAAATGAAAATAATACCAACTTCAAAAAAACTAGTAAATTTGGGTGAACTCTTTAAAAAGGAAAACAGCGGACACCCTGTGGCCTCCCAAATAGAGTTGACGCTCCGTATTTGGCTTTCTAAGTTCTTCAAGGAGCTAAATTATTCATCAGGCATTTAGTGAGAATCAGCTATGTGCCAGGTACTATGCCAAGTTCCAAAGGTAAGAAAATAATAAGTTGGAGTCCTACATTGTTTCCTGTAGTGAAGATGACAGATGTGTAGATTATCACAATGTAGCTATAGACATGCACCGTTTGCCATGACAGCTATTTATAATAATTATAATTTTTAATTTCTGAGGCTAACGATTTCCCCATTCTGATCCATTTATTGGTAATTTGTGCCTTCTCTTTTTTATTTATCAGTTTTGCTAGGGATTTATCCAATTTTATTAGTATTTTCAAAGAATCAACTTTGATTTTATAGGTTTTCTTTAGTATGCTTTAAATTTCTGCTTTCATTTTCTTCTACTTTCTTTGGGTTTATTTTTCCTTTTAAAAAATCTTTGGCGGGTATTAGAGTGTTAGTTTTCAGCTTTTTTCCTTTTCTAATATATGCATTTAAGACTATAAATTTCCCTCTGTGCCTTGAGCCACATCCTGCATTTTTGATGTGATATTTTTACAATCATTCAGTTAAAAATATTTTCTATTTCCTCTATAATTTCTTCTTTGACCTTTGGGTTATTTTAAAGTTTGGTTCTTTTCAATAACAATGTTTTTATTGATTTAGTTATACTAAAATCAAAGAATATGTTCTATATGATTTTAGTATTTTGATACAGATTGAGATTTGCTTTGTTATTCATTATATGGTCAATTTCAGTAAGTATTCCTTGCGTATTTGAAAGTGTTATGAATTGTACAGTTGTTGAGTGCTGTGATAATATGTATATGAATTGGATCAAGTTTTTAAACAATTTTTTTCTGTATCTATTGATTTTTGTTTGCTTGTTTTATCATTTATTATGTTAATCTCCCACTAGGATTGTGGGTTTGCCTGTCATTGTAATTGTTAGTCTTTTGCTTTATGAATTTGAGACTGTTATTATTTACATAAAATTTGGAATTTAAAAACTACATGGTGGCTCAACTCATCACTATAAAATGTCCTTTTTTTCTTTTTTGTCTTTAAAAATCTCTGGTGATACCTCTTACTTTTGAAGTCTGTTTTATCTGAATGGATAGCTATGCCAGCTTTTTGGGTGGAATATGCATAGTATATATTTTTCCACTCTCTTGCTTTCAATACTGTGTTCTTATATTTAATGTGTGTCTCTTTTAAGTACAATATGGTTAAATAATGTTCCCCACAACTCTCTTAGTTGTCATATTTTAGTCATTTATATTTAAGTAATTGCTTATACTTTGGGATTATATCTAAATCTTACTATTTTCTGTTTGTCTCATCTGTTGTCTCCTTTTCATATGTTTTGCATTAATCATTTTTAAAATTTTTATTTGATTTTTAGAGACGCTCTCACTCTGTCACTCAGGTTGGAGTGCAGTGGCACAATCATAACACCTATCATAACTCCTAGGCTCAAGCAGTCCTCCTGCCTCTGCCCCCTGAGTGGCTGAGACTGCAGGCACATGCCACCTTGCTGGACTACTTTTTTACTTTTTGTAGAGATAGGGTCTTCCTGTGCTGCCCAGGCTACTCTGGAACTCCTCAAGCTATCCTTCTACCTTGGCTTCCCAGAGTGCTGGGATTACTGGGCTAATCATATATATTTTTTTAATTCCATATTTTTAACCCATCTATTAGCTTGTTATAATTTTTAACTTATTCTCTCAGTTGTTGCTTTATTATGACATGAATTCATAACTTACTGTACTAATAGTAAATTATACTTTACCATGGCCTGGATAACACAAGGACCTTAGAATGCTAACTTCATATATCTCTTTTTGCTGTTGCCATGCATTTTAATTGTACATATATTTTAAACATCACAAGACATTCCTATTGTTGTTTTGTGAAGTCAGTATTCATTTAAACTTACCCTTATTTCCCCTTCAGGAGCTCTTCCTCATTTCCTGCAGTTCTTTGCTTATTTCTAGAGTCTTTTTCCTTCTGCCTGAAGAATTCCTGTTAGTATTTCTTTTAGTGACAATCTGCTGTAAACCAGTTCTCTCAGATTTTGATTGTTGGAAAGCATCTTTATTTCACAATCATTTTTTGAATGTGTTTTTCCTCTAAATGTAGAATTTTAAGTTACCAGCTATTTACGTTTGGCACTAATGATGTCATTTCATTGTCTTCTGGTTTCCATTGTTTATGCTGAAATGTCAGCTGTCAACCTGATTGTACTTACTTGAAGGTAATGTGCCTTTTTAAAGAGTTTCATCTTAGGTTTTCAAGAATTTTACTGTTATATGACACATTGAAATTTGTGGATTTCTCTGTATGTATCCTTGGAAGGTGTAGGGCTTCGTGAATGTATGGTTAGATGTCTGTTGACAGTTTTGGAAAAATCCTTGGCTAGTATCTAAAAATATTGCTCTGTTACAGTCTTTCTTCTTTTCCTTTAAGACTCTACTTATGCAGTGCTAGACCTTTCACTAGAGCCATTATGTCTCCTTAGTTCTTTATTTTTCATTTTTTCCCTCTCTTTGCATTAGTATGAGCATTTTTTACCAGTCTTCCTGCTCACTAATCTTTTATTCTACTGTATTTAACCTGTTGTTAAGTTCATCCTATTTAAAGTCTCATTAGTTATATTTTTCAGTTCTAGAATTTTTATTTCATTCTTCTTTATGGATTCCAGTTCTCTGTTAAAATCTTCAACCTTGTCTTCTCTTTCCTTGACATAGTAAATAGTAATCATTAATACTTTAAAGTCTGTTTCTGGTAACTCCATTACCTGGGTCACCCGTTAGGTCTGTTTCTATTCTGTTTTGTTTTGATCATTTGGTCCTGTTTCTTGGTATGCTTGATAACTTTTGGTTCATTGCATACACTGTGAATTTAAAATTGTAGTGGCTAAGGTTGATGTTGTCTTCCTCTACAGAGAATTTGTTTTTCTTCTGGCAAGCTGTTAGAGAGCAATACCCATCACCTAGACCAAGGCTAGGATTAAGATGATTCTAGATTGGTTGTAAAGACTGATCCGTTTCATTTTTGCCCTTAGACTGGGGCATATTCCTCCAGGAGCTTCCATTGAAAGCCTAGACTATTTACCAGGGTTTCTCCTCAGCAGGCCCTCAACTCCATTTGTTGCTGTGTTGTTATTTTGGGGTTCCTCAGCGCTATGAGGCTACTAGAAGCTCTGCTTAGTTTTTAGCCTCTTAGTTACCTCTTTCTGCTCGGCTCCTAGACCTTTTGCTGCTCATAGCATAGCTATTGGCAAATCCCTGGAAAGAGTGGTGACGAATATTCAGCTCACTTCATTGCATTTCCCCTCTCTCCAGGATCTTGGCCCCCTCAAGTCCTGAGTGCCTTGGTTCCTCTTTGATGCCTTTAAAAAGCTGGGCTTTTGTTTGTTTGTTTTCTGGCTTGTTTGTTTGGAAGGAGGTTGGTCTGATACGTGCTACTCCAGTTTAGCCAGGGTTTGTACAAAGTTAACCTCCTTAACCTTTTTCACATTTTATGTTTTCATGTGCTAAAGAGTAAACAGTTTAAATGAGGCAACTTGGCTAAAGAATTTGGTACAGTATGTGTCCATGTGCTTTATTCCTTTTATGTCAATAAATAGCAACATTTTTAAAGCAGGAGATGTATTTCCTATCCTATTTGTCCTGTAGCCCATAGACACAGGCTTGTTCACTGAAGAAATACCCTAAAATATTACTACATTTATATAAGAGGAATTTTCTTTTAGCCTAAGAAATATTTGTAGAACAAACCAAAAAAACAGAGATATTAGACTATTTTTTTCTCCCTGTTGCTTTCAGTTTTTGTTGATTGAGGTGTTTTGAAATATATTTTTAGAGGTTATAAATGAATCTAAATCTAAAATATTACAATATCTTTTGAGAACTTGGGCTTTTTAACTTTGTTGCTTTTATCCCAGAGCTTTTGCTAACAGTGGCTTACTTTTTAAACTGCTTCTCAGTTTACTCATCTGTAAAGTGGCAGCAATTGTATTACCTAACTCAAAGGATTGTGAAAAGCATTAAATGCTATATATTAGTCTGCTTTGGTTGCCATAATAAAATATCATAGACTGGGTGGCTTAAATAACAGAAATAGATTTTCTCTTTGTTCTGGAGTCTGGAAAGTCCAAGATCAAGGTTCTGGACAATACAGGCTCTGGTGAGGGCTCTCTTCCTGGCTTGCAGATGATCACCTTCTTGCAGTACCCTCAGTGTGTGTGCATAGAGGCTGGAGGAGGGAGATAGCAATCTTAAGACCACCAGTCCTATCAGGTTAGGGCCCCACCCTGATGACCTTACTTAACTTTAATTACTTTCTTAGAGGCTCCATCTCCAAATATAGTCATACTGAGAGTTAGGGCTTCCGCATATGAATTTTAGGGGTCACAATTCAGTCCACAGCATACTGTATTACATAAAAGCACTTAAAATAGTACCTAGCACATGGTGATTACTTAATAAATGTGGTTGTATGGTAAAGATGATTCTAACCATTCTTTTTTTGTTTTGTAGGTGCTGACTGGGTTACTTTTTTAAACACTAGGAATGGTAATTTCTACTCTTCTGGACTTCAAACTAAGAAGTTAAAGAGACTTCTCTGTAAATAAACAAATCTCTTCTGCTGTCCTTTTGCATTTGGAGACAGCTTTATTTCACCATATCCAAGGAGTATAACTAGTGCTGTCATTATGAATGTGACAAGTTTATTTTCCTTTACAAGTCCAGCTGTGAAGAGACTTCTTGGGTGGAAACAGGGCGATGAAGAAGAAAAATGGGCAGAGAAAGCTGTTGATGCTTTGGTGAAAAAACTGAAGAAAAAGAAAGGTGCCATGGAGGAACTGGAAAAGGCCTTGAGCTGCCCAGGGCAACCGAGTAACTGTGTCACCATTCCCCGCTCTCTGGATGGCAGGCTGCAAGTCTCCCACCGGAAGGGACTGCCTCATGTCATTTACTGCCGTGTGTGGCGCTGGCCCGATCTTCAGAGCCACCATGAACTAAAACCACTGGAATGCTGTGAGTTTCCTTTTGGTTCCAAGCAGAAGGAGGTCTGCATCAATCCCTACCACTATAAGAGAGTAGAAAGCCCTGGTAAGTGAGTTATTTTATGTTGATGTGCTTTGTGTGCCCAGTACCAGATTTGTGTTGTTTAGAACATGAAAATAATCCCTTTGCTTGTTTTTAGTTGTAATTTAAAAATATTTGGGGAAACTGTGTGTGTGTGTGTGTGTGTGTGTGTGTGTGTGTGTGTGTGTCTGTGTGAATGCAAGAGAGAAAGCCCCTGAGTGTTTCATACATTTTAACAGCTTAGTCATCTCTAGTTAACATTATGTCTTGGGAGCAGGCTATGACAATTGTCATTGCAGTACTAATACCTCTAATTTTTAATAAATTGTTTTCTTTCTAAATTTATTTTTTATGTCTCACATGGTTCTCTGCATTTCTCTAGATAAAATTAGCTATGAATTGTATTCTAAGGGAAGAAAATTAGGAAAGAAATGCATTATTGCTGTCTATATGCTTAAGGGAAGTACATCATGAGGGTAGTTGCCAGTGACTTAAACCATTCTGAACTTAAGAACAGCACTTTTTATCATCTCTGGCGGAATTTTGCTGTGGCATATTTCCTATGGTGAATATGAAGGAATTATATCCTTCTATGGAATCATTTGATGCTATTACTTTATAAAATATACCCAGTTTTTACATGTATAGTCTTTTGGGAGGGTATGGTAAAGGATATATTTTAAAATTTATACGGTTTTGCCCTCAAGTTAGAATCTACATTCTAGAGAGTTGGATCATTGGAAAGTGATTAGATATTCAAGCACTTAAATGTCTCATTGTCGATTGGGACCAATTTTGTTGATGGATTGGCTGTTAATAGTTCCTGGGTTACTAAGGCTGTATATTAGAATCACATGGCTCTCCTCCCAGAAATCCTGATCCTGGGATAGCCTGGTAATCTTTGTTTCTAACAAGTACTTCAGGTGTTACTGATGTAGCTATTGGATTGGTGTTTAGGAATTACTAAACTAGATCATGTAATAACATGGTTTTCAAATAAAAGGCATTCTGTATTTTTGTGGAATATTTAAGACATATTTTAAAAAAAGATTTTAAAGACCAGTAGTATAACAAACATCTCTGTATCCCCTACTCATTTTAAGAAATAAAAGATTACGTGTAAACTGGAACCCCTGTTTTTGCTCCTCTGATTCTGCTCCCTTTGGTAACCACTGTTCTGAATCTGACGCTTATCATTCTCATGCATGTTTTTATACTGTTATTACATATGTATGAGTCCATGACAATATGTAATATTTTATATATTTAAAAATGTTACATAATATTGGAGTTTCTTTGTACAACTTATGTTCATCCAACATTACGTTTTTGTGATTTCTAGATTATATACTTTAGGATTACCTTGTTAAGTCCTATGAAAAACACTTTGGGAATTTATTGGAATTTCGTTGATTTCATTTGGGGAAGATTGGCCTACTGTGCTCTTGAGCATAATATTATTTAGTGCACTTTTAAGTTTCTCCATACAGCTCCTGCACTTACTAGATTTATTTCTAGATAACTGGTTTTTATTGTATCCTTTTAAAAGTTACATTTTGTTACAGTTGCTCTTGGTTAAGAGAGCATTGCCTTTTTTCTAACAACTGTGCTGAATTCTCCTTACCAGTTTGGATATAGACGTTCTTTACTGCTTGTTATATCAGCTGTGATGCAGTGTTCTTTTTTCTAAACTCAGCACAGAGGTACATGTCCCTCTTCTAGCCAGAAATGGAAATGGAGCTAAGAGTTTTGGAGAGTAAAATGTAGTAGATAAGTAATATGTACCAGCAATATTATTTAGGCACATGATTTTTTTGATCCTCGTAGTAACCTTAAAATGTATTAATACATAGGTAAGATTTTAATTCTACTCCATATGCGATGAAACTGAGGCCCCTACAAGTTAAGTGCCTTGTGTTAGAACTAGAAAATAGAGGCATTTGACATGAAAGGCAAAATTCACTATTTAAAAGACACTATGAATATGTCTTCTCCATCCATACTCCCCCTCACCCTGCGCTAACCTTCCAGCATTTCATCTTGCAATGCAGCAACTGCCTCCTGACTGGTCACCCCCTTCAGTCCATTGTCTACAGAAAGGGATCTTTTAAGATGCAGACATGATCCTCTTGTTGTCCTACTTTTCCCTACTCTTGAGAAGTCCTCTAGAGAGGTCTGCACATTCTGGTCCTTTCCTCCCTTTCCAACTTCCTTTGTACTCTTGCATGCTTTGTGTGCTTGAGTTCTCTGGAAACATTCCATGCACGTTTCCTCTATCTGTACCTGTTTCTCCTCCCTCTTTGTCTAGCCCACTCTTATTTATCGTTTGTGTCTAGCACATGGTCATTACTTAATAAACTAAGTAATTGTGTGATGGAGGTCAGTTTCATTGGGAAACCTTTCTTGATACCTCCTACTTCACACATATCTCCCTACTCTGCTTGGGGAGGTTAGGTCTCATTTCCCATAGCAACCTGAATTTCTTTAGAATGTTCTTCACACTTATAATGATTGTTCTGTTGGTCTTCTCTGCAAGATAGTAAATAAAGCTCCATGAGGGCAGGGACTATGTGTATAATTAACATCTCTATTTTTAGCAACAAGCATAATTTGATAAATTTTTGCTGTTAAATGGTGATGCTGATTTTTAATTTAATATCGTCATTTGGCCATTTTTTTAGTGCTGAATTTTCAGTTTATCTATACCTTTTGACCATCTTCTTCCCTTCTTTGGTCATTTTATGGCTATTACACCTCTGATACAAGGTGAAAAGTTAAAACCAATACTGAGATGAATTTGTTACTCTTAATAACATATGTGCTAATAAAATAATGGGGAAGAGGTGGAAAACTGGCTTACATAGGCATTTTGAGACTCCACAAATGCCATTTCAGCCTCTCCTTTACCCAGGAATCTTGTGAGTCATGGATAGAATAGAACAGTTCTGGAAAACATGGAGGCTGAGGCTAAGATCTATTTAATTTGAACATATCAAGATTTTATGTATATTTTTCACATTATGAAGTGACTGATGTGGGAATTGGAACAAAGGACTTTTTCCAGAGACCACTATGAAGCAGTCCCTGTACCTTCTGAAGAGAAACTCTACTAAATCAAAGTGCAAGAGGCAGCCAGATGTGGTGGTACATGCCTGTAGTCTCAGCTACTCAGGAGGCTGAGGTGGGAGGATCACTTGAGCCCCAGAGTTGAAGGCTGCAGCACACTATGATCATGCCTGTAAATAGCCATTACGTTCTAGCCTGGGCAGTGTAGTGAGACTCTGTCTCAGAAAAATAAAGTTAAAAAAATGCAGCATAGTAAAACCCCATCTCTACTAAAAATACAAAAATAAGCCTGGCGAGGTGGGGGGCGCCTGTAATCCCAGCTACTCGGGAGGCTGAGGCAGAAAAATCACTTGAACCTGAGAGGCGCAGGTTGTAGTGAGCCAAGATCATGCCATTGCACTCCAGCCTGGGGGACAAGAGTGAAACTCCATCTCAAAAAAAAAAAATAAAAATGTGCAAGGTGACTTAGCCCCTCACACTGCCAGAATTGAAGCCCTCTATAAAGCCGTACAGAGTACACCTGGGTATTGTTTTTGTGAAATCAGAAAAAGGGGGTCTGGAATTCTAAGCTGCACATATACACAGCTCAACACTGAATTATTTTGAACTTTGTCACTATTTTACTTCTGATGAAGTATCTCAAAGAACAGTTTAGCAGTTTAACATATTTAAGTCTCCCAAACTTGGTGACTTCTGCTGAGGTCTCAATGACTCTTGAAAAAAACTCAAAAATTGAGAATATTTAGGTTTAGAGTAGTGGTTTTCAAAGTGTCGTCCACAGAGTAGTAGCATCAGTACCACCTTGGAACTTGTTAGAAAAGCTAATTATTATTTTTAAATTGACAAATAATTGTATATATTTGTGGAATACAGTGTTATGTTTTGGTACATGTATACATTGTGGAATGATCAAATGAGGCTAATTAACATATCTGTCACCTCCCATGTGTATTTGCTTATTTCTTTCTTTTTCTTTTTTTCTCTTTTTTTTACTGCCTATTCTCTGAACCATTTTTTTGTTTGTTTGGTTGGCTTTTTTTTTTTTTTTTTTTTTTTTTGAGGTAGAGTCTCGCTCTGTTGACCAGGCTGGAGTGCAGTGGCATGATCTCGGCTCACTGCAACCTCTGCCTCCCAGGATCAAGAGATTCTCCTGCCTCAGCCTCCCGAGTAGCTAGGATTACAGACGTGCATCACCACGCCCAGCTAATTTTTGTATTTTTAGTAAAGATGGGGTTTTACCATGTTGGCCACGCTGGTCTCGAAGTCCTGACCTCAGTTGATCCACCTGCCTTGGCCTCCCAAAGTGCTGGGATTATAGGCGTGAGCCACTGAGCCCAGCTGAACCTTTTTTTTTTTCACCATACTAATTTCTTTTTGGTGAGTACATTTAAAATCCACCCCTAGCCTAAGCAACATAGCAAGACCCCGTCTTAATTTTTTTTTTTTTTAATTAGCGAGGCATGGTGGCATGTGCCTATAGTCCTACCTATTCAGAAGCTAAATCAGGAGGATCACTTGAGCCTAGGAGGTCAAACCTGTAGTGAGCTATCATCATGTCGCTGCACTCCAGCCTGGGTAAGAGAGAGACTCTGTATCAAAAAAAAAAAAAAACCCACTTTTTTAGCAATTTTGAAATATACAATGTATTATTAACTATAGTCACCATGCTGTGCAATAGATCACCAAAACTTACTACTTCTAGCTTAAGGTTTGTACCCTTTGACCAGCATTTCCTCTGTCCATGTTCACCCCTCCCTGCAGCCCCTGATAACCACCATTCTAATTCTACACTCTACTTTTATGAGTCTATTTTAGATTCCACATGTAGTGAGATTGTGCAGTATTCGTCTTTCTGTGCCTGGCTTATTTCACTTAACAATAATGTCCGCCAGGTGTCACAAGTGACAATTTCCTTTTTTAAGGCTGAATAGTATTTAATTTGAAAAAAATGTTCAACATAAGTAATCATCAGGGAAATGCAAAAACTGCAGTAAGATATACCTTTCACCTGTTAGAATGGCTGTTATCAAAAAGATGAAAGATATCAAGTGTTGGCAAGGATGTAGAGATAGGGGACAGCCATTTTGGAAGACAGTATGGAGGTTCCTCAAAAAATTAAAAATAGAACTACCATATGATCCAGCAGTCTCACAACTGGGTATATGTCCAAAGGAGGTCAAATCAGTGTGTCAAGGAGATGTCTGCACTACTAAGTTCACTGTGGCATTATTTACAATAGCCAAGGTATGAAGTTAACCTGAGTGCTCTTCAGTGGATGAATGTGTAGAAATGCAAATTCTTAAACCCTTCCACAGACCTACAATACTGAATCAGACTCTGGAGATGGGGACAGACATCTGTGTTGTAACAAGTTCTCCAAGTGAAACTGATACTGCAAAAGTTTGAGAACCACTGGTTTAAGGTATCCAGGCAAGTCATCAAGTCCGATTGTCTGGATGAAGTTGTCTTGAATTCAGAAGAGATGCTAATGAGCTAGTCTTTTAAATCCTCCAGCATTTTTAATTTTGCATGTTTGGATACAGATAGAAAATTGCTCTTTCCAGAGTTTTCCTTCTGATATTCATTAAGATGAGCCCTCTAACAAGATGGGATAAGTTGTCTTTAAGTGGGCGGGGAAGTTGGGGAGAAGTCTATGCTTTTGTTATTCGGCTCAGTGCAAGTTTTGGAATTGTTCTTTAGAGTGTACTATCTCTATCTCTTTGACAAAAGTAATATTACGGACGGGAATAATTGTTGCTTTTCCTTAACCTATGCCATTTATTTTCTTATAAATAAAACAGTGTAAAAAAATGGTAGTGGGGAAAAACAAATTTATGAAAACACTTTGCTACAACTTGTGTTTATTATAGTTAACAATGACAAATGTGCAAGGAGAAAAACCTTCCTTTTGTTGAAATTTGCCACTTTGACCATTGCTGAAAAATAGATCTTTGGGAAAGTAGAAAATGTTAGGAATTTCTTTTTCTGCAAATGTGTGAATACTTACAGGAAAGAGAAAGTTCGTGGAGCTTCTGAAGACTATGTCCCTGCTGATGATTTAACAGGTGGACTGTTTACTTGGACTTTTACTAGCCTTCAGAATCAGGGCTACTTATTAGTGGTTGAATTAAATGTAGGGTTTATTCTTTCTTACCAGAGTAAATGCTGACAGTGGTTAAGCAAGCAATCTAACTGTGGTATTGAGAAGACCATTCAGTTGCTATCTTCTGCTATTAAAAATGCCTTAATGGAGATTACCTGCCATTGGCCATTTTTTTTTTAATGTTTTTCACATGGTTCTTGAAAATTATCTTCTGCACTTTGAACTTAATCAGCTTGAAAGGGCATATTAAATCTGAGCTTGAAATTCTGAGATTTCAGTTTTGATCTTTAAGGCATTAGCTTCCAGGTGCTTTCATTTTCAGCATGATGGCTGCCAGCTGTTTAAAATTCACGTAAAATCCTCTTCACCTGTTGACTGAATGCATGTTTTCACTCTTTGGCTGCCTCAGTCACTGTGTAATTCGTGTCTTGGTAAATTTTACCTTGAAGAGAAAGTCTTAAAATTATAGAAATAGAGGACAGATTAGTTCTCACCAGGGGCCAAGAAGAGGAAAGAGGGGAAGGGGAGTGGGTGTAGCCATAAAAGGGCAAAGTGAGAGATCCTTGGGGTGACGGAAATTTTCTGTATCTTGACTGTATCAATGTCAATATTTTGATTGTGATAATTTTGTAATATTCTGTGATAGTCTGTAATATTCTGATTCTGTAAGTAGGATTTCTCTGTTATCCTTAAAACTGCATGTGAATCTACAATTACCTTGATTTAACAAATGGTTTTCTGTAAAAAAAAAAAAAAAAAAGCAGCTAGTTCAGCTCACACTGGTGCTCTTTGTGCACTTTTCATTTTGTCACACAGAATATTAAAAAGACGAGAGGAAATGTAATAAAATTAATATTTTATAAAACAGGCTGGGCGTGGTGGCTCATGCCTGTAATCCCAACACTTTGGGAGGCCAAGGCGGGCGGATCACGAGGTGACCATCCTGGCTAACACGGTGAAACCCCGTCTCTGCTAAAAATACAAAAAAAAAATTAGCCGGGCGAGGTGGCGGGCGCCTGTAGTCCCAGCTACTCGGGAGGCTGAGGCAGGAGAACGGGTGAACCCAGGAGGTGGAGCTTGCAGTGAGCCGGGATCGCGCCACTGCACTCCAGCCAGGGCGACAGAGCAAGACTCTGTCTCAAAAAAACAAACAAAAAAATGGTCTGGGTGCAGTGGCTCACGCCTGTAATCCCAGCACTGTGGGAGGCCAAGGCGGGTGGATCACCTTAGGTCGGGAGTTCGAGACCAGCCTGACCAACATGGAGAAACCCCATCTCTACTAAAAATACAAAATTAGCCCACGTGGTGGTGCACGGCCTGTAATCCCAGCTCTCAGAGGCTGAGGCAGGAGAATCGCTTGAACCTGGGAGGTGGAGGTTGTGGTGAGCCAAGATTGTGTCATTGCACTTCAGCCTGGGCAACAAAAGCAAAACTCTGTCTCCAAAAAAACAAATGGAAATCTTTAAAAAATGTCTTGCTTCACCACATTGTGAATGTGTTTTGTTTTGTTTTGTTTTGTTTTTTTGTTTTTTTTAATTTGAGATGGAGTCTCGCCCTGTCGCCCAGGCTGGAGTGCAATGGCATGATCTCAGCTCACTGCAACCTCTGCCTCCCGGGTTCAAACAATTCTCCTGCCTCAGCCTCCTCAGTAGCTGGGATTACAGACACCCGCCACCATGCCCAACTAATTTTTGTATTTTTAGTAGAGACGGGGTTTCTCCATATGGCCAGGCTGGTCTCGAACTCCTGACCTTGTGATCTGCCCGCCTCAGCCTCCCAAAGTGCTGGGATTACAGGCGTGAGCCACCGTGCCTGGCTGTGAATGTGTTTTTATATGACATGTGTGTGGTAACAAAAAACTTCAGTCTAGTTCAAGTTTTTTTTAAGTTTTTAAATATTTGGGATTAATTAGCAATAATATTAACTATAAAAATTAAAATAAGGCATTATGCCGTGTGTTCCTGCGTGTCTAAATTTCTTTTTATTCAGACATTTAAAGCACATGATAAACTAACTCCTCAGGAACTGTGCCTGCCCCAGAAGGTTAGCATGTAATTACAGCACTGTATTCTAAATTGAATAGAGGTGTGGACAGAGACTGCGACTAACTCTTACACACTGGATAGAGGCTGCAGCTAACTCTTACACACCCAGGAGTCACCACAGAAAAGCTTGCTCACTCTGACACATATAACACATGGTGTTGCAATCTGTGTGGTGATGGGATATATGTGTATGTTTCAGTGCAGAAAGGACTTAAATCAGTTTACAGGTTTTGGACATACAATAAAATAGAAAAGAATTACTAATAAAATAGACCAGGGAAAATACAATGAAAGATCAAGACTGAGAAAAACTAGCACAAAGGTGTTCCATAGGAGTTACTATAATACAAATATACTATGTATATTTGTATAACTATAAACAAAAATAACTATCGTTATTATATGTTTGTAATCCTAGTTTGCATGTTTCTCGTAATAGTTTTGGTGTAGGGGAGAGGTGTATGTATTAATAGCTTGGAGATGAAGGAAGAAAGTTTTAAGAGTTAGGAGATACAAATCAGCTTTTGCGCTTGAAGGTTGGGTTCCGGGCAGAGCCACTGAGGCGGTTGCAGAGGCTTCTGGCAGGAGGGGTGCCTTAGGGTGGGGTGGGTGCCCTCTGGCTTTTGCAGTTGCTCTTCCACAGTCCTCTCAGGGCTTCATTCTTCAGTCTACATGGAAGTTCTTTTTTGGCTTTTTGTTTTGGTTTGTTTTTTTGAGACGAGATCTGGCCCTGTTGCTCAGGCTGGAGTGCAGTGGCGCAGTCATAGCTCACTGCAGCCTCAAACTCCTGACTTCAAGGCATCCTCCCACCTCAGCTTCTCAAAGTTCTGGGATTACAGGCATGAGCTACCATGCTCAGTCTGGAAGTTCTTTTTTGAAAAAGCACAAGGTCACTACTTAGATTTCTATCCACACAGCCTAGTGGACATGGAGATAAGACAGTGAACGCTTTCCAGGATTTTATCATTGGCATTGGCTTATGGTTGATAATTTTATTATTTTCATCTATAATATTACTAGAAACATGAAATAATATAGTCATGAGTAGGATTTTATACCCAGATCTTTTAGTGGATTCCAGTGTTAAATCCTAGGCAAATGTGAAGCTTGTTATTTTAATTTTTTTTTTCTTTTCTGAGCAACTGTTCTTAAATGCATTTGTGGCATTTGTTTTGGGTTATTAATTGATGAATAGATACTGTTTCAGCCATTACTGTATGTTACTTTTACATAAACTGTAAAAGTACATAAGTTGTTATACATCGATGGAAGCAGACATCTAGACAACTACAATGTGATTTGTTTCTGGGCAGAATTTTTCTATTGCCAAATCTACTTTAATTTGAAATTTTAAGACAGTAGTCTATAGATCATACAAAGTACCTTTCTCATACTTTTGCTTTCCTGACGTTTGTCTTCTGCTTTATTATTTTTCTTCTTATTCTATTTCTGCAGTATTAGGTGGGCAAGAGAAGATATTTTCAGATCTTTCAGATTCATTTAAAGTGCAGCTGTCTTCCACCCTCCATTGCTGGTTCATAGAGCAGAAAGAACACCAGCCAGCCAGCAGCTGTTAAAAAGAAAACGAAAAAAAAAAAAAGTGACTGAAGAAAAACAGCAGTTTTGAAAACCATAGAAAAACATTTGTCATAATATTTTAAATTAAAAGAAAAAAACCAGGCCAATGTTTCCAAGACTAGCTTAGGGTGAAATAATAATTAAGACCTTCTGAATTGTGCTTTTTGGCTTATTATTCCCACATGTGGATCATCCTGAAACAATGATTTCTTGGAGGTTTGAGTAAGTTTTATATGTGGTTGAGTTTAGGAGGAGTCACAGGTGATTTGCCCCATGTGGGAGTGCCCGGTGGCCTTGCTGGATACTTGGAAAAAGGAGAGAAATAGAAGAGGATGGTCGGCTTATGTAATGATCTCAGGCTGATTAATTTGGTTTTACTTTCAGCCTCTTTGGTGCTAGATATCAAAAGGCCAGAGAACAGACCAGAGATTGCTTTCTCTCAAATATATGTTCTATCCCCTTGCCATTTTCCCCTTAAAATGAAAATGTTCTCCGGAAAGACTAAGCATCATGACTAATAAGCATGAATTAGCCAGATCATCAAACCTCTGCCCTGATATTTGGAAAAATGAGATTTGTTTGGGGAGGAGATGGGGAAGCAACAAGGGTTTATTTGTTTTTGAAGAAGCAGAGCTGGAGGATTTGGAGCAGCTGTAGGGTGGATACCATGAGCACTGTGGTAAAAATCTAAGAGGGCTTGCAGAATAGTAGAGCTAAAACCCCCACATTTTGTTAATTTGCCAGTTTGGCTGGGGATTGGTGTAGTTGTTTGATACTGGTGCTGAATCTAGTTTGAATGTCTGCATGCAGACTCGTTTCCTCTGGGTTTGGGCTGGGGTGGGTTGGGCTGAGCTGGGCTGAGCTGGGCCAGGCCTCCTGGTGTATGGGAGATGGAGAGATAATCACTTGCTGCTTACCCACTCCACTTTTCTAATTATCATTGCCCTCAGTCCTCAACAGGATTTCTCTAGCACTGAAGCCTGACCATAATACTCAATTGCAGGTCTGCTCCACATAAAACTATGTAACTAGAGGTAAGTGTAATTTCCTTGATAAAAGATCTAGGGTGTTGGAAACACATTCTGTGGCTTAAATCAAGATTTAGGTCAACAAAGGAGTGTTTGGCAATTTTCCTCCAGTTCTCTAAATTGTAATGTTCATGCTCTGGAATCTTAGCAGGTTTTAAAAATGGAAGATCAGGTTTATATTCTGCTATATCACTACCCTGGTTCTAAAACAGCTCTCCAAGAGATGCTGCTTTTCTTAGTTCTTTATTCTTTCGCATGAGAAAAGACATTTTTTTATCTAAATTGTGGCCTGGCGTGGTCTGGCTTATGTGGTCGCACATCACCTTCACTTGACTAATTGCCCAGTGGCCTGTCTGGGATGTTCAGTGAGAATAAAGTAAAAGAAGAGTGATTTTATAAGGAGCATTTGGACAGCTTATTGTAAACTAAAAATAAACATATAAATAACAGAGTGAAATTGCCTTATATGTTTTTGCCTTTGTTTCCCTGTAGTTTCCCTATCAGTTCTAGCTAGCTAGCTTTGTAGCAGATTTTGCAGTATTTTTTGTGTGTGACAATACCTTTCTTTGAGCACCTGAAAAGTTTACCCAGGGTATGGTGGTGTGCTTGACAGATATTTAAGTAAGATGATCAACTTGGGAGAAAAGTTGTGGATAAATGTCTATTCACATATAACTTACAGCTTTTAAATAGGAAAAATAATAGCTAATCTTAAAATGTTATTTAAGAGAAAACTGATGGGAGCATGTCACAAGGACCCAGAGGCCAGCTTGTGACAAATCTGAGACAATTTGATCAACGGAATAATTAAGGACAGAAGTGAATTATAAACCACTGGGAGAAAAACAGGAATCCATGCTGAAGATGAATGGGGGAGAAGGAAAAGGCTCTTGCTCACAGTAGAATGCCATTGCCAACCAGTAAATGTGGAGTTCTTTAGGATATTCTGGACAATAAGGCCATTTAAAGGAGATATTTATTTCTCTTTAGTAGTTAAAATATGATGGGAAGAATCTAGGGTTAGAAGGGCTGGATTGAATTTTGGCACTTGATAACTTTGACCTTGGGTTAGTCATTTGTCCTCTTTGAGCTTGTGTTTGCTAACCCATAAAATGGGGGAGTGGTTACATCTACTTTTCAGGTTGAGGATAAAGTTAATGCATGTGAAAAGGCTTTATGTACTAATGCATTCTTGAAACAATATGACTGAAATAGTGATACAAGGAACATCACTTCTGTGTATCTTTCTTAGAATAGAAACAAAATTTGTAATGTAAGCAACTTTTCATTAAACAGATATTCAGAAAAGGAATGATATTATTAGAATAAAATATTAATAAAGTTAAAATAGTGACTTTTTATGCTTTCTGTGTGCTGGACACTGTGCTTATCACTTACCATCTATTCTCATTTAATTCTTTTTTTTTTTTTTGAGACGGAGTCTTGCTCTGTCGCCCAGGCTGGAGTGCAGTGGCGGGATCTCGGCTCACTGCGAGCTCCGCCTCCCGGGTTCACGCCATTCTCCTGCCTCAGCCTCCCAAGTAGCTGGGACTACAGGCGCCCGCCACTACGCCCAGCCAATTTTTTGTATTTTTAGTAGAGACGGGGTTTCACCGTTTTAGCCGGGATGGTCTCGATCTCCTGACCTCGTGATCCGCCCGCCTCGGCCTCCCAAAGTGCTGGGATTACAGGCGTGAGCCACCGCGCCCGGCCCTATTCTCATTTAATTCTAACAACGACTGCCGGAAGATGGTACCAATGTGGCTACTGATATGTAGAATTTGAGTAAATTTTTCACACAACTTGTATCTGGAAAGCCAGGATTCAAATTAAAGCCTAACTGCAAAATCCATGCTGCTAACCACTGTGCTATACTGCTTCCCAAAAGAAGTCTTTAATCAGTTTTCTCTCAACAAAAAGGAGGGGCATCCAGAGTTTTTGGTAGTAGAGAATGTGATCATATGTGCACCAGCTGCATGAGTTTTGGATTGCGAGTCCACATCTGCCCTTGAAGTGTTTATGGAGGCTTCTGTTTATTTCCCATTGATCAGTAATTTTTTTTTTTTTTCGAGACAGAATCCCACCCTGTCACCCTGGCTGTAGTGCAGTGGCGCAACCTTGGCTCACTGCAACTTCCACCGCTCCCCGCCCCGGCCCCGGCCCTGGGTTCAAGTTATTCTCCTGCCTCAGCCTCCCGAGTGTCTGGGACTACAGGCATGCACTACCACTCTCGGCTAATTTTTTTGTTTGTACACACACACACACACACACACACACACACACATACACACACATATATTTTTTTTTTTTTTGAAATTGAGTCTCACTCTGTCACCAGGGCTGGAGTGCAGTGGCACGATCTTGGCCCACTGCAACCTCCACCTCCTGGGTTTAAGTGATTCTCCTGCCTCAGCCTCTTGAGTAGCTGGGATTACAGGCGCCCGCCACTACACCCAGCTAAATTTTTGTATTTTTAATAGAGTCAGGGATTCACTATGTTGGCCAGGCTGGTCTCGAACTCCTAATCTTGTGATTTGCCCTCCTCAGCCTCCCAAAGTGCTGGGATTACAGGCGTAAGCCACTGCACCCGGCCTAACTTTTGTATTTTTTAGTAGAGACGGGGGGTTTCACTATGTTGCCCAGGCTGGTCTCGAACTCCTGACCTCAAGTGATTCACCCACCTTGGCCTCCCGGAGTGCCAGGATTACAGGCGTGAGCTACCGCGCCTGACCATAATGTTCTTTATTAGATACCAAGTATCTCATTTTCGTGGAATATATTTAATTGCATCAAATATAAACTCAGAATGAGCTGAATATAATTAATTCAGCTGCAGTTACAAATTAAAGATGCCTGGGTGACACCTAGGTTAATCATTTACATATCAATCGTGCAATAGATGAATAGACACCATAGGCTAACTGCTCTTTGTGTAATGACTACCTCTTACTGTGTGCTTATGGAACTTTGTTAAAACTAACTTGTGCAACGTTGAGAGACACCATAGCACGGTGGCTAAGAACTTGGACTGCAGTGCCAGGCTGCCTAGGTTTGAATCCTGTCTTCCCTGGTTATTGGTGATACATTCTCTATCTCATTCTCTATATCTCATTTTCCACTTTTATAAAGTAGAGGTAATGTAGTACCTAGGATCAGAGTTGTTCAGAGGATTCAATGAGTTAATATCTGGTACAGCTTGGTATGTGGCACTTGGTACACACATGTATAAGCACCATATTAAAAGAAAATCTGAGAAGTACTATTATTCCTATTTTATTATTAAAAGTGAGGTTTAAATAGTAAATTGCCCTAGTTAATCGGCTAGTAAATAAGCAGAATTTCCAATTTTGGAACTGAGAAACTAAAACCTGCTTCTGACTGTTACTATACTTCATGTGTGGCTTTTGAAGGTATTTTTTTTTCTCCTGATGTTTTTAGGTTATACCCTGAAGTTTTTTTCTACCTCTAACAACTCTCGAAGTCTCTAATAACAGAGCACCTTCCTTCTGTGGAAGTAAAGCAGATAAATACTTGGCAAAAGAAAGGAAACTACCAGGGTGAAAGTAGGAAGAGAAAAGACAGAGAGGGAACTAGGTTTGACAAACTGCTGTGTGCCACCATTCTTGATTCTCAGAGTGCTGTTAAGGGCTTGCTATCCCTTTGGGGAAACTGAGGTGGGAATTTATGCCACCTAAATTCATACAGCTAAGACCGTGGGCTATCTTGATCCCAAGCCAGTGCTTTTTCCATGACAACATGCCTCTTGACCAAAAAAACTGGGCCCTGTAAATTTTCTGTAAGCTTACTATAAGGCCATGCCAGCCTTTTCCATGTCATTTGGATTTATATCTGTATACTGTCAAAGAATCAGGACCAATACTGTGTAGAGTTTTTTGTAAGTGAAAGGGATGATCTCTAGAAATTTGACTTAAGATGAGAAAAATTGAAGTTCAAGTTCCACAGCTACTTAGAGACATAGATAGGGCCAGACACCTAGCTCTCTTGCCAGTGCATGTAGTAACCATTTGTCTTCCTGTACCTAGGCTGTATTCACCCAGAATTGCTGAAGGTTTTGACTTGTTATATCTGGGATGAGGTATAAGAATCTGCCTTTTTAAATAAGTATCTAATTCAGGTGCAAAGAGTCTGAGGGCTGAACTTTGAGAAAGACTGGTTTATATGAACCCACTTATAGTAGACAGGTCAGGAATAGCAATACAATTTACAAACATATTGAAAAAACATTCATTCTGGACCTATTAGGTGCCAGACACTGGCACCTATTTCCTTTCAAAAGAAAGAAAATCAGTTCTACCCACAAAGGCATTACAGTCCAGGTGAAGTAAAGTCAACTTAGCAATAAAATGTTGCAGATGCTACAATGAAAGTCTGTGTAGGGCACACTGAGGCATAGGGAGGAATTCTTTTCTACCAGGGGTGGATAGAAAGACCGGGAAAGGCACCATGGGAGTGCTGTTAGAACTGAGACTTGGAAATATGGCCAAGTGAGCAAAGGTGCAGAAGTATGAAACTAGCAGATGAAAACTGCAAAAAGCCACAAAGATAGGTTGAAGCAGGAATCTGAACTAGGTTATGGAGTCATAGCAGACGTTCTGTGGGTGCCCAGAGAAGGTATTTTTCAAGAAAATAATCTGTGGTATACAAAAAGAATCATTGGCCTGGCATTATCTAGGAAGTTGGATTCTCAGAAGTTGAGTTAGATTTAGGTGATTTTTAGGTAAATTTAGTGGCTTTTGTTTAATGCTTTATGATATTGTTGAATGAAATTCATTTATCTATGTCAAATTATGTTCACATCTTTGTCTTTTAATATATTTGTACTTGAGTAACTATACTCCCAGAAAGTAAATACTACCGTGTTGCTACCTTTAGGCAAAACTATCATACCTTTTAAAAAGATCTTGCCCCCAAAAAAACAAACAGAAGGATGGAAAAAGAATTTAAAAAACAACTTCCACAGTCTCTTTCCAGTTTTATAGTACTGAGTGATTGTCTAGTGGTTATGAGCAGACCTTGATTCACATCCTGGCCCTCAATTAGCAGCTGTGTGACCTTGCATGGGTTACTTAGCTAGGCTGAGCCTGATCCTTCACCTGTAAAACAGAGATAACTGCTGTGAGGATTTAGTGATAGACACTTTTCCCAATGGGCAAGGACAGTGTCTGTCCTGTTGACTCATACCTGCAGTGCCCTGCATGATGGAGGCATATATGGTACCCAGTGAACCTTATATTATAGACCCTCCGTACTATCACCTCATCACCAATAAGCAGACAAAAAAGTGCCACCACTCAGGGGTTTAGGCTGTTATATATTTTCATTAAAATTTAACCTCTATTGAGGTTCCAAGAATCATTTCTTCAGCGTAAAGTTTCCCTGACATATGCTGAGGTAAGGAATTTTATTTCATAAATGTGTATACTATTAATTTTAAGTGTTCTTACTCTTACCCTTTCCGGCACTTCCTACTTGAAGTGTCTCTGTTTAGAAGGTCACTGAACACACTCTACTGGGGACATCTGTCTCGTGTAGGCATCATATTGGGCACAGCTGCTCTGGCAGCTTGCCCTCCCTTTCTCACAAGAATTGCTGCAGCTGACTGGCTCTGGGGCCATTCTGTCCCTAGCCCTGGGCCTCCTTTCTGCTTGTAGGTGGCCTCACTGAAATGTCCTGAGATTCAACTTAGATGCCATCTGGGGCTGAGCTTTGGACATTACAAAACTCCAGGTGTACATGAGCAGCATTCTCATCCATCAGAAGACTTGCAGAATTTAGAGCAGGAAGACCCTGTGGAGAGCAAGTTTCTTGCTCTTTTGTGTGAGGAAACTGAGTCCCTGAGACATTAAGTGATTGGCTCAAAGTCACAAAGGTGGTTACGGGAGTCAGGACTAGAACTAAGGTGTCTTGACTCTAACCTAAATGCCTTTACCACCTTCTCAGAACTAGAAAGCATTTCTGTACTGCCAGGTAACAGGTAGCTTGTGTCCGTTACTTCTTTTTTTTTTTTCTGTTACTTCTATATGGGCAAACATATATCAGAACTCTCTTGCGTGTTTAAAAAAGAAAAAAGCTGCTTTCTCACGAACATTTGGTGGGTCACAGCCCACGTGGGGATTTGTCAGACTTTGTCTCATTACTAGACTACTTTACCACTGACAACTTGGTGATAGAATTTCAAGCAGTACTTCAAAATCTTAAAAAAGCTCTCACATCTAGAGTTTACAGGAATCCTTTCCAGAGCTCAGCCCCTCTCTACAATTTTAACTGTTCTTTTTCATGCTTTTCCGTGTACCTTAGCAACGCTGAAAAGCTGAGTATAATAGCAGAATCACAAATATCTCTGAAACTTTTGCTTCCTGAAACATTCTTAGTTGGGTTTCCCTGTTGACTGGAAAAGGGATTTTATTTTTAACAGAGATGCACAGTTTGAAAAGCAGAGTTAACGTCACTGAGAAAAGGCAGAAATCTGAAGATTTTTTTCTCCTGAGAGAAAAGGAAAAGAGATCAGGAAAAGAAGATAGCTTCAGCCTTTTAAAGACATAACACAATTAGACATTTTCAAATGGGTGGAGAGGATTGGTGAAATCACCTAGGGGCGTTTTTTCAGAATATATTTGAGGGGTTAGGGTGGGAGAAAAGATTTGGGTTTTTACCAGAGTTAGAGCTCCTAGGATACAAGAAGGACATACATGGTCTGATTTTTAAATAACTCGGAAGAAATTCATGTGTACAAAGAAAGATGTTTTAACATTGGGCTCTTCTTTGAAAGCAGATTCTTATTCAAATTAACCAATAGGAGCAGCCCTTAAAGAGGGAAGTCCCACACTTTAGCCATATTTTGAAGTTACCAAACAAGGGTCACCTTAGTGCACTAAGAAAGTGGTTCCCCAGAAAAGTCTACGTTCCCATATTTGTTTTCCATAAAATAGGAACAGCCCGAGACATAGAACAAGTCAGAGGGAAACACTGCTCACCCTCTCTCCCTTCCTATTGGTGATCTGAGTTGGGCCTGCAGTTTGCAAATCCTCATTCTTTAGGCTGGTAAATCTCTCACCCAAGAAATGAGAATTGCACAAAGAAAGTGTGCTTAAACATGAATAATTATCTGAATGTTTCTTCTTTCCTTTTTGCCTAATAGAAAACATATTTTAATTATTCTTTACTGAAATCTTGCTGAAATGAAAGGAGCATGAAGTGGGGGTAGAGCGAGAGACATCTGGGAGAGAACCACGCATTGTCCTTCAGGATTCCACACAGGGAGAGAGGCCTGGGCCTTGTTATTTTAGAGCAGCACGTGTGTGTAGGCTTAACCCAGCCTGACTAACTTCTATGTGTCTCCTCTCTGCCACATTAATACTTCTTTCTAGGGCTGGCAGCTGTTCCAGACCTGTCTCTTTACTTTCCTGAATTTAATTAGTCATCGCTTATAGTTAGTGTGAACATTTATTGTCCAAGCCAGGAGGCTTGAAATTGACAAGAGTCACCTATTACTAATTACATTGGACAACAGGTACAAATTGGGACTATCCCAGGCAAGCTAGAACTTACAGACACCCTACTTATACAGTCTCCAGGGTGGGTGTGGTGGCTCATGCCTGTAATCCCAGTGCTTTGAGAGGCTGAGGCAGGAGGATAGCTTGAGACTAGGAGTTTGAGACCAGCCTGGGCAACATAGCGAGACCCTGTCTCTACAAAAAATAAAAATTAACTGCGCATGGTGGCAGGCATCTGTAGTCCTAGCTGCTCAGGAGGCTGAGGCAGGAGGATCGCTTAAGCCCAGGAGTTTGAGGCTGAATTGCTCTGTGATCATGCCTGTGAATAGCCACAGCACTCCAGCCTGGGCAACATAGCAAGACCCCAGCTCTAAAAATAATAATAAAATTTGTTTTTAAAAAAGCAAATAAGGAAGTTTTTGTAAGTGCTGCTGTGGACCATGTGGTAGTAATTACCAGTTAGAAGATACATTGGAGAAGAAGCCTCATTTAATCTCATTGAAAATAGCAACAACTTGATAAATTTAACAAGAAATGTGCAAATCCTATATGTGGTGTTAGGAACTGAGTTGCATGCCCCAAAATTGATATATTGAAGCCCTAACCCCAAGCACCATAGAATATGACTGTTTTTGGAGATAGGGCCTTTAAAAGAGGTAATTAAATTAAATGAGACCATGAGCATGGGCCCTAATGCAGTCTGACTGGGGTCTTTATAAGAAGAGGGATGAAACATGCAGAGACCTCAGGAGAAAAGGCCATGTGAGTACACCCTGAGGAGGCAGCTGCCTGCAAGCCAAGAAGAGAAGCCTCAGGGAAACCAACCTGCCAACACTTTGACTTTGGATTTCCAGCCTTCACAGCAACAGTGAGAAAATAAATTTCTGTTGTTTAAGCCGCCAGTCTATGGTATTGTGTTACAGCAGTGCTAGCAACTAATGCAGACAATACTTGTAGAACACAAAAGTAGGCTTGAACAGACCTTCCTACATCTTCAGAAGGGCATTTCAGCATCATCAAGATATTAATCTTTACTTAATTTATGTATATAATGTGACCTCAATAAAAGTATTAATAACTTTTTTTACCGGAGGTAAACAAGGTGATAACTGAAGTCATATGGAAAGCTTAAGCATGCAAACAAAACACTGAAAAGGAAGAACTGTGAGAGGGGCTGGCCCCTATCGGATATTAAAATCTCTATAAAGCCTTTATAATTAAAACAGAGTGGTACTGGGGCACAGACTAGAACAGGATGAAATGTAGTGGAATTAAATGTCTAAAAGACTCGAACATTTATGGAACTTTTTTAAAGCGGCAACTCCAATCACTGGGTCAAAGATGGGCTTTTAATGAATGGTGTTGGGGTTAACTGGCTAACCATTTAGAGAAAGATAAAATTAGATCCATTCCTCATACCACAAATAAAACTAAACTCCAAAGGGATCACAGAGCTAAATAAATTATGAAACTTTATATGCACTAGAAGTATGCATGGATGAATTCCTCCTTATAATCTGGGTATAGGAGAAGGCTTTCTAGGACTCAAAAATAAATATGCAATAAAATAATATGTTGATAAATGTGCCTACCAAAAAATATACATAAGTGAAAAGACAAATGATAGTCATGGTAAAATATCCACAACATATATCACAGGCTAGTATCTCTAGTATGTTGTTTTTTTTAATGAAGGATGAAAATACCAAAAATAGGCAAAAGGCATAAGCCAACAGTTCAAAGAAAAAGATAGAAAAGCGCTGTCTGAAATACATGAAAAGATGATCAACTTTCACTATAAGAGAAATGTAAATTAAAATTGCACCAAAATGTCATTTGTCACCCATCAGGTTGTCAGGATTCAGAAGCTTGACAGACTCTATTCTGGAAGGTATGGGAAAAAGGCACTCCTATGTGACAGTGCAAAATGGTGCAACCATTGGAAAGGGGTACTTGACAATAACAAAGTTATATATACATTTACCCATTCACCCAGCATTTCCACATCTAGGAATTTGCCCTGAAGATACACCTTTGACAGTGCTACCATATATATGCACAGTCATTGCAGTATTACATTTTCTGGTAAAATATTGTGAAATACCTGAATGGCCAGATATGGGAGATTGTTAAATCACCTTTGGTGTTGTTATCTGTCAAACCACATGAGGAAGACCTCTGTGCACTAATATGAAGTTTTTCTCATATATAGGTGAAAAAAGCAAAGTGCAAAAGAGCCTATATAGTAGGCTATCTTTCTTTTTAGCAGTAAAGACGAAATAAGAAAGCATCCATTTATCTGCTTGCTTTTTTCAAGAAGAAACACAGGATAAGCCAGAAAAAAATGAAATTGGTGACCCTAGGAGGATGTTAAAATTGGAGGACTAAGTTAGAAGGGATGTGGTAGGGAGTATATTGTTTTGACTTTAAAATCATGTTAATGTTGATTTAATTTTGCTTTTTAAATACACACAATAAGAATGAGAGAGGGGAACTCCTAAAACTAAGCGCAAATAGCAACAGATATATTCAAATAAACTAACTGTGAAAGGGAGAAATTGAATAAAATTTCAAAGTAATAAAATAACACTGAAGAGAAGAGAGGGATGAATCCAAGTAGATTTTGAATGAATTTGAATGAATCCAAGTTCTTAGTATACCAAAAAAAAAAAAAAAATTAAAGAGAATAAACCCAAAACTTGTCTTAGTAGGTTTATTTTATAATTTCTGAAATTTTTTCAGTGTATCGTAGAATTAAGCACATTCATAAATATTTTGATGTTGGTAGCCAAGGTTCTCACTGTTGAAATAAGGAGATACAGATAGGAAATAGAGAAAGGCAAATGAAAACCCTGTGGAGTTGGCTTAACACTTGGATGTAACAGCATAACCCAATTTCCAGTACACACACGCACACACACAGGGCTTAGAATCAATGTGGCTCCAGTAGACATACAGAAGACAGCCAAATCCCAGATTTTGGTTTCTAAATACTATTCCTCACTAAAGGGAACCAGAGATTGCTGGAGTGGTGGAAAGGGAAGGTAAGAGATAAGCCTGGAATGTCTTGTTCCAGAAATTAAGAAATACTCAAATAATTGGAACATGTTACAAAGGCACAGGGACTAGCTTGAACAGGCACCCAATGGCCAAATCTAAGACAATATGACCATCAAAATAGATAAAGATATTTATAGATTATAGCTCATTGATTAAGAATCCATGAAGCCATACTGATGACTGTTATATATAGGCATATAGACACAAGAGATGGAAAAGCACGTCTTCATATTAGAATTCTGACTAATAATGAAGGAATAATGGAGTTAAAGAAAATTCAGTTCACAACCATTATAGCAAAAATTTATTCAAGCAAAATGGATGCTAAATATAGGGGATAAAGCTTGATAAGGAACAGGATATTTACACAGTCTCGTGGTATCTCTCACTACTTATTAATTACAAAAGGAAAGATAGAGACTGTCTACGGTGGAAGAAATGCACAATACCTTAACCAAGTGATCAGGATTAAACCTCAAACAGGCAGACACATCGTGTGCTTCTGTGCATGTGAACTGAGAAGGGAATGATACCACTTATCTAGTAGTCCAACCAAAAATCTCAGAGTTTAATCACGGGGAAGCATTAGAGGGACCCAAATTGATAAACAGTCTGTAAAATAACTGCCTGTATTCAAAAATGTCAGTAGCATGAAAGCAAGAAGGAAAAAAGACGCTGAAGAACTATTCCAGATTACAGGACACTAAAGAAATATGACAACGAAGTACAATATGTGATTCTACCTTAGGTCCTGTATCAGGAAATTGCTACATAGGACATGGTTGAGACAGTTGACAGAGTTGGAATATGATTTTATATTAGATAAAATCATCAATGTTAAATTTCCCAAGTTTGATAACAAATGTGTATATGTAAGTTAATGTTCCTTTTGGGAGTTACTCTGAAATGCTATAGGGTAAAGGGACATGTATGTTACCTGCTCTCAGATAATTCAGAAGAAGTGTATTTGTGTTCTAGGGCTGGGGAATGGAGGAGAGAGAATGAGTAAGTTAATGTGGCAAGATGTTAAAAATTGGTGAATCTGGGTAAAGGGTATTTGAGTGTTCTTTGTAGTATTGCAGTTTTTCTGTAAGTTTGAAATTATTTCAAAATAAGTTAAATTTTTTAAAGTTCATAGAAGTTTTTATAACTGCCTCAAACTGGAAATAACCCAAGCATTGAGTTGGTTTTTTTTCCCCCAACCCAAGTATTTAGCAGCAGAAGATAAAATTGTATCATCAGATAAATTGTAGTTTATATATATAACAAGATGCTACACACACACAGCATTGGATGAGTCTCACATTTTGAGGAATACATATGCAGATTTTCAACTTGGGAAGCAGAAATACATTGCCCTTTGCTGTGGCTATTGCAAAGGCTAGTTCTTCCTCCCTCACTGCCCCCATCTGCAAGTAGTAGGAACAAGTAAGTCCCCAGTTCTAAAACTGTTAGGAAACAAGAGCTGCTAAAACAGATGCTCCACTAAGTGTTAGGCTGGTGCAAAGTTGCTGCAGTTTTTGCCATTAAATGCAAAAACTGAAATTATTTTTGCACCAACCTTAATGGACTCTGTGCGTGTGTGTTGTGAGAGGGAGGGGTCCTCTGAAGGATAGAGGACATGAAGGATTGCTGTCTGGTGCTGCATTTGTGGGGAGTGGTTTAGGGGCCAATGTTTCCCCCTTTTAAGGGTAAAAATCATAATTGAGACCATAGCTAGATGCCTGTAAAAGGCAAGTTGGGAAATGGTAATTCAAGTCACAGCAGCTAAAAGAAAAGGGAATGTTTGTCATTGCAAAGGTAATTGAAAGGTATTGGACTGTTTTGGAATATAAATTTTTATTGGCATTGGGGATCCCTTATCAGGAATGTTTCTTCAACAAAACAAAAGCATTTTATAGTTCAGATGACTATTGAAAGGTAGAAGAAGAATTTATGCTTTTAATGGTTTGGTTTGGGAAGATTCCATCACTGTACTAAAAAGAAAATACATTTATTATATACTCAAAAGATTTGTTCCTGAAGGATCAAATAGGGAAATAACAAATCTGATGCTATGGGATTATGTAGGAGTATAAAATATAGCACATGAGAAATTTTAATACTTTTTTAAAAACCTGTTTTTATCTAAAAAGCAATTTTCAGCTCATAAAAAAGTGATAATCCAAGTGTTAAGAGCACTTTTTACTGTAGAAATGATATAAATTATGCATAGATTCCCTGGAAAGCCCTCAAAAGTCTGCTAAATTCCTGTTGCCACCAAATATTGTTTCTTTGGGGAAATATATTCTGATTCCTAACAACCAACAATAATCATAAGTTTTAAATCTCTCCTCTCTCCTCTCATGCAGTTTATGAAACGGGCTGCTTTTCTGTTTGTAGCTGAGGCCACAGGAGCTGGAGGGATTGCAAAGACCTTTATTAGAGCATCCATCTGGTGACCCTGGCAGGGAAACTTAGGATCTAACCCTAGGATCTGGCTAGGGCTCTGTAACTGACTGTTAGCCAGCCCTGCCTCTCCAGGATAATTATATTTATAGTGGCTTTGCCTCAGGAGGTTTCTGGAGGTTGATGACCATGCCAATTATTAACTCCTTAGCTTCCTAATGTAGAACATTTAGGAGTGACAGGAGTTGTTTTCTTTGCTTCTCAACAGGTGCCTACCTATTGGGCCGCCTTTGTACCTTGAGTTTTCAGTTAGCAAAATGTGAATTGTATGAACTAATTCTTCCTTGACCTCACAGGTGGTGGTAAGGATTCTTGAAAAGTGGGTAAGATCCTTAGAAAAAAGATGTTCATAAAGTGTGACTCCTAGGACAGGATACAAGATAAATTCTGTCCCACAAAGCACCTCATATTTTGTATAATTAACTATCTTCATGGCATTTGCATTTTCTACAGTTCACTGATTTTACCTCTTCAGCTTTATTTACTATGCTGCTTTTTTGTGTTAAAGTGAATTAGTGTGTCAGCTTAAAACACTTGTGGTGAATAATTCATATCATTCAATAAGCATTAACTCTTAAATGTGAAGTCTTATCAGCCAGGGCTGTGAAATATAATTGTCAATGGTGATAAACAATTATGCTTTGGTTTTTAGTGAATGAAAAAATTAAGAATGAGGGAACCTTAACATTTTTAACCTAAAAGATTGTATTTTGCCAACTTTCCTTGGGCAATTTGTGAATACTGCAAATCTCAGGCATATGTCATCAGTGATTCTAAAGGGATTGTATTTGTTCCTGCATTTGTTCTTGAGGGTAAAATAGCTTTTCATTTGAATGATGCTTTTGAGTTGGCAGCAGGACAGGGATCAGATAATTTGTTGTTGTTTACAGATTATGTTTTACTTTATTGTGATGTAATTATAGATCATAATTCTCATGTTTGTCCTTCTCTTTTTTCCCTTC
This sequence comes from Homo sapiens, assembly GCF_000001405.40. Taxonomy (NCBI): domain Eukaryota; kingdom Metazoa; phylum Chordata; class Mammalia; order Primates; family Hominidae; genus Homo; species Homo sapiens. The sequence goes on from NC_000004.12 coordinate 145,539,794, forward strand.
CTTTTTCTAGTACTTCCTCCTGTGCTGGTTCCAAGACACAGCGAATATAATCCTCAGCACAGCCTCTTAGCTCAGTTCCGTAACTTAGGACAAAATGAGCCTCACATGCCACTCAACGCCACTTTTCCAGATTCTTTCCAGCAACCCAACAGCCACCCGTTTCCTCACTCTCCCAATAGCAGTTACCCAAACTCTCCTGGGAGCAGCAGCAGCACCTACCCTCACTCTCCCACCAGCTCAGACCCAGGAAGCCCTTTCCAGATGCCAGGTAGGTTGGAATGTTCAGTGATGTTCTGTAGTCATATCAGACAGTGTTATCACAGTGTCACGGAAAAGCTGGGTCAACCTGCAGTGGAGGGAGGTTTTCAGCCCTGGTATATGACATAGTGCTCTCGCACTTTTAGGATACAACTTTTGGTGAAAGGAGACCTCATAGTCAAGTAAGCAAATGTCTTATTTTATTTGTCAGGCACAGATGCTTGAATAAGCTATATTTTCCCCTTGTTTTTAAAAGGTTTTGAAACAGCTGCATCCTTCTGGGAGTGGCATAATTGTTACAGTCTTTACTCTTGATAAAAAGAAAAATACCGTGTTACACACATTTGCTCTTATGAGAACACAACCTCAATCAGCATCGTTTTCATACATGGAAAAAACTCCTGTTGCAAGTGCAACCTCAGAAAAAATATTTCCTGAGGGATCCCACCCCCTACTTAATTAAATTCATTCAAATGATGATGTAATCCCAAGAAACGTATACTTTAACAACAAAGGAATTACAACAGAAGTACTGGAAACCATCTGCTTGTTCAACTTAGCAAAGACAAAAAACAATTATCCTCTTTTTCTAGACATAACTGTTGGTGTAATGGTTATCAAAATAAATGATTAATAAGGACATTATATATTTTTAAGTTACAGGTTAATGAGCAAGCATCTCCAAAAAAAAAAAAAAAAAGAGTGCCAAATTTCTTGCCAGTAGACTTTAAGAAAGATACCCTAAACAAAAATATACTTAACATCTATTAATGTTTTCGGAAGGGAAAATGACTGGGCAAGTGTGTTTATTGGGCTGCTTGAAATGTTTTTAAGTAAATTTGAATTCAACATCAGTGCTAGGCCTTCAAAAATTGAAAAGTGGTCCACATTTATATTGCTTTCTTTTATTTATGTATTTATTACCTTCTTTTATTTAAATCTTGTTTATTTCACATTGTTTTGTCCGGTTTTCAGTCCAAAGCTGTTTGGGATGAGGGTTGGGAGACAGACTAGTTTAAAAATCAAAGTAACTGGTGACTTCCTGTCTACCTCTCTCCCTTCCTCCTCACCACTAACCTGTATGATGGGCAGGTTAGTGGTGAGGAGATACATTTCAGAAGACTTTTGAGCAGTGGCAGCCCAGAGTGGCCCCAAGATTGAATTAAAGGTTATTGCTTGAATTTACACTTTGTCCCTAAATGTCAGGGATTAAGGCAAAGGCCAAGTAATGGAAATATGGAAAACAGTTGCAAGGGATGGGAGGAGGTGCCTGTAGGAATAGTAGAATAGTATCAAGAATTATCGGGTTCCTCTTGGTTGTGCTGATGCCATAGGTTGCCAATGAAATTTTCACCAGCTTCTTGGCAGAAATTCATTGACTTGGGCTCAGAGGAGGCTCTTTGTCTTTGTTCCTGGCTTGAGATAAAGCCGAGTCAGCCTTACAGCTGCAGAGAAGAGGCTGAATTAAAAGAAGCTGAAAAGGGGCAAAAGAGGCATCCAGAGAAGGTCCCAGTAGTCCCATCTCAGTACTATGAGTTGTTGCTTGTTAGCAGCTGGATGTGAAGTTACCAGGTTGTGATTCAGCTGGAGAGTGAGTCTTGGAAATCACTGGGGCTCTCTGAAGGAACAACATGAGTTGTTTGTATTTGACAGTTGCTCTGAGTGGTCTCGATTACTTATCCAAACATTCACGATTCCCTCAGGTAAAATTTTGTCTCCAAGGCTCTGACACATATGCTAGATGGGCTCATGATAGCTAGTGAGGAGCTTGCTTTTGGATGGAAAAGGATTATTTGTGAGAAACCTATACCCTTTGTTTTATATTAAGAAAATGCAAGACTTGTGTTAGTGTTCTTTGTTTAAAAAATCATGTTTGCCTCTTATTTGCCAGAAGAAACATATATGTAAATTCTGAAATAGGAGATAGCTGTGATAAACTGATTCATTTTCTGTTATTCTGTTACTAGAGATTTTAAAGCTAGTGATTATTTAAATGAGTAGGGAGAGTGTGGTCCTAACAGATTCCCTAAAGTCATGGAAAATTAACAGTTCAAATCAGTAGGCTATAATGAAACTTGGTGAATTTTCTAAAAGCCCATAGATTTAATGCAAAAGACCCTGAAGCTCCTTTTCTTAAGAAGTCCAGTGAAGCTTTCAGAGGTTTTCCATCTATCAGTGAAACTGAAATGCAGAGGTCCTCTCAAAGCAGATTATATTAAAGTGTGCTTAAAATACTCTTCTGATTGCTTTTAAACAGCATGATCCTGCATAGGCAAACAGCTTCTGGAACTGGCATATAGTATAATTCTTTTCCTCCCACTGAATTTTCACAAAAATGTATATGATTGTGGCATGGTTAATACTTTTCAGAAATTGTACATCAAGGCAGTGCCTGTAGCCTTTAGTCTTTTAATGGGGAGATTGAAATGACAACTTGATCTCTTGAGAATTTCAGTACAGAAGAGGATACGTGTTTTGAGCATGTATGTTTACTAAGGGTTAAGAAATAACTTCTTTAAAAACTTTGTAGCTGATACGCCCCCACCTGCTTACCTGCCTCCTGAAGACCCCATGACCCAGGATGGCTCTCAGCCGATGGACACAAACATGATGGCGCCTCCCCTGCCCTCAGAAATCAACAGAGGAGGTAAAACTAATTGCTGCCTGTTCCCTTTTTTAGAGTCTAAAGTTTGTCCAGATGTTACTTTCTCTCACAAATTTTTATTAGTCTTTAAAAAGAGAGCTACTTGAGAAAAATAGAGTCCAATGTTAAGAGAAGCTCACTACAATTGCTGGATAACAAGTAAGTCTTTAATTTAAAGAACAAATACACTGACTTAACTAATGAAGATCTGAGAATAATTTTGCAGTTATCTGTTTAGATCTTTAATACTTAATAATTTTTAACTGATGATGAAAATTTTTTTTTTGTTTTTTTTTGAGACGGAGTTTTGCTCTGGTCACCCAGGCTGGAGCACGATCTTGGTTCACTGCAACCTCCACCTCCCAGGTTCAAGTGATTCTCCTGCCTCAGCCTCCTGAGTAGCTGGGATTACAGGTGCACACCATCACGCCCGACTAATTTTTGTATTTTTAGTAGAGACAGGGTTTCACCATGTTGGCCAGGCTGGTCACGAATTCCTGACCTCAGGTGATCCGCCCACCTTGGCCTCCCAAAGTGCTGGGATTACAGGCGTGAGCCACTGTACCCAGCCAAAAAGAGTATTTTTAAATGAACAAAATGGTATTTAGAAACAATAAGTATAACAGTACTGAAGTAGAGTTTTCACTGGTGATTTCCAAAGTTGGAAGTTGGTATAACTGGGCTGTCCAAAGGCTTTCTTCTGTAATTAGGATAGATACACATAAACCCCGTCTGTTTTTCAGCTCTTATGTATGTGCAACTACAACTGGAACAAACTAATAGAATTTCTTGCTATTTGTTTCTAACTTTGTTACTAAAAGGAATTGAGGCACAAGTTTTTCCCCTTCTCAGCCTGAAGAACTTGCAAGCAGAAATGAAAAATTTCTTTCCCCCTTTAGTAAAGGGTGGGTCTTTGATTCCAGCGCTGTATATATCCTTAGCAGTGACCGAGTGGAGGATGCCATCATTCTTCCAGCTCTACATAGGCAAGTAGGATAGACTTAAGTGAGCAGAGAACTCAGGTAAATAAGTTCGGTAGACTCTCTGAGAAATCTGTTAGAATCCACAGCCACCCTGGCAAATAAAACTGCTCCTAAATAACCTCTCATGAAAGAAAGTGCTTTGCTGCTGCACTCAACACATGGCATGGGTCATGCAATTTATATAATGTTTATGCAAATTGAAGTTAAAGTACAGTTTGGTTACTAGGTATGTCTTGTTTCATTTTAGTGCTTTTTTATTAAAATAGGAGATACTTATTAAAATAGGAGTTGCTTATATTTTTAAGTACTTAAAATTGATTTTGTCTCTATGACACATTATACAGTGGTAACTGCATGTCATTATACATTTATCCAAACCCATAGGATGTACACCATAAGTGAACCCTGACGCAAACCGTAGACTTTGGTTGTAGGTCTGTAGGATGAATGTCGGTTCATCAGTTAAAACAAATGTGCCACTCTGGTGGGGGATATTAATAATGAGGGAGGCTAGGAAGGTGTGGGGGTGGGGGGCATATGGAAAATCACTCTGTCTTATACTCAGTTTTGCTGTGAACCTAAAACTGCTTTAAACATCGATTTAAAAACTGGTGATGAAGGCTGGGCGCGGTGGCTCACGCCTGTAATCCCTAGCACTTTGGGAGGCCGAGGCAGGTGGATCACCTGAGGTCAGGAGTTCAAGACCAGCCTGCCTAACATGGTGAAACCCTGTCTCTACTGCAGATGCAAAAATTAGCTGGGTGTGGTGGCGGGCCCCTGTTGTCCGAGCTACTTGGGAGGCTGAGGCAGGAGAATCACTTGAACCCAGGAGGCAGAGGTTGCAGTGAACTGAGATCACACCATTGCACTCCAGCCTGGGCAACAAGAGCAAAACTCAGTCTCAAAAAAAAAAAAGAAAAAAAAAATTGGTGATAAACTCAAAGGACCTTTCTTGGATGTGCAGTGTCATAAATTGGAATGTACACCACTTTAATCATTATGATTTTTTAAATCTTTTTTATTGCCTCTGTATTTTATGGTTCCTGATTATCTCTTGAACATCTTATCAAACATAATTCTGAGTCAATGAACACTCTGGTTGGGGGAAATAACCCCTATCTCACACATCTGTGGAATTTATATTTGGGGACCAGGATACCAGGAGAGAATAGGCACAGTACCACACTATTAGGAGCATGTGGACCCAGTAACTATTATTACTAAACCCAAAATGTCTGATTTCAGGAAACAGATCTTTAAATTGCTTTAAGATTTTTTTCATTTAAATAGCTTTAATTTTTTTTTCCTTTATAGTTTATAGTCAGTTAATATTTTCACGAGGAAGGAATGTTGGCCATTTTTTTTCTTCCCCCCGCTTTTTTTTTAACTTGTTTTTAACCTTTGGTGATTTTCCTAGAGCAGGGGTGAACAAACTACAGCCCACAGGCCAATTCAGCCTGCTATCTGTTTTTGTAAATAAAGCATTATTGGACCACAGCTGTATTCATTCATTACATATTGTCTATGACTGCTTCTGTGTTACAAGGGCAGAATTGGATAGTTGTGATAAAGATTATACAGCCCATAAAATCTTGCTGGCCTTTCACAGAAAAAATTCATCAACCTCTGACCTAGATGAATAGTATTTTGAAGTATCCTGATAGCTGATAAAAGCCTTCTGCTAATAATGTTGCAGTCTGCTTTAAGATTTGGCACTTGTAAATCACTAAAGTTTTGCTCTTTGAATTATAGCAAATTGATGTGGTAGAGTTGCTTAGCAAGCAGGGAAGATAGTGTATGTTTTTAGCTAACTACTTACATATGTAAAGCGACTAACTTATGTGTGGGTTTTTTCATGAGTATTTTCCTTGTTTTTTTTTTGTGTGTGTGTGTGTGTGTGTTTGTTATTGTTGTTTTGTTTTTTACCAAATTCTAAAGTAAAGTGCATTTTAGTATTTGTGGAATTTGATGTTAAGAACACAGAGGTGCTTCTCCCTTAGCAGTTGTAGTCTGGGCTTCTGATGTGGACTTTCTTTCTTTTCCTCCTTTTATTATTGTACACCCAAGACTTCATAAACCTCAGATCATTATATATTGGTATGCTGGAAATATATGGTTTGTATTCCTGGAATCTCTAAAGGAGTGGTACAAGAGGTTTTACTACAGAAGGAATTCATCTTTAAAACCTTTTAGTTGCAAATGTTTAGAACCATGTTCTGTTTGGAGATTTGTTAGTCTTAAGAGATTTGACTTAACAAGCTGCATCCTGTCAGTAAAGTTGGGTAATTTCCATTGTTGGCCCATTCTGGGAATGGAGAGACAAAACACACCTGCTCTGCATGACTTAAAGCAAATATAAGGAAGTTAGCATGAAATCTGGATGAGAAAGATATGATTCATTCTGTAAGAATGGCCAGCTGGCAAGATTTCTTCCTGAGTTTGAGAACTGGAGCAACACTGTAGCTGTGATAGTTATTGGCAACTTAATATGAGGTAAAGTAACTTCTTATCAATAATTAGAAACTGATTTTCATGGCTTTGAATAAGCATAGGCATACTTAGTCTTTGCCAAAAGTAATTCATTTTTATGCCAGTACCTTTGGCATATTTTCAGTCTTCTATTGTTCTCTTCCCACTTATTTTTTCACTTGTCACTTGTGTTTCTTTAGATGGTGAGCCAAAGTCTGTGGTAGGGGTGATTTCCATTTCTGCATATTACAGAGCAATTAGCATATTGTTAATATTCAGCAAAAGTTTTTGCTGTGCTTCCTTAGCTGGTGTTTTGGTTATCTGATAGTAATTGGAGAAAATTGTTCTCCAATTTTCTCCAATTAGGAGAATAAGGAGAGTGTCATATTAAGAAGTACCTGCTTTAAACATCATAGAAAAACTGTATACATTATAATAGCAATTGCTTTTCCAGTGTCTTCATTCCATGATCCTGAGCCAATTCAACAACACGGTTTCAGTTTTTGAGAGCCTGAGGCACTAACCTTGGTTGATATAACATTTTCTTTCCTCTAGATGTTCAGGCGGTTGCTTATGAGGAACCAAAACACTGGTGCTCTATTGTCTACTATGAGCTCAACAATCGTGTGGGTGAAGCGTTCCATGCCTCCTCCACAAGTGTGTTGGTGGATGGTTTCACTGATCCTTCCAACAATAAGAACCGTTTCTGCCTTGGGCTGCTCTCCAATGTTAACCGGAATTCCACTATTGAAAACACCAGGCGGCATATTGGAAAAGGTGAGTTTTTGCTTTAACCTCTTTCAGATGTTTATCTGTTGTGTCCCTGTTCCTCCAGAGCTGACTTAAAATCATTCCTGTAACAAACTGTTGTAGCAAAGACCAGGTAATGTTCACTTGCTGCAGTTTGTAAATATTTTTCCAGTTTCTGCTATCTGGAAGCTCTTGCAGTCAGTGATTTTTGTGGTCGATCAACTCATAATATTGAAATTAATTAGTTGAAATTATGATTTGCCATTTTAAGACACTATTCTGTATGATATTTTGCTGCAGAATAAATTGGCTGTTATAAAATGAATCACAACCTAAAATTAAAAGCAAATTACAGTTAATTGCTTAATTGTATTTCAAATGAATACCATAACTCAGTAAATAGAAAAGAAAGAACTAGATTTTAGCACAAACATCGTGCAAGGTGGCACGATAGAACCCTGCAGTGATTGTACCCCCACAGGGACACCAAATTGAACAACTGTCCATATAAGACAGCACCTTCAAAAGAACAAAAAATCAGGCATGGATATATTTATAATAAGAAAAAATAAAGACCAAAAAACAAGCCTAGTAAGTTATGAATATAGTAAGTGACTATATATCCTCAGCCTAGGCTGAGTGGAGTAGATAGAGTAGGGGTAGGATTTCAAATAAATCCCGAACTCTTTTTAGTAAACTTGATTATTTCATAGCAGTATGAGTGAAACCATTCTGAAACTTTCATATGTAAAGATGAAGCAAATGACTAAATGTGTGGATATTGTTGGGAGCTTGGGTTTCCACTGTGGAAAACAGACATATAAATGCGGAGGGGAGCAAAAAGTAAACCCTGTGAAGGAGAATAGAAGTATCAGTGCAAAATTCTGATTTTAGTAATACATATGTGTATGTATGTATGCATGTTTATGTTCTCATGTATTACGTATGTGTGTATGCATGGGTATGTATATGCGTTTTTACTTGCGTATAGTTTCTGATCTGCCTGCTGAAAGGGCCCAGAAGCATACATACCCAGTAGCAATAAGCACATCTAGTGTTCAGATCATCATCGCTAATACCATGTCCCACTAAAAGGAACTAGGGCTCCTTGAAGAAATGGCTTACCCCTAGGCTGGGATAGGTAGGCATAGGAGGACCCTGGAGCATCTTGTTGTGGCAGAAAGTAAAGAAGTGCTTATGGAACTCATGGGGCATGCCTCAGGAGCCAACTTAGAGGGCCTTCCACTGGCCAACTCTCAGACAATTTGAGCTCCAAAATAATTACAGTGATGAATTTTACTTCATTTTATTTATTTATTTATTTATTTATTTATATTTTATTTTTTTTTGAGACGGAGTCTCCCTGTGTCACCCAGGCTGGAGTCCAGTGGTGTAATCTTGGCTCACTGCAACCTCCACCTCCCAGGTTCAAGTGATTCTTGTGCCTCAGCCTCCTCAGTAGCTGGGAGGTTACAGGTGTGCACCACCACACTCGGCTAATTTTTGTATATTTAGTACAGTCTGAGTTTTACCTTGTTGGCTAGGCTGGTCTCGAACTAACCTCAAACGATCAGCCTGCCTTGGCCTCCCAAAATTCTGGAATTACAGGTGTGTGAGCCACTGTGCCTGGCCTCAGTACGGTATTGAATTTTACACCATTGAAAAACAATACAAATTTATAAGTCCATACTCATAATAAATAGATAGATAAGTGAATGGGGAAGGCTGGTTGATAAATGTAGAGTCAGTGCTAAAGTTTGAATATCATTTTGCAACCATCATAGTAAGGATCAGGCAAGAATCATCAATGGATGCTAAATATAAAGAAAATGTTTATGAGAATCAGTTTATTTGCATGGTCTTAAGAGTGTTTACCCTCAAACTGCCTGTTAGTACAAGGGAGAATAAAAAGCATTAACTAAACAGTGGAGAAACCGTATCATTTGTATTTTAATTGTAATTGTATAATTGATGCCCTGTTTTGACTGGGAGATCAAAATTATCATCACCAATGAGAGACAGATGGGTATCATATACCTCCAGATGTCATACCCTGAGAAGGCCATAACATCACCTACGCAGGATTCCAGCTGAGAATGCAAATCCGAATCTAATCCTGAGGAAATATCAGACAGACTCAAAGCAAGAAACATTCTATTAAAAAGGGTGAAGAAGGGGGAGTAATTCTTTCAAAATATCAATGTGAAAAGACAAAGGTATGGAAATGTTCCAGATTAAAAGCAGTTAAAGAGATATGACACCTGCATGCAATATCTGACCCTGGACATGATCCTGTGCTGAACAGGAGAAAAAATATTAATACTGTAAGGGACATTATTGAGATCAGCAGGCAAAACTGGAATATGAATGGTAGATTAGACCAATGTTAAATGTATTAGCATTGCCAACTATACTATGGCTATATAAGAGACTATCCCTATTCTTAGGAAATACTTAAGTATTTAAGGAAGTGGTTCAGGAAGAAATTAGTGTATAAAGATACCTGTCTACTCACCATCTGTCTATCCAAAACCTGTGTTACAATACATACATACAGACAGACACACACATGCACGGTGCGTGTGCAGCAGCAGTGGGGAAGGAGAGCCCAAGTGATCAAGCAAATGGAGTAAATTGTCACAATAGATGCATCTGGATAATGGTTATATGGGTGTTCTTTGTTCTGTTTTTCTTTGTTCCCTTTCAAACTTTTCTACAAATTTGAAATTATTTCCAGAGTAAAAGTATGAAACAGTGACCTACTATGAAATTTAGAACAGTGGACCAGATTAAAAGGTTATTTATTAGATGCTTTAAAAGCACTCAAGATAAAGTGTAACATTTAATCCTGAGGGGAAGAAAACTCCAACTCTTAAATTAGGAATTGATAGATATTCTCTTATATAATTAAAGGAAAAAACTCTTGACTGTAAATTTAATAATGAAATGCTAGAACCTAGGTTCATAACATACATAGATATCTTTCTGTGGTCTGTAAACCTCTGAAATTGTATGTAAACACAATTTTGCATACATTTGGGAGGGAAAGACATACTTTTCGTTAAACTCTAAAGATGACTCTTATCCCAAAGTAGCAAAGAAAAATTGTGCTATGGGACATTTCCTCCTAAAACATTATTAAGAAAATAAAGAATCTTGGAATGCTGTTATTTAAAATTGTTCCAGATGCCCTTAGTAGTGTACTCAAATATACAATTATAGATAATGGAAATAAGGCAAGATGATCATTATGTGTAGATGATATGTTTGATTGACAGTATTCTCGGGATAGATTCTTGAAGTGAAATTAGTATATCAAAATCCATTGATATATTTCACCAAATTACTTTCCAAAAAGTAATTCCAGTGCTTTGGGAGGCTAAGGCAGGTGGATCAGTTGAGGTCAGGAGTTCGAGACCAGCCTGGGCAACATGGTGGAACCCGGGTCTCTACTAAAAATTAGAAATTAGCCAGGTGTGGTGGCACACGCCTGTAATCCCAGCTACTCGGGAGACAGAGGCAAAGTTATCACTTGAATTTGAGAGGCGGAGGTTGCAATGAGCTGAGATCAAGCCACTGCTCTCCAGCCTGGGTGACAGAGAGAGACTCTGTCTTGAAATAAATTAATTAATTAATTAAAACAAAAGAGATAAATAAATACAGACATACATAAAATGAATTTGCACTCCTACCAGAAATATATGAGTGCCTTTCTCCCTTCATCCATGCCAGTATTATAGTTGGGCATTGTGCCTATTCAAATGATATGATTATTTATCTAGAAACCTCCAAAGAATCTATCTTTTAAAAATTATGTAAGTCAGTTTCCTTTAATCTGGTAATAACCAGTTAGAAATATAATGAAAGGGGAAATATCCCCTTCCCAATAGCCACAGAAAACATCAGTTTCTTGGAAATAATCTGAACCTGCAATATGTGAGAATTACATGAAGAAACCAAATTTTACTGAGAGAAAGAAAATTTGAATAAATAGGCAGTCTGTGTTCCTTAAAGGGAAGGCTTAATATTGTGAGAACATTTTAAGCATATTAATTCCATCTAATTTAATTTATAATTTAAAACAACTCTTTTCAGAATCACAATGTGATTTTTTTGAAAATTGGAAAATGTATTCTGAATATTCTGAATATTACCTGGAAGGATAAACAAGTGAGGCTAGCTAACTTTGTAAATGGAAAAGTAAAGAAAAAATTATCGGCATTAGGGTTAATAAAACATTGTAAAACTACAAGTAAACCAGTGTGTAGACAAAACAGAATGAGTTAAACTCAGACTATACTGTTATAAAAATATAATGTATGTTAAATGAAGCATAGCAAATCAGTAGAGTCTTCTAATGGTTCTACAATAACCAAGTTAGCGTTTGGGTGAGGCTGGGAAAGAGAAACCCTGACCTCATACCATATATGCAAACAGATTAATGAGTTGAATGTTTTTCAAGAGTCAAACAATTAAAAAGCTAGAAGAAAATATGCTTGATCAGAGAGGTGGAAATTTTTTAAGCATAAAAAGCAACAAAAGACCATAAGAGGTTTAACTAAGAGATTGCAAACTTCTGTAGGTTAAAAATATGTCACAAATAAAATTAAAAGACAAAGGACTAACAGGGAAGCAAATAAGAAAGTATATCCTTCTTACATGAACAGTTCATTAAAAAATAAAACAAATAGGACCCCAGTGAGATAAATAGGTAAGAAATGTGAACAGTGAATTCACAAGAGAAACGCAGATGGCTAATAAACTACGAGAGCATATCCAGCCTCACAGGCAAATTAAACAATTATTTGTCAACTATAAATTAGGGACGTTTTGTTTTTGCTCTACACTCAAATTCAGTACTGGCATGGGTGAAATGAGAAAAGCATTCCTACACTGCTGGTGACAGTGTAAATTGATGCATTCTGGAAAGTCATTTGGCAGAGTTAATCAGCAGCCTTCGATCCAGTAATTTAACTTCCAGGAATCTCTCCTAAGGATATTATCAAAAATTGTCCAGAGACATTTATCATGGCATTAACTATAAAAGCAGAACATTGCTGTCATCCCAGTGGTCCACTAATGGGAAAATCATTTAAAAAACATTCATACAATCATGGAGATATTTTAAATGTTTGCAAAGACATTTTAATGATACCCAAAACTGAATACAGTGTATCAAACTATTAATAATTATTGCCTCTGAGTCACTAAAAGAGTGATAATATTTTCTGCTTCTTTATATTTTGATTTACTTTCTGATTTTTCAGGATGAAAATTTGTCATTTTTATCATCAGGAAAAATTAGTAGCACACACACTCTTAAATTGTTTTCTCTATATCAGGCCAAAAAAATGGCCTTCTGCTCTAGCAGCTATTTAATTATTACAGAAATCCTAACCGCTGTGTATACATATAAACAAAACTTGTAATGTTTTCTGTGAGACACAATATAGCCTTGACTAAGCCATACCAGAGTTACCTACAAGGTGGATCATTTAAACCCACATGGGATCTAACGCTGCTGGGTGACCTGTATAAAGTCATCTTCCATAATGGTGTGGGGCTTTGTGAGAATGGGTTTTTTTACCCCTACTTTCCTTTTTTTAAAGGCAGGGTAGGCCCAATTTCCTACACTTTAAGCACTCTGGGTCTCACAGGAAGAAGTTTGGAGCAGGTGATAGTTCAGTGAGATCTAATTTTACACACACAGTATGACTTTTCTAGTTTCATTTTCATGTTTTTTTACTGGATCTTATATCTTACAGCTTTCGGCAATACTTCTTCCACCTGTGGCTTTCCAGTTCCTCTCTTCTCTTTCTCCTTTCTTCCCTTTCTAAAATTTTCCAAACATCTTAGCTGTACAATAAATGCAAGAGCGCTTTATAGTAAATACATAGCATCCAGGTTTTATTATGCTATCTTTTTAGAGTGAAAATATACTTTCAATGTGTGGCCAAATAGGACATTAATCACTTACCAAAATGAAATTGCTACATGTTGTTGTTGTTGTTGTTGTTGTTGTTATTTGAGATGGTCTCACTCTGTCACCCAGTCTGGAGTGCAGTGGCTCAATCACAGCTCACTGCAGCCTCAACCTCCTTGCCTCAAGCAATCCTGCCACCTCAGCCTCTGTGTAACTGGGACTACAGGTGTGCACCCCTATGCCTGGCTAATTTTTTGTATTTTTTTTTTTTTTTGTGGAGATGGGGTTTCACCGTGCTGCCCAGGCTGGTCTTGAACTGAGCTCAAGCAACCTGTCCACCATGGCTTCCCAAAGTGCTGAGATTACAGGCGTGAACAACTGTGCCTGGCCTATTACTATTTTTAAAACATTTTGTTATGTTATTTTCTAGAAACCTCCTAGATACTGTATTAAGTAATGCGGTTAACTAAGATTTTTATCAGTCATACATCAGCCATCCCCAGTCTTTTTGGCACCAGGGACCAGTTTCATGGAAGACAATTTTTCCACAGGGGATGGGAAAGGGATAGTTTCAGGATGAAACTGTTCCACTTCAGATCATCAGGCATTAGATTCTCATAAGGAGCACGCAACCTTGATCCCTCCCATGCACAGTTCACCATAGGGTTCATGCTTCTATGAGAATCTAATGCTGCCGCTGATCTAACAGGAGGTGGAGCTCAGGCTGTAATGCTTGCTCACTCACCTCCTGCTATGTGGCCTGGTTTCTAACAGGCCACGGACTGATACTGGTCCATGGCCCCGGGGGTTGGGAACTCCTGTTGTACAGGACCTAGAGAATAGCTAGCTAACTAGCCAAAGTTTAAATCCATGTATATTTAAGTTTCTGTGTTGAAGCTGCACAGGTGCCTTTGAGCTGTAAAAATTAATAATAACTAAATGGTATGCTTTGTCTTCCTATAGGAGTTCATCTTTATTATGTTGGAGGGGAGGTGTATGCCGAATGCCTTAGTGACAGTAGCATCTTTGTGCAAAGTCGGAACTGCAACTACCATCATGGATTTCATCCTACTACTGTTTGCAAGATCCCTAGTGGGTGTAGTCTGAAAATTTTTAACAACCAAGAATTTGCTCAGTTATTGGCACAGTCTGTGAACCATGGATTTGAGACAGTCTATGAGCTTACAAAAATGTGTACTATACGTATGAGCTTTGTGAAGGTAAGTGAGCTCCGACTCCTCCATTTAGGGCCTAACATACTTTTGCTGTGCTTTTTTTTTTTTTTTTTGGCGATATATGAATCTATATCCTCTTGATAACATATTATCATATTAGCTGACTTATTATCTAGGCATTTTTAAACTTTAACAAAAATTTCAATTATTAGGAAAATATCATTGGAACATAGGAGTACTTGTATTAAATATCAATAGCAGTAGGTTTTACTAGCCTTTTCCTTATTCAGATAGCACCGCTTTAGCTATTGTATTACCAGTAGAATATGTTATGTTATATATTTAACATATAATTTAAATACATGGTTGTTTTACGAGATCAGTTGAGTAAGCATATCTTCCTTCCTTTTCATTCTTTGTTTTTTGTACTTTTATGATGGTAATGCTTGTTTTTGTTTCAACAGTAAGCAAGTGATCTTTTTGTAAAAATTAAAGTTCATCACATTGGAAATTGTGTTTGGTCAGGTTTTTTTTAGTGGTTTCAGTAAGCTTCATGATTTTCTTACAATTCAGAAGTTAATAAGGCCCTTGCCCAAGATAAATAGATGCCTTAGCTCAAAGATTGCATTGTAAGGTTTGATGAGGGAAGAGGTTAAAGACATTGCTCATAATAATTGATCTTTTTGCTGTCTCATGTTCTGCCTCTGAGAAATAAAAATTTTTAAGATGCCATTGAAATCTTAAAAACCTTAAATGTCTGATTAGATTTCTGAGTCAGTGACTTTTCTAGTAACTGACCTGTCTCTGAATTCTCAAAAATAAATTTCATTCTCTCGTACTTTGAGAAACAGAACTAATTATATGTTTGAGTGAGGCAATTATCTTTTATGTCTTCTCTTCAGAAGCTCACCAAACTTGTTGTTAAACCTGTTTTGTAATGTATTTATTACTGAGGATAATTTTGGAGCCTTACTTGTTAATCATCCCTTAGATCAAAGATATCTTTTCCTGAATATAGTTACTTTTCCTACTTATTTAAAGCATCTTAGATTTTCAGTGTGTTCCCTTAGTGTTTGTTTTTGTGTGTTTGTTTGTTTGTTTGCTTGTTTGCTTTTTGCAGTATACTTCAACAGTTATTTGTAGTTGAGTCTGGTACCTTGTTAGTATTAAGAAAATTTTTTTACCCTTTAAAGAGGTTAACCTATATGTTATGTACATATGGGACTACAAAGAACTATCTTATTCATTGTTAACATGTGCTGTTTAATTTTTGACTTAGCATTTGGCTCAAATGATTTTTAAAATAAGAACAGTGACCTGCCAGAAGTGTTTTTGTTTATTGTTTTAATTGGTATGGAGGAAAGAACAGCTCTTGAGAGTCGAGATGCGGTTTCCAGTTTTTTCTGCCATTTTAACTGTGTGATTAAGGCACAGATTTCTTCTCTGGTTCTCAGGTTTATCGTCTTTGAAATGGGGGTGGATGGAGTTGAGAACTGTGGTAATTATTACTGAGGTCCCTCAGTGAGTCTGTTATTGAAGGACCACTCTAAGAGAATTTATTACTTTAATGTTCCAATTAGCTTTCTGCTCAAACTCATTTCTTATTGTTTACCCAATCAATTTTAATTATTTTACTTTTGTAGAGTTTTAATAATTTACTTTTACACAAGTAAAAACAACCTTTACACTAATAAAAGGTATTTATAATGCAAAGTTATGCATTCAAAATTTATTAGATTTCATTCATTCAGCAGATATTTTAGCACTATTTCAGAGAAGTAATACAAAGATGAAAAAGCACCTAAAGTCTCTTATCATCAAGATCCTTATGCCCTAGTATATCTTTAATTATAATCTGATAAGCACTAGAATGGAGAGTTATACAAGATATAATGAACTTAGCCTGGAAGTTGGATTTGGAGAGCTGAAGGTAAATATTATTTAAAAATCCTGCTGAATGTTAAAGAAAAGTTGTTTATCATATGTTAGCAACAAAAAATTTGCACACTGTTTTTACAAAACTGTTCTTTATTATAAGGACTGCATACTTTGTCCTCTCCCATTCAACATTTTAAAGAAATTAGAACATTTTACTAACAATAGCCAATCTTGTGCTGTTTTTAAAATGATCATTTTTGGATATTAACATAAAACACATTTTATAAATTATTTGTACTTTAAATTCTATGTCTGAAAATTCCAAGTCAGCTCAGCTGAACACATATTTATAGAGCTTCTGCTTTCTGTCATTATGCTGTATATTGGAGGTAAAGATAAATTCCTGCCTTCAAAGATCTTGCTATCTGATGGAGGAAACCTGCACATAAGCCTGTAAATTAATTTTAGGAGTTTGTTTATATTTACAAATGCATGAGTGTACATACATCTATGTAGATATATATATATCTACATAGATGTAGTTCATACAAGTTCTGATGTTCAGATATATTTTCTTTTTTCTTCTTTTTTTTCTTTTTTCTTAAGACAGTCTCGCTCTGTCGCCCAGGCTGGAGTGCAATGGTGTGATCTCGGCTCACTGCAACCTCTGCCTCCCAGCTTCAAGCAATTCTCCTGCCTCAGCCTCCCAAGCATGCTGGGATTACAGGCGTGTGGCCACCGCACCCAGCTAATTTCTATATTTTTAGTAGAGACAGAGTTTTGCCATGTTGTCCAGGCTGATCTCAAACTCCTGACCCCAAGTGATCACCTGCCTGAGACAGAGTCTCTCTCTGTCACCGACGCCAGAGTGCAGTGGCGTGATCTTGACTCACAACAACTTC
Source organism: Homo sapiens (assembly GCF_000001405.40). Taxonomy (NCBI): domain Eukaryota; kingdom Metazoa; phylum Chordata; class Mammalia; order Primates; family Hominidae; genus Homo; species Homo sapiens. Next base: position 145,556,776 of record NC_000004.12, read on the forward strand.
CGCCTCCTGGATTCAAGTGATTCTCATGCCTGAGCCTCCCAAGTAGCAGGGATTACAGGGATACACCACCACACCTCGTTTTAGTAGAGACGGGGTTTCACCATTTTGGCCAGGCTGGTTTCGAACTCCCGACCTCAGGTGATCTGTCCATCTCGGCCTCCCAAAGTGCTGGGATTACAGGTGTGAGCCACCGCGCCTGGCCCCAGATGTATTTCTTAAAACTACGGGAGTAGATAGATAGCAGAAATAAATAGAACCCAACCTTCTCTGATATTCCTCATGAAACAGTGATTAAAGGATTAATCAGAACTTCACATTCATTGTCCACCCTCACCAATGAGTTTTTGATCTTTGCAGTAGCAGTTACTTTTCTCTTTTTCATAGTGACTTTATTCTATGGAACTGTATTGTCTTAATGCACTAATTCTGCCAAGCTACCTTCTTGTACAAATGAATGATAGAATGTATTGATTCATGGCAATGGCTAGGTGTCAATAATAGCTTTTTGGATACTTGAATGTACTCCTGCCCGTTTTGCTCAGAGATTGAAAGATCAAGAGCTGTGTGTTGATAGGGGGACCTTCAGTGGCTGAATAGGGAAGAAATTGAATGTCATTCTGTCTAGCATAGCTTTTTTGTTTTATTTTCTTGATGATAAAATGAGAATTTAATAATAGCTATTACATTACTATCAGTAATGGGCAATTAAAAGTTTTAAAGTGTCTTTATTAAGATAACTTTATAATGTATTTTAAAACCTTCATTCCTCAAGACCAGCAATTCTTATTGGAATCCATGGATGGACCCTGGGGAGCTAACATCCATCCCTTGAAATTGCCTGCGAAATTATGCGTGCGTTTGTGCATGTGTGTTTTTTTCTCCCCAGGGGCGGGGGGGTCAGGGAGGAAAGATGCATAGCTTTAATCAGAGTCTTTGGTTATGTGAACTCTTCTTACTTAATAAGTTTAACCACTGAGTTAAACAAGTTAAATGACCTCCAGTATGTTTTTCCTAGGGCTGGGGAGCAGAATACCACCGCCAGGATGTTACTAGCACCCCCTGCTGGATTGAGATACATCTGCACGGCCCCCTCCAGTGGCTGGATAAAGTTCTTACTCAAATGGGTTCACCTCATAATCCTATTTCATCTGTATCTTAAATGGCCCCAGGCATCTGCCTCTGGAAAACTATTGAGCCTTGCATGTACTTGAAGGATGGATGAGTCAGACACGATTGAGAACTGACAAAGGAGCCTTGATAATACTTGACCTCTGTGACCAACTGTTGGATTCAGAAATTTAAACAAAAAAAAAAAAAAACACACACACCTTGGTAACATACTGTTGATATCAAGAACCTGTTTAGTTTACATTGTAACATTCTATTGTAAAATCAACTAAAATTCAGACTTTTAGCAGGACTTTGTGTACAGTTAAAGGAGAGATGGCCAAGCCAGGGACAAATTGTCTATTAGAAAACGGTCCTAAGAGATTCTTTGGTGTTTGGCACTTTAAGGTCATCGTTGGGCAGAAGTTTAGCATTAATAGTTGTTCTGAAACGTGTTTTATCAGGTTTAGAGCCCATGTTGAGTCTTCTTTTCATGGGTTTTCATAATATTTTAAAACTATTTGTTTAGCGATGGTTTTGTTCGTTTAAGTAAAGGTTAATCTTGATGATATACATAATAATCTTTCTAAAATTGTATGCTGACCATACTTGCTGTCAGAATAATGCTAGGCATATGCTTTTTGCTAAATATGTATGTACAGAGTATTTGGAAGTTAAGAATTGATTAGACTAGTGAATTTAGGAGTATTTGAGGTGGGTGGGGGGAAGAGGGAAATGACAACTGCAAATGTAGACTATACTGTAAAAATTCAGTTTGTTGCTTTAAAGAAACAAACTGATACCTGAATTTTGCTGTGTTTCCATTTTTTAGAGATTTTTATCATTTTTTTCTCTCTCGGCATTCTTTTTTCTCATACTCTTCAAAAAGCAGTTCTGCAGCTGGTTAATTCATGTAACTGTGAGAGCAAATGAATAATTCCTGCTATTCTGAAATTGCCTACATGTTTCAATACCAGTTATATGGAGTGCTTGAATTTAATAAGCAGTTTTTACGGAGTTTACAGTACAGAAATAGGCTTTAATTTTCAAGTGAATTTTTTGCCAAACTTAGTAACTCTGTTAAATATTTGGAGGATTTAAAGAACATCCCAGTTTGAATTCATTTCAAACTTTTTAAATTTTTTTGTACTATGTTTGGTTTTATTTTCCTTCTGTTAATCTTTTGTATTCACTTATGCTCTCGTACATTGAGTACTTTTATTCCAAAACTAGTGGGTTTTCTCTACTGGAAATTTTCAATAAACCTGTCATTATTGCTTACTTTGATTAAAAATTTGTCATTTCCTTTATTCACCTACTAGATTTTAGGATCAGTAAAGTTTGCTACTCTTCTGAGAATTTTTTTCTCAAATATCCTCCACCAAACATGAATGAAATTACTAATACAGAGACTCGAACACAGCAGCATGAAGAGACCGGAGCCAATTTAAATCAAAACAAAGGACATGTACACCTTGAAAAATTGAGAAAAACTACCAAAATCTAAGTGTATAAACTTTTTAATTTTAGAAATTACAGCAGCAGCACTTTTTGGTTAGTACCATGCAGTCAACCAAAGCAGCAATTTCTAAACTTCAGATGAAGATACAAGCGTGACTGTGGGAGGAGGTAATAAAGGGGGAGGGATGAGAACTCACACTGCAGCAGGAGAAGATGACTACCTTTGCAGTCTACTTAAGGCTGGGATGATCCCAACACTACCCATTCCCCCACAAAAAAGTTTACCAATGAGGGACACAGATTGAAGGACACTTAGATTATTTCTTGGCCCAATAGATGCTATTCTTTCTCCTTTACATTTTTATGTGTCTTTCCTGGAGTGTGTTTATGAGACCTGAAATTTAAGGACCATCCCTTTTTAAACCTAGTTTTAAAGAAAAGAATGCCTTGCTTTTTCACCCCCAAAATACATTTATTCCCTAAACTATGACCAAGGAAAAATTTCTACTGCTGCTTTTTGTGTCCAAAAAACATCATGATATAATTAGAGAACGCCCCAGACAGAGGTCCTACATTATAACACAAATTCATGCACATCTTTGCTGGGTCACTTAACTTCTGTGAATCTCTGTTTCTTCATTTGTCAAGTGGAAATAATATAGTTGTGCCTTGTCACAAAATTGAGGTGAAGATGCCTTAAAAATGCATCTGCCATGCAAGTATGGGGATCACTTGAACTCTCCCATACGCTCTATTTTCCACTTACCTAAGTCATTTCAAGCTCAGTCAATCTAGATAATAGTGACTGGTGAGATATAATAAAAGTTGATATTAAAATTATTAAGCTTAACAGTGAAGTAAAGAGATAATGCAGGCTAGGATTCCTCATCCTTTTCCTAGTGAAAAGCCAATTTTGAGTTCCCATGGTTGCCTGGTGGGACAGTTAGGCAAGTTGTTAGTTGGGTGTAGCAATGCTGGTAGCCAGCTTGAAGTTCTATCAGATAAAACACCAGGATCATCCAGTAAATTGAAATCTCCTGGTTGGGGACCTGTGGAGTTTGCAACATGGTGCATAAGTAGGTCCCTCATGGTTAAGTGCAACTCTATGTATTTTTGGTGAAATCTTAGGAAGACCATTGTCATCAGCCATAGGAGGCTATTAAGTCTCTTGGAAAGGTTTAATTAAAGGAATGGAAAAAATCAACTATTAGAAGTGGAGGGCCCTAGAGCTCTTGCCTCATTCTTGATTTAATAGTATTTGACTTCCATCAAGTTTTTTAGTTTTTCTGCACCTGTTTCCTTATCTGTAAAATGGAGACAATAAAGCCTACCTCCTGGGGTTATCATGAAGTTTAAGCCGATACATGCAAAGCAATTAGAACCTCTTAATAAGTGTTAATACAGCCAGCTAAATCTGGCTGGGAAGACACCTGAAAGGAATTTCATTCAAGAGATGTTTGATGAAGACCTACTTACCTTTGAAGTATTTAATAAACACAGTGGAAGATTTTATCTTTGAGGAACTCAGAGTCTAGAGAGAGAAACCTGGAGAAAGAAAACTAGCAATGCTTGAGTGCCTAGCCTATTGTGTTCCAGGACTCTGCAAGGGATTCCCAAACATTGTCTGTCATCCTCCCAAGGACATATGAGATACTACTCTGTCCCCAACTCCTTATACCATTTTTCTTGCTTTTTTTTTTTTTTTTTTTTTTTCTTTTTTTTTGAGAAGGAGTTTCGCTCTTGTTGCCCTGGCTGGGGTACAATGGCGCAACCTCGGCTCACCACAACTTCCGCCTCCCGGGTTCAAGTGATTCTCCTGCCTCAGCCTCCCGTGTAGCTGGGATTACAGGCATGCACCACCATGCCTGGCTAATTTTGTATTTTTAGTAGAGACGGGATTTCTCCATGTTAGTCAGGCTGGTCTTGAACTCCCGACCTCAGGTGATCCGCCCGCCTCAGCCTCCCAAAGTGCTGGGATTACAGGCATGAACCACTGCACTTGGCAGTCATTTTTCTTATAAATGAGGAAATTTAACTCAGAAGCTAAATAAGTTGCCCAAAGTCACCTAGCTAGTTAGTGTGGAAGAGTTTCAATTCAGATCTGACTTTAAAATCTAGAGTTAATTCTATTAAATACTATATTCTTCTTTCTCGTGAGTTTACAGTCACATGTACTTACTATAAAATAAAGTAGAATGAAGAGCACAGAGGGAAGAAGAAGTAGTTCAGACTTGGTTGGATGGAGATCAGTGGAGTTTTTACAGAGGAAGTGGCATTTAAGATTGAGCTTGAATGATGGGAAGCATTTTGATAATTGGAGGAACTTGTGGGCAGGAGAAGACTCCAAGACAGATACCTGTTGTTTGCCATGCCCCAGCATCTACCCCCCAATTTTTAAAGATGTGCCTCCCGGCCTCAGGGTGACTGGGATTTATCATACTGCATGACATATCCCCTCTGGCTACTGTTGGGAATCTGCTCTTTGGGAATTCTGGAGCTAGAAGTAAAGTCTCTGCATGGCTGAAGATACAGTAAACCTTAGGCATTGTCCCCTGTCATCTCACCTGCTACATGGGCTGGAGACAAGAAAGAAGAGACAGAAATCTCAGGGCATCCAGTGTCCTGGGCCTAGGATTTACCAAGACCTGCCACATTTCTGTTCTTTGCTGTCCTTGGATACACCAGAATCTGTACAGATGCCCCCCTCCCCTCGCCTTTTGCTTAGTGTAGTTTCAGTTGGGTTTTTGTTCCTTAGAAGCAAATGAGGATTAAGTAATACAGTATGAAAATGTTTGACTTTTTAAAAAAAGATCTTTTTTAAATAGATCATTTTCTTTTAACCAAAATAATACTTGTTCATGAAAGATTTTTAAAGTATGGAATAAACAAGCAGAGTCACGCAGCGGAAGCGTACCAGGCCCATAAAGTACGGGATGAACAAAAAGAAGAAACCTAAAATTACCTGTATTAACCCATGATAATTGAATTAGTTTATCCTTGCACTAGGTGATGATAACCTGGCATAGAGATAGCATGCTATAGGAAATGCAAGTCTAGAGGTTAGTTGGATTACTTGCTTAGTAAAAAGATGATGATTGACTCCATTTTTAAAGCAGTTATTGAGTACTAATCCTGTGTTAGCCACTGTATTAGGTGAAAAAAGTGAATAAATCTCAGCCCAGCCCTCAAGGGGCCTGAACTCTAATGGGAAAGACAGACAAGTAAATAGACTGATGGCACAGTGCCATGATAGCAAGGGGCACAGAACAGTACATAACCCAGACAGGAGTAAGGGGAGACTTCTCAGAGGAGTAATGCCTCAGAACTGAGTCTTGCTGTGATAATAGGTATTACACAGCAAGGAATGGGGAGGAGGAAATGTGTACCAGGCAGAAAATAAGGCAAGACTGTTGGGAACAACCAGTAATTCTGCGTAGCTGGGGTGTAGGACAATTATATGCAATGGTAAGTAAGAGAATGGAGAGGTAGGAAGGGGCCAAGCCATTAAGAATCTTGTGTATGTTCTGCTAAGAAATGGGATGTTTCCCAAGGATTTTAGCTCCTAGGGATCTCAACCCAAGGATCAAACAGAACAGGAGCCAGGAGAAAACCAACAGCCAAGCATACACATAAGGGGGAGAAAGGAGCTAACAGAGTGAGAAATAATCATAGAAGCCAAGGAAAGCATTTCAACAAGCAGGGCTTGATTTACAAGATAGAGAAGGATGGAATTTAGAAGAACTTTACACTTAGTAACTAGGAAGTCTTTGATAACCTTAAAGTTTTGTAGGAGTGCGGCATAAAGCCAGATTACAAGGGACTAAAAAAAGTGGAGGAAAGAGTTTCTTCTTTTGTAAAGATGAGGTCTCACTATGTTGCCCAGGCTGGTCTCAAATTCCTAGGCTCAAGTGATCCTCCCACCTTGGCCTCCCAAAGTGGTGAGATTACAGGTGTGATCCACTGTGCCCAGCTCAAAAGCATTTTGATTCTAGAAAAGTTTATTGATGAGAAGGACACAAAGAGGATAGAATGAGTTGGCTGGAGAGATGAGTAGCTATGGAGAGAGGCTCTGTTAGAACAAGGAGCTATGGACATGCCTGTTCAATGATGTCTGCCTCTTGGTGAGGTCATCCACTCAAAGGGGATTAAGACCGGGCTGAAGAACAGAAAGGTCGGAGCAGCCAACTGTGATGAGAGGAGTCCACTAGTAATAAAGCAAAGCACTGCCAAGAAGTATCAATATGCACTGCAGAGGTTGGGTGATATGACCTTGATGTGGATTCAGTCCACATAATCATACAAAGTCTCTGGAATTTGGGGACCAAATCAGAGAAAAAGAATGGTAAAGTGCTTAGAGTTGAGGATCGGCAAAGCAGTCCTGGGGAAATTCTGTCAGACTAATGACCATGATTGGAATGATGGCCTATGTGGAGCAGGCTAAGAATCAAACTAGGAACAAGAAGCCAAAGGGAGTTGCTGGGAAGCTGAGATGACAGCAAAGCGTGCATTCAGTTTGAGTGTCCGCAGTCTTCAATCATTACTTCCCCCTAGAGAAATTTGAGAAGACAAGCATCTTGAAATTCTCGGAGATAATAAATCCTGAACCAAGGCCATTTCACGAGGGTTGCTAATATGAAACAGAGTTGCAAAAGTCATTGGAGGAGAGGAAAATCAAGGAACCAAGAAGTAGGCTGAGAGGAGCGAAGTGTTTTTGCTCCTCCTTGCATCACCAGGTAGTGCCTAACTCACAGTAGGCTTTCAGTAAAGAATGAATGAATGATATTGTCTAGTCTCATAGACATTTGAGTTATCTATGGTGATACAGGAGACACTGTGAATGTTACAGTGGAATTAGGGAAAGGGAGGGGCAGAGCCACCGTAGTGAAGAAACAAAAGTTAAACCATCAACAATCCAGAACAAGGGTCTGAAAAGGAAGATAAATGAGAAAGAAAACCAGGGCAAATCAGCAACATCTGTCATCCTGGGATCAGAATGATCTTCCACATGCTTGGCAGAGGCAGGTATTATACCAGAGCTCAGTAGACATTCATCTTCTGTCTTGTGTATCTTTTAAAGATTCCCTATACCTGAGGTTTTAGAAGGATTTCTGAAGAATTTCTAGCTGAGTTCACAGAGGTTGTGGTACTGTTAAATAAAGTAGGAACTCAAGAAAAACGAAAGAAGTGTGGGGTGAAGAAAATTAGGTTGGTGAAGCATACTGGCTGAGAATTCCCAGGCTCCTGAGAGTCTCCTTCTTTCTCATATTTCAGGTATGAACTAGTTGCTTCCCCATATGTTACTATGTCAGTAATATGCAGAATAAGAGCACATCCAGCAAGTGGAATGAATGGAATGTAGCGAGAAGGTCATAGAGAGAATAGCAGGAAAGGAATATGGCGATGGGGATACAAGATCTTTTCATCTCAGCCAGACCTCTCTTCTTCCCAAAGCACACTGTATTTCTAGCCACAAGTGAAACAATAGTGAATCTCTGAAAAGCTCATTGTCTATTGCCAACTCTAGGGACCATAAGCATAGGACATTTGGTATTTCCTGGGCTGATATAATATAATCATTTAGAACAGTAGGTATTTCTTAAAAGAATGTTTCATTTTATGCCTGCATTTTTGTGTACTACCAGGACTTATTAAAAAGAAATAATCTGCTGAGTGTCTTAAAAGTGTGCCAAATTTGGCCAGGCATAGTGGCTCATGCCTATAATCCCAGTACCTGTAACCCAGGGCAGGTGGATCATTTGAGGCCAGGAGTTCAAGACCAGCTTGGCCAACATGGTGAGACCCTGTCTCTACTAAAAAAAAAATTAGCTGAGCGTGGTGGTGCATGCCTGCAATCCCAGCTACTTGGGAGGCTGAAGCAGGAGAATTGCTTGAACCCAGGAGGCAGAGGTTGCAGTGAGCTGAGATTGCGCCACTGCACTCCAGCCTGGGTGACACAGCAAGACTCAGTCCAAAAAAAAGAAAAGAAAAGAAAAGAGCCAGATTCAGGTTTCACCCAACATAAAAGATGAGCTGTAGGCCACAATATTAATTGTTACATATACAAGTGTTTGTTTTTACTTTTTCTGGGATAATTGGGATTGCACAAATTGTAGGCAATTTACTGAAAAGTCTACTTTTTATTGTGTCTGGTAACCGTGTACCATGTGTAGTTTCATAATTCTTAAGTGGTTTCAAAAGCAATGGCTCCCCAGAGAGTGCTGTAGGGAAACCTCAGGCCTGCAGTTTTCAAGCACTGGAACTGTAAAACCACCTCAACAGATCTGGAAGCTCAGTGTTTGCAACTGAAAGGCCATGATCTATTCAGACTAAATGTTGGCTGATAATTAAAAGGCAGGGAATTTCCATATTTAAAACTTGAGGAGAGATGGCGAGATGGCTGACTAGACACAGCCAGGAGGAATATCTGCCACCGAGAAACCAGGACATTGGGAAGACTGGCATATTTCTAACAGATCTTCAGAAGGAAGGCATTGAGAGTGGATGTTGAGAAGACACAGATGCTGGGCTAAAGGGGGAGGAAGCTGGGAACCCTGCACGGGGCCACCGCACACTGGGACTTGGTCCTAGCCCCCAGTGACTCCTGGGGAAAGGGTGAGTTGAACAGGCAAGGAGCAACCCACTCTCACCATAGACCTCCAGAATCCTGACAGCAGGAGACTCCATGACCACCATGGCCACTTGAATTGACAAGGAGAGCTGCTCAGAGAAGTGGTGGGGGCAGAACTCCAGCTGGTGCAGAGCCCAGAGGGTTTTGTGCAGAAGTACATATAGTGGAGCATAGCCAGGGATGCCCATGACCATAGGCTCTGCTCACTCCCACAGGGGACTTTAGCTCCAATAGAACTGTCAGGCCTGAACTCTGCAGGGTGATCCTGCCCATAAGATGGGGCCAGCCTGACCTGAGCACCTCTCAGTCTAGTGGCCTCTCCTGGTACCCCAGCCTGGCCATGCCCACTTGCAGTGCAGCCTCAGGTGCCCAGGGAGGATACCTCCTGGGGGCCCACATCATGGTTCCTGTGCTGGCAGACCATGCCTGACTGGAAGACAGCTCCAGTGGGAGCAGAGCAGCTCCAGCCCATTCACACCCTTTCCTCACTGCAGCCTCCCCTGCGCTGATTTGCCTGCACGCATTCACACACAGCCACCCCCAACATCACTACGCCAGTGCATGTGTGCATCAGCAGACCTTGCTTCCTTTTCCCCACCAGCAGGCATGTGCGTGTGCACCCTGTCATGCCACTGCTGCTGGCATGAGTGCACGCTGCCCCTTTCCCCCACCACACTGCCACTGCTGTCAAGTGTTGGCAGACACAGAGTCTGCCAGCCATGACCCCACCAGTGCCTCATCCCTGCACTGTCATTGCCACTGGTGCAAAACTAGGCACAGAAAACAGTGGATGTGCCCCCACCCTAAGTAGCCACCACTGCTGGTGTGAATGTGCGCAGAAGGCACATAGTCTTGTGCCCAACAGTGCCCTGCCCCCATGCTAACACCACCACTGGCAGGAATGTATGCACAGTCACCGGCAGAATCCCTCACGTCCCCCACACCAGCACCTCTCAGCCATGCTGCCACCACTGCTGTTGCAAATGCCCACACAGAGACAGACACCTTGGTATCCATTAGCAACCTTCTGCAGCCAATGAGTGTGCACCCCGCCATGCTGCTGCTGCTGCTGCTGCTGCTGCTGCTGGCTTGTGCAAACAAGGATAGATCCCACTGCTAGTGCCCTACAAAGTGCTTTGGCTGGCACTACCCATTGGAGTGTTGTGACTAGCTTGTGACTAGCAGCCGAAGAATACATCAGCCACTCCAGTGCAGCAGGTTTCCAACCTCAAGGAGCCAGAGAACAAAGCCAGGACCCAATACCAGTCCCCCAGAGTTACAGCATGCAGTCTAGGAGTCCTGAGCTGAGGCCTGGCTCCCTAAAATCTTCCAGAAATGAAGCCAGTCAAATGAATCCACCTTATACCACAATCAAACCCCCAAGGTCATTAAATAGGATAAATAAAATAAAATAAAAACCATAAAATAAATAATAAAATAATAAATAAAAAAATAAAATAAAGACCATCCAAAGGACAGCAACTTTAAATACTGAAGGACTATCATCCCACAAAGATGAGAAAGAAACAGCACAAGAACTCTGACAATTCAAAAAGCCAGAGTGCCTTTTTTCCTCAAATGATTGCGCTAGTTCTCTAGCAAGGGTTCTCAACTTGGCTGAGATGGCTGAAATGACAGAGATAGAATTCAGATGATGGATAGGAACAAAGATGATTGAGATTCAGGAAAACATTGAAACCCAATTGAAGGATGCCAAGAATCACAACAAAATGATACAGGAGCTGACAGACAAAATGGCCTGTACAGAAAAGAATGTAACCAACCCAAGAGAGCTGGAAAAACACACTACAAGAATTTCATAACGCAATCTCAAGTATTCACAGCAGAATAGATCAAGATGAAAGATGAAAGAATCTCAGAGCTTGAAGACTGGCTTTCTGAAATAAGACAGACAAGAATAAAGAAAGAATGAAAATAAACAAAATCTCCGAGAAACATGGAATTATGCAAAAAGACAAAATCTATGATTCATTGGCATCACTGAAAGAGATGCAGAGAATGGAAGCAACTTAGAAAACATATTTCAGGATATCATCTATGAGAAATTCCTCAACCTAGCTAGAGAGGCCAACATTCAAATACAAGAAATGCAGAGAACCCCCTCATGATACTTCACAAGAAGATCATCCCCAAACACATAATCATCAGATTCCCCAAGGTCAAAATGAAAGAAAAATGTTAAAGGCAGTTAGAGAGAAAGGTCAGGTCACATACAAAGGGAAGCCCATCAGACTAACAGTGGACTTCTCAGCAGAAACCCTACAAGCCAGAAGAGATTGGGGGCCTATATTCAACGTTATTAAAGACAAGAAATTCCATACCTGGCCAAAATAAGCTTCATAAGTGAAGGAGAAATACGAGCCTTTTCAGACAAGCAAATGCTGAGGGAATTCGTTACCACCAGATGTGTCCTACAAGAGCTCCTGAAAGAAGCACTAAATATGGAAAGGAAAGACTATTACCAACCACTACAAAGACATACTGGAAGTACACAGACCAGTGACACTATAAAGCAACCAGACAAACAAGTCTGCATAATAACCAGCTGCCAACACAATGACAGGATCAAATCCAGATGTATCAATGCTAACCTTGAATATAAATGGATTAAATATCCCAATTAAAAGGCACAGAGTGACAAGCTGGATAAAGAAACAAGACCCAATGATATGCTGTCTTCAGGAGAAGATATGCAATGACATCCATATGTTCAAAACAAAGGGATGGAGAAAAATCTACCAAGTAAACAGAAAAAAAGTGGGGCTTGTGATCCTAATTTCAAACAAAACATTTAAAACCAACAACAATTTAAAAAGACAAAGAATGGCATTACATAATAGTAAAGGGTTCAATTCAACAAGACCTAACTATGCTAAATGTATATGCATCCAACACAGGAGCACCCAGATTCATAAAGCAAGTTCTTAGAGATCTTCAAAGAGACTTAGACTCCCACACAAAAACAGAGGGAGACTTCTACACCTCACTAACAGTATTAGACAGATAATCAAGACAGAAATTTAACAAAGATATTCAGGACATGAACTCAGCACTGGAACAAATGGACGTGATGGACACCTACAGAACTCTTTACCCCAAAACAACAGAGTATACATTCTTCTCATTGCTGCATGGTACATACTCTAAAATCAATCACACAATTGGACGTAAAACACTCCTCAGCAAATGCAAAAGCACTGATATTATACCAACCACTATTTTGGACCACAGTGCAATAAAAATAGAAGTCAAGACTAAGAAAATCATTCAAAACTATACTACTACCTAGAAATTAAACAACCTGTTCCTGAATGACTTGGGTAAATAATGAAATTAAGGCAGAAATCAAGAAGTTCTTTCAAACTAATGAGAGCAAACATACAATATATCAGACTCTGGGACATAGCTAAGACAGTGTTAAGAGGAAAATCTGTAGCACTAAATGCCCACATAAAAAAGTTAGAAATATCTCAAGTTAACGACCTAACATTACAATGAAAAGAATTAGAGAAGCAAGAGCAAACCAACCCCAAAGCTAGCAGAAGACAAGAAACAACCAAAATCAGAGCTGAACTGAAGGAGATTGAGACAAGAAAAATCATTCAAAAGATCAATACATCCAGGAGTTGTTTTTTTGGAAAAAAAAAATAAGATAGACAAACTGCTAGCTAGACTAATAAAAAAGAAAAAAGAGATGATCCAAATAAATAGAATAAGAAATGGCAAAGGGGATGTTACCATTGACCCCACAAAAATACAAATAACCTTGCAGACAAACCAGAAAATCTAGAAGAAATTGATAAATTCCTGGACACATAAACCCTCCCAAGACTGAAATAGGAAGAAATTGAATCTTGAAAAGACCATAATGGGCTCCAAAATTGAATCAGTAATGAATAGCCTACCAACCAAAAAAAGCCCAGGACCACATGGATTCACAGCCAAATTCTACCAGCTGTATAAAGAAGAGCTGGTACTATTCCTACTGAAACTACTCCAAAAAATTGAGGAGGAGGGACTCTTCCCCAACTCATTTTATGAGTTGGTATCATCGTCACACCAAAACCTGACAGAGACACAAGAAAAGAAAATTTCAGGCCAATATTCTTGAAAATAGATGCAAAATTCCTCAACAAAATACTAACAAACCAAATCTAACAGCACATCAAAAAAGCTTAACCACCACAATAAAGTAGACTTTATCCCTAAGATGCAAGGTTGGTTCAACATATGCAAATCAATAAATATGATTGATCATTTAAACAGAACTAATGACAAAAACCACATGATTATCTTAATAAACTAGGTATTGAAGGAACATACCTTAATATAATAAAAGCCATCAATGACAAACCCACAACCAACATTATACTGAACTGGGAAAAAACGGAAAAATTCACCTTGAAAATTGGCACATGACAATGATGCCCATAGCCACTCTCACCACTCCTATTCAGCATAGTATTGGAAGTCCTGGCCAGAACAGTCAAGCAAGAAAAGAAATAAAGTGCATCTAAACAGGAAGAAGGAAAGTCAAACTATCCCTGTTTGCAGGCAACATGATTCTATCTAGAACACCACATATTCTTGGCCCAAAAGCTCCTTAAGCTGATAAACAACTTCAGCAAAGTTTCCGTAGACAAAATCAATGTACAAAAAATCATTAGCATTCCTATACACCAACAATAGCCAAGCTGAGAGCCAAATCAGGAACCGATCCCATTTACAATTACAACAAAAAGAATAAAATACCTAGGAATACAGCCAGCCAGGGAGGTGAAAGATCTCTACAGTGAGGATTACAAAACACTGCTCAAGGAAATCAGAGAAGACACAAACAAATGGAAAAACATTCTATGCACATGGGTGAGAAGAATCAATATTGTTAAAATGGCCATACTGCCCAAAGCAATTTACAGATTCAATATTATTCCTATCAAACTACCAATGACATTCTTCACAGAACTAGAAAAACCTATTTTAAAATTCGTATGGAATCAAAAAAGAGCCTGAATAACCAAGGCAATACTAAGCAAAAGGACAAAGCTGGAGGCATCACATTACCCAACTTCAAACTATACTGCAGGACCACAGTAACCAAAACAGCATGCTACTTGTCCTAAAGCACATAGACCAATGGAACAGAATGAAGAGCCTGGAAATAAGGCCACACACCTACAACCATCTGATCTTTGACAAAGCTGATGAAAACAAGCAATGGGGAAAGGATTTCTGATTCAATAAGTGGTGCTGGGATAACTGGCTAGCCATATGCCGAAGACTGAAACTGGAGCTCTTTCTCATACCATACAAAAATCAACTCAAGATGGATTAAAAACTTAAATGTAAAACCTACAACTATAAAAACCTTGGAAGACAATCTAGGCAATACCAACCTGGACAGAGGAACTGGCAAAGATTTCATGATGAAGGTGCCAAAAGCAATTGCAACAACAGCAAAAAATTGACAATTGGGATCTAATTAAATGAAAATGCTTCTGCGTAGCAAAAGAAACTATCAACAGAGTAAATAGACATCTACAAAATGGGAGAAAATATTTGCAAACTATGCACCTGACAAAGGTCTAACATCCAGCACCTATGTGGAACTTTACAAGCAAATTTACAAGGGAAAATACCAAACAACCCCATTAAAAAGTGGGGGCAAAGGACATGAACAGACACTTCTCAAAAAGAAGACATACATGGAGCCAACAAGCATATTTTAAAAAGCTCAATACCACTGATTATTAGAGAAATGCAAATCATAACCATAATGAGATACCATCTCACACCAGTCACAATGGCTATTATTAGAAAATCAAAAAAATAACATACTGGTGAGGTTGCAGAGAAGAGGAAATGCTTATATACTATTGGTGGGAGTATAAATTAGCTTCAACCACTGTGGAAAGTAGTGTGGCAATTCCTCAAAGAGCTAAAAACAGAGCTCTCATTTAACCCAGCAATCCTACTGCAGGGTATATACCCAAAAGAATATAAACTATTCTACCATAAAGACATATGCATGTATATGTTCACTGCAGCACTATTCACAATAGCAAAGACACAGAATCAACTTACATGTACATCAATGATAGACTGGATGTATTAGTCTGTTTTCACACTGCTGATAAAGACATGCCCAATACTGGGTAATTTATGAAGAAAAAGAGGTGAACAGACTCATAGTTCCATGCAGCTGGGGAAGCCTCACAATCATGGCAGAAGGCAAAAGGCACATCTTACATGGTGGCAGGCAGGAGAGAATGAAAGCCAAGAAAAAGGGGTTTCCCCTTATAAAACCATCAGATCTTGTGAAACTTATTCACCACCATGAGAACAGTATGGGGGAAACTGCCCTCATGATTCAATTATCTCCTACCAGGTCCCTCCCACAACACGTGCAAATTATGGAAGCTACAAGTCAAGATAAGATTTGGGTGGGGACACAGCCAAATCATATCACTGGATAAAGAAAATGTGGTACATAACCCATGGAATACTATGCAGCCATAAAAAAGAACAAGATCACAACCTCTTCAGGAACATGGATGAAGCTGGAGGACATTATCCTTAGCAAAATAACTCAGGAACAGAAAACCAAAGACCACATGTCCTCACTTATAAGTGGAAGCTAAATGATAAGAACACATGGATATAAAGAGGGGAACAATAGACACTGGGGCCTACCTGAGGGTGGGGGGGGGGAATGAGGAAGAGGATCAGAAAAAATAATTATTGGGTATTAGGCTTAGTACTTGGGTGATGAAATAATCTGTACAACAAACCCCTATGACATGAGTTTACCTATATAACAAACCTGGACATGTACCCTGAACCTAAAATAAAAGTTTTTAAAAAACAGTAAGAGAGGCCAGGCGCAGTGGCTCACACCTGTAATCCCAGCACTTTGGGAGGCCAAGGCAAGCAGATCACAAGGTCAGGAGATTGAGACCATCCTGGCTAACACGGTGGAACCCTGTCTTTACTAAAAATACAAAAACAAAATTTGGTGGGTGTGGTGGCGGGCACCTATAGTCCCAGCTACTCGGGAGGCTGAGGTGGGAGAATGGCATGAACCCAGGAGGTGGAGCTTGCGGTGAGCTGAGATCACACCACTGCACTCCAGCCTGGGTGACAGAGCGAGACTCCATCTCAAAAAAAAAAAAAAAAAACAGAAAAAAAAAACCAGCAAGAGAAAATAATAAAAATAAAATAATAAAATTAAAGCTTGGGAGCATGGTCTCTAAGAAATACTTTGTGAAAAACTGACAATTTGTAAGTTTCCCCTTGATCCAAAAAACAAATATATCAAAGGAACATGGCTCTCTTTATCTCTAAACATAGACAATTTTTAAAATGGAGTGGAAAGAAAGAAAGAAAGAAAGAAAAGAAATTGCAACAGTGCTCCTTGTTACTCTAGGATTACAAACCCTGTGAGAACATGAGAGAGAATATTTTCTTTTTAAAAACAAACAAACAAAAAACACCTCTTATTTATTTATTTATTTTTGAGATGGATTCTCATTGTCACTGAGGCTGCAGTGCAGTGGCATGATCTCAGCTCACTGCTACCTCCACCTTCTGGGTTCAGGCGGTTCTCCTGCCTCAGCCTCCCGAGTAGCTGGGATTACAGGCATGCACCACTATGCTTGGCTAATGTCTGTATTATTATTATTATTATTATTATTATCTTTTTTTTTTTTTTTTTTTTTTTTTAGTAGAGACGGGGTTTCGCCATGTTGGCCAGGCTGGTCTCAAACTCCTGACCTCAAGTGACCCGCCCACCTTGGCCTCCCAAAGTGCTGGGATTACAGGCGTGAGTTACCACACCTAGCTGGAGAGAGAACATTTTCATCTTTGCTTTGGTCTTGTGTCTGACAGAGACTAGACAAGAGTCACCTACACCTAATTTCCATCCCATGGATTTTTAATTATACTGCAGATGTAATGGCTAGGAGTGGATACTGACTTATATAGACTTGCCAGCTCTACCATTTTCTAGCTGTATCATCTCAGGCAAGTGAATTAATGCCTGAGCTTTAGTTTCATTATCTGTAAAATGGAAAAATAACAGTCACTCTCTCATAGGTGAGGTCGTAATGGTGTGATGCACATTAAATACTTGCACAGAGCCACACAGTAAGTGCTTAATAGTGGCTTGGCTGCAATAGTCATGGTGACCTAGACAGGTTCATTAATACAGGTCTAGTGTATACAAAATAAGTGGAAGTGGTAGGGTTTTCAGTATCCCTGGGATATGAGAGATGACTTGAAACCCAGTAAGAATTTTTTAAATCCCTGTAACAATAATAAGCATTATGGTAAAGAAAAGAAGAAAAAAAGAGATCCATTCCAAAATGGCCAAATAAGAACTGCTCTGGTCTGCAGCTGCCAGCATGATCGACTCAGAAGATGGGTGATTTCTGCATTTCCAACTGAGGTACCTGGTTCATCTCTTTGGGACTGGTTGGACAGTGGATACAGCCCATGGAGGGTGAGCCAAAGCAAGGCAGGGCATTGCTTCACCCAGGAAGTGCAAGAGGTTGGGGGATATCCCTTTCCTAGCCAAGGGAAGCCATGACAGACCGTACCCGGAAAAATGGGACACTTTGGCCCAAATACTGCACATTTTCCAAGGTCTTACAACTGGCAGACAAGGAGATTCTCTCCCATGCCTGGCTTGGCAGGTCCCACGCCCACGGAGCCTTTCTCACTGCTAGCGCAGCAATCTGAGATGGAGCTTCAAGGCAGCAGCCCAGCTGGGGGAGGTGCATCTGCCATTGCTGAGGCTTGAGTAGGTAAACAAAGTGGCCGGGAAACTCGAACTGGGTGGAGCCCACTGCAGCTCAGCCAGGCCTACTGCCTCTATAGACTCCACTTCTGTGGGCAGGGCATAGCTGAACAAAAGGCAGCAGACAACTTCTGCAGAGTTAAACATCCCTGTCTGACAGCTCTGAAGAGAGCAATGGTTCTCCCAGCACGGCATTTGAACTCTGAGAATGGGCAGACTGCCTCTTCAAGTGGGTCCCTGACCCCCGTGTAGCCTAACTGGGAGATACTACACACTCGGGGCTGACAGAAACCTCATATAGGTGGGTGCCCCTCTGGGACGGAACTTCCAGAGGAAGGATCAGGGAGCAATACTTGCTGTTCTGCAATATTTGCTGTTCTGCAGCCTACACTGGTGATACCCAGGCAGACAGGGTCTGGAGTGGACCTCTAGCAAACTCCAACGGATCTGCAGTTGAGGGACCTGACTGTTAGAAGGAAAACAGAAACGAATAGCATCAACATCAACAAAAAAGGACATATACACCAAAACCCCATCTGTAGGTCACCAACATCAAAGACCAACGGTAGATAAAACCACAAAGATGGGGAGAAACCAGAGCAGAAAAGCTGAAAATACTAAAAACCAGAGCGCTTCTTGTCCTCCAAAGGATCACAGCTCCTCGCCAGCAACAAAAAAAAGCGGACGGAGAATGACTTTGACGAGTTGACAGAAGGAGGCTTCAGAAGGTTGGTAATAACAAACTTCTCCAAGCTAAAGGAGCATGTTCTAAACCATTGCAAGGAAGCTAAAAACCTTGAAAAAAGGTTAGACAAATGGCTAACTAGAATAAACAGTGTAGAGAAGACCTTAAATGACCTGATGGAGCTGAAAACCAGGCACGAGAACTTCAAGACGCATGCACAAGCTTCAATAGCTGATTCGATCGGGTGCAAGAAAGGATATCAGTGATTGAAGATCAAATTCATGAAATAAAGCAAGAAGACAAATTTAGAGAAAAAAGAGTAAAAAGAAATGAACAAAGCCTCCAGGAAATATGGGACTATATGAAAAGACCAAATCTACGTCTGACTGGTGTACTTGAAAGTGATGGGGAGAATGGAACCAAGTTGGAAAACACTCTTCAGGATATTATCCAGGAGAACTTCCCCAACCTAGCAAGGCAGGCCAACATTCAAATTCAGGAAATACAGAGAACACCACAAAGATACTCCTTGAGAAAAGCAACCCCAAGACACATAATTGTCAGATTCACCAAGGTTGAAATGAAGGAAAAAATGTTAAGGGTAGCCAGAGAGAAAAGTCAGGTTACCCACAAAGGGAAGCCCATCAGACTTACAGCTGATCTCTCGGGAGACACCCTACAAGCCAGAGGAGAGTGGGGGCCTATATGCAACATTCTTAAAGAAAAGAATTTTCAACCCAGAATTTCATAACCAGCCAAACTAAGCTTCATAAGTGAAGGAGAAATAAAATCCTTTACAGACAAGCAAATGCTGAGAGATTTTGTCACCACCAGGCCTGCTTTACAAGAGCTCCTGAAGAAAGCACTAAACATGGAAAGGAAAAACCAGTACCAGCCACTGTAAAAACATGCCAAATTGTAAAGCCCATTGATGCTAGGAAGAAACTGCATCAACTAATGAGCAAAATAACCAGCTAACATCATAATGACAGGATCAAATTCACACATAACAATATTAACCTTAAATGTAAATGGGCTAAATGTTCCAATTAAAAGACACAGACTGGCAAATTGAATCAAAAGTCAAGATCCATCAGTGTGCTGTATTCAGGCGATGCATCTCAAGTGCAGAGACACACATAGGCTAAAAATAAAGGGTTGGAGGAAGATCTACCAAGAAAATGGAAAGCAAAAAAAGCAGGGTTTGCAATCCTAGTCTCTGGTAAAACAGACTTTAAACCAACGAAGATCAAAAGAGACAAAGAAGACCATTACATGATGGTAAAGGGATCAATTCAACAAGAAGAGCTAACCATCCTAAATATACATGCACCCAATACAGGAGCACCCAGATCCATCAAGCAAGTCCTTAGAGACCTACAAAGAGACTTAGACTCCCACACAATAATAATGGGAGACTTTAAAACCCCACTGTCAATATTAGACAGATCAACAAGACAGAAGGTTAACAAGGATATCCAGGAATTGAACTCAGCTCTGCACCAAGCAGACCTAATAAACGTCTACAGAACTCTCCACCCCAAATCAACAGAATATACATTCCTCTCAGCCCACATCACACTTATTCTAAAATTGACCACATAATTGGAAGTAAAGCACTCCTCAGCAAATGTAAAAGAACAGAAATCACAACAAACTGTCTGTCAGACCAGAGTGCAATCAAATTAGAACTCAGGTTTAAGAAACTCACTCAAAACCGCTCAACTACATGGAAACTGAACAACTTGCTCCTGAATGACTACTGGATAAATAATGGAATGAAGGCAGAAATAAGATGTTCTTTGAAACCAATGAGAAGAAAGACACAAAGTACCAGAACATCTGGGACACATTTAAAGCAGTGTGTAGAGGGAAGTTTAGAGCACTAAATGCCCACAAGAGAAAGCAGCAAAGATCTAAAATTGACACCCTAACATTACAAATAAAATACCTAGAGAAGCAAGAGCAAACAAATTCAAAAGCTAGCAGAAGGCAAAAAATAACTAAGATCAGAGCAGAACTGAAGGAGATAGAGACACAAAAACCCTTCAAAAAAATCAATGAATCCAGGAGCTGATTTTTTGAAAAGATCAACAAAATTGATAGACTGCTAGCAAGACTAATAAAGAAGAGAGAAGAATCAAATAGACGCAATAAAAAATGATAAAAGGGGTATCACCACCGATCCCACAGAAATACAAACTACCATCACAGAATACTATAAACACCTCTCTGCAAATAAACTAGAAAATCTGGAATAAATGGATAAATTTCTGGACACATACACCCTCCCAAGACTAAACTAGGAAGAAGTTGAATCTCTAAATAGATCAATAACAGGCTCTGAAATTGAGGCAATAATTAATAGCCTAGCAACCAAAAGAAGTCCAGGACCAGAGAGATTCACAGCCGAATTCTACCAGAGGTACAAACAGAAGCTGGTACTATTCCTTCTGAAACTATTCCAATCAATAGAAAAAAAGGGAATCCTCCCTAACTCATTTTATGAGGCCAGCATCATCCTGATACCAAAGCCTGGCAGAGGCACAACAACAAAAAAGAGAATTTTAGACCAATATCCCTGATGAAGATTGATGTGAAAATCCTCAATAGCATACTGGCAAACCAAATCCAGCAGCACATCAAAAAGCTTATCCACCATGATCAAGTAGGCTTCATCCCTGGGATGCAAGGCTGGTTCAACATACGCAAATCAATCAACGTAATCCATCAAATAAACAGAAACAATGACAAAAACCACATGATTATCTCAATAGATGCAGAGAAGGCCTTCGACAAAATTCAACAGCCCTTCATGCTAAAAATTCTCAATAAACTAGATATTGATGGAATGTATCTCAAAATAATAAGAGCTATTTATAACAAACCCACAGCCAGTATCATACTGAATGGGCAAAAACTGGAAGCATTCCCTTTGAAAACTGGCACAAGACAAGGATGCTCTCTCTCACCACTCCTATTCAACACAGCGTTGAAAGGTCTGGCCAGGGCAATCAGGCAAGAGAAAGAAATAACGGGTAATCAATTAGGAAAAGAGGAAGCCAAATTGTCCCTGTTTGCAGATGACATGATTGTATATTTAGAAAACCCCATCGTTTCAGCCCCAAATCTCCTTAAGCTAATAAGTAACTTCAGCAAAGTCTCAGGATACAAAATCAATGTGCAAAGATCACAAGCATTCCTATACACCAATAACAGACAAACAGAGCCAAATCATGAGTGAACTCCCATTCACAATTGCTACAAAGAGAATAAAATACCTAGGAATCCAGCCTACAAGGGATATGAAGGACCTCTTCAAGGAGAACTACAAACCATTGCTCAATGAAATAAAAGAGGACACAAACAAATGGAGGAACATTCCATGCTCATGGATAGGAAGAATCAGTATCGTGAAAATGGCCGTAATGCCTAAGGTAATTTATAGATTCACTGCCATCCCCATCAAGCTACCAATGACTTTCTTCACAGAATTGGAAAAAACTACTTTAAAGTTCATATGGAACCAAAGAAGAGCCCACATTGCCAGGACAATCCCAAGCAAAAATAACAAAGCATCACACCACCTGACTTCAAACTATACTACAAGCCTACAGTAACCAAAACAGCATGGTACTGGTACCAAAACAGAGATATAGACAAATGGAACAGAACAGAGGCCTCAGAAATAATACCACACATCTACAACCATCTGATTTTTGACAAACCTGACAAAAACAAGAAATGGAGAAAGGATTCCCTGTTTAATAAATGGTGCTGGGAAAACTGGCTAGCCATATGTAGAAAGCTGAAACTGGATCCCTTCCTTACGCCTTATACAAAAATTAATTCAATATGGATTAAAGACTTAAATGTTAGACCTAAAACCATAAAAACGTTGGAAGAAAACATAGGCAACACCATTCAGGACATAGGCATGGGCAAGGACTTCTTGACTAAAACACTGAAAGCAATGGCAACAAAAGCCAAAAGAGACAAATGGGATCTAATTAAACTAAACAGCTGCTGCATGGCACAAGAAGTGAACAGGCAACCTACAGAATGGGAGAAAATTTTTTCAATCTACCCTTCTGACAAGAGGCTAATATCCACAATCTACAAAGTACGTAAACAAATTTACAAGAAAAAAACAACCCCATCAAAAAGTGGGCAAAGGATATCAACAGACACTTCTCAAAAGAAGACATTTATGCAGCCAACAGACACAGGAAAAAATGCTCATCATCACTGGTCATCAGAGAAATGCAAATCAAAACCACAATGAGATACCATCTCATGCCAGTTAGAATGGCGATCATTAGAAAGTGGGGAAACAACAGATGCTGGAGAGGATGTGGAGAAATAGGAACACTTTTACACTGCTGATGGGAGTGTAAATTAGTTCAACCATTGTGGAAGACAGTGTGGTGATTCCTCAAGGATCTAGAGCTAGAAATACTATTTGACCCAGCAATCCCATTACTGGGTATATACCCAAAGGATTATAAATCATGCTACTATAAAGACACATGTACATGTGTGTTTACTGCAGCACTATTCACAATAGCAAAGACTTGGAACCAACCCAAATGTCCATCAATGATAGACTGGATTAAGAAAATGTAGCACATGCACACCATGGAATAGTATGCAGCCATAAAAAAGGATGAGTTCATGTCCTTTGCAGGGACATGGATGAAGCTGGAAACCATCATTCTCAGCAAACTATCACAAGGACAGAAAACCAAACACTGCATGTTCTCACTCATAGGTGGGAATTGAACAATGAGAACACCTGGACACAGGGCAGGGAACATCACACAATGGGGCCTGTGGTGGGGTGGAGGGCTGGGGGAGGGATAGCATTAGGAGAAATACCTAATGTATTTCTAATGACCAGTTGATGGGTGCAGCAAACCAACATGGCACATGTATACCTATGTAACAAACCTGCACTTTGTGCACACGTACCCTAGAACTTAAAGTATAAAGAAAAAAAAATTTAGATTAAAAAAAAGAAAAAAAAGCAGTGCTCGGTATGAATATAGCTGATGTTAATAAAATAGACCCTGCCAATTTTCCCCTAATGCTTCCAACAGGAATCTCATCCATAGATTCCTGACTTGAAGATAATGATGTGACTATTTTGCAAGTTTTATCCTATTTGCTAATAATTTTACTCTCAGGGTACTTCCAAATGTAAATTTTCATTTATACCATTCCCTACCCCACCTTTAATTTACAGACTAGTCAGCTGCTTTTTAGGGCATCCCTTACCCTTGTCATTCCCAATATTAAAATAATTTATTTATTCTTGGTTCCATCCACAGTTATACTACCTTGAATTATTTCTACATCTGATCTCAGACCCATGACTCCCATCCTCGGCCTCAGAGCACTGCTAACCTCAAAAGATTCTAGCTGTTCTTCAGTTCTTACTGTCACCCACATCCCACGGTTGCTGCTGAAATCACATGCTAGTCATCCTTTCACCCCACCAGGAATTCACAGTCAGTATGTGGCTTCACCGTGACTTTGGACATTCTTTTTCTGTAGAGTTCCACATCCCATAGGCTTCTTTAGTCCTTCGCAGGCAAGGATTTATTTTGGTAGTGTAATTTTGTCTCCTTTGGTCAGGACATCAAAGTCTCCTCTTCTACTTCTGGAAGTGTATGATTCATAACTAGGTGAACTGGCAGCCACTTTGCCCTGGGTGTCTGCCTAAGTACACAGCAGATTCTACCCTTTCCAGTCAGCATATATTAACTCACTTGTACCTAGTAAAATCCATTAACTCATGTCCCTACTAATTTTCCTACCCACCCTCCAACACTTGCCTAAATATATTTAGAATCTTAAATTGGCATAGGTCCTTTTGAGAGGGAGGAGACAAGATAAGCCAAACTAACATTTATAGGATATGTAATTCTACATAAACACAAGGCATTAAACGTAACACCACTAAAACATTTCTTTGAAGCCAGTCCCCATATGGCAGTAAAATGTTTTAAAGTTCAAACTAGTAAGATTACAATATCAATGAGTTTTGATCTTGATGTATCCTTAAAATGGGTGGAGGGTTTTCTGTGTGTATTCCAGGATCCGGCTTCTAATTTTCAGGAGATGAGGGGGAGGATGAAGTAAGGGAAAGAGAAAAGGATTTGAGTCAGAGAGACCTGCGTCCAAATCCTGGCTCCTGTACTCTCTTCTGGGGTGATCTCTGGCCAGTTCTCCAGATCCTTTGAGGTGGGATTTTCTCTCTGTAAAATGGAAGATATACTCTTCAGGGATGCTGGGAGGATTGGGATCAATTAAATGCTGCTTATCGTACCTGTCACCTAAGTTGATGCCTAATAAACAGTAATTGCTGTTTTATGTTTTGTTAAGCTGGCAGGGTAATTTAGTTTCTAACTTACATATGTCTATTTGAAAATGCACTGTAACCACTTCAAATTAAAGATTAAAATTGTATGGTATGAGAGTTATACCTCAATAAGGCTGTTAATTTTTTTTAATTTAGAAAATTGAATCTATCAAGTTCCCTTAGAAAATGTGAAAGTAATTTTTAAACTGAAAAATTTCACAGCCTGTTCTGTGGGTGACCAATAAATACTGATTAATGGACTTTATCTGTAATTTTTCATGAGACCGTAAGTCCAAGACCTCCCTTATGTAGCCTGCTCTTAATCCAAACATTAATTACTACTTTGGTATCATAAGATTATTATGATATCCATACTCTATGCATTGGGAAATAATTTGAAATTCATGAAGAAGTCCATCCTCATGCTTTGATAAATGAGTATAATTAGTTCCAAAATTTCTGTTCATAAGCCAAAACTGGTGTCATCAATCATTGAGTATTCCCATTAAAATTAATGTTAAAAACCTCAGTCTTTCTCTTAATGGAGTAATTAATAGAAGAGTGTGCCTCATTTAGTAGTGTTGAAGGTCCCCGAGGCTCTGTCCTGGCTGCCTTTCTCTCCTCCATCCACCCACCCTCCCAAGGTGACCTCACGTCTCCAATCCCGTGGTTTTGGATGCCTTCTGTGTACCATTGACTCCCAGATGTGTCTCCAGCCAGAGCATCTCACAGGAACTCATATATCTAACTTGACATCTCCACATGGCTGTCATCTCAAACTTGGGAGTGGCATGGGGATCATGAGTTCAGTGTGGGCCATGTTAAATTTAAAAACATTAAGAAGACAAAAGCCATGGATTTCTTCTAGGTTCCATAAAGGTATGTATCATTCTCTCCGTTGCTAAAGCCAAAAATCTTTTCTCATCTCACATCAACACCATCAGTAAAACCTGTTGCCTCCACCCTGAAAACATCCTTAATCTATGAATTTCTTTCCATCTCTGCTCCTTGCCTGCTGCCTTGCCTGAGGCTAGTTATCTGTTGCCAAAGTCTCCCTGCCACCACTCTTGCCCCTGCTACCATCACTTCTCACACGACATCCAGAGCACTCTGAAAAATGCAAATCAGTTTATGTTACTTCCCAGAATAAAATCTTCCAGTGGATTCCCATAGTACTTTGAATAAATCCAAACTCCTTCCAGTGGTTCAGTGGTTCTCATTCCTGAGGAGTGCTTGGAATTTCATGGGAGCAATTTTTATTGTTGAAATGATTGGAAAGGGGGGCTGCAACTGGCATTTAGCAGGCAGGGTCAGGAATGCTAGATATCCCACTATAGTGAGAAGGTCCTTCATTTTGCCTGCCAATCATTATCTGAGCCTGGATCATTATGCAATATTATATATTAAATACAAAGTACTTACATGGAATTTTCCAGGAATGCAATGACTGTGTCAATGTAGAAAAGGATGTACTTCGTTTTGTTTCAAAATTTGTCTAGAAATGTTTACTATTTCAGAAAATCACCTCACCCTTAGAGGAGCTACTGGCTGTATCTGAGCCACTATTGCAACATTCCTGCACATGCACAGCGATTCCACCTAAACGGGCAATCATTTGATGGCTTCTCATTCTTTCTAGTGAAGACATGCCTGAGTATTGACATGTGGCAATACGAAGCACTTTATTATAAATTTCTTTATGAAATTACTCCTTTAACAATAACTAATGGTTGATTGACAATACCAGTCCAGGATTATGAGCAAAAATTTTGGACTAGTTATACTCATCCATTGAGGGATGAGTGCATTTCTGTATGAAGCCACAGATTATTTCCCAATGCATAGAGTATGGTTGTCATAACAATCTTAAGGCAAAATCAACAGAAATGAATGCAAACCACAAGGGAGCAGTCTAAATCTTTGCGCAAGCTATTTATTCCCTCTTCCTACAGTGCTCCTCCCGACAGTTTGCATGGATGGCTCCTTCATGAGTATCACCCTGAGGCACTCTCCATCCCATCACCTACTTGAATTCTCTTTGGCACTTGTCACCTGATAAAGGACCTTTTTTGTCTTACACAACAGTGTGTCCACTGTGCCTTGAACATTGCCTGGAATATAGTAGGGGCCCAGTGCATATTTGTGGAATGAAAGAATGAATAAGATGAGGCAATGTAGTGAGCATCCTCTTGGTAATATATAAATAGCATTCCTAATTCTATAAGATAGAAAACTGTCAAGTTTTGCCCAGTGAAATAAAGTGTTTAAAGTGTTAAAACATTTGAGCCAACCTATAGCATCTGTGGTACCCAGGCCACCATTTCAGAGGTGGCAAATTAAGGCTAACTGAAGCTGACATTCACAATATATTTGCAAGCTCTTTTATACCAATTAGTTAAAACATATTTGTGGGCACAAATGTGAGGTATAAAAGCTTATGTGATATCTTATCAAGACTGGGGATAAAAACCAACCAATCATAGTGGATGGATATGAGGTCAGATTCCTCCCAGCAAACCCTGGTTACCAATTAGCACAAAAAGGCTTGTCAGCATCAAAAATTGAAGTATAAGCATAGTGCTCAGGCAAGTGGATATTTTCCTCAAGGGGATCTACAAAGAGATGTGAGTAAAGTGTGTTAACCTGCTCCAGCCTCCCCATCTCCAGTCCATCCTTCACACCATCTTTCCAAAATGCCAATTGTATCACTCTACTGTGGTGAAAATCCTTCAGTAAGGTCTTGTCCCTCTATATGTCATGTGCAATGAGATTTTAAAAATGCCATTTACTTGCAAAATGTGTAGGGACCCTTTATAGTCCTCCCATCCTCCTAGCATGACCGCACACATGGCTAAGCTCTAGCCACACCTCACCCAGGCTGTACTAACAACCGCTGGCTCTTACACAGCCGAGAGGTTCTTCTCCTGCTGCCTGGAAAATTCTAACTCATCCTTTAAAAAATGTTTGAGGCCTCCCTGATGCCTGTCTCAGGCAGTGGTGGGTGCTCTCCGTTTCACATGCACCATTCCAAGCAATAAACAGTCCTTGTGTAATTTTCTAATCATATTCTCCCACTCTGCTAGCTGCTGTTTGAATCCAGGGCCATATCTCATTTATCTTAGGATTCCCAGTGCTACTCCAGGGCTCAGAATATGATAAGCACTCAATAAATGTTTGTTTGAATGAAAAAGTGGACTCACCTGAAGCTATATAAACTCTTTGTGCAGGAGTAGACAGACCTCTCAGAAAAGGCTATTATAAATATGATTTTTGGCTGGGCACAGTGGCTCATTCCTGTAATCCCAGCACTTTGGGAGGCTGATGCAGGTGGATCACTTGAGGTTAGGAGTTTGATACCAGCCTGGCCAACATGGTGAAATCCCATCTCTACTAAAAATACAAAAATTAGCCAGGAATGTTGGCACACACCTGTAATCCCAGCTACTTGGGAGGCTGAGGCACGAGAATTGCTTGAACCCAGGAGGCGGTGAATGCAGTGAGCCGAAATTGCACCACTGCACTCCAGCCTGGGAGACAGAGCGAGACTCCACCTCAGAAAATATATATATGATTTCCATTTTTTTAGGGTTGAACATGACTCAATTTGTCTGCAAGGAAGGCTCACTCAGTCTGAATGTGAGATCTGAACTTTCCTTCCTTGGGATTCTTAGATTCTATCTCTTTAGAATACAGTTCAGCAAAAACAGGAGATACATGAATTCAGGTGAATATTTACATGCATTAAATTCAACAAGATTTTTGTTTGTTTTTTTGGAGACAAGGTCTTTCTATGTTGCCCAGGCTGGTCTCAAACTTCTGCCTCAAGTGATCCTCCTGCATTGGCCTCACAAAAGTGTGAGCCACCACTCCCGGTCCTTAAACTTGATAAGATTTTACCAAGGATATTTTCAACCTTAACACTATCATGGAGTTCTCAAAAGAGTGAAAGATGTGGCCCAGCCTCGGTCACAGTTAAACCGAGGAGGCCCAGTATACAGGCATAGGAGAGAGAACAAGGGACCAGAGAGATGATGCAGCTCTACAATCCCTTGATGGTCCCTGGGAGGCATTAATGGCCAGAAAATGAGACCCTGAAATTGCATGTAAAATATTCTGTGTATATATCAAGGTGTCTTTTCCCTAAAAGGGTGGGGGTGGATAGGCCCATAGCTTTCATTAAATTCCCAAAGCCATCTGTGACGATAAAACATTAAGATCTGGCCCAATATCCACTCCTCCCACCTCTATGGAGGAAACTGAGGCCTGAGCAATTAGGTGATTTCTCCCAGGCCTCACGGCACTTTAGTGTCACATCTGTGTCTAGATCCCAATGTCCAGGGATCTTTCCACTTCTTGGCCACGTCGTTGTCCCACCAAAGAAGCCTGAAGGCTCTGGCAGTTCTGTTGGAAAGGCTTCTGAAATTGATGGCAGTGTTTCCATTTGTCCTAAGTTAAATATAATATCAAAGGGTAGCACTTTAAAATTAGGGGTAAATACTAGGCTTATTATATTTGATCTCCGTTTGACACCAGATTATATAACTATACTATGATACCTATATCTCCCTGGCTCTCTACAATTTGAAGATGCTTTTAAATTCCTTTTACATTTGTACCAGGTCAGAATGCAAATTTTATAATAAAATTACTGAGTTGCGTTTGAGCTTTTAAAATGGTAGTTTCATAGGCTCTTTCTAAAATAGTGATGATTTGCTTTATTTATACACGAGCTAAGCTATTTAACTCTTTAAAAGGAACTATGCATTTCAATATTTGGTTTTCTCTGTAGGAAATGACAGTCAGAAGTTCCCCAGGGAAATTCCTGTTTCAATTCCATTTTTATGCTTTTGGAAAGAAAAACATCATTGCTTTTTGATTTAGAATAGCAAAAAGAGGTTATGTGTTTCTGTTTATCATGGAATATGCCCCCCTTTTAGAGTTACAGCCTTGATGCAATTGCTGATGTATCAATGAAAACAGCCTATCGTCCTGTAACCATTTTATTTGCTGTAACCATTTTCTTGGCTTTTAAATACAGTGTTTCTCCGTATCTGAGGCATATAGCAGAAGGATTGGTTTCAGGACACCTTCAGATATCAAAATCCCCAGATGTTCAAGTCCCTTATATAAAATGGATAGTATTTGTGTATAACCTATGCACATCCTCCTATGTACTTTAAATCATCTCTAGATTAATTATATACCTACTACAATGTAAATGCTATGTAAATAGTTGTTATGCTGTATTTTTTAATTTATAAAATAAATGTACTACATTGTTTTCTTATTTGTAAGATTTTAAAGAAGAGGTTCAACTATATACAGTTCAGAGGTTCAACTACAATACTAAAGGAGAACAGGAAGTTCTTCCCAGGTTGCACACTGCCTACAGTGATTCTGCTTAAAGTATGGCATTATTGCAGAACTAATCTCACTCAGAGTGCTCAAATGCGGTAAGGGAAGGTGAAAAAGCTTCCAGTTGCAGAAGAGCTAATTGACATATGCTACTATCACTATGAAACATCTAACCTTGGGGAGTGGTGGGGAGGAGCTAGTGGGGAGAAGGGAGGATGGAACCAGTCCTCCCTCCATGGGAATTCTTAGAAGAAAAGGAAAAAAAAAAAAAAAGATAGTCTGGAGGGGAAACGATCAGAAGGAAAGTCTAGGAGCATTATGCAAATATAGTAAAGCATTAGCATTATGTACACAGGAGGGGCAAATGCATGTAAATTGCAAACACAGAGGAAAACTAGTGGAGCAGGAGGGGTGATCTTCGAGGAGGCTTCACAGCCCAGGCCAGGGGCAAAGGAAGACAAGAAAGGAGGGAAAAATGAAGAGGGGTAAGGAATGACAACAAGAACAAAAAAAAGAAAAAGGAGAAGAAGGAGAAGGGGATGGGGAGAAGGGGAAGTAGGGAAGCAGGAGTAGGGAGTGGAGGAGGAGGAGAAGGAAGGAAAACACTGGGAGAATGCAGTTGTTATCTGTACCTCCCTATTTCCCCAAGGTACCCACCTCAATTTCCCAGCCTTCCCCCAACCTCCAATTGCTGACCTGCTTGTTCCTAAGCTCCTTTTGAAAGCTGATTTTTCCGGCTTCTGATCATTCATTCAGGTAGCAAGCATTTCTTCAGCAAATGTTTATTGAGAATGGCTCTGGCAAGAGTGAAGATTTCATCTAGCCTTGGAGCAGGGCTGCCAGGAAATTGCAATGAGGAAATAAAACCTAGGACATTTCCAACAACAGCCTCAATCCCCAGCAGTGGGTGGTTACACTCAAATAGAATTGGGGTCACTGGCAAAATGGTCCTTTTTCCCGGGTTCCCTTACACAGCAGTCAAGTTGATGCTCCATTTGCACTGACTGTGGGTGAAGTGGGCAAGAGGTAGGCGCCTGAGATGTCAGGCAGTGGGAAATACGCCCTCTGACATTAATTAGGGATTGGTTGTTATGTTACTATCTTATTATACTGTACTTGTTCTCTAGTATTCTGCCCCAGTCTCCTGGCCAGCCTAAAGAATGAGGGATAGAAAGGCTGATTAGAAGCTCTGAATATGGGCAAAGGGACTTTCTGACCATCAAGTTTCCCTTCACAGCCATTGTTAGGGGATCCCTAAGGCCAAAATTATCAGGGTTTTGCTCTAGGGTTCTAAGCTCCGTGGTGGCTGCCCTAGTTCTTCCCAGAGAGTTTGTTGGGGAAGAATCTTTGTCTTGGAGTAATTGCTGGGTTGTCACAGTTCTGCAAGCAATTCTGATGGAATTGGGAGGGAGGTGGGAGAATTGTACTCTATATTAATCCTTCTGTTCTCTGCCTCACTTCTCATTTCTGTGCTGTGATATGTCATTTCCAGTCTCCTTACCACAGCTGCAGCCCTCACTGCCTATTTTCTAGGTGGCTCCTGCCTCCTGTCTGCTTCATGGCCAACACTCGCCATTCTCTTCACACATTTCAGAAATGTGTTGAGCTCTCTTATCAGTGGAAGTGTCCCTTGCCATTTTATTATTATTATTATTATTATTGCTGGAAAATTCTTTTTTTCATTTTAAATTACTATAATATTAATAGACTCTCAAGGGGAGCTGTAGATCAGCATGTGTGCTTTGGTCTGCCATCTTGAGTACAGTCTTCTGTGGAAATTTGATACACCAGAAATTGGTTCAGGATATGGGCAAAGGAAAATCATTAGAAAAACAACTTGAGGCAAATGGGGCTTCACTGTGCCCTGAAGAACAGGAAACACAGCCACAGACAAAAATAAATAAGATTCCTATTGGCAGATATAGAAAAATTATTAATAGTCTTTAGCAGACCAGTCGGAAGCACCCCAGTGCTGCCATGCATCATCACAGCCACAAGCCATAGGACAGTTTGCCCATGTCCTCAACATGGAAAAAAATGTTAACCTTGTAAAGTCACCAACACAAATGATCAACATCCATTAAACAAATAGTTCATTAAGCATCTATTTCATGCCAGATACTATGCCAAGTGCTTGAGATATAATGGTGAACAAAATCACACATATTTCTTGGCTTCATAGAGTTTACAATCTTATGATTATATAATTAATATGGTTTCACTCTGTCCCCACTCAGATCTCACCTTGAATTCCCACGTGTTGTGGGAGGGACATGGTGGGAGGTAATTGAATTGTGGGGGAGGGTCTTCCTTGTGCTGTTCTTGTGATGGTGAATAAATCTCACAAAATCTGGTGGTTTGATCAGCACAAGCTCCCTCTTTGCCTGCTGCCATCCATGTAAGATGTGACTTGCTCCTCCTTGCCTTCTGCTATAATCATGAGGCTTCCCCAGCCACGTGGAACTGTAAGTCCAAAAAGCCTCTTTCTTTTGTAAATTGCCTAGTCTCAGGTATGTCTTTATCAGCAGCATGAAAACAGACTAATACAATAATTAAATGTAAAATTACATCTGGGGTTACTGCTTTGCTGAAACAATACATACATCTGTAAGAGTGAATAAGGGGTAGCTGACCAAGTCTGAAGGATAGGTGAAGGTTTTCAGGAGGATCTGACTTATGAGGAGCACAATTTTCAATAAGGGCCATTGTGCATTTTATAAATATGTATGTATACTGTTATTACACAGATAGGTTTAATCGTGAAAGATAGTTAAATCCAGCCTAGGCATCAGGAGACCTGGGAGACATTTTAGTTTCAGATTTGTCAACAGATGACTATATGACCCTGGGCAACTCAACTCAGCTTCCTTGGGACGGATTTTTTCATCTGTAAAATGAAGACATCAGATGAAATAATCTGTTAAGTGATGAGTAAGACACAGAAATATATTGTGTTTTCACATAAAATGACCTCATATCTTTGTATATTTCTGTTTGCACTTAAAATGACATCATATTGACAAATATACATTGGTCTTGTTTCTGGGAGATGTGTTGGCTAAAGAACAGAGTTTCAAGAAACAATTATTTTTGAGCATTAATTAAGTATTCTTTTGGGATTTTTGCTCCTGGACTCATTTTAAATTGTGAAAGTTTCTAAAATGTTAATTTGCAATAGTGTTAACTGTTGCTTTTAAAATATCCTTCATGAAACTGGGTGGAAGTTTGTGTGTATGTATGTGTGTATGTGTGTGTGTGTGTGTGTGTGTTTTGTATTTATTGGCAATAAAAGCCTCCTTGAGGAAACACAAGATTATTTTCTTGTCTATAAAAATGTCCCTAGAAATGATAACATATCTTAGGTTGCCTGAGTGATTTGGCAGATTGAAAGAGGAACTTATATGTGGTCAGTACCCCAAAATGATTTTTAGAATTAGGCTAGCTCTGCTTCTTGAAGCATGTTATCTTTAATCCCTTGTTTATCAGTTTGTGCTTATTCTTGCGCTTGATTGAAAATGTTTATAGTTTGGAAACACTATCTCAAAGTGAATTAAATGCTCGTGTATTTTTAAAATAAAATTACACTTCCATCTTTTAATTTATTTTTGAATTATCGTTGATTATGCTCATAGTTTTAATTCCTAATTTGGAGTAAACTCTCTACCTTCAGGAGCTTCAAGTCATTGATCCACTTGGTCCTCAAGTCTAGGTGAGTTCATTATTTCATCAGAGGGGCCGTCCCTCTCCCCTGGACAAAGAGTTGGTACTCAGGTGTGGTTTAGCTAAATTCACAGAAAACCTGACTCCACTATGATTTCTTTGGGTGGTATTGAGGCAGAAAATAAAGGTAAGATATGACTAACAGTTGAGAGAGAAATCTCATCTGGATCACTGAAAAAGGCTAAAGAAGAAATGTCTGTCTTTCACCAATATTCTTTCCTCCCTGAGAAACAGTGTTTCCACCAGCAGAGTGTAATTGTCCATCTCTATTGATCTCCAAGAGCTTTTGAAATATGAACATAATTACAAATAGAGTTTTGGGTGGCACAAGGAAATACTTAGCATCATCTTTGGGAAAGTGGTGGTGCTCTCTACAGATTTTTTTTTTAATGTTCATTGCAGCTTTATTTCTTTTTTTATATATGTACTTCAAGTTCTAGGGTACATGTGCACAACATGCAGGTTTCCTACATATGTATACATGTGCCATGTTGGTGTGCTGCACTCGTTAACTCGTCATTTACATTAGGTATATCCCCTAATGCTATCCCTCCCCCCTTGCCCCACACCACTACAGGCCCCAGTGTGTGATGTTCCCCACCCCGTGTCCAAGTGTTCTCATTGTTCAATTCCCACTATGAGTGAGAACATGCTGTTTCGTTTTCTGTCCTTGCAATAGTTTGCTCAGAATGATGGTTTCTAGCTTCATCCATGTCCCTGCAAAGGACATGAACTCATCCTTTTTTATGGCTGCATAGTATTCCATGGTGTATATGTGCCACATTTTCTTAATCCAGTCTATTATTGATGGACTTTTGGGTTGGTTCCAAGTCTTTGCTATTGTGAATAGTGCCGCAATAAACATATATGTGCATGTGTCTTTATAACAGCATGATTTATAATCCTTTGGGTGTATGCCCAGTAATGGGATGGCTGGGTCAAATGGTATTTCTAGTTCCAGATCCTTGAGGAATCGCCACACTGTCTTCCACAATGGTTGAACTAGTTTACAGTCCCACCAACAGTGTAAAAGTGTTCCTAGTTCTCCACATCCTCTCCAGCACCTGTTGTTTCCTGACTTTTTAATGATTGCCATTCTAACTGGTGTGAGATGGTATCTCATTGTGGTTTTGATTTGCATTTCTCTGATGGCCAGTGATGATGAGCATTTTTTCATGTGTTTTTTGGCTGCATAAATGTCTTCTTTTGAGAAGTGTCTGTTCATATCCTTTGCCCACTTTTTGATGGGGTTGTTTGATTTTTTTCTTGTAAATTTGTTTAAGTTCTTTGTAGATTCTGAATATTAGCCCTTTGTCAGATGGGTAGATTGTAAAAATTTTCTCCCATTCTGTAGGTTGCCTGTTCACTCTGATGGTAGTTTCTTTTGCTGTGCAGAAACTCTTTAGTTTAATTAGATCCCATTTGTCTATTCTGTCTTTGGTTGCCATTGCTTTTGGTGTTTTAGTCATGAAGTCCTTGCCCATGCCTATGTCCTGAATGGTATTGCCTAGGTTTTATTCTAGTGTTTTTATGGTTTTAGGTCTATCGTTTAAGTCTTTAATCCATCTTGTATTAATTTTTGTATAAGGTGTAAGGAAGGGATCCAGTTTCAGCTTTCTCCACATGGCTAGCCAGTTTTCCCAGCACCATTTATTAAATAGGGAATCCTTTCCCCATTTCTTGTTTTTGTCAGGTTTTTCATAGATCAGATGGCTGTAGATGTGTGGTGTTATTTATGAGGGCTCTATTCGGTTCCACTGGTCTATATCTCTGTTTTGGTGCCAGTACCATACTGTTTTTGTTACTGTTACCTTATAGTATAGTTTGAAGTCAGGTAGCCTAATGCTTCCAGCTTTGTTTTTTTTGCTTAGGATTGTCTTGGCAATGCGGGCTCCTTTTTGGTTCCATATGAACTTTAAAGTAGTTTTTTCCAGTTCTGTGAAGAAAGTCATTGGTAGCTTGATAGGGATGGCATTGAATCTATAAATTACCTTGGGCAGTATGGCAATTTTCAAAATATTGATTCTTCCTATCCATGAGCATGGAATGTTCTTCTATTTGTTTGTGTCCTCTTTTATTTTATTGAACAGTGGTTTGTTCTCCTTGAAGAGGTCCTTCACATCCCTTGTAAGTTGGATTCCTAAGTATTTTATTCTCTTTGAAGCAATTGTGAATAGGAGTTCACTCATGACTTGGCTCTCTGTTTGTCTGTTATTGGTGTATAGGAAAGCTTGTGATTTTTGCACATTGATTTTGTATCCTCAGACTTTGTTGAAGTCGCTTATCAGCTTAAAGAGATTTTGGGCTGAGATGATAGGGTTTTCTAAATATACAATCATGTCATCTGCAAACAGGGACAATTTGACTTCCTCTTTTCCTAACTGAATATCCTTTATTTCTTTCTCTTGCCTGATTGCCCTGGCCAGAACTTCCAACACTATGTTGAATAGGAGTGGTGAGAGAGGGCATCCTTGTCTTGTGCCAGTTTTCAAAGGGAATGCTTCCAGTTTTTGCCCATTCAGTATGATACTGGCTGTGGGTTTGTTATAAATAGCTCTTATTATTTTGAGATACATTCCATCAATATCTAGTTTATTGAGAATTTTTAGCATGAAGGGCTGTTGAATTTTGTCGAAGGCCTTCTCTGCATCTATTGAGATAATCATGTGGTTTTTGTCTTTGGTTCTGTTTATATGATGGATTACGTTTATTGATTTGTGTATGTTGAACCAGCCTTGCCTCCCAGGGATGAAGCCTACTTGATCATGGT
The DNA here is from genome assembly GCF_000001405.40 of Homo sapiens. NCBI lineage: Eukaryota > Metazoa > Chordata > Mammalia > Primates > Hominidae > Homo > Homo sapiens. Next base: position 145,593,684 of record NC_000004.12, read on the forward strand.
GGATAAGCTTTTTGAGGTGCTGCCAGATTCAGTTTGCCAGTATTTTATTGAGGGTTTTTGCACTGATGTTCATTAGGGAAATTGGTCTAAAATTCCCTTTTTTGTTGTGTCTCTGTCAGGCTTTGGTATCAGGATGATGTTGTCCTCATAAAATGAGTTAGGGAGGATTCCCTCTTTTTCTGTTTATTGGAATAGTTTCAGAAGGAATGGTACCAGCTCCTGTTTGTACCTCTGGTAGAATTCAGCTGTGAATCCGTCTGGTCTTGGACTTTATTTGGTTGGTAGGCTATTAATTATTGCCTCAATTTCAGAACTTGTTATTGGTCTATTCAAGGATTCAGCGTCTTCCTGGTTTAGTCTTGGGAGGGTGTATATGTCCAGGAATTTATCCATTTCTTCTAGATTTTATAGTTTATTTGCATAGAGGTGTTTATAGTATTCTGTGATGGTAGTTTGTATTTCTGTGGGATTGGTGGTGATATCACCTTTATCATTTTTATTGCGTCTATTTGATTCTTCTCTCTTTTCTTCTTTATTAGTCTTGCTAGCGGTCTCTCAATTTTGTTGATCTTTTCAAAGAATCAGCTCCTGGATTCATTGATTTTTTTAAAGAGTTTTTGTGTGTCTCTATCTCCTTCAGTTCTGCTCTGATCTTAGTTATTTCTTGCCTTCTGCTAGCTTTTGGATGTGTTTGCTTTTGCTTCTCTAGTTCTTTTAATTGTGATGTTAGGGTATCAATTTTAGATCTTTGCTGCTTTCTCTTGTGGCCATTTAGTGCTATGAGTTTCCCTCTACACACTGCTTTAAGTGTGTCCCAGAGATTCTGGTATGTTGTGTCTTTGTGCTCATTGATTTCAAAGAACATCTTTATTTCTGCCTTCATTTCGTTATGTACCCAGTAGTCATTCAGGAGCAGGTTGTTCAGTTTCCATGTAGTTGAGCAGTTTTAAGTGAGTTTCTTAATCCTGAGTTCTAGTTTGATTGCACTGTGGTGTGAGAGACAGTTTGCTATAATTTCTGTTCTTTTACATTTGCTGAGGAGTGCTTTACTTCCAAGAATGTGGTCAGTTTTGGAATAAGTGCAATGTGGTGCTGAGAAGAATGTATATTCTGTTGATTTGGTGTGGAGAGTTCTGTAGATGTCTATTAGGTCTGCTTGGTGCAGAGCTGAGTTCAATTCCTGGATATCCTTATTAACTTTCTGTCTCATTGATCTATCTAATGTTGACAGTGGGATGTTAAAGTCTCCCATTATTATTGTGAGTGATTCTAAGTCTCTTTGTAGGTCTCTAAGGACTTGCTTTATGAATCTAGGTGCTTCTGTATTGGGTGCATATATATTTAGGATAGTTAGCTTTTCTTGTTGAATTGATCCCTTTACCATTATGTAATGGCCTTCTTTGTCTCTGTTGATCTTTGTTGGTTTAAAGTCTGTTTTATCAGAGACTAGGATTACAACCCCTGCTTTTTTTTGTTTTCCATTTTCTTGGTAGATCTTCAATCCCTTTATTTTGAGCTTATGTGTGTCTCTGCACGTGAGATGGGTCTCCTGAATACAGCACACTGATGAGTCTTGACTCTATTCAATTTGCCAGTCTGTGTCTTTTAATTGGAGCATTTAGCCCATTTACATTTAAGGTTAATATTGTTATGTGTGAATTTGATCCTGTCATTATGATGTTAGCTGGTTATTTTGCTCGTTAGTTGATGCAGTTTCTTCCTAGCATTGATGGTCTTTACAATTTGGCATGTTTTTGCAGCGGCTGGTACTGGTTGTTCCTTTCCATGTTTAGTGCTTGCTTCCTTCAGGAGCTCTTGTAAGGCAGGGCTGGTGGTGACAAAATCTCTCCGCATTTGTTTTTCTGTAAAGGATTTTATTTCTCCTTCACTTATGAAGCTTAGTTTGGCTGGATATGAAATTCTGGGTTGAAAATTCTTTTCTTTAAGAATGTTGAATATTGGCCCCCACTCTCTTCTGGCTTGTAGAGTTTCTGCCGAGAGATCCGTTGTTAGTCTGATGGGCTTCCCTTTGTGGGTAACCCAGTCTTTCTCTCTGGCTGCCCTTAACACTTTTTCCCTCATTTCAGGTTTCGTGAATCTGACAATTATGTATCTTGGAGTTGCTCTCATTGAGGAGTATCTTTGTGATGTTCTCTGTATTTCCTGAATTTGAATGTTGGCCTGCCTTGCTAGGTTGGGGAAGTTCTCCTGGATAATATCCTGAAGAGTGTTTTCCAACTTGGTTCCATTCTACCTGTCACTTTCAGGTACACCAATCAGATGTAGATTTGGTCTTTTCAGATAGTCACGTATTTCTTGGAGGCTTTGTTCATTTCTTTTTACTCTTTTTTCTCTAAACTTCTCTTCTCACTTCATATCATTCATTTGATCTTCAATCACTGATACCCTTTCTTCTACTGAAGCTTGTGCATGCATCACGTAGTTCTCGTGCCATGGTTTTCAGCTCCATCATGTTATGTAAGGACTTCTCCACACTGTTTATTCTAGGTAGCCATTCATCTATTCTTTTTTCAAGGTTTTTAGCTTCTTTGCAATGGGTTCGAACATCCTCCTTTAGCTCGGAGAAGTTTGTTATTACTGATCGTCTGAAGCCTTCTTCTCTCAACTCGTCAAAGTCATTCTCCGTCCAGCTTTGTTCTGTTGCTGGCGAGGAGCTGCATTCCTTTGGAGAAGAAGAGGCACTCTGATTTTTAGAATTTTCAACTTTTCTCCTCTGGTTTCTCCCTATATTTGTGGTTTTATCTACCTTTGGTCTTTGATGATTGTGACGTACAGATGGGATTTTGGTGTGGATGTCCTTTCTCTTTGTTAGTTTTCCTTCTAACAGTCAGGACCCTCAGCTGCAGGTCTGTTGGAGTTTGCTGGAGGTCCACTCCAGACCCTGTTTGCCTGCAGCCAGTGGAGGCTGCAGAACATCAAATATTGCAGAATGGCAGATGTTGCTGCCTGATCCTTCCTCTGGAAGCTTCATCTCAGAGGGGCACCAGCTGTATGAGGTGTCAGTCGGCCCCTACTGGAGGTGTCTCCCAGTTAGGCTACTCAGGGGTCAGGGACCCACTTGAGGAAGCAGTCTGTCCATTCTCAGATCTCAAACTCCACACTGGGAGAACCACTACTCTCTTCAAAGCTGTCAGACAGGGACGTTTAAGTCTGCAGAAGTTTCTGCTGCCTTTTGTTCAGCTATGCCCTGCCCTCAGAGGTGGAGTCTACAGAGGCAGGCAGGCCTGGTTGAGCTGCAGTGGGCTCCACCCAGTTTGAGCTTCCCGGCCACTGTGTTAACCTACTCAAGCCTCAGCAATGGTGGATTCCCCTCCCGTAGCCTTGCTGCTGCCTTGCAGTTTGATCTCAGACTGCTGTGCTAGCAGTGAGCAAGGCTCCGTGGGCGTGGGACTCACCAAGCCATGCGCAGGATATAATCTCCTGGTGTGCTGTTTGCTAAGGCCATTGGAAAAGCGCAGAATTAGGGTGGGAGGGTCCTGATTCTCCAGGTACCATCTGTCACAGCTTCCCTTTGCTAGGAGAGGGAATTTTCCAACCCCTCGCACTTCCTGGGTGAGGCGATACCCCACCCTGCTCAGTGGGCTGCACCCACTGTCTGACAAGCCCCTGTGAGATGAACCCGGTACCTCAGTTGGAAATGCAGAAATCACCCATCTTCTGCATCACTCACGCTGGGAGCTGCAGACTGGAGCTGTTCCTGTTCGGCCATCTTGGAACCTCTCCTATAAATTTCAATTCAAAGGCCAAATTCCTTTCAAAAGGAGTTTTGTGTCTTTCCCGTTTTCTGTATTGAACTTTGTGTTCTAGTTGCTAACCACCATTTACAGTCCAGAATGTGCAATGAGATGGCAGTCAATGCATAAATAAATACTTGTGAACTGCTAATAAGTGTCTTAGAAAAGGACAGTCATTTTCAAGTGTTCATGTCAACATTACCTTATAGGCAAATGTGTTAACAATACACACAGCCTTGATCAGCTGTGGCTATGTTAGTCAAAATGCAGCTGTGAAGGGATTAAGGAAGGGCTAAATCCTTTCTTAAAAATTGCATTAAAATGTAACACAGAAGAAAAAAAAATGAATGAAAGCATGTATGAATTTCCTAAACCTACAACATTTGTGCTGATAGTTCAGACCTGCATTTTAACATTCTACATATATAGTTACACATATAAAATATTTTTATCATTGAAAACCATATTGAGGACAAATATTTACTGACATGGGAAGAACTTTGTAGTAGACTGATAATTTAAAAATCAGGTGAAAAACCAATTTGTAGTGAATGGTGCCACTGTAGTGGATAAGTGTATATATATTTATTAAAAAGAAGAGAGCTGAGTTGATACGCAGAAGCTGTTAACAGTGATTACCCCTAGACAGTGGGGTCATGGGTATCTTATGTTACTCTTCTTGCTGACCTTTTTCCTAGTTTTTCTTCAACAAGGTTGCATTGTCTTTTTAATAAGAAAAATAAATATTAAACATACTGTATAACAAAAAGTGTTATGATCACTTGTCAGCAACTGAGCCACTGATATTTGCAGTGATCACAGAAGCATGCATGAGAAGCAAATAAATAACAATAAATTCCTTGAGGCCAACCTTTCTCAAAGTGTGTTCCTGAAAACACACATTCACAAAATTCTCTGTGAAAAGCATAAACAGGGTTGATTTTTAAGACCTATAGCCATGTTGGCAACATTTTAAAAAGGACTCTAAATCTTTTGTAAATTCAAAAGGCACTATGGAATGTTCTGCAGTAGAGAAACCTCTACAGCAATTTCAGTTGTTGACCCTCCAACAATATGGGTATTCTTTGTGAAGTTTTGGGGGAGTCAAAAGTTGCATGAAGATTTTTGCCTGTATGGAGTTGGTGCCCCTGACTTTTAGGTTGTTCAAGGGTCAACTGTACTTATTTGACCACAGATCTATTTTTTTCATGGAACACCCATTAATATTTCATGGTCCCCACTTTAGGAAATGCCATCTTCGTTCATTTTGTGTTGTTATAACAGATCACCACACACTATGTAATTTATAAAGAAAAATAATTCCTTCTTACAGTCTTGGAGGTTTAAAAGTCCAATATCAAAGTGCTAGCATCTAAGGAGAGCCTTCCTGTTGCATCATTTCATAGTGGAAGGTGGAAAAGGAAGGTGGAAGGTCAAGAAAGGATGCTCCAGAGAAAGCAAGATCAAGAGAGGCCTGAACTCACTTTTATAACAAGCCCAGTCTCATGGTAACTGACCCACTCCCACATTAGCAACAACAATCCATTCATGAAGGCGGAGCCCTTGTGACCTAACCACCTCTTATTAAGCCCCACCTTCCAACACTGTCACATTGGGGATTTAGTTTACAGCACATGAACTTTGGGGGACACACTTAAACCATAGTGCCGTCTTCAGTCTGAGAAGAATTTCTGTCTTTCATTGAAGTTCCAAAGGCTTCTTATTTTGATGACTTTGCCTAAAGAAGGGATTCTACAGCCAAATGCTTTCTTTTTAACATACCGAATGAGTAAAAGTGCAAAATAAGTACAGAACTATCAAACAGCAACAAATGTGCTTCTGCTGCCTACCACAGAATTTTCCTTGGTAAGAAGAAAACCCTACATTACATTTCTTTTTGGCTTCTGTCTCTGCAGGTAAGAGGAAAGTGGACACCCCACAACAAACTACAAGGAGTTTCAATTTTCACCTCCTAGCCCTAATTTCTCAGGGTTAGCCCTCTTCCTGGTCTTTTCCAATCCACTCTCACTTCCTCCAGTTGGTAGAAATGATGCTTCAAAAGTCCTAATGAGAATTTCCAGAGCTGGATTCCAGCATTAACAGATCAGTAACTGGGTGTTTGGTACCCACAAGGCTAACAATTTGGGGTACTTTTTTTTAAGAGATAGGGTCTCACTATGTTGCCCAGGCTGGACTTTAACTCCTGGGCTCAAGCGACCTTCTCACCTCAGACTCCGGAGTAGCTGGGAATACAGGTGCACACAACCACGCCTGGCTTTAAGTACATTTTAATCACAATTTAAAAATCGTAATAAAACAATTACTTTAATGTGGCAAACTGTAACAAAATTTGCCATTTTGACCATTTTAAAGTATACAATTCAGTGGCACTATATACATTCATATTATGCAGCCATCACCACCATCCATTTCCATAACTTTTTCATTACTCCATATAGAAATTATGCACACATTAAACATTAACTCTCCATTCTGATCTCCCCCTAGCCCTTAGTAGCCTTTATATTAGTTTCTGTCTGTGTGAATTTGGCTATTCTAGGTATCTGATATAAGTTGAATCATACAATATTTGTCACTTTATGTCTGGCTCTTTTCACTTAACATAATTATCCTCAAGGTTCATCCAAAACATAATATTTTTCACTTAATAATGACTGTTTCATATCAGTGAAAGGGATGATGTTTTCTGTAACTTTTTTCCAAGATAAAGAGCCCAATGCAGTCCATTTCTTTCCTGACTCTATTTCTGCTGAAATAGCCCTAATCATAATTATTGGTCATCGGGATTGGTAGAATTGTTCAGGACCTCTGTCTGATCATTCTAAATATATCATTTAAACATGTACCCAGAAAGCATAGTATTTCTTTCTCAGCAGTAAGTCAGGTACTAGAGGGGAAAACATCACACTTAATAACTGGAATGTCCTCTGTTATAGCCTCAGAGTTGATGATGAATGCAGTCCTGCTCCACTTTGATTCCATCTGGCTCTGGAAGGTGTTTCTGAAGATTTGTGAACAGCATTTGAATTTGTTTGTTTTTATTTATATTGTCTTTTTACTATGATGTATAAATATGTCCTGTAATGTCATTGATCTATATGATGAGTGAGACAATCAAGTGTTAAAATGGAACTTGTTGATTAGGATATTTATACCATAGTTTAGTTTTCTTAAGAAACTCTGACAGACACGATATTTAAAATGACTAAATTTACACTTTGACATAAGGCTACTAAAAGGTAGAATATACCATTGAGATATGCCACTTGAAAAAACTACTTTTAAAAAAATGGCATTACTGGTGTCATGAAGAAAAGAAATGCTTTTATCTCAACCCTGGTTTCAAAAATTTGTGTAAAAATTTTCACCTCAATAAATAGTTTACTTCTGTGTAGAAAAGGAGACTTATGCTTGCTGCCAATTTCTTCACAAAGCATGCTTAAAAGATAAACACTTGGGGCCACAGTTTGAATGTATTAACTACTTCACCAACTATTTTCTGGGGACAAAGCAATGCATAAAGGACATTCATCTTTATCCATGTAAATATTTTCTTGTTGAGCACATACTGCTGTTCATGTCTTTCTAGCCTAAATCATAGTTCACAGAATAATTGTTAACCACATGGAAAACCTCCCCTAGCATGGGGTTGGAGCCATAAACTAGCCAATAAGTCATTGAGCACTTTTCTTTCATATATTTCTGCATATTTCTGTCAAGCGCTGATTGATACTCTGCACACCTGATTCTTTCCAAATGTAAGCCAAGTATCTGCTAGCATGTACTCCTGATAAGACATTGTTCTTCTGTGCTGTATGCCATTAATATTATATGATGTACAGTAGTTCACTTGGATTATGAAATTGCCAGTAGCTAATTAAAGTTTCTTCCTGAGCATGGTAATGATCATTAACCTTAGAGCTGGTTTCAGAAATTTCTTAGTGATAATGTGACTTCTATATTTCTTTTTTTGATGTGTAACTTTGAATAATGTTTATTTAGTTTTAGTCTCTTCTCCATCTTTAAATGACAAAATTTATCAATTTCATATTAGAAAGCATTATTTTGTGCTTGTTCAGGAAAAATTCAATTGGTTTATCAGAAAGGTCACGGAACTATGAAAGCAATGCAAAAGCTCCTGTGGCTTCTTGCCATTCTTTAACAAAGTTTTGTAACAGACAATGCAATAGAAACTAGAGGCAAATTGATTGCTGGTCTGATAAAATCCAATTTTCACATATTCATCAAGATTCACTTGTTTTAGCAAATACAGCTTCATATTTGATATTTGCATTGAATTCCTGTTCCCTGTTTACATTTACAGTGTTGTTCTATTTATATTACAATTTTCGTCACTACTTTTATACTTTACTTTTAAATAACTGATTTATTTCTGTGAATTGGCTATCATGACACAATAAAAAGTCTAAAGCTGACAGATGTAAATGACATTTAAATGTGCAAAATCCAATAGTCAAGGCAAAGTGCACCATTAACTATTAGCTGAAATGAGCAACTTTTAGGAAGAAGCACAGTGATTATTAAGCATGTGACTAGCTTTCTATAAAACATAATAAGTTAATCTTAACTCTCAAGTTTACAGAATAAACATGAACTAAATCGTTTCCTTGCTGTTTCCTCCTATAGCTAGCCTGGGAAACACCAATGACCCATAGTCTACCTGGGATCAGCATTTCCCCATATGGTATGATTTTGGGGTATTGGGATGGCTGCCTGTCCTCCAAAATAGCTCATTATTTAAAGCCATCAAGTTATTTTTTTCTTCCTGTGACTGCAAGATAGATCTGGCTCATAAAACTCAAGGCATGTAAGTACTGTGTGAACCAATTGCATAACATGTCCCCACTACTCCGGAGATTGAAGCAGGAGGATCAGTTGAGCCCAGGAGTTCAAGGCTGCAGCGAGCTGTGATTGTGACTATGAATAGCCACTGCCCTCCAGACTGAGTGACATAGCAAAACTCTGTCTTAAAAAAAATACTCAAGGCAATTTTTATGAATATCATGGAGCCTATACCATTAAAGGCAGCCTATAGACATGAGCTGCATATAAAATAGACATAGTCCCTGCCTTCCCAGAGCATGATTCAGATCTTAAATAAATAAGCATGAATAAACTGCAAACTACCAACTGTAGTAAGTGCTGAAGGAAAAGAAAGTTAAGAGAGAATAATAAAGTGAAGAAGGGTGTCTAATTTAAATTGTTGGGTCAAAGGCAAGCACTGTGTGAGCTCTTTCCTTTGAGCTCCTCCGTCGGAGGAATAATCCACAAGTACTAAATACAGGTACTTAGTATATGCCATTTTTCTAATAACATTTGTGTAGTATAGGAATGCCTGCAAATAAAAGATGCTTTTTCTATCATTCATTTACTTTTTTTTAGTGCTTACAATATTAAGACATTTTTCTAGACTTGGGGGCAGGGCGGTGCAGATAGGGCACAGGGTGAGTAAGACAGACAAGTTTTCTGTGCTTATGTAGTTTTTGTTCTAGAGGTGAGATGTTCCTCTTCAGAATATGGAAAGAGAAAAATATAACTAAACTCTGGAGTAAACTACTTAAAAAGTTTATGAAGTTCACCATGGGGATAAGAAATACACTCGTGCCCAACAACCCTTGACTGTAGCCAGACTGAATATTTAATAATCTGTTTTTTAAAAGGGCATATATCAATCAGAAGTAGTGATTAGCAATGTAGAATATAAATGCTCACATGGAGCTGGTGTAGTAGGTATTACAGATTGTTGACACTAGCCATTACTATCACCTTACTCCTCTTCTGATTGAAATTTGGCCTCAAATAGAAATTTGCCTGTGGAGAGAATTATTAATAAGAACTGGATATGCTGTTGGCATTTTGGTCACATGTATTAGTGTTTGGGAAAGTATCTCCATGAATCTTTACCTGAGGAGACTATAAATTAAGCTTTGAGCCTGCTAGGCCAGGGACTGGCTCTGGATTGAGTGCGGGGCCATCATCCCCAAGTAGTGCCCCCAGGGCCTGTATTGGGCTGGCCAGGCAGCTTTCCCCTTGAGACTACTGGCTTTAGGGTTAGTTTTTTTTTTTTTCCAATCAGCAATTTGAATTAATCAATTATCAGGAGATATTTTTGAGATATTTCATCAACTATCCCTAGAAAGACAATAATGATTTAAAATGTCAGACAGGAATGGTTATTTCAAGGCTTCATAAAAAAACCATCTTTAAAAGATTGGCTGATATTCCCAAGTGCTATCAAAATAGGCTAGAAAATGTTGGAGCAATTGAACCCACAATTTTTTATCCTTTTATAAATGCAGTTGCTGTTCTCTAAGGAAGAAGACAGGCTAACGCAGCCAACAGGGTTTTTTTTTTTTCAAATAAATTAATAAATTAAGTAAACAGACATTTCTTTTATTCTGTCAGCTGAAATAGTGCATAAGATCAAAAAGAAACATTCAGCATTCAGTCTTGTCTCCCTTTCTTATGAAACTGAAAAGAAACAAAATAAGCACATTTGAATTTGGTGTAAAGAAGACTATTTATCATAGACAGTTGAATATTACTCATCTGAGACCAAATCTACTCATTTCCAGTTCAGCAAAAATACACAAAGAATTTGATAAATATTGAATTACGCTTCAGGGCAACTGCTCATGCTTTTAATATAATCTTTTTTTAAAAAAATTCTTTCCTTCTACTTTGAAATTAAAGTCCATTACCAAATATCATTTTAAAAATACATTGTATTTCTTTTTGTCTCATCCTAGGGAAGAGCTGTTGCTTGCTTTTACACCACTACCTTTAGTTATTTTTCTCCTGAATGAGAGGAAAGAAAGCTTGAACATTTGTAGAAAAAACGCAGCAAAAAGAAGAAAAATAGGCAGACTGTAAAATGATGTGGTCACGTTAGCTATATTGCATATACTATTGTTAAGATCATGTGTTTAGAGACATTAACTTAGATTTTGGTAATTATTTTGGAAATTTATAGTATTCAGTTTATGGAGCTTTGTGTAAAATGGAGCATACTTAAGCAACTGAAAACAATGATTAGCTTTTCTAAACTTTGCACATTAAGATCATGGGGCATTTTTAAATGTTAGTTTTTTTCATAACAATTAAAAGTCCTCTTTGCATATTTAACTAAAATATGAAAGTGGGAGACAGACACTGCTAACATGTTGTGCATTTCCTCCAGCATCTAAATAAATAAAGATAGATGTAGATCTAGGAATCACACATTACTAGATTTGATAATGCAAGCAGAAAACCCTCAAATCTTCTGTCTTTCCTATTTTCTACCAAGGCACCTGAAAAGAGATGCCTCTGTCACAATCCCAGCTTCATGTCATGCCTTTGCTGTCATTTCCTCACCTAATCAACCAATTTTCCCTAGACTATTAATGAAATAATGCTTCCTTTCTCCATTTATTTAGGACACCATCTTTCTCATAATTTTTTGTGGTTGGTATTCTGAATCAAGCATTCTTTTTTTTTTTTTTTTTTTGAGATGGAGTTTCGCTCTTGTCACTCAGGCTGGAGTGCAATGGCGCAATCTTGGCTCACTGCAACCTCCGCCTCCCAGGTTCAAGCGATTCTCCTGCCTCAGTCTCCCAAGTAGCTGGGATTACAGGCATGTGCCACCACGCCTGGCTAAGTTTGTTATTTTTTTGTTTTTGTTTTTGTTTTTGAGATGGAATCTGGCTCTGTTGCCCAGGCTGGAGTGCAGTGGTGCAATCTCAGCTCACTGCAAGTGCCACCTCCCAGGTTCACGCCATTCTCCTGCCTCAGCCTCCTGAGTAGCTGGGACTACAGACGCCTGCCACCGTGCCCGGCTAATTTTTTGTATTTTTAGTAGAAACGGGGTTTCACTGTGGTCTCGATCTCCTGACCTCGTGATCCGTCCACCTCGGCCTCCCAAAGTTCTGGGATTACAGGTGTGAGCCACTGCGCCTGGCCCTAAGTTTTGTATTATTAGTAGAGACAAGGTTTCACTATCCTGGCCAGGCTGGTCTTGAACTCCTGACCTCAAGTGATCCTGCCTGCCTCAGCCTTTACCCTTTATTTCCTATTACATATCAGACCCTCCCTTTCAAATCACTTTTCTTCAGTTCAAATTACATCTTTTATCATTTCTTCTTTGAGTTTTGCACTGCTGGTAAACTCTCTTTTTTTGTTGTTTTTTTGTTTGTTTGTTTGTTTGTTTTTGGTCTGAAAATGTCTCTACCCTCATTCTTAAAAAACGATTTTATTGAATATAAGATTTTAAATGGCAGTTATTTTCTTTCAACATATTAAAGATATTTCACCAGCTCCTGGCTTCCAGTGTTTATTGTTGGTCTAAGTGAGGTTCCTTTGAAAATAATCAGTCTTCTCTTTTCCTACGGCTTCTTTTTAAGTGTTAAGTCCTTGCTTTTCTGCAATTCAGTATGTGTCAAGATGTATATTTATTTTTGGTTTCTTTCATTAGTCCTGGAAAATTCTCAGCTATTATCTCTGTTCCATATCTTTCTTTCTCTTCAACTGGAACTCTTATCAGATGTATAATAGATCTTCTTAACCTAAGAAACTCTTAAATGAAGAAGCTCTAAGCTCTGTGTTACATAAACTCTGGTTTATACTTCCTACTTCTTTTTGTCTCTGTATTCTGAATAGTTCTTACCAATCTTCAAATTCACTAATTCTCTTTTCAACTTCTTCTTGTGTGTTGTTAATTCTATCCATTGAGTTTTATATTTCAATTGTTATATTTTTTATTTCTAGAAGTTTGCTTAGTTCTCTTTTAAATATGCTAGGTTTTTAAAAAAATAGTTTCCTATTCCCTGAAAATACTTGGTTTTTCATTTTCAAAGCATAGTCATTTTATTTCCTGTAACTGGAATATTACAATATCTAAATTAATTGTATATTTGTTTCTGCTCTTTGTTGTTTTTTGCTGGGTCTTGTGCATAGTGACTTATTTCCTTGTGGTTCTTGGTTACGTTTGTCTGTGAGTTGCTTTTTGTTTTTCCTTGGAAAATTATTTTTGAGTTGTCTTAGAGGCCTAAAGTCAAGATGCCTTTGCCTCTGACTAGTGCATAGAAACACCATCAGTTTGGAAACAACTTAAAATTATGGTTTAAAGTTTTTTGGACTACCTTGGTGTTGTAAATACTGTGTGAAAAAGCCTGATGCATTCATATGCTCACAACTTTTCAGGGGTGGTTATTTTCCAGCCCTGCTCTGCTTAGAGCCAAGTTAACCTTCCTGGCAGAGGTGGAGCAGGTTCATTTCTGGTTTATCTTTTTTCCTGAGGGAATATCGTTTTGGTATCTTGGCTTTATGGCAGAAGGGCCTCCTTTTAGATCTTCACATTGTTCATCTCAAGTACACACTAGGCTTTGAGTTCTGTTTTCCGTGCTCTACAAGGCCACTGAAACCAAATTCGCTTGGTTTAGCAAATGCTTTTAGGGCAAAAGCAGTTTCAATGCTGTGCTCCTACCTTGGGTCTTTCCTCTTTTTAGGTTTTGCCCTGGAAATGTCTTACTACCTTATCATATCTTTATTGCTTAAAAGGATTCACTTTTCATGTGCTATACAGCATTTTAAGTTATTCTTTCCTTCAGCCGGGAATGTTGGTCTGAATAACCCAGCCTGCCATACAGCTGGAAGTGGAAATCTTCTTTTGTAATTATAAAAGCATATCCAAGTGTTTCTATCCCCCTTTTCATTCCTAATGTATTAGGTATTTGTGGTGTGTGTGTGTGTGTGTGTGTATTTGTGGTGTGTGTGTGTTTGTGGGTCTGTGTCTCTGCGTGTGTGTGTTTCTTAATTAGAAATCTCCAGGGCATTTATCTTTTTTTGAGACAGGGTCTCACTCTGTCATCCAGGCTGGAGTGCAGTGGCACAATCATGGCTCACTGCAGCCTCATCCTCCCAGGCCCAAGCAATCCTCCCACCTCAGCCTCCCAAGTAGCTGGGGGACCACAGGTGCATGCCATCATACCTGGCTAATTTATTTTTATTCTTTTTGTAGAGACAGGGTCTCACTATTTTGCCTAGGCTGATCTCTAACTCCTCGGCTCAAGCAACTTCCCACTTCAGCTTCCCAAAGTGCTGGGATTACAGGCATGAGTCACCGCCCTCTGTCTTCAGGGCATTTTTGTATTATTTTTTCCTTCAAAGACACAACTTTTGGTATACTTATAACTGTAATGGCTTTTATTTAATAATTCTTTAATTTTTGTCTTTATTTTTCTAATTTCCTTTTCCTTAAATAATATATTTTGTTTGAGTTCATCTTCACATGCATCCCATTTGTTTTGTAATTTTATATACTTCTTTTCTAAAGGAGCAATAATTATTGTTTTTATTTCCTTTTTGTCATATAACTTATTTGGGATAATCTCCTTCCCAAATTTCTAAATGATTGCTTTTTTCCCCTTGTTTAATCATTTGTTATTCATTTTTATTGTATTTTATTACTTTTAGAGAATGTGATCTAAGTTTTAGATTATTTTCTAAATACTGAGTTTTTAATGGCCTAATGTTATCAATTTTAGCATATATTCTACAGATCTTTGTCAAAAAGAAATAATCATATTTAGGGTCTAACATTCAAGATATACATGAACATAAATAGGTAGATAGATATTAATCTTTTAAATTATAATCTTGGAATTTTTTTGACTACTTGATTTGTCAGGTCATTAATTCAAATGACACAGTTATAAAATGAGAATCTTTCTTAGGGGTAACATGTCTAAGCAAGTTGTTATCTACACATAAAGATATTTTCCCTTATATTACTTCAGAATATTTAATATTTTCATTAACTAACAATACTTGGCAAAGCATGTGATTAGTGTCTATAACAAGATTGTTTTTTCTCACTGTCAGATTTTAATCCCCTACTTCCCTTTCAACATTGAATACATATAAACTACGCCAGAATGGTCTTTCTATGTCTTCTTTCTCCAGTAAGCAACATGATGACCGTGGGGTTTTTTGGTGTATGTGGAAGGGGAAGGTGGGTTATGTTGTGGACTGGCATCTGTGTCATATTTTGTTCTTACCAACCATACAGTTAGAACAAAATGGGCAAGAGTGTAACCTCTGAGTAGGACTTTGGAAAGTACCCCCCCCCCCAACATCCTTAATCATTATAAGACTTATTTATAGGAGTAAAATAGTTTCTCATATAAAATTTGAAAACAGCATCTGCAATATAATCAGGCAGGAGGAAAATGGTATATTTAATCACATCACTCCAAGGCAACCATTAATAACTAGTTTTGCTTCTTTCCTTCTAATATTTCTTCTAGAATTGTTTTACATAATTGAGACTCTTCTGCTATTATATAATAGGCATTTTCCATTATTAAAAATTATTTAACAGAATCATGTTTAAATGCCTTGACAATATACTATTATTTACTTAATATTTCTTTAATATTAAACTGGCATTTCCAATATCTTTGTATTATTAATTATGCTTTGGTGAATTTGTTTTCTTTCTATCCTTTTTTTTGTTTTGTTTTGAGATAGAGTCTTGCTCAGGCTGGAGTGCAGTGGCGCGATCTCAGCTCACTGCAACCTCCGCCTCCCAGGTTAATGTGATTCTTCTGCCTCAGCCTTCCAAGTAGCTGCGATTACAGGTGCCCACCAGCATGCCTCGCTAATTTTTGTATTTTTGGTAGAGACAGTGTTTCACCATGTTGGCCAGGTTGGTCTCGAACTCCTGACTTCACGTGATCTGCCTGCCTCAGCCTCCCAAAGTGCTGGGATTACAGGCGTGGGCCATAAGTAACACAGTGGATCCCTAACTTTTGGGTGCATCCAAAAGCCCTGAAAGGCCTCATTCCCCAAGTTTCAGGTTCAGTAAAAGTCTGAGCGTGGCCAAATAATTTGTATTTCTAACATTTCAGGTGATGTCAATGCTGCTGGTCCAGGGACCAAACTTGGAGAATCACTGTAATAATGACATGTAAGGATTTGTTTCAATAATTTCTGAAAAGCAATGCTTCTTCCTTCTATTGTTGTTTCCATCTTTGATAATGCAGGGAAAAATAATACTTATTTTAGATTAGAAAAGGAAGTAGTAATGTCTATTAAAGGTTTTTAAAAATCTTTTAGTCATTGGCTTTTGCTAACTCGTTTGCACTGATTGTGGAATCTTACTGGAACCATTTGACCCTGGAGCTACATCACTATACAGCTGGTCTCATTTTTTTTAAGTCACCTGCCCTCATTTAATTCATTTCCTTTGGTGTTTTCCTTCCTGTGGAAAGTCTCTGACATCTGTCCTACATACTTCCTTATGAATACAAAAGCTCATCTTTTTTATTTTTAAGTTTTATGAGTCAATTACTCTTACCCTTTTTGTATTTGTGATGTTTTCATTCCTTATGTTTTCAAAAGACACTCTAGTCTATAATTATTTATGATTGCTCTTTAAAAAAATTTTTAAACATCTTTTACTACATTCTGTTGACATATTTAGGTCTGAGCCTAATGTCAAATACTAGCAGCAGATGACTTCTCACTTCACTGGCACCATCATGTGGTGAAATTGTGCGCTACATCGAAACATTTGCCAACATGGTGCCATTTCATCACATCTTATGTATAGATAACACTGAAATTGGAACTATCATAATAAGTTAGGGAATCTGAAATAATCCTGTTACTTTAGTAAATTCACAGAAAAGTAAGCACCAATGATTAAGTATGTGGACACTGAAGTCAATTACATGAGCTCAAAGCCAGACTTTTATACTATCATGTAACATTTGGGCACATTGGTTAATCTCCCTGAGTCTCAGTTTCCCTGTATGTAAAATGGGATAACAGTAGCATCTATCTCACAGGGATGTTGACAATAGCCATAAAATAGTTTAATAATATCAGCTGCGATTAGTTGTTACCATGCCATCACATTTGATTTTCCCTTTATGTTCATACCAAGAAAAGAAAATCAGACTTCCCCTGTGAGTTTAGAAAATTATACCAAAATGGAATAATTGTTTTCAGAATTATTAGAAGTAACATGAAGTTAAAAACTGTAAAAGATAAAGGTTGAAAAAACATTTAAATAAAAGTCATTTTTTTAAAAAGGCAACTTCTGGAAAGAAAGGTCTATGAACTCTATTTACCAAGTGAAATTTGAAAATTAATCTCATTATATTAAGCATAATCGACAGTCAAAATAAACAATTGTGAAGATGAGTAACTTAAAACCTTTTTAAGGGTCAAAAATACTTTTTAAAATTAAAAGTGATTTATAGTCCCCAATCCTCTCAATGATCTATTGAAAGAGAAATGTTTAATTTTATAAATCCTTGAAAGAGATACATGTGGGACAGATCTGTATGTTGGAAATCTTTCTATTAAAAAATAAATTATTTTATCACGATAATAGTGAGAGTAGAAGAAAGCATGCAGGGTTGCTGTGATTTGAATGTGTTCCCCAAAGTTAATGTGTTGGAGGCTTCATTTCCAATGCAATGGTGTTGAGAAGTGAAACTTTTGAGAGGTGACTGGGTCCTGAGGGCTCTACTCTCATTAAGGGATGAATGGAGCCATTATTGCAGGAGTGCATAATTGTCATGGGAGTGGAGTTCCTGATAAAAGGATAAGTTCAGCCCCCTTCCCTACTCTTTTCCCTTGCCTACTCTTTCCCTCTCTTGCCCTCCAAGCCTTCCACCATGGAATGATGGAGCAAGAAGGCCTCACCAGGTGTGGGACCCTTGATTCTGGACTTCCCAGCCTCCAGAACTGTAAGGAATAATTTCTCTTCTTTATAAATTACCTAGTCTGTGGCATTCTGTTATAGAAGCACAAAACAGACTAAGACATAAAATTGGTGTTGAGGAGTGGGGCTGTTGCTACAACAAATACCTGAAAATGTAGATGTGGCTTTGGAACTGGGTAACAAATAGAGGCTGGAAGAATTTGGAGGAGCAAATAGAAAAGCCTCGACTGCTGTGAATGGAGCACTGGGCAATTCTGGTGAGAAGACAAGAACTGTGAGGAGAGCCTAATCTTCTTAAGGATTACTTAAGTGGTCATGACCAGAAGGCTGGTAGAAATATGGACAGTAGAGGCCATTCTGATGAAGTCTCAGATGGAAATAAGAAACAATGCATTGGAAACTGGATTAAAAGCTATCCGTGTTTTGCAGAAAATTGTGATGGAACTGTGTCCATTTCCTAGGACTTTGTGGAAGGCAGAACTTAAAAGAGATGAACTAAAATATCTGGTGGAAGAAGTTTCTAAGCAGCAAATTATTGAAGGAGTTGCATGGATATGTTTAACTGTATACAGCAAAATAAGATAAAATGTAAGATATGAAAGCTACACACACACACACACACACAGAGAGAGAGAGAGAGAGAGAGAGAGGGAGAGAGAGAGAGGTGATTTAGAATTTATACCGAAAGGGAAGCAGAGCAGAAAGATTAGGAAAATTTGCAGCCTGGGCATGGAGAGTGTGTTGTCCAAAACACCACCAGAATGCCTAAATGGTAGAAAGGAGAGCTTTATTGGCAATATCAGTTTGCAAACTGAGAAGAATCAATGGCATGTGCTGAAGGTGCTCTTTTTTGAAGATGAAAAGGGCAGGTTGGCCCTTATGCCTCAAAGGGCTTGTGCAGTCATACATATTCGGCAGGTTTGGGGAAAAGCTATACATATTTATGTGGAGAGTTGAGTGCATGTGCAATAGGCAGGCATATATAATGTATAACCCATGTTCACTTTGGGGTGGGGTTTTGGCATTAAAATGGGGTGAAATTTGGCTCCATGTTAAAAGGTGAACTGTAGGATACGAAGACTGTGCACAGTCTCTATAAGCTTGCTGAAACTTGCTTAAGGTCTATACTTACTCATTAGGAAAGTGTGTTTATAAGGTAGGTCTTCTGTCCAATCAGAGTTGAAGTGGTCTGAGTTGTAAATCAGAGTTTATGAGGGCTCTTGATAATTTACATGAAAGCTCCTATTGTTAGGGAGTTTAATAAGAGTGTGTTTATTCTTATAGCCATAGGAATTTAGAAGTTATCATGTCAGCTGAGCACTGAACCCTCAAAGAAAAGTATCTGTTTCTTTAAACTTGGGGTCTGTCTTAGTTGATAAAGGGGCATCTCTTTTGGTTTCTCAGGTCACAAGTAAAATAGTGTCTTTAGGACAGCAAACCGAGGATATGGCCAAGCCACTATTTGCTAAAGAGGTTAGTATGGCTAGCAGGAAACCAGGTGATATTCATCAAGACCATGGAGAATGACCTGAAAGGAATTTCAGACATCTTTGAGGCTCCCTTCCATCACAGGCCCAGAGCTCTAGAACAGAATGGTTTGGGGGGACAACCCACAGTGCCCTCCGTGGGCTTGCTGCCCAGGGCGACTTCCAGACTCTGCTCCCTGTATGCCAGTGCTGTAATCCTGTCACCCCAGCAGTGGTTCAAGCAGGCCTGGCTGTGGCTCAGGTTGCCATTCCAGAGGACACAAGCGGTAAGCCTTGGTGGCATCATGTGGTGCTGATTCTGCAGATGTGTAGAATCCAAGAGCTGTGGGGACATGGTGACTTCCACCTAGATTTCAAAGAATGTGGACAGCCCAGTAGGTCAATGCCTAGTGGTCTTGAGAGTGGGGCAGCTCCCAAGACCACAAAACTGTAGGGCTACCAGCATGCAACTCCAACCTGGGAAAGCTGGAGGCATGAAATTTCTATCTGAGCACTGCTGGGTAGACAGTCCACCAAAGCGGTAGGAATGGAGCTGCCCGAGGCCTTAGGGACCCTGCCCCATCCTGGTGTGCCCAGGATGTGGGATATGGAGTCAAAAGAGATTATTCTCCAGCTTTAAAACTCATTTTTCTTATTGGATTTTAGACTTGCTTGGGTCCTGTTACTTTCTTCTTGCCTATTTTTCCCTTTTGGAATGGGAATGTCTATCCTATGCTGTCACAACATATATATATATTTGGAAGTAGATAACTTGTTAAATTTCACAGGTTCACAACTGGAAAGGAATTTGCCTCAGGGTGAATTGTGCCTTGAATCTCACCCATACATGATTTACATGAGACTTCGGTCTTTGGACTTTTGGACTGATGTAGAACAAGACTTTTGGGACAATTGGGATAGAATGAATGTATTTTGCATGGTGAGAAGTCATAAAGTTTGAAGACTAGGGGTGGAATGCTGTGGTTTGAATGTGTCCTCTGAAATTCACGTTAGAGGCTTGATCCCCAATGCAACAGTGTTGAGAGGTGATTAGGTAATGAGGCCTCTGCCCACATAAACTGATTAATGCCACTTCACAGGAATGAGTTGGTTGTCACAGGAGTGAGTTCCGCATAAAAGGATGAAGCCAGTCCCCTCCCCACCCACCCCTCTTCCCCTCTCTTGCCCTTCCGTTTTCTGCCATGGAATGACACAGCATTAAGTCCCTCACCAGAAGTGAGCCCCTCAACCTTGCACTTCTCAGCCCCCAGAACTCTAAGAAGTAAATGTTTATTTTAATCTTTATAAATTACGCCGTCTCAGGTATTCTGTTACAGCAGCACAAAATGGACTATTTCCCCCAACCCCTTCAACACCATGTATAATCATTAAATAGAATGAGTAATCTTGCCAGAACCACAATCTTACATTCAGTTTCCAAACTGTAGTTTCCCCCAGATAGTTAGCATTGTTCAATGAATTTTTGTTATGCCATTATGCAAATGTAGTCTATGTTCATTATCTCTGTACTTATTAAATTCATCAAAAGCTGTCCAGGAACAGATTTTCTGTTTTGTCAACTACACCCATAATCTTGTTCCCAGATTTTTCATCAGTATTTTCAGACTGTGAGGGAAGGAAAGCAAGAAATGGGAACAATTTCATGAATTTTAAATATGCTGTAACTCTGTTTTAGTACAATAAAATATATAACCGCCGTCTGCAGTTGCTTCCAGCATACCCCAATCTCAGGGCAGTGCCAGGTTAGTGCAGTTGGTTAGAATGTGGCAATATGTCCATAATTATTTCCCATGTGAATCAATTGGCTTGGCTGTGCAGAGAAGAATGTCTTCAGTGTCAATCTGAACTTTTGAGGCCAGCAGTCTGGAAAATCTGTGCCTTTGATTATTGAGATTTGGAGATTTCCAAAGAACTATTATTGACTGCTAATTCCATTGTGGTTGGAGAACAATACTTTGTATGATTTTCATCCTTATAAATTGAGACTTATAACCCAGAATATGGTCTTTCTTGGCACATGTTCAGTATGCATAAATATGGCACATCTCTCCATTTATTTAGCTCTTTCATTTAAGCAATGTTTTGTCACTTTAGGGTACAGCTCTTGCATGTCTTTCATTAAACGTATTCCTAGGTATTTATAATACAGATGCTCCTCAACTTATGATGAGGTTATGTCTGAATAAACCCATCCTAAATGGAAAATACTGTAAATTGTAGGGGGGTTTTCAACTTAATATTTTCAACTTATGATGGGTTTATCTGAATGTAACCCCATTGTAACCTGAGGAGCATTCTGAATGTCTATCACTTTCACATCATTATAAAGTAAAAAAAAATCGTAAGTGAAACCCTCATAAGTCAGGGATCATCTGTACTATTATAAATGGCATATTTTAACATGTCATTTTCCAATTGCTGCTTACTAGTATATAAAGTATTTTTTTAATATATACTGAGCTTTTACCCCATGACTTCAACATCCAGTAGACGTTGAAGATTTTCCACATGTACAGTCTACAAAAACAATTTATTTAGTAGCTTTGAAAAACAGATTTTCTACATAGACCACTGTGAATAGACAGTTTTGCACTTTTGTAATATTTATCTTTTATTATTTTAATTATTTATTGTACTGTCTAGAATTTCTGATACAAAGCTGAATAGAAGTGATGAGAGCCGACAGCTTTACCTTGTTCCCAATCTTAGGATTGGATATTTCACCATTAAGCATAATAGCTATTGATCTTTCATAGATGTCCTTTATAAAGTTCTCTTTTATTTCTAGTTTTGTGATTGTTGTCATCATGAGTTAGCAATAAAATATGTCAAATGCTTTTTCCGCCATTATTAAGATTTTCTCCTTTATTAATGTTGTAAATTATTGTTGATTAATGTTGGGCAAATCTTGCATTCTGGATAAACTGCAATTGGCGATTTTATTTTATTTTTTTCTGGGTTCAATTTGCCAGTATTTTCTATAGGAATTTTGCATCTGTATTAGTGAGTAATATTAATTTGTGTTTTTTTTCCCTCTAATGTCTGTTAGATTTTTCCGAAGGTTCTGCTGTTATTCCTTCCTCCTCTATTCTCTGAGTTTACATAAAATTGACATTGTGTGTTCTTTAAATGCTGGATAGAATTCACTAACGTGGATGGTTTTCTTTGTATTTTTAAATTGCGAATTCAAATTCTGTACCAGATGTACAAATACTCAGATTTTCTATTTATTCTTCAGTGTTTTGATAAGTTTTTTTTTTTTTTTTCAAAAAACTTTTTTTCTTGAGACAGAGTCTCGCTGTCATCCAGGCTGGAGTGCAGTGGTGCAATCTCAACTCACTACAACTTCTGCCTCCTAGGTTCAAGTGATTCTCCTGCCTCTGCCTACCAAGTAGCTGGGATTACAGGTGCGTGCCATCATGCCCAGCTAATTTTTGTATTTTTGGAGAGACGGGGTTTCTCCAAGTTGACATGGCTGGCCTCAAACTCCTGACCTCAAGTGATCCACCCGCCTCGGCCTCCCAAAGTGCTGGGATTACAGGCGTGAGCCACCATGCCCGGCCCCCAAAACTTTTTATTCTAAGTTATCAGATTTTATTGGTATAAATTTGTTTATAATATTATTCTTTTGTGATTTTAATTAGAATTTTTCAATCTCAGCACTACTGACATTGGAGGCCAGCAAAATAGCTGTGGGGGACTGTCCTGTGCATTGCAGAATATTCAGCTGTTTCCCTGACCTCTGCCTTCTGATAGCAGACTCTCCAACTGTGACAACCAAAAATGTCTCTGGACATTGCCAAATGTTCCCTGGGGGCAAAAAACCCTCTGGTTGAGACCCATGTTTTAATGTCTGTAGAATCTTTAGTGTTCTTTCATTCCAGATACTGGTAATTTCTCTATTTTTAAAATGAGTTTTTCTAGAGTTTTGCAGGCTGTACAAAAGAAGACTATGCACTGGACTTGGCCTGTAGACCACAGTTTGCTGATCCTGACTTAGATCACTGATTTTTTTTCTTCTTCTCTAATAAAGGTATGAAAAAACTACAAATTTCCCTCTGAGAATACTTTAGTTGTATTTCATAAACTTTGAAATGTTGTATTGATGGTTATTAGCCAATTAATGGTTATGGTGAGTGTTTATGAAGGTAACATGAGCTTGACTGTTATTCCAACAAAAGAGCTTACAAACAGACTTTTGGTTCTGTGTGAGATGAGCAATGAAGAACAGTAAGTACTTTCCCAACTAGTTGATAAATTAACATAAACATCCATAATCTGGCAACAATATTCTTTTGGCTCCTATCCCTAAAAAAAGCCAGTCTGCAACATCCAAAACATTTACCAAGACGAGGAAATTGCAATGATTTTCTTGTACGTTATGGAGTATTAATTTGCTGCCACCTGCTGGGAGGCAGAAATGGGTTTCCAGCATTGCTAGCTACAATTTGTCCTCAACTATTTATTTTGAAAATTTTCAAATCTATAGATGAGTTAAAAGAACATTCATATACTATTCACCTGAAACTACCAACTTTTTTGTTGTTGTTGTTGTTTTGTTTTTTTGAGACTGGAGTCTCTGTCGCCAGGCTGGAGTGCAGTCGCGCAATCTCGGCTCACTGCAACCTCTGCCTCCCGGGTTCAAGCGATTCTCCTGCCTCAGCCTCCGGAGTAGCTAGGACTACAGGCACGTGCCACCACACCCAGCTCATTTTTGTATTTTTAGTAGACATAGGGTTTCACCATGTTGGCCAGGATGGTTTCGATCTCTTGACCTGGTGATCCACCCGCCTCGGCCTCCCAAAGTGCTGGGATTACAGGCGTGAACCACTGCGCCCAGCCCAGGTTCAAATTTTTTAAATCCTTAAGGCTATCTAGTTGACAGCTGTCTTTAATGTAGATCAGTCCTCCTGCCTTTTTTTATTGTCTTCCTTATTAACCTTATTGAAAAGTCCGAACAAATCACATTCAGAATTTATCTCAGTGTTTCCTCACAATCAGATTCAGGTTAAACATTTTTGGCAAGAGCTCTACAAAAGTGTATTTCCCATAGCCTCATAATGACAGGTTCATATTTTCGCCAGTATTGGTGATGCTAGCAATTTTTTTCCCATGAAGAATCTATTAACATTTTGCAAAACACTAATGTTCCATGGAAATGTGTTCCCTAAGCTGTACTGTTTAGAAAACTTCTGAATAAAAAAGTGACATGCATGAAAGTGTTTGAGTTTGTAGAACGAAAAGCAGGTAAGGATAAACTCAATTTTAAAATTAACAAACTTCTTCACTTCTAAGGTAGCACAAACTGAGCTTTCATCAAACGTAACCCTTACCGAAACAATTGTTCAGATGAGCAACGCCAAGTTTAAAGAAAGGAAGTAAACCGTCTCAAGAACTGTCAATCTGTTTGTGTTCGATAGGCTGAGATTTGAAAGGTTTGATTCTGTGTTCTTTCTACTAGATCCTCGGCTTCATTTAGACTTGTGCTTAATTTTCTGTCATTGGCTATTGAGTCTACAATCAATCTTTGGAGTAAAAGTGGTAGTCTTTTGGTCCAAATAGTAATAATGAAAATGGTGAGACCAGTAATTCATTTTTTATTATTCTGTATTCAGTAAGAATCAACCTGTATCAAATAGCTGAAAAGGCCTGAAGCCTCCCAAATGCATATCATTACACAAATTCTGTGTGAGGACTGACATCTTGGTTTCATATACTAATTATACTGCATGGGCCCCATTTATAACCATATCTACTCGTCATTTGATCCTGGCTACTGCCGATGGATGCTATCTTCATCACATTATAGCAAACATTTGGGTGATTAAGTTTTTCTCAAAAATTCTAGATTAGCATACAACGGCTTTACTACTTATATGTCATCTAAGACGTTTTTTAAGAATTAGTTACTACTACGCCCAACGCAGTGAGGTAGCAAATATTATGCCTGTTTATTTTCATCTCCATTTCAGGCTTGCGCGCCTTTCCCCCCTCGGGACTTCCCGAGGACACCCCTGCAGCAGTGAGCCCGAGTCCTGGCTTTGGCTGCATGTTAAGAAATATTAATCAAAATGAATGCGTGCCCTTTAAGAGAAAAAAACTGTGGGTCCTTCAGCCTTTAAAAACCATGCCGTGGTTTAAAAACTTAAAACTATATTTCGGCAGAACGCTGAGCATTTCTTCAAATCACTCTGAGAAGCTTGAGTGTCTTTAATTTCACCGGTCTGTCAAACGTAACGCGTCTCTCCCTCACCCCACATTTTAAGTTTCCAAGGAGCGGAAGAAGGGCCTCCGGGGGTCCCGGCCGCCGCAGGCTGCTGGGGGTGAGGACACGACTCGGCCTCCGTCCGACTCGAGGGTGTCGCGAAGGCCAGGAGGGAACGAAAGTTACCCTCGAACTTCGGAGGCGAAAGATTTCATGTGGATCTTAAAAAGGGCAAAACCTACCCCAAAGGCCGTAAACCGCCCTCCCCTCCCCCGCCAGAGAACTTCCCGGCGCAGAGCTTCCGCAGCCTGCTGCAGGCCGGGAGACCTTCACGCTCACTCGCTCTCCGCCACACGCCGGAACTGCGCGGCCACGTCCACGGGGACCCTGGCCATGCCCCGCACCGCCACCCAGCCCCAGGCGATCCCCGGGCCCCACGCGCCTGCAGTCGGCGCTGCGCCTGCGTGGGAGGATCCGGCGGAAGGGGCGGGGTCAGGTGGCACTTCCGTGGCTTCGGGCGGGTGAGTATGGGGAGTGCGCGCGGCGTCCAGGAGTCGGGACTGGGCTCCCGCCTACGGCCGCCCTCCCGCCGGGGGGCCAGCGCGGTCCTCCGGGGCGCCCCCTGGAGGATTTGGGGTGGGGGAAGGAAAAGGAGAGTATTATCGAATATTCTCCTAATATTGATGTTCGGGGTGCGGATATGTGTGGACAGGCAGGAGTCGGCAAATGGGTTCAAATGGAAGCTTTAACAAAGAAAGGCCCTGTACGTAAACAGTGTTTTAAAATTCTCATCTTGGTTAGGTTTCTCAGGTTATCTCTGAGCCACAGCAAGGCAGCTTTGTTAAGGTGGCTCTTCCCTTGTCGCTGCCAAACCCGGTAAATGGTTAACCTGAGGCCGCGTCAGAGAAAGCCACTATGACTCCTACCAAAGAGTGAAATTGAAACTCTTTTCTGGGAAATCAAATCCAGGATATAAAAGTTGGATTCAAACTAAAAGTTACAAACAGTATCTAGGTTCCGTCACATGGCGTGCCGGGCAGGGTCTAAATCTCTTTCAGCAGAGGGCATGCTGTCTTCATATGTATTTCTCATTAGAAAATGAAAGACGACCTAAACCAAAATAATATAAAAATTTTTTATTATCTGTCTTAAGAGTTGTACCCTAATCCATATGTTTAGAAAACATAAACTAATAAAACTTTTCCAACTTGGTAGAAAGCCAAAAGTTTCCAGAAAAACTGTGTGGATTATTCAGCATTTTGCTGTTGTCTACAATGTTCAGAATATTCTTTTACAATAATTTTGCACTAAATACCGGTTTGTGTTCAGGGTAACAAGAGGTTTTTAAAAAGTCAAAGACAAGGACAGGTTTTTTAAGGGCTGTATTCTATTAGGAGAGACAAAACAAGCATGAAAAGTTACATATCCATAAGAAATGTAAATCACCATTTGAGATATTTGAAGATGTCAAAAGAAAACCTTTATTTAGAATGGAAAGAGCTGGTGAATGCTCGAAACATTTACCATTTAGCTGATTGTTGCCATGTGGGAATGGGGGTCTCTCAAACGCAGATCCGATTTTCTCCAACACAGGCCAAAGATCTGTATTTTTACGTATTTTTTCTTGATTTTTAATGTTACTTGCAACCAATTTAGTTAACACACACCTTCTGTGGGTGGGCCAGGTGCAACTAGTTTGTGACCTCTGCAGATTTTCACCTTAGTACAGTCCTACACTTACACAATGGTTCAGTTAAAGATTTTTTGACTTTACAGTGGGTTTATCCAGACACAGACCCGATTGTAAGATGAAGACTCTTTGTATTCAGAAATAATTGGAATTAGAGGTCAGAAAAAGTCCTAGAGACTGGGATGGTCAGGAAAGATTTTAAGCTGGGTAGTATAGGAGAGATATCATAGAGGGGGAAGGATGTAAAAGATGAGTTAAATCTTGGGGTTGGGAGAGTTGGCAGGTTTGGAAGATAGTAAACTCTCCTTAGAGGAATTTTGGAAAGGCAAGCGCAAGAGGTGCTGCTGGCCTGGGGACTACACTTTGAGAACCACTGTCCTAGGGTACGGTGAACTTTTGGAGGAATTTGAGTAGGAGGCTAAGGAGATCACATTCACCTTTCAGAATGAGTCTTGCTGTGAAGTCTGAAAGGAGGACTGAGGAGGGAGAGAGAAAAGAGGAAAGTTTCTTAGAGGTGATTAGCACCTGCTTGATGCCAGGCCCTGTGCCAGGCTCTCTCATGCATACTCATTTATACTCACCATGATCCTGATACGTAGATCTTAATGTTTTCATTTTGTAAGTGAAGGAACTTTGAGAATATGAGAAATTACCCAGGTTCCATAGTTGGTCTCAGAGCTTCCTAGTTCAAGCCTGGATTTGAAATAGGGTGGTAGCAGTGGGAATCAAAACATTTAATGGTGATGGAATTTAGAAAAATAGAGACTTCTCAAGCACATTTAAGCCTAAAAGTAGGAATTGGGAAATCTGAATCTTACTGGAAAAGTGATAAAAAGTAAAGTGGACAGAGAACTTTAGAGAATCCCTTCATGAATTTGGTATTTGTTCTTTATTACTCTTAACTCATGATGACCTATTTAAAACCTATTTAAAAGTTGCTTATTTAAGAAGTCATCCTGCTCTACAAAAGTTTCCTGAAATTATTTGAAAAAGAGAAAATAAAGCCTTCTGTGGTTGGGGGGGGTGGAATATGGTAAACAGATTAATGGCATTTGACAGCTTATCTTCAAATCAAAAGTGATTAGCATTGAGAAATGGAAACACTTGGTACAACACTGCATTGCCTGTACGAATTGTGCTGTGCTGCAGACACTGATCTACTGTATTGATTTAGGAAATTCTGTATGCTTTTTCTTGCCAGAGTAGTTATTGAAATTGAGAATATTCATTGGATCAATTTCAAGATAAATATCCCAAGTCAGACTGGCTGCTGCTGAGCAAATTTTTAATGAAGGAAAATATCCATATATTGAAATCAGTTTAAAAAGAAAGTCCTTAAAATATATTACTGTAAAATCTAGAAAAAAATGTACATTTTAGAAACATCAATTAACTGAGTAATCAGTGTAGTGGAGTTATTGACCCATGCAGAATTATGGTGTACATTCATTAATTCTGTGAGCAAATAATTGTGCTATAAATACAAAGATAACTGATATGGTTTGGCTGTGTCCCTACCCAAATCACATCTTGAATTGTAACTCCCACAATCCCCATGTGTCATGGGAGGAGCCTGGTGAGAGGTGATTGAATTATGGGGACAGGTCTTTCCTGTGCTGTTCTCATGATAGTGAATGAGTCTCATGGGATCTGATGGTTTTAAAAATGGGAGTTTCCCTACACAAGCTCTCTCTTTCCTTGCTGCCATCCATGTAAGACATGACTTGCTCCTCCTTGCCTTCAGCCATGATTGTGAGGCTTCCTCAGCCACATAGAACTGTAAGTCCATTAAACCCTTTTTCCTGTATAAATTACCCAGTCTCGGGTATGTCTTTATCAGCAGCCTGAAATCAGACTAATATACTAGATATGGCCTACTTTTGAGATATCTTACTGAATCTTGTAAAGCTGGGGAATTTCTCTTGTATTTTGATAGTGCTTAGCTTACAAATTGTAGGATGAAGCCATATTCTCGGGAATCATGAAAATTAGTTGAAACATTTTGATTTGATTATTATTATTTTATGGCTGTTATGCTTTTGATGGAGGCAGATACAAAATTCATCAATGCAAAATAATGTTTTACATACTCATTAACATAGTGATTAATGTAAACTATATTTTGACAATGTAAAATACAGTGTGTTTGGCCTCAAAAAAGAAACTACAGAGTTAGCTGCAACTTAAGATAACTGGAAAGGCTCCTTACATTGTTTTTTGCCCACCACCTTTATTATAATAGTTCTATATGATGTCTGGGGAGGGAATTAAAAAATAATACAAAGCTCTTTCAGCTGTGGTTCAGAGAACTCTAGTGAAGCTGTATGGCAATGACACTGTGAGTCCATGAAGTTTCCCCAGAAGTATTTCAATAAGAGGCAGTTAAGAAGCTTAATAGTTTCAAAGTCTGGAAAGCAGCAAATATATCTTAGAGAATTTAAAAACATTATAAATATAAAACCCACTTCTCTCTTACAGAGACATTTTAAAGCATGGACATAACTTTAAGGAGATTGAGAAAACATCAGTAGTTTTCATAAAGCTTCAATGAACACCCCAAGGCACAAGTGTTGAAAATGGCCTGTTCACTAAAATGTCACTTTTGGAGGTACAGGTATACTGTACTTACAGTGAGAGGATGACTTTATCCCTGGTTAAAAGCACCAGGTGTCAAGCTCCACTTCCATTACCCAGGATGCACCAATAATCCCTATGATAGTGAATGGTTCAAGTACTATACTACATTTCCAACATGTCTTTTGCCTATTTGCTTAGTTGGTACTAGGGTTCTTTTGAACCCCACAGGTGTGTAGAATATTTTAAAAGGCTAGAACTACCTCAAAAATAGTCTTGAAATAATACCGAGCCCTTCTAAAAGAGCTCACTGGATATTTTAATAACATTTACAGAAAGAAAGAAAGACAAAATTTGCAGTAGCTGAGTTTCTTTCAAGTGAAGAATAATAATGTAGAACATGTAGTCTAAAATGTTTGGTAATTAATGTCAAAAGTTCCAAGATTATTAATATATATTTTGGTAATCACTATTGGCCAGGTTAATTTTTTGTGCAAAATACACTGTATATTAATAGACTAGGAAAATCATTATTTCAGACCAGTAACAGAAGAAAACCCACAGCTAGAGAAGCATCTATAGGGCAATTAAACGTTAGGGAAGTTTACTAGCTTTAGAATACATTAATACACTTCGATTACAGAAATATTTCATTTTTAAAACTTGAGTGTTTTAATGTACTTTTAGTAACGACCTGATCTAAGGAGCCTTGGAGGCTTGTGAAAAAGACATACCCACAAAGATGCTGCATTTCTGGTGTGGGGGTGAATTAACACTTCTGTAAGAAGGAAGGAACTGAATCAGCTCAGCATCAATACACAACATTTTTCTTTTAAACAGTAACTTATAATCTGATGACTCACTTCACTTTACTAGTTCAAAATTAGGCAGGAGAAGAACTAAGCTAACTGGTCAGACCCAGAAACACAATGATTTGGCAAGCCACAGTCACTCAGCTCATGATGTGTGATAATCAGCAGAAAGGCTGCTCAACTCTTGTCCACTCCTTCACATCTGTAGAGGAGTTTGATATAACCACTTCTTTTTATCAACTTTAAGCTGCATACAGGCAAAGAGATCACAAACTGCAGGGAGGCCATAATGGTCTGGGGGGAAGTTATATTCCTCCTGTAGAGGTGAATTAAGTAATACTTCTAGGTCTTCTTTCGAAGCAGTCACTTGTCTTCTCCAGAGGATAGCTGGCTGAGGTTGCCCATCTTCTTTCCCAGCAGGAGCCAGTCAGCTGTGTTAAAGGAACACCAGGAAGTGCTCATGGGGCTTTTTAGCTTTTGTTTGCCAGCTTTGTCTTCAGTATTAGGCCCTTTCTTAGGACTTCCTTCTTTGTATGGGGGCCTGATAAGCCACTCTGACAAGGTGCTGTTCTTTATGACTTGGAAGGAATCAGCAATTCTAGAAGGAACCAGCAATTCTAGAAGGAACCATTGACTTTGGTGCTTTAGTTCTATTACTTCTTTACTAGAAGGACAGAGCCACATATTCAGGGAATCTTTATGTTTCTCAGGCTCAGGTTTGGGTTCCATGGGCATCCCATTTTTATCCTTTCCTTCTTTGTTCAGAAGCCACTTATACAGAGCCTTCTCCTCACAATTCTCATCATACACGCACTCTGCAAAGCTTATGCAGGGCTCATTGGCTCTGCACACCTCCTCTACCTTACATGGGTCCTGATGGTTCTGGACAAGCCAATCCTCTGTAACCATGCTGGGGGTGTACAATGGTTTCTTGGCCCCCAAGTGGTCATGCAGGCACTTAGATTGCCCACGTTTTCCAACTCCATACCTTTGGGCTGGTTTCCCTGACAGTTGGTACAGGAGTCAGTCTTGACAAGCCAATCATTCATATTATAGGACTGGAACAAGAGCTCAAACTTCTCACCGGTTTCATGACTGCCATTCTCGGGCTTCCCCAGCTTATGGGATTCCTGGAGAGTCACTAGCCAATCTGATAGGTTCATCTCATCTCGATCAGGAAGCTCTAGATCTTCAACCTTTTCCATTTCAATGGAGAAAGAACTAGTAGTGGAATGGCTGTTACACTTTTGATAACTTGGTTTTTCAGGAACTTCCTGTTGCTGACTCTTGAGGAGCAAGTTTTCTAAGCCCTTTAGGTTTCCCCAGACATTAGTAAAGAAATTGCAGGCTCTGGAAGAAGTCTGTCTATTCTCCAAGGTCTGCTTTTTGGTGAGCCAGTCCTGGGGGTTGGTGCTGGGTATGTAAGGAGCCTAATGACCACTGGCAGGTTTGCTTCCAAGGAGCCATTTGCTGAGAGGGATAGCTGCAATACTGGATGCTGACTTCTGCTCTGGCATAGGGATATAGCCTCTTCTCCAGGAAGGGCCCAATATTTGATGAACTAGCATAAGCCATCAAGTGCTCAGAAATTTGAATTGTTTTGAGAGACCTAAATATGGTGATGGTCTGGCACAGAGCAGTTGTGTCAGCTTCAAAGAGTAGGACATTTGAATCTTCATACTTAAGGGTCAAACTGCCCAGTCTCTCTAGGCACACAGAGACTTGATTGGCTAGATCTTTGTTTTGGGTACACTCCAGTTGATGAATAAGACAATTGAACTGGCCTGATAACCAGTAGAGCTGCTGAGCCTGCTGTTGAATTGTCTCCTCTTTAAGCTGATAGATGAGGTCCACCTGTTCATTTAGTCACACCTCATGGCTTCTAAGACGTTCCAGATGACGGGTTATGCAACTGTGAATCTGAGCTTTGACCTCTCGCAAGTTATCTTTAATTTGCTGTTCAGCCTGGAGAACTCCACCAATAGCAAGCTCCAAGTCCCTCCGTGCATCACTACCCCTCAAAAGG
This sequence comes from Homo sapiens, assembly GCF_000001405.40. Classification (NCBI taxonomy): domain Eukaryota; kingdom Metazoa; phylum Chordata; class Mammalia; order Primates; family Hominidae; genus Homo; species Homo sapiens. The sequence goes on from NC_000004.12 coordinate 145,625,989, forward strand.
GGTTCTCTATTACTGGAGCTGCCACTCTGGTCTTGGAAGGTATTCATTCTGCTCACAGCTCCAGGTCCCAGTGCCTCTCTGGGGCAGTCGGAGGGGACCTTGGGTGGACTGAGACACGGCCCCACACAAACCTAGGGCCCAAAGCTGATTCGATTATTGATCTAGTTCTTTGATTTCTTCCCATGAGAAAGCAGGAAAAGATGCTGAGTTACATGAGCAGGTAGGAAATAATCCTTCTCTCTACTTACATAATTTTGCCATTTTAGTGGAATTAGTCTGTTCTGCCTGTGACAGTATATAAAGGTAGAAAGCTGCTCATACAAGGCTGAGTTATATTGGCTCTTAAAAAATTTATGGGCTGCTTTAAAATCTGGTTAATTAGATAAATTCATGGGGTTAAATATGTTATGAACTTAGTTATCAGGAGTGAATTATTGTCCGTGGAGCAAAAAACATTTTAAAATGTGGTCTGTTCTGTCACCTAACACATCGAGATCTACTGATAAAAACTTAGCACTCGAAATAGAAACTAATTTTTCATTTTGGCCTAAGCAAAAAATAAATAAATAAAAAGATAAATAGCCAGCCATAATCAGGCATATTCAGATATACAGGATTATTTTATTTTCTCTAGAGTTGACACCATATAAATCTGGATTTGTGAAATCCATAGTTTTTTCCAAGTTCTGCCACTAGTTCTGAGGCCTTGGTGAATCAGCCTTATGCCGCTGAGCCTCACCTTTAAAATAGGATGTCATCCACTGTAGGATTGTTGTGAGGATTAGCTGAAAAAATGCATGCACGATGCCTCACACATGATAAACACTCAGTAGAAGGTAGCAGCTGCTGCTTGCCATTCAGATGCTCCAAAGAGTTGGGGGGAAGCAAGAAAATTAGTCCCCTGGGAAGAAGTTTGAGGATATCAAATCCAGAATTACATACATCTGGATAGCTTTTTGGTTTTGGCAAAAGAACTGGAGTAAGATGGTATCATCCTTTTTCTCGTTCTTTCTTTTCACTTAAAGTCCTTTTAAGATTTGTATTGGCATCAGAAGGCAGAGAACTGCAATCCCAATTGTGATAAAACCTGCAGTATAAATCATAAGCTTATCAGACGGTGTGGATTTTCTGAGAAAGATTGCAATTAAATTGTTGTAAGAAACCACTATTTTAAATGTTAAAGCAATCTAGAATATTTATTTAGAGAATATTTGCTTACATTATTATAAATGGACATAATTTCATGTAGTAAAGCTTTTGTTACTAAGTTTTGATTCCTTGCAAACTTATCTTACCATTTTTCTGTTTGGAAGGTTGGTTGCATGTCAAAGGTGTCTTGATTCAAAACAGGAAACTTAGAAGGCAAAATGTTTTAGTAAATGTCCTTCAGTCACACAGGTTAAGATTGTTACCCAAACTTTTCTTTATAGTTTAGTAGATTAACATAGAGTAGATGGAGTATATATTCATGAACCTAAAAAAAAAATTGGAAGGTTACTGTGTGCCAGGCACTGTGATAGTTTCTGAGGAAATATGCCCTTTTTCTGGGAGAATCAGTTGAGTTGAGCAATGAGAATTGGTAAGGAGCGGTCTATAAGTAGATAAATTAGAAAACAAGAAGACAAATACTATTTTTGAGGTGGGAACAAAAGACTGTGGAGCATTGAATAGAACACTTAACTGCCTGGAGAAGGTGGGGGAAGATGTATCTCTGAGGAGGTGCTATTTGAACTGAGTAGGCATTTGTCAGCAAAAATGTGAACGATATGCACTACAGACACCTAATTTTTATTATAGTATATATATAGTTTTAAAAAATCTACCATGCTCAAAAATGGTTACTATCTCATATATATCATGTTATTTCAGACTACTTTTGAACTTCAAATTTAACATGATTCTGATAAAATATCTGTGCATGGAAGAAATGGTAAAATGTGATTATTGCTTATTTCACCTTGCACATAATTCTTTTTACTAAATTTTTTTAGTATATATGCTGGCTTTATGTCTAATTTAGAAACTGACGTATAAATGCATTGAATGTAACACTGATAGTCACAATAACTGGTAAAATTAAGGATTCATCAAATTTGACTCTGATGTTAGGAAGAAATCTAAATGCAAAAGGAAGCAAGTTACAGGTTATGGCAAAGATAATAATTAAATCATGAGTAGTTATTAGGCATTTCTTATTAAATTTTAAAAATTCTGAATTTTATCTTTTAAAAAAGATTTTTTTGGTTACTTTTTCTTACCATAGAACTGTATTAGTTTCCTATAGCTCTGGTAACAGATTACCACAAACTTAGTGTCTTAACACAAATTTATTATCTTACAGTTCTATTGGTCAGAAGTCTGACACGGGTCTCACTAGGGTAAAATCAAGGTGTCAGTAGATCTTTGTTCCATCCTGGAGGATCTAGAAGAGAATCAGTTTCCTTGCCTTTACCATCTTCTATAGGTTGTCCTCATTCCTTGGTTCATGGCCCTTTTACTTCATCTTCAAAGACCTGAAGAGTGGATTGAATCCTCACATGATGTCACTCTGCTATTCATTTCTACCTCCCACTTTCATATTAAAGGACATTGGTGATTACATTGGGTCCACCTGGATAATCTAAGATAATCTTTTTACCTTGTCAGCTGATTAGCAACTTTAGTTCCATCTGCAACTTTAATTCCCTATTTGCCATATAACATAACATATTCATAGGATCCAGGGATTCGGACGTGGACATGTTTGGGGAGCCATTATTCTGCCTATCATAGTAACATATGCTGTTTTTAAAAAAGCAGAAATATGTGGTCAGCCAAAAAACAACATAAAAGCACCATAATACCACTCCTCTGTAGATGAAGTTATATACACATCAATATATATATAGTTATTCTATGTGTGTGTGTGTATATGGGGAGGGTGTCAATGTGTGTTTAACATTTTTGAAAAAGGTGTCACACTTCCTCTTAATCTTGAATCCTTTTTTTAGTAATCTGGTCTCGTGGATTTAAATGACATATAAACATCGAAGGAATGTTGAATTTTATCAGATGCTTTTTCAGCATCAATTGAAATGCTCATATGGTTTTTGCCTTCCATTCCGTTGATATGATATATCACATTGATTGATTTGTATATATATATTTTTTGTTTTGTTTTTTGAGACAGAGTCTCGCTGTCGCCCAGGCTGGAGTGCAGTGGCACGATCTCAGCTCACTGCAAGCTCTGCCTCCTGCGTTCACGCCATTCTCCTGCCTCAGCCTCCCGTGTAGCTGGGACTACAGGCACCCACCACCACGCCTGGCTAATTTTTTGTATTTTTAGTAGAGACAGGGTTTCACCATGTTAGCCAGGATGGGATTTGTATATGTTGAACCACCCTTGTACCCCAGGGATAAATCCCACTTGGTCATGATTAATGATCTTTTTAATGTATTGTTGAATTCAGTTTGCTAGTATTTTATTGAGGACTTTTGCCTCAATAGTTATCAAAATTCATTCTATAAGGCCAGTATTATTCTGATACCAAAACTAATGACATACCTAAAAAAAGAGTACTAGAGGTATTCTTTTTTATTTAGTATTCAAAAGAATACTAGCCTTGTATTAGTTCATTTTCATGTTGCTGACAAAGACATACCTGAGACTGAGCAATTTAAAAAAGAAAGGTTTAATTGGACTTACAGTTCCACATGGCTGGGGAGGCTTCACAGTCATGGCGGAAGGCAAGAAGGAGCAAGTCCCATCTTACGTGGATGGCGGCAGGCAGAAAGAGAACTTGTGCAGGGAGACTCCTGTTTTTAAAACCATCAGATCTTGTGAGACTCATTCACTATCAGGAGAACGGCACAGGAAAGACCCACCCCCATAATTCAGTCATTTCCCACTGGGTGCCTCCCATAATATGTGGGAATTATGGGAGCTACAAGGTGAGATTTGGGTGGGGACACAGAGCCACACCATATCAAGCCTCTAGGTATTTTTTTTTGGAATGTCTTTGGTTTGGGTATCAGAGTAATACTGGCCTCATATAATGAATTTGGAAATACTCCCTTTTCCTCTGTTTTTCAGAATAATTTCAGTAAGATTGGTATTAGTTCTTTAAATGTTTGATAGAATTCAGCAGTGAAGCCATCAGGTCCCAGGCTTTTCTCTATTAGACTTTTTATTACAGCTTCAATTTCATTACTTGTTATTGGTATATTCAGGTTTTGGATTTCTTCATTGTTCAATGTTGGTAGGTTATATATGTCTAGGAATTTATCCATTTCTTCTAGATGTTTTCAATTTATTGACATATACTTGCTCATAATAAGCACTAAGGAGACTTTGGATTTCTGCAGTGCCAGTTGTAATGTCTCCTTTTTCATCTCTGCATTTATTTATTTGGATCATCTCTCTTTTTTCCTTAGTTTAGCTTGCTCTTGATTTTCTAGCTCTTTAAGATGCATTGTTTAGGCCGGGTGCGGTGGCTAACACCTGTAATCCCAGCACTTTGGGAGGCTGAGGTGGGTGGATCACCTGAGGTTGGGAGTTTGACACCAGACTGACCAACATGGAGAAACCCCATCTCTACTAAAAAAACAAAATTAGCCGGGCATGGCGGCACATGCCTGTAATCCCAGCTACTTGGGGGGCTGAGGCAGGAGAATCGCTTGAACCCAGGAGGCGGAGGTTGTGGTGAGCCGAGATCGCACCATTGCACTCCAGCCTGGGCAACAAGAGCAAAACTCCATCTCAAAAAAAAAAGATGCATTGTTTATTTGAAGTTTTTCTTCTTTTTTAATGTAGGCACGTATAGCTATAAACTTCCCTCTTAGTACTGCTTTTGCTGTATCCCATAGGTTTTGGTATGATGTGTTTCCATTATTATTTGTTTCAAGACATTTTTCAATGTCCTTAATTTCTTCATTGACCCAGTGTTCATTCAGGAACATGTTGTTTAATTTCCATATATTTGTATAGTTACCACAATTCCTCTTGTTATTGATTTCTAGTTTTATTCCAATGTGGTTAGAGAAGATGTTTGATCTTATTTCAATTTTTTGAATGTTTCAGGACTTGTTTTGTGAGCTAACATGTAGTCTATTCTTGAGAATGATCCATGTACCAAAGAGAAGAATGTGTTTTCCACAGCCATTGGATGAAATGTTCTGTAAATACCTATTAGGTCCATTTGGTCTGTAGTGCAGATTAAGTCCAATGTTTTGTTATTAATTTTTTGTCTGGAAGATATGTCCAATACTGAAAGTGGGGTGTTGAAGTCTCCAGCTATTATTGTATTGGGGTCTATCTCTCTATCTCCAATAATATTTGCTCTGTATATCTGGGTGCTCCAAGGTTGGGTGCATGTAGATTTAAAATTGTTATATCCTCTTGCTGAATTGACTGCTTTATCACTATCTAGTGACCTTCCTTGTCTCTTCTTACAGTTTTTGTCTTGAAATCTATTTGTCTGATACAATTTTAATTACTCCTGTTCTTTTTTGGTTTCCATTGGCATGGAATAACTTTTTCCATGCCTTTATTTTCAGTCTGTGTTTGTCTTTATAAGTGAAGTGGGCTTCCTATAGGCAACAGATCATTGGGTCTTTTATTTTTTTTATCCATTCCACCACTCTATGTTTTTTTACCAGAGAGTTTAGTCCATTTACATTGAATGTTATTATTAATAAGTAAACACTTATTCTTGCCATTTTGTTATTTGTTTTCTGGTCTTCCCTTCTTTCTTTCCTGTCTTCATTTTAGTGAAGGTGATTTTCTGTGCTGATATGATTTAGTTTCTTGCTTTTTATTTTTTGTGTATCTGTTGTATGTTTTTTGGTTTGAGATTACTGTAAGACTTGCTATCTTATCTTACTATCTTGTCACCCATTATTTTAAGCTGATAACAACACTGTTTATATAAACAAATGAATAGAAAACTAATGAAGACTCTGCCTTACCGTGATCCCTGGCTTTTCAATTTTTTGTTGTTTCTGTTCATATATTACTGTCTTGAAAAGTTATTGTAGTTATTTTTGATTGGTTCATTGTTTAGTCTTTATACTTAACAGTAGTTTATACACCACAGGTACAATATTCTTTTGCTTACTTTCTATTACCAGTGAGTTTGTACCTTCAGATGATTTCTTATTGCTCACTAATGTCCTTTTCTTTCTTGCTGAAGTGTCCTCTTTAGCATTTCTTGTAGGAAAGGTTTGGTGTTGAGAAATTTCTCTGCTTTTGTTTGTCTGAGAAAGTATTTCTCCTTCATGTTTGGATATTTTCACTGGATATACTATTCTAGTGTACATTTGTTTTTTTCCCTTCAGCACTTTAAGTAGGTTATGCCATTCTCTCCTAGCCTATAAAGTTTCCACTGAAAAGCCTGCTTCCAGTCATATTGGAGCTCCATTGTATGTTGTTTGTTTCTTTTTCTTGTGCTGCTTTTAGGATTCATTCTTTATCCTTGACCTTTGGGAGTTTGATTATTAAGTGCCTTGAGGTAGTCTTTGGATTAAATCTGCTTGGTGATCTGTAAACTTCTTGTACTTGACTATTGATATCTTTCCCTATGTTTGGGAAGTTCTCTGTTATCCCTTTGAATAAACATTTTACCCATCTCTTTTTCTACTTCCTCTTTTCCTCTTTAAGGCCAATAGCTCTTAGATTTGCCCTTTTGAGGCTATTTTCTAAATCCTGGAGGCATGCTTCATTGTTTTTTATTCTTTTCTCTTTTGTCTTCCCTCACTGTGTATTTTCAAATAGCCTGTCTTCAGCTCACTAATTCTTTTTTTTTTTTTGAGACAGGGGTCTTGCTCTGTCACCCAGGCTGGAGTGTAGTGGTGTGATCAGGACTTGCTGCAGCCCCTACCTCCCAAGCTCAAGCAATCCTGTCACCTCGGCCTCCTGAGTAACTGGGACTACAGCCATCACACCCAGCTAATTTTTTTGTTTTTTGTAGAAATGGGGTTTTGCCATGTTGCCCAGCTGGTCTCGAACTGGGTTCAAGGGATCTGTATGCCTTGGCCTCCCAAAGTGCTGAGATTACAGGTATGGGCCATCATGCCTGGCCCAAGCTCACTAATTCTTTCTTCTGCTTGATCAATTCTGTCTTAGGAGACTCTGATGCATTCTTCAGTATGCCAGTTGCATTTAATCTCCTTGTTAAATTTATTTGATAGAATTCTGAATCCTTTCTTGTGGTATCTTGAATTTCTTTTTCTTTTTTTTTTTTTTTTTTTTTGAGATGGAGTTTGTTCTGTTACCCAGGCTGGAATGCAGTGATGCGATCTCGGCTCACCACAACTTCTGCCTCCCAGGTTCAAGTGATTCTTTTGTATCAGCCTCCCAAGTAGCTGGGATTACAGTACCCACCACCACACCTGGCTAATTTTTGTATTTTTAGTAGAGACGGGGTTTCACCATGTTGGCCAGGCTGGTCTCAAACTCCTGACCTCAGGTGATCTGCCCAGCTCGGCCTCCCAAAGTGCTGGGATTACATATGTGAGCTACCACATTCAGTCGTGTCTTGAATTTCTTGAGTTTCCTCAAAACAGCTATTTTGAATTCTCTGTCTGAAAGATCACATATCTCTATTTCTCCAGGATTGGTGCCTGGTGCCTTATTTAGTTTATTTGGTGAGGTCATGTTTTCCTGGGTGGTCTTGATACTTACAGATGTTTGTCTGTATCTGGACATTAAGGACTTAGGTATTTATTGGAGTCTTTATAGTCTGGGCTTGTTTGTACCTGTCCTTCTTGGGAATGCTTTCCAAATATTTGAAAGGGCTTGGGTGTTCTGATCTAAGCCATATCTGCATTTTGGGGCACCCCAAGCCCAGTAACACTGTGGTACTACCTTGGTGATCTTGGATAAGATCCTGAAGAATTCTCTGGATTATCAGGCAGAGACTCTTGTTCTCTTCCCATACTTTCTCCCAAACAGAATCTCTGTCTGTTTTGAGCCACCTGGAGCTGGGGATAGGGTTATACAAGCAACCCTGTGGTCACCACCACTGTAACTGTACTGGGTCAGACCTGAGTCCAACACAGCACTGGGTTTCACCAAAGGCCCACTGTAACTACCTGACTATCACTTATGTTCACTCAGATTCCTAGGGCTATACAGTCAGCGAGTGGCAAAGCCAGACAGGCTTATGTCCTTCATTTGAGGGTGGTAAGTTCCCCCAGGCTCCAGGTAAGTCCAGAGATGCCATCCAGGAGTAAAAGCCTGGAGTCAAAAACTCTGGAAATCTACGTGATGCTGTGTTCTACTGTGGCTAAGCTGGTGTTCAAACCACAAGGCAGCATCCTTCCCATTCTTTCCTCCCTTTTCCAAAGGCAGAGGAGCCTCACCCCATGACTGCCACTGCCACAGGCCCATGAAGAGTGCTACCAGACTACTGCTGATGCTCCCTTAAGATCCAGGGGCTCTTTGGTCAGTTTGTGGTGATGCTGGCTGATCAGGGACTTACCCTTCAGGGCAGTGGGCTCCCCTCTGGCCCAGGGCAGGTCCAGAAATGCCATCCAAGAGCCAAGGCCTGGAACTGGGGACCCGAAGAGCCCATTTGTTTCTCTACCCCACTGTGGCCAGGCTAGTACCTAACATGCCAGACAAATTCCTCTTTACTTTTCCCTTTGCTTTTCTCAAGCAGAAGGAGTCTCGCCCTGTATCTAGTGCAGCTGGGAATGCGCTGAGTCTTACCTGAAGCTAGCAAGTTTGAGAGTCTCACCCAAGGCCCTCTATGTAGTACCTTGGTATTGCTGCTGGGCCCAAGGGCTCTTCAGTCAGCAGGTGATGAATCCTGCCAGGACTGGCTCCTTTTCTTTAACGCAGCAAGTTCCCTTCTGGCCCAGGGTGTCTAGAAATGTCGTTCAGGAGCTAGGGCCTGGAAGGGGGACCTCATGACTCTAACTGGTGCCCCATCCTGCTGTGACTGAGGATATCCAAGATGCAAGATAAAGTCCTCCCCGCTCTTCCCTTTCCTTTCCTCAAGCAGAAAGAAGGTGTCTCTTTTGCAGCCATGAGCTATGCAGCCTGGGATTAGGGAAGGAGTGATGCCAACACTCCTTTTGCTGCTCCAGCTGGTGTCTCACTGGGTTGTGTTCCCCCTCCCTGAAACCCCCTAGTCCACTGGCTCTGGGCTCAGTTCAACACTAGGACTTGCCTAGGAGTTGCAGTCCTTGTGGCCTAGACTGCCATTAAAGTTTAATTGAGACACTAGAGCACTTTAACCCACAGTGGCTAGGCTTCTGTGAGCTCAGGAAACTCAAGTTTCAAGCTCTGGGAACAGCCAGGCCTCTCTGGCTGGTTTAGTGGTTAATAGTTCCTTCTGTGTGTGGTGCCAGCTGAGTTTTTCAGGTTTGCTTTCTGCTATAACAGGGCGGCACTGAGTTCAGTGCCTCAGAATTGCTATCCCTCTCCCCATCTCACAGAAATGCTCTCTGCATCATGCCACTGCTGCCAGGGCATGGGAGAGGGGTGGTGTTGGGGATTCAAAACAGTTTTTCCTACCTCTTCTGTGCCTCTTTGAGTGATACAAAGTTAAAACCAGGTAGAAAATGATTGGTGAAGCCTTGTATTCTGCTATCGTGCTCTGACCCTGACCACCTCTGTCACTCTTTGTTTGAACACAGCTTGTTTGGTAATAGGAGGTAGTCATGGTAAGGACTTGTTAATTAAGGAGCATATTTTAAATAGTTCTAATTTGCTCTTAGACTACATATGACAACATCTTCCCTATGGGACAATAGGACTAGATTTGGTAATAAGAATGTTTTCTATCCTGCAGATTTCCTCTCTCTGTTCTTTGGCTCCTCCTCATGCCACCAGCATCACTGCAACTGAAAAGACTTCTTACTCACTTCAGAAGTTGGGCAGAGTTACTAATATCTACTTCCCTTTTAGCCAAAGGACTTCTTTGTTATTTTAATATAATTTATTAAGTAATGCCTGCCATAGAGAGTCAAACAACCTGGGTTTGAATCTTGGCCCTGCCACTGGCTATGACTGTGATCACTCAGCTCTCTCAGTGTTCTTTCCCCCTTCTGTTAAATGAAAATAATAACTGTTGTACTGTCCTCATGGAATTAACTGGAGAATAAAATGAAATAAAATATCTGAAAGTGGCTGGTAGACTCTAATGTGCCAGGCATTTGGGGAATGAAATAAGTTCAGATCAGCAGCAGCTCTTTTTTTCTTTTTATTTAAGCAATTGCAGTGTGCCAGGCTCCATGTCAAACTCTGAGGATTCTAATAAAATAGGATAGGTCAAGAAGGTCTTAAATCAGGCTTTTCCTTTCCATTCCTTAATACCTTGCCTCAGTCTAGGTCCTCATCATCTCCTTTGGTTCCTTGCTAGGCTTCCTGAACTGGGCTCTGTTTAAAAGTCTCATCACTCTTGACTTCGTGTCACTGCTTCTAGAGTTATCTCTTCAAAAGCAAAGTTGATTATGTCACCTCCAAAAAGGTCTCTGTCATTTGTCCACTGCCCACAAGACAAAATTTAATTTCTTGACCTCAGTTTACCTCCGGTCCAGCCTCATCTCCTATCAGTAGTTCCATATACCCTAGGCTTCTGCCTTACTGAATTTCTTAATTTTCTCTGAGATGACAGGGAAGAGACCAAGTCCCAACTCTGATTTTGCACATTTAAGTCCTCAGACTGGAAAGCCTGCCTCAACCTTCTTCAACATTTTTGTTATTTCAGACTCGGTCTTGACTTCAACTCCTCTGTGACTTGAATTCCCCAAGGAGAGTGAGCTCCTGTAATCTTGTCTGTGCCCATGGCACTTTGTTCTTTCTTTGATGTCACGTATTTTATTCTGTGAGCTCTTGAAGTGCTAGGATTAGGTTATTTAAGATAAGATAATGAACGAGGCATTGTACCTAAGAAAGTGTAGCAGGTCGAAAGATGGCCTTCAAAAAGATATGTCCACATCCTAATCCCTGGAACCTGTGAATGTGGCCCTATTTGGAAAAAGAGTCTTTGCAATGTAATTAAGTAACTAATTCTGTTACAGTAATTATGGTAATTTGTTACAGCAGCCATAGGGAACTAATATATTAATAGAAGGTTATGGTATAATGGCTGGAACATAATCAAATACTATTGTCATCACCATCAGTACCATTGCTATAGTCACCATTACTCTTATCACCTATCATGGGACCTGAAAAGTAGTATGTTCTTAGAAAATAGTGGTTGAATAAAAATACAGTTCTTGCCTGTGGGATTCCAGTCTATTGGTAGTGGTAGTGCTGCTGATGAGAATTGTGCTTAAAGGTGGTATTGAAAGAGAGCTTCCAAAGTAGACTCCCTCTTAAAGTTTTGTTTTAAATGTCTTTTTGTGTGTTTGTGTGAAAGGTGACATTAGATCTTTTAAAATTGTTTTTTAGAAACACTTTTATACATTTTTAATTGTCCTTTTAGAATAAGGCTAATTTTGTACAAATAGACATTATAATGCACCCCCCACCCCACCGCCCCATAGAGAAAAAGTTGTTGTTTTTGGAAAACTGATGAGCACTTATAGTTCTACCAGTTTAAAAAATCTTAAACTATTCTTTTTTCCCTAATAGAATGTTAAGAAGCTAAAATTAATTTCATGTTCATCGGCCTTGAAGTGCCATTTACAGGTATACCTTGGAGCAATAATTTATTCCACCATGCCACAAGGTGCTTGAAAATCAACCAAAATTTACAAATACTCATAAACCCAAACTGGGTGAGTTATATATAACTGTAAATTTTAGTTTGCTACTGGAAGAATTATTACCAGTGTTTCATAACTTGGTGTAATTAAAATAAAAGCTAAGGTTAATTGAGCTCTTACTGCATGGTAGACACTGTTCTAAGCTTTTTACAAGAATTGTCATTTTGCTCTCACAACCACTCTGCTTTCTTACCTATTCTCTTTACTCAAGAGGAAGCTGAGGCACAGAGTGGTCAAGTAACTTGCCTAAGGTTATTTTGGCTTAAGTGGCAGAGATTCATAGTGACCGCGGCTCATAACCTCTGCACTGCCCTGACTCGGCATACCATGTCAACTTTCATTTTTTAATACAATTTGAAGTAGAGAATATCAGTATATCATCATAAAAAAGATCCTTATGGCCGGGCGTGGGGGCTCATGCCTGTAATCCCAGCACTTTGGGAGGCCGAGGCGGGCGGCTCACGAGGTCAGGAGATCGAGAGCGTCCTGGCTAACACAGTGAAACCCTGTCTCTACTAAAAATACAAAAAATTAGCCGGGCGTGGTTGCAGGTGCCTGTAGTCCCAGCTACTCGGGAGACTGAGGCAGGAGAATGGCGTGAACCCGGGAGGCGGAGCTTGCAGTGAGCCGAGATGACGCCACTGCACTCCAGCATGAGCGAGAGAGTGAGACTCCGTCTCAAAAAAAAAAGATCCTTATCTAATTTCGTAGTGGTTCAAACTTTAGTGTGAATCTACAGGGATTCTGATTAGTGGGGCTGGGAATGTGCATTTTAAATAAGCACCCAGGTGGCTCTGACTATGCTTTGAGATACACCTACAGTTCACTTATGGCTTGTTTGTGTGCTTTAAGTTAGGCTACTCTTTGCATACATCTGTGTTCAAGGATGAGTCTACTGAATACAAACATGTATCTAAACTTACACCTGAAGTGCCCACCGTAGTAATCACATTTCTTTTTGTAGAGAGTGAATACAAGGCCAGCATCAGAGAGATTCATTTTTTTTTTTAACCTTTTGTATGAGCTTCAGAATCTGGTGTATTGACCTGAGGAAACTGTTAAGACGAATTTAAGAGAAAGCATAACATAAAGTTTCTACCCTAGTGGTATTTTATATATTGTTTTTATTAGAAGAAAAAGTGTAAATTCCACTTCGCAGTAGAGTAGTAGTTCCATTATTCGGGTTACTCTGAATATTAACTGTGGCCATGGAGGGAGTCTTCTCTTTTAAGTTTATTTAGTAAGAAAACTTTCACCCATTTGTACTACCAAAAACTCTGATTATGTGTGGTTTAGAATATGGGGGAAACACTAGGCTTTCAAATTTTACTACTTCAGTATTTTAGTTATATATCGAACTGGCTAACATGTTTTTCTTTCTTCTAGGGAGGTCACAATCACATTGAGCCAAAACGCATCCAGTGTTTTCTCCAGTTACAAATAAAACGAATATGCCCATGCTGCTACCACATCCTCACCAGCATTTCCTAAAAGGCCTTTTAAGAGCACCTTTCCGATGTTACCACTTCATCTTTCACTCAAGTACTCATCTCGGATCAGGAATCCCATGTGCTCAGCCGTTTAATTCTCTTGGACTCCATTGTACAAAGTGGATGCTGCTGTCAGATGGCTTAAAGAGAAAATTATGTGTACAAACAACCTTAAAGGACCACACAGAAGGACTTTCTGATAAAGAGCAAAGATTTGTGGATAAACTTTATACTGGTTTAATCCAAGGGCAAAGGGCCTGTTTAGCAGAGGCCATAACTCTTGTAGAATCAACTCACAGCAGGAAAAAGGAGTTAGCCCAGGTGCTTCTTCAGAAAGTATTACTTTACCACAGAGAACAAGAACAATCAAATAAAGGAAAACCACTAGCATTTCGAGTAGGTCAGTCTTTTTTGTGTGTTTTCTCAGTAAATATTTTTACAAATTCTCTGTATTCTGTTTTTTAAAAAAAAGTCTAAATAGTTTGCAATCGAATGGCGACTTTTTTCACAATATTTGGATGAATTTTAAATGAGTTTTCCTGGCAAATATTAGTTTTGTTAAGTTGAAAAAATTGCCATGACATTTGAACCAAGGCTATGTATTTTAAGAAAATAATATAAGATTTTTACTTTGGCAAGAATCTTGCTCTGGATCCCAGGACAGAAATATTCATAGGAAGAACTACTAGTGAGTTTACTCCTTTTTCTTTTAGTAGTCCTTCTGCTTAAATAGTTTAAAGTGAATTCCCTGTTTTGTTGTCGTATCAACTATAATTATCACGTTTGAAAATTCTGCCTCTTAGGTATTTCATTAGTCTTTCTATAGGCAAGTCTCACTTCCTTCAGGTACTTTTTATTGAGTTTCTCGGAGTGACTGTAAACCCAGCCTTCTCAATACCAAAATGTATTTTATTTATTTTTATTTTTTATTTTTGTACTTTATTTTTTGAGACAGTCTTGCTCTGTCGCCCAGGCTGGAGTGCAGTGGCGCGATCTCGGCTCACTGCAACCTCTGCCTCCTGGGTTCAGGTTCATGCAGTTCTCCTGCCTCAGCCTCCCGAGTAGCTAGGATTACAGGCATGCACTACCATGCCCAGCTAATTTTTGTATTTTTAATAGAGACAGGGTTTCACCATGTTGGCCAGGCTGGTCTTGAACTCCTGACCTCAAGTGATCCACCCGTCTTGGCCTCCCAAAGTGCTGGGATTACAGGCATGAACTACTGTGCTCAGCTATTTTTAGTCTCACTCTATCACCCAGGCTGGAATGCAGTGGTGATCATAGCTCTGACATCATGCTTGGCTCCAATATCATGCCTCCAACATCATCCTTGGCTAATTTTTTTTAGAAGTTTTTTGTAGAGATGGGGTCTCATTATGTTGCCCAGGCTGGTATCAAACTCCTGGGCTCAAGCAGTCCTCCCACCTTGGCCTACCAAAGTGCTGGGACTACAGGCATGGGCTACCATGCCCAGCCTATCAAAATGTACTTTAAGAAAGAGATCATATTTATTTATTGTCTGTATATTAGATGTTCATTTGATTTCTTGAACAATTTGACTTGGTTCTGAAATTGTTTTTGAAATTGTGCATTGTAAAACAATTTAGATATGTTTGACCAGCAGGAATTAAACAAGCCAGTTTAGGTGGAATGAGAATGTCCCACGGTGGTGAACTAGGTGATTTGAACCAACCCTCGTGCTAAAAACAACTTGTCTTGGTGGTTAAAGTGCAAAAATTTTGTGGAGAATGAGTAAATACTTTTAAAATTTCATGTTACATTACACCTTTGTCTCACAGTTTATTGGCAATGCAGACACAAAAGCCTCCTAGTTTTTAGGTTAATGGGCATAGATGCTTTAAGATAATTTCAAAATAGCTCACCAACCAATATTTATACCAGTCCCCATTTTTCAGACTTCTTAATCTTCTGCCCTTACTGAGGGATTCTCATTTTGAGAGTACTACCTTGGATGTTAATAATCTTTATGTATGGTAAACAAAGATAATAGCAAACTCCCGCAGAGAAATTCTAGGTATGACAAAGTGCCTACTTACTAAGATTTTAGAGAATCTGTGAAAAAATGTCTCAGAAATGTGTGGAATTAACTAGCAGTTCACAGATAACTTTGTAGTGCTATTCCAGTTCTTCCATCTTGATCTTATGAGGCCAGATAAACCTGTCTTTATTGCAGTTATTTTTTTCACCACCATAAGTAAAAGCAACAAATGTTTATTCAGCACCTAAAAAGGTGTTTAAGATAGTATTGGATCTGCCCCAAGAATTGTGGTAAAGAGTCAGGCATCCCATACACTATACATATTTTGAGTGTAGTTAGTTAAATGTCTATGTTTTATATATTTCATTTAACATACACTTATATGTCTCTTATGCCATGCACTGTTCTAAACATATTGCAGACATTAACTCATCTAATTCTTAAAACAACCTGAAGAGAGAGGTACTATTACTATATCTATTTTATTGCAGTGGACACTGAGGCATAGAAAGAGGTTAAGTAATTTACCCAAGATCACATAGCTCGTGGGAGGCAGAGCTAGAATGAGAACTGGCTGCGTGGCTTCAGGGTTTGTGCTCTTACCGGCCGTGCACTGCCAACTCTCCAAGTGGGGGAGTTTTCTGCTTTTCTTAACATAAATTATTTTTTTCAGAATTCAGTTTATATTCTTTGAGTTATGAGTGAGATGAAGAAAAAAGATGATCCCTTATAAATAGAAAATTGCTTTCTCAATCACTGGGAATTTCTAGAATAATGAGTTGTTTTTCCAGTGGGAAGAAGTATACAGAACTGAGGTAGGTAGAATAATTACTGATCATGATGAGAGGTGGGCAGATGTAGAAACTGAGCACATTAACAATGGAGACAATGAAGTCTGTCCAGAAAGATCTACTTTATAGTACAAAGGCAAAGCATGTTTTGTAGTTTTTAAAAGTGAATTTTGTGAACATTTGGAACCCAGGGTGTTTCCTTCCTATAGCCCCATTACTCAGGAATTAAAGAAACAGATTTTTATTTGCCATTTTAGGACATGTTGAAATATATTAATTGTGGTTTTAATACATTAGGGGAAATAGAAGGTAGTCTAATATTTTACTCAGTAAAACTGATCGTAGTTCTGATTTCATTTGTTTCATTGAATTAGAAGATCTCTTTCCACCGTAGGATTGTCTGGGCCCCCTGGTGCTGGAAAATCAACATTTATAGAATATTTTGGAAAAATGCTTACTGAGAGAGGGCACAAATTATCTGTGCTAGCTGTGGACCCTTCTTCTTGTACTAGTGGTGGTAAGTATGGCTGATTCTTTTTCAATTGCAGAGGTCTGGGGGCTTTCTGTTACAATTTAGTAGGAATTGGCACAGTTGGGTGACCTCTAACTGCTAGCTAAGTTTGGTCTCGCTAAAGGAAGGGAGTTCTGCAGAGTTAGGTGGAAGCTGAGAGAAGTAGTTTGGGAGTGTTGTACTCCTCAGAGGAGGCCAGCTTGTGGATAGCTCAGTGGGCACTCAGAAAACTGCGACAACAGGTGCCAGAAGTTGAAGATGATCAAATGCAAATTTCAGTCCTTCAGCTTCCATGCATAAGGCCAGGCCCCTCTTTGCTCCTGTTGTGTTTCCTGGCTGCATTAGCACCTGTGCAATTCAGAAAATAGGTCCTTACTCATGTGTCATTTTCCTCATAATGTTTTAACATCTCTTAAGCTTTAGAAAAACCTTACTGCTGTTTATAATTGTCAACTGTTTATATAATATGTTCAGTTAAACAGAAAGCTCTTAGAGGGGCACTGTAATATACTGCCATTCCCCTTACAGTATTTAGCATAGTACATTGTACGTTGCACAGAATGTTAAGCAGTTACTTTCTGATTTGATGTCATGAAGTCACTCAAAGTTTAATTTGCAGCTCATCAGCGATAAAATGAATATAAACTTAGTTCCCCAAAGGATCATTTAAAGAAAACAGAAAGCATACCATATAAACAGGAAAGGTTTTTTCTTCCCTTACCCCTCTTTATGATTTAAGCTTTTCATATTACAGTTACTCACTTAGCAAGTATTTGAGTGCCTACTATAGGTGAGGCATTGTACATGGAAGGTTCTTAAACTGTGTTATATAATGGTGAACAAGATACAGTCCTGGCTTTAGTGAGGTTTACATCTTATGCAGGAAACACAAACACAGGCCATTACAATACAATGTGTGTTGTGAAGGGGTAAATACAAGATGCTTTATGGAAGTATTTGGTTTTTGCATACTGTGTTATAATGTGGGTTTAATACTAAGTATTCAGAATGATGATGTAATCATATTTTAGGGACTTAGGTTAATATAGACGTGGACAATTCCTATTATCACCCCATTCCTATTATCATCCCATTGAGAAATCTAGCTCAGAACATTCAAAATTTTTGAGTCACTATAATAAAAAAAGTTAACTGTAAAATAAAATTTTTGCTCACAAGGTTCAAAATTAAATCCATGTCAATATGTTGTCTCATTTACAGCTTTAGAACTTTGTTAAAAGTAAGTACTTAATGAAGGATTTTTTAGTAAGTGGCCCTCATTTATATATAGGTGAGAAGGCCATTCCCCCATTTTCACAATATTCTAGAATACTTAACAATAGAAAAAAATAATAGCTTGAGATAATAATAGACAAAAATAATGTCATAAAATAGCCTGTGATTAAAGTTACATAGCTATGTGTTTCCTAACCTTTCTCAAAAAATAGTGGTCCCTTTCTCAGGCAAAAAATTATATAGACTTTGAAAGAAAAAAATACAAGGATAGACAAAACACTATGAATATAAATTTCTACCTTATTGTATCAGTGCATACACTTGAAAAACAGCATTACATTAAAGTTTGAGAAGCATTAGTTTTTTGGTCTATAGTCAATCTTTTTTGTGCTTTAAATTCACAGACCCCCTGTGATAGCTTTGAGACCTTCGTGAGAGTCTACAATTAACAGTTTTGGAATTTCTGGCTAAGACATAGGAAAGTAATTTCCTAATGTTTACTTCAGTGTGATGGGATCTATAGGATAGTAATTTAAAGTATAGCTTTGGCAGATTGTTTACTTACACAGAGATTATTTCATGCAGAAAATTACCTTAGAAAAAGGTTGTATGTGAAGTAAATAAGGAAGTTGATGTATGGGGTACATGTGTGGTCTAGAATTAGAACCTATGAGAAGACTCTGAACTGGCATTTAGTGGTAAAAGAGCATATCTTTAAGAAACTTTTCAATCTTTAACATTATGTGGAAAGATATGTGGAAACATTATGTGGAAAGAGGGAAAATGAATATTCAGATTAGAACAGCAGTACACCTACAAATGTTGGTATATGACTAAAGCAAAGTAGTAAAACATAATAGTCCCAGGACTTTCAGTCTTCTAGAATTTGTAAGTATTGATGTTTGTCAAAATATTATACTACAATGAAAACAAAAACATAACCAGTTTTATTCCACAGTTATTGAGTGCCTACTCTTAACACTTTGTTAAGCATTTAGTGTACAACCTATGTAAGACGTGGTCCTGTAGGCAAAGACTTATTTAAAGCATGGTTTCTCAAGTTTGGCGGTAGTGACATTTTATGTCAAATCATTCTTTGTTGTGGGTGGCTGTCCTGTGCATTGAAGGATGCTTATTTAGCAGCATATCTGGCCTCTACCCAGTAGATGCCAGTAGCACCCTACCCCTCACTTGTGACAAGTAAATATGTCTCTAGACATTGCCAGATTGCCCCCAGTTGAGAACCACTGTGTGAAAGAGATAAGAATTAAAAATATGAAACCAAAAAATGTGTTGTATGAATAGTTTTCCATCCATTAACTCAGCTTACATTGCATTCAGTGAGAGCTCCAAATTTTCTAAGTAGTAGGCGATTAGAAGCAACAGACTGGGCAGAAGGGGCAGCTTGAAGATATATTTGTGTAGCATTTACGTAAGGTTGAGAAAATGTCATTTGCAAAAATAAAAGAATGAGGAGTGGAGGGTGCTCATGGAGATAATAGAAAGGGGAGGGACACTAAAGTTCTCTTATGCCCTCCAGGATGCTGGCATACATTGCAGAGCTGTTGTACCTTAGAAAATCACAGAGATGGGCATGGGCTGAAAAGGTTCCAGGCAGACTATATGAAGGAGCAAGGACTTTTACTGATCTTTATAAGGTGGATAAGTTCTGTGTTTTTGTTATTAACGGTTTTTGAAGCACATTCCTGTATATAATTACATTTGCTTCTCCCAGTAGCATATTACCCTTGTGATGTAGCTGAGGAAAGAGGATTCAGGAAGGTAAAGTGACCTCTCAAAATTGAATAGTGTGAAATGGTGGAGCCAGAATACAGACCCTGGGCTTGACACATTGTAACTTAGCAGTGAGGAAGCAGGAGAGATACTTCTGGCATGAGAGCACAAACAAAAAAGATGGGACGAAGCAAACACAGTGATGTTAAGATGACAGTAAAGTAACCACCCTGGTTGGAACAGAGGATTGGTGTGGGGACTAGTAGAAGCCAGAGTTGGACAGGTAAGGTGCGGCTGAAGAATCTAGATTGGAACCTTTGGTCAGGGGGAAGCTATAAATTATAGATTTTGAGGGGCTTGAAATGTTAAGATTAATCTGACATCATTGTATACAATGAGTTGGAGAGAAGCTCAGTAATATGAAATGCAGTTTGAGATTTAGGGAGAAATGGCATAAAGCACTTCCCTCTAGGAACTGGCTGATAATTGACCCGTAAAACTGTTCCATGATTATAAAATGTAACTGTATGTTTTAGGATCACTCTTAGGTGATAAAACCCGAATGACTGAGTTATCAAGAGATATGAATGCATACATCAGGCCATCTCCTACTAGAGGAACTTTAGGAGGCGTGACAAGGACCACAAATGAAGCTATTCTGTTGTGTGAAGGAGCGGGATATGACATAATTCTTATTGAAACCGTTGGTGAGTGTGATATTCTATTTCATAACAATGTACTATTTTATGAATGCTATATAAAGATGAGTGACAACTTATTTTTGTTCATTCAGCAGATATTTGCTAAATGTATAATTAAATACAAGATATCCCATACTCCCTAGAAGATATGAATGTATAGGTTATAATCTTTACCCTCCAAGATCTTATTTTAAAAAGTAAAAATAAGCCATCTATCTGGATAACTGTTATACAGGTGGTATATTATACATGCCAGAGGAGAACTGTAAACATTAGGATGATCTGTGTAAATGATGCTTTGGCACAACACCTATTTTAAGTACATTTCATATGTCTACTGTGTTCATCAAGAAAATTAATGTAGTTGGGTGCCTTTTGAAAATGCAAATATGTTTTATTTCATTGTTTTATATCCTTAGCATATAGTTACATGTGATGAAGACACTGAAATGAAAACCCTAATAAATTCTTTCTTGTGGAGAGACAGTCTATTATATTACTGTGGGATAAATGTTTGTGATACAGCCTAACTCAGATGTGGGGGTCCAGTGAAGACTTCCTAGAGGAGGTCACAGCTGAACTCAGTTTCGAAGGAAGAATTGGAGATAAACAAAGTATGCGATAAAGGGCATTTGCAAAGATACACGGGAGTGAGAAAACATGGCCCATCCAGAGAAGTACAGTTTGCTCAGGATACTTAGAGCAAAGAGTGTGAAGGCAGGGAATGAAGGGAGGTCAGTTGGAGCAGTAGGCCAGGGCCAGATTGTCAGGGACCTTACATGCCATGCCAAGGAGTCTTCTGGAGTTTACCCTGAAAGGAGCAGGAAGATCCTGCTGGATAAGCAGGAGAGTGAGAAAACCAGATAGGTATTTTGGAGAGATCCCTGGCAGCAGAGTATAGAATGATTAGAAGGAGGGCTAGAATAGAATCAGGAGACCACTGTACTAATCCCAGAAGGAGATGGTGGAGGTCTGAACCAAGCAAAGGAAGTAGGAATGGCGATGAGATAGATCAACAAAACACTGAAGATAAATGGGCAGGATTTTATCCATGATAAGATGTGAGATAAGGAAGGAAGGGGAATTGCAGATAATAGAGAATACTGTAGAAAAAGTAGATTTGCAGAGAGGAAAACAATGAGTTCAGTTGTGAATATATTAAGTGTTAAATGCTTATTAGGTATCCGAGTGACTGTGTGTCTCAAGAGAAAAGGACTGAATGAGAAATACAGATTTAACAGTTACCAGCATGGTTCATAGTTTCATAGTTTAAGTTAAAAATTTGGTTCAGATCAACTGGGGAAAATATGGGACAAAAATGGAAGATATTTATATTAATCTGCTAGGGCTGCCATAGCAAAATACCACAGACTGGGTGGCTTAAACAACAGAAATGTATTTTCTCACAGTTCTGGTGACTGGAAGTTCAACATCAAGGTGCCCATAGGGTTGGTTTTTCCTAAGACCCCGGACCTTTGTCTTGTAGATAGATGGCTGCCTTCTTGCTGCATCTTCACTCTCCCTTGTCTCTTCCTGTTCACTTCACTCTCCTAGTGTCTCTTCCTGTCCTTTTGAGGGCACTAGTCCTATTGGATTAAGGCCCTACCCTTATGACCTCATTTAATTGCTTCTTTCAAGGCGCTATCTCCAGATAAAGTCACCTTGAGGTTTAGAACTTTAACATAGGAATGTGGTTTGTTTGTTTGTTTGTTTGTTTGTTTTTTGAGACAGAGTCTTGCTGTGTCTCCCAGGCTGGAGTGCAGTTGCGGGGTCTCGGCTCACTGCAACCTCCGCCTCCCGGGTTCACGCCATTCTCCTACCTCAGCCTCCCCAGTAGCTGGGACTACAGGCGCCTGCCACCATGCCCAGCTAATTTTTTTTTTTTTTTTTAGTAGAGACAGGGTTTCACCGTGTTAGCCAGGATGGTCTCGAACTCCTGACCTTGTGATCCGCCTGCCTCAGCCTCCCATTACAGGTGTGATCCACCGTGCCTGGCCTTTTTTTTTTTTTTTTTAAAGACAGAGTCTCGCTCTGTTGTCCAGGCTGGAGTGTAGTGGTGCAATCTTGGCTCACTGCAACCTCCGCCTCCTGGGTTCAAATGATTCTCCTGCCTCAGCCCCCCGAGTAGCTGGGAATACAGATGCACGCCACCACACCCGGCTAATTTTTGTATTTTTAGTAGAGACGGGGTTTCACCATATTGGCCAGGCTGGTCTCCAGTGCCTGACCTTGTGATCCGCCCGCCTCGGCCTGCCAAAGTATTGGGATTACAGGTGTGAGCTACCGCACCCGGCCTAACTTAGGAATGTTTCTAGATGAGGGGAACACAGCTCAGTTTATAACAATAGCCATGACAGGGCTTTAGAAACTCCACCATTAAAAAGTAGATGAATGAAGAGTTAGTTGCCTGAGTAGTAGTAGGAGAATCAAAGGAGAAGAGCACCTTAAAAACCAAATATATTACCTGGTTATATTTAGCTACCTTTCCCAGAAACTCAAAATAACAGTGACTCAAACAAGAAAGAGGTTATTTTCTATATAAAAGAGACCTAGAGCGGGCATTGTGGCCCCAGCCTGTAATCCCAGCACTTTGGGAGGCCAAGGCAGGCAGGCTGCTTGAACCCAGGAGTTCCAAACCTCCCTGGGCAAGATGGTAAAACCCCGTCTCTACAGAAAAATAAAAAAATTAGCTGGGCATGGTGGCATGCACCTGTAGTCCTAGCTACTTGGTAGGCTGAGGTGGGAGGATCACCTGAGCCTGGGGAGTCTGAGGCTGCAGTGAGCTGTGATGGCACCACTGCACTCCAGCTGGGGTGACAGAGTGAGACTCTGTCTCAAAAAATAAAAGAACCCTGAGGTCAGGCATGGTGGCTTACACCTGTAGTCCCAGCAGTTCAGGAGGCCAAGGTGGAAGGATTGCTTGAGCCCAGGAGTTTGAGACCAGCCTGGGCAACATAGCAAGCCTTGGTTCTATCAAAAAAAAAAAAAAAAAAAAAAATTAGCCAGGCATTGTGTTACACACCTGTAGTTCCATCTATTCAGGAGGCTGAGGTGAAAGAATGGCTTGAGCCCAGGAGTTCAAGGCTGCAGTGAGCCACGATCGTGCCATTGCACTCTAGCCTGGGCAACAGAGCAAGACCCAATCTCTCTTTAAAATACAAAGGAGCCTGAGGCAGGCAGTCCACAGCAGGTATGGTGCTTTGACAGTGCCCTCGGTGTCACAGGTTTCTTTTGTCTGCCTGCTTACCATTCTTAGCACTCAGTTTCCATCCTCCAGTTTGCTCATGGTTAAAAGATGGCTGATGAAGCTCTGACTGACACTTCCATGTTCCACATAGATGGAAGAAGGAAAGGGAAATAAGGAAGCAGAGAGGGGTGGCATAAGAGGTATAGCTGAATTAGCCATCTTTAAAAAACTTTTCTGGGAACCCCATCTAATGACTGTTGCTTTGACTCATTCATCATATCTCGCTGAAAGGAGATCTTGTGAATGTGGTCTTTCATCTGATACACTGATACTCCTAATAACATTGGAATAAGAAAATAGGGAAGAATAAATATTAAATAGGCAACTAGAAGTCCATCACACCGAGAAAGGGAGAGAGTTTCCAGAGTTTTGGTGGAAGTAGATTTTTTTTTGAGGTGGGGTATCACCATGTTGCCCAGGTGGGAGCACAGCAGTACAATCACAGCTCACTGCAGCCTCAACCTCCCAGGCTCAGGTTCAAGCTGTCCTTCCACCTCAGCTTCCCAAGTAGCTGGGACTACAGGTATACCACCATGCCCAGCTAATTTTTGTATTTTTTGTAGAGACAGGGTCTCACTACATCACCCGGGCTGGAAGACAGTTTTAAGTGGGGTGAGATGAACATGAAGTGAAGTGGAAGGAGTCAGCATAAATTACCTTTTTCCAGAAACGAGTATTTTAATAAAAGTGAGAAACGTGGTGATAGTTGGAGGAGTTTGTGAGTTTTTGTCTTGTTATTTTGTTGTTGTTGTTTTTGTTTTATGTGGCTTTAAGATGAGAAAGATTTGAGCACAATTTATGTATTGTGCCGGGGGGCAAGAGCCTGTAGATAAATGAGAGGTTAAAGATAATAATCAGCAAGGACCCAGAGGAAGTGGAAAGGAATGAGAGATTCCTTTTCAGTCAAATAGTTCTTATTACACTGAGACTGCAGAGGAGGCAGTAAGGCTGAGTTTGTATTTGTGTCTTGTTACCTGTGGAGTACGGGAGAGGGAGAAGCCTAGGAAGTTCTTGCCTTTATTTCCTCTGTGAAGTAGGTGCTGTAGTCCTCATCAAGCGGGGAGATTATGGGACAGTGAATGTTCATAATAGCTGCTGTGGGAAATGGAACGGAAGCCAACCGAGGGCATTTAGGGAGATTGCTTTTGCCAGGCCGTAAGGAAGATGTAGCAGAGGCTGCCTGTCGTGGCTCTTGTCCACAGAGTTGAGTGATTTCTCTCACGTGCCTATGGAGGAGAGAACACACATAGTTGGATTGATCCATACATAATTGGGCGTTTGCAGGCAAGTATGAGGACAAGAAGACAAAAAAGATGAAAGTATTTGTAGGCATGATTCAAGATTAGAGTCACAGTGTTCAAGCTGCTCGCTGATGAAAAGGAAGCCAAGAAAGAGCTGTGAGAGTGAGGAGAGGATGGAAGCCTTTAGGTTCTCCATTCAATCCAAGAACGGAGCGGGAGAGCTGGGAAGGATAACGGGTTTGCTTAGAGGGTAAGATATGACATTTAATACATTCTTCAGAAGTGAGATGTTTAAAGGAGTGACCAGGTTGACTGTGTGACCATGAGTATGAGTAAATGAAGTAGAATGGAAATGGTCAATGTAGTTGAGAAAGTCAAATAATGGTGAGTATTTTAGGATATAGTTGTGATTTACAATTTCAGGTGTGGGTCAGTCGGAGTTTGCTGTTGCTGACATGGTTGACATGTTTGTTTTACTACTGCCACCAGCAGGAGGAGATGAGCTGCAGGTAATTATTTTTATTTTTTCCCCCAAAAATATAAAATGTATATCTCTGAAAATAAAAATTTCCAATGTTGTGTTTTTGTAAACTAAGTTGATAATGGTTTAGAAAATGAAATATCATTCATGTTGGCTAAAATACCTGAATCAAAGGCAGATTCTCTATATTTTTTCCTAACTTACAGGAATAGAATATGTGTCCTTGAGAATGTAAAATTATGCAACATTAATTTTTCCATCTGTAACATGACTGAAATACATGGATCGCTCCAGCCAGTAGAGACCATTGTTGCATAGATGTTGTTAGTACGTTGATTCAAAAGTTCTGGGGAGAGTGGGATCCCACTATCATAGTTTATATGTTGTACAATGAGATTCTTACTCTCCTCTGCACCGCAGTTCTGGCACAACTACCTAAAGTTAGTGCAGACTTTATAGGGTGAGGGCAGAGTCCTCCACAAGCCTCCTCTCACTGCAGACACTACTAGCTGCAAGCTCCAGGGTTCCCAGGCCACCCATACCTCTGACCAACGGGCTATAAATTTGAGGGTTCCCATTATCCCTTAGGTTTAGTAATTCACTAGAACAGTGGTCCCCAACCTTTTTGGCATCAGGAACTGGTTTCATGGAAGACAGTTTTCCACAGACTGGGGGTAAGGGGGGATGGTTTCAGGATGAAACTGTTCCACCTCAGATCATCAGGCATCAATTAGATTATCATAAGGAGTGCACAACCTAGATGCCTAGCATGCATAGTTGACAATAGAGTTTGTGCTCCTATGAGAATCAAATGTTGTTGCTGATCTAACGGGACAGAGCTTAGGCAGTAATGCTCGCCCCCCTGCTGCCCCCCTGCTGTGAGGCCCAGTTCCTCCGTGGCCTGGGGGTTGGGGACCCTTGCACTAGAGTGACTCAGAGAACTCAGGAAAGCACTATATTACAATTGCAGCGTGCTTATAAAGGAGACAAATCAGGACCATCCAAATGAAGACACACATAAGAAGCCTGGGAGGGCCGAAATGCAAAGCTTCTGTGTCCTCAAGACACATTTCTCTCCTGGCATATTGATGTGTATCACCAACCAGAAGGCTCCCCTGAGCTTTAGTGTCCCAAGTTTTTCTTGGGGTTTCATTATGTAGGCATGATTGACTGAATAATTGAAGTTGATCTCTAGCCCCTGTCCCCTCCCTGGAAGTTGGGTTGATATCACATGGCATAAAACCCCAACCCTCTAATCACATGATAAGTCTTTCTGCCATGGTCAGTCTCCCATCCTGAGTGATCTCATTGCATAAACTCAGGTATAGGCCGGGCGCAGTGGCTCACGCATGTAATCCCAGCACTTTGGGAGGCCGAGGTGGGCGGATCACGAGGTCAGGAGATTGAGACCATCCTGGCTAACATGGTGAAACCCCGTCTCTACTAAAAATACAAAAAAAATTAGCCGGGCATGGTGGCAGGCGCCTGTAGTCCCAGCTACTTGGGAGGCTGAGGCAGGAGAATGGCTTGAACCCGGGAGGCAGAGTTTGCAGTGAGCCAAGATCGCACCACTGCACTCCAGCCTAGGTGACAGAGTGAGACTCTGTCTCAAAACAACAACAACAACAAAAAAACCCAGGTATAGCCCCAGGCACCTCCCATGAATAACAGACACTCCTGTTACTCAGGAAATTCTGGGAATTTAGAACTTAAAAGATTACCTCCCAGAAACCCAAAAACCAGACAAATTTTTTCCTTTTTTTTTTCAGAGACAGGGTCTCACTCTGTTTCCCAGGCTGGAGTGCAGTGGCATGATCATAGCTCACTGTAACCTTGAACTCCTGGGCTCAAGCTACCCTCCTGCCTCAGCCTCCCAGGTAGCTGGGACTACAGCCATGTGCAACCACTCTCGGCTAATTTTTTAATTTTTTTTTCTACAGATGAAGTCTTGCTTTGTTGCCCGAGTTGGTCTTGAACTCTTGACCTCAGGCAATCCTTCTGCCTTAGCCTCCTTAAGTGCTGGGATTACTGGTGTGAGCCACCACACCTAGCCCAGACAAATTATTTGTTATACAATGCTTCTGTTTCAATTTTATAATTCTAAAACATAGTGATTGCAGACTATCGCTGCTTATTTAGAAACATTAACTATTAGTATTTCATAATTGAATGTTTTGTTTAAAAATATTTGAAAAGAAATTTTAATCTTATGTAGAAAAATCTGTATTTACTAAATAAGGTTTGGCTTTTGGATTTCATCCTTTATTTCTAATATTTTTATGTGACATAATTTGAATTAAGAGATTGAGGTTTGTCCACGCAAAGCTGAAATAAGAAAAATACAAAGTATAAAAATAAATAATAATAAAAAAAGAGATTGACATATTTTTAGGCATCAGGTTCTTTTTCCTCAAATGCAAATTGAAAATAAAATGCTATATACATTTAAGGAAAATTTCAAAGACTTTTTTCTGGAAATGCAGATGTTAAGGATAGGTGTTTTCTTTTTAAGCACCTTAATGATGAATGGTTTTGCATCCTGCAGTGTTAGCTCAGGAGAAGCACATTCCATCACGAGATAATGTGAACTGTCCTGCCACTCAATCATGTTGTGACTTGATGTATTTACCCTAATTCTGAATGTATTTCAACATGTTAGTCTCTAAATTTGGAAGAGATATTACAGATGACTTCTATAATTCCAATAGCCAATGCTTTTGAGTAATTTCTGTCAAGTAATGGTGATTCTTGGCATCCAGGGCTTAGGAGGATATGGATGAAAAGTTAATGAAATGTATGACTTTCAAAATCTGAGCATTGACTAGTTTTCCCATTTTTATGTTGGTTGTCATTAAATGTTTCTGATCTCTTTAGGGTATCAAAAGGGGTATAATCGAGATGGCAGATCTGGTAGCTGTAACTAAATCTGATGGAGACTTGATTGTGCCAGCTCGAAGGATACAAGCGGAATATGTGAGTGCACTGAAATTACTCCGCAAACGTTCACAAGTCTGGAAACCAAAGGTAAGCTTGCTTGCATTCTGTATCTTTCACTCTGAATGGATTGTGTACATTAGAAGACAGGATATAAGTCCCAAACTAGACATATAATCAATCTTGCTTCTATGTGAAGATGATAGTTTTAAAAATCATGACAAAGACGGAGTGTGTAGTCATGATTTTAAATATAATCCTTTAACCACTAGATGTCAAAAACTAGATCAGAGATGATAGATGTGATTGTAATACTTGATTTGAGCCATTTGGAAGTGATAGCAAATCCATTCTGAAAGGAACCATCCTTATTAAG
The DNA here is from genome assembly GCF_000001405.40 of Homo sapiens. Taxonomy (NCBI): domain Eukaryota; kingdom Metazoa; phylum Chordata; class Mammalia; order Primates; family Hominidae; genus Homo; species Homo sapiens. Next base: position 145,654,430 of record NC_000004.12, read on the forward strand.
ATTATGGAGCAGTTAATGATTTGATTATCTATATTGGAATTTGATTCCCATTATGTTTGTTGGGTGCCATTTTCAGTAAGGAAAAAATTTTAATCCTGTAATAAGTGATGCAGTAATATTGATGTGGTCATCTTTATCTGTAGACAGACACTATGTTATTAAAGAATAAGCTGTAATCATTATAATGAGGACAATGATGACTTATCTTACTGTCATATCCCAGTTTTTCCCAATCATGTTGTCTGCATTGAGTCTGGATTCACCTCATATATACATGCAGATGTCAGATACCCAGCTCTTCCACTTGCTAAATCAGGCAAATTTGGCAGAGAGAATTAGGCTATTTCTCAACCTAGCTTCATTTTCTGGCACTCAGTCCTCAGGGGAACCTACCTGGCATTGCCCTTGTCACAAGTCCTCTATGATGCCCCTGACCATCTGAGCAATTAAAATAAAATAAATTAAATTAAAATAAATCTCTGGGCTTAAAATTTGACCTTGAATCAGTGTTTTATTTCTGCTATGCACTTAGTAATCCTAGGTATATTACCTCAGAATATATATTGGTATATTTACTTTGACACAGCAATAAAATCTCACTCTTGTCAATTGCCTATTTTTGTAGACCGTAAGAATTAACTGGCAGGTATCAGCGTCCCTGTAAAAATTTTTTCTATCATTTTAAGTAAAATGGTCTGGTTCTTCCCTTTTCGATAGGTAATTCGTATTTCTGCCCGAAGTGGAGAGGGGATCTCTGAAATGTGGGATAAAATGAAAGATTTCCAGGACCTAATGCTTGCCAGTGGGGAGCTGACTGCCAAACGACGGAAGCAACAGAAAGTTTGGATGTGGAATCTCATTCAGGAAAGTGTGTTAGAGCATTTCAGGACCCACCCCACAGTCCGGGAACAGATTCCACTTCTGGAACAAAAGGTTCTCATTGGGGCCCTGTCCCCAGGACTAGCAGCAGACTTCTTGTTAAAAGCTTTTAAAAGCAGAGACTAATAAAATTCATCCTGTATAATAATTTTACATATCATTTCATAAAGTATTTTAATAGAAAAATCACTTGTATGCTTATATTTTCAGTAATTATTGTATGGTGCTCTTGTCTTCTTTGTTTGTGACCCATGCTTGAAAACTTGAAGGAAGTTAGATATGAATGGCAAAAGTTAGGCAGTATTTATAAGGTACCTGTTTTATGTTACTGATATCTGTTTCCTTCTCTTCTTATACCCTGGCATGGTGGCCTGTAGGGTAGTTTCTTCTTAATAGTCAAGAACAGAGAAAGCTGAGGAGAGCAGAAAATATCTTGCACTTTAAAATGCTTATTTTGATTCCATATTATCTGAATTTCCAGAGAGGATGTAAACAAGAGTGACCATATTTTTGGAGTCCTTCTTGAAGCCAGAACAACACACAGTGGGTTGCTAAGAGCCGACAATCATAATTGACATTTAGTGTACCAGATTATTCTAAGAATTTCTGAAATTACCATGTACATGAGTAATGAAACAACTGGAATAATGTGATGATGTGAACACAATTTTAAAGTCTGCTTGTCTGGATTTGCAGGTACCCTTCCGCCACCCCCCAACATGATAGGTAAGAGAGCAAAAGGGAACTGGGAAAAATCAGCTACAAATAAAATGGGTGACTAATCCCCAGTTCTTGGACCCATTATATTTGTAGCCAATTGGAGTAAACCCCTAAAAGACAAAGTGAGGTCAGAATGATTCAAGGATTATTCAGTTTGAAGACTACCAAAGGCTTTTGCTTCTCTTCTTCCTTGGCCATTTCACTTCATTTTAGTATTTTAAAAATCTTTTTTCTTGATGGTGAACAAGTTTTGTCCTATGCTATGGAGGAGGCATAGCACAGTGATTAAGAGCTTGGGCTCTGTAGTTGGACTATGTGGGTTTAAACTTTAAACCCAGATCAATTGTATATTAGCTACATGAGCTAATCTCTTTAAGCTTCCATTTCCTCCCTGGTAAAATGAAATTGGCAAATAACTTTCTAAGGTTAGTGAAGATAGGAAATACTCGAAGGCTGCTTACTATCCTTATTACATTAAAGTTATGGGTATCTTGAAACTACAAACCTGATGTATAATTTCAGTTTTCTCTCATGGTCTTGTTACTACCATCATACTCTTGATATTTTAGGATACTTTAGGATTACCTTTGAAGAACCCTTTCTAGTTAATTCTTTGAATATGTTTTATACTTATTTGATGGTAGTTGTAACTGTGTACATTTGAATAAAATTTCTAACCATAAAATTTCGCCATTGCACAAAAAGCCTTTATAGAAGTTTCTAACATATTCTATTCTGAACCCTGTAGAATATTTTATGTAGTATAGCAGCTTGCATTGTTACTTACTGTACTGGAATCAAACCTCTTGAGCATTATTTTAACAAACATCCCTTTACATTTTTTGGAAAGATTTTTAGTACTCCATTGGCATAGCTATTTCATACAAGGATTAGGAGAAACTTTGAAAGGTTATCCACTTGACTTTTCTGATTTTAGAAAGGACTACCATTAAACCACCCTATCAGACAAAAAAAACTGGTTTTTAGAAACCTGAGAGAAGGAATTTTATAATTTCCCTGAGTAAGCTGTTACAGGGAATAACAAATCTCCTGCCACATGTGGCACAGTGTAAGTAATGCTGGAGCACACATACTGCATTGTAAAGAAGGTAGGAAAGGTGGGGGGACTTTTGTTAGCTTTAATTTTAAGGCTAAAAGCATTTCTTCTCAGTTTGAACTACTTTTAAATGTTATAAATGTCATCATAAAAATCATTAGAAAACTCATTTCTCCTTATGTTGTCGTTGTACCATTGGGTATTGTATAGAGACCAATTTCTAAGAGATTTTTTCACCTCTGTTTCTGTTATTTGCTATACTGGAGGTAATATAATAATAATGAAATATAGCTTTTTTTTTCAACTCAGAAATCCTATTCCCTCTCCCCATCTGTGATTATATTGTACTGGACTTCTGACTTGGTCAAAAGCATAGGTTTTGACTTAGATACATGTGGGGGCAGATCTCAGCTCTATCACTAACTAGCTATATGATATTTGGCAAGTTTTTTCTCTATGTGCAGTAGTTTCTTTATCTGTAAAATTAAGATAATAGCTACTTTACAGGGTTGGAAGAATTAATTTAGAAATTGTACAGTGCTTAGCCTCAATAATTGGTAGGTGGTGGTGTAAATATTTTACATAGATACTTGTGACAGTTCTTTGTTCTACAAAACAGACTAATATTAATTTCAGATTGGCCAAGCTACTTAATTTCTCTGTGCCTCAGTTTCCTCACTATTAAATGGGGATGACAATAGTGTCCACCTAGAGCAGGACTATTTTAGTATTACATATAATCCTTGGATATAAATGCTGATGAAGTTTGGATATTTGTCCCCACCCAAGTCTCATGTTGAAATGTAATCCCCAATCTTGGAGGTGGAGCCTGGTGGGAGGTGTATGGATTAGATCAGATCTCTCATGAATGACTTGGGCCATCCTTTGGGTGGTAAGTGAGCTCTTGCTCCGAGTTCACACGAGGTCTAGATCTGGTCATTTAAAAGTGTGTGGCATCTCCCCATCCCTCACTCTATCACTTGCTCCTACTTTCGTCATATGACATGCCTGCTCCCCTTTCACCTTCTGCCATGATTGTAAGCTTCCTGAGGCCTCCCTAGAAGCTGAGCAGATGCCAGCACCATGCTTCCTGTAGTCTGTAGAACCATAAGCCAAATAAACATCTTTTCTTTATAAATTTATAAATTACCCAGTCGCAGATATTTATAGAAAGAACAGCCTAATACAGGTGCTAAATACATATCTGACAATAAATGGTAGTTATCTCTTAGAACTGTTATGAGGATTAAACGAGTTACAGTGTCCATCTTAAAAAGATAATTCTGAAAAAAATCTCATAGGTTCACTTTGCCTTGTCAAGAATATGATTACCATTAACTTCTGTAGATAGGAAAAAAATGTGCTGAGCTCCAAAACTGACAGACATTTTGCTAAAACAATATCAAATCTCATTAAAATGATGACAGTTATTTCAATAGTTGACAGTAGCTATCCCAATACAACCTAACAAGGCATTTTCTCTTCAGAATCACTCGATCATATGGCCATTTCCCTAAGCTTTTATAGCTATTGCCCAGTGTACACTGAAGACAACAGCTAACGAACAACATACGTGTGATAATTTATGTAGTTGAACCTCTAAGGCAAAAAAAAAAAAAAAAAGGAAAAATTAGTGAAAATCATTCAAACATTATGCTCACCAGGTAGACTGCCATCATAGAAGTCCTAATGCTACTGCTAAAAACTAGTAAACTACCAGTAAACTGTGAAGACAGAAGTAACTCCTGTGATCTATATGTTTGTGCAGATGGTGGAGCTTTTCTGCTCCTAAAGCCTGAGAAATGCAAATGTGGCTTCGTTAATGCAAATGCTTCCTACGCCAGACTTTATGAAACTCCTCCTAAAGTTGAATTCTTATCCAAGTGGACATATGTTAGGGTGCCATTGTAATTCAGGTAGAGTGTCAGAGTGGTGGCTGGCACCAACGGTAGATGTTCTCAACATTAGCGTTATTCAGGTAAGACTACAACAATGATGAACATGTCAAAACTTTCCTTTAAAAGGAACAATCAGAAAAACTCTTTAACAAATGTTTTTCTTTCCGTAGTATTTTAATTAAAATTTTTAAAATTTTAAAATTTACTAAATTTATGAACGTTTTTATCCCACTTGAGATGAATACTTATTTATAGTCCCTGTCCCATGAAGCTTCTGTGGATTTGCTTTGTTTGTCATTTGTGGTATGTTTGATAACAAAAATATTAGTGGCACAAAAGCAGTTATATTGAATGCTTTTGTTTTAGAGAAAATTTCACTCTGTACTAGAAAATGTAGATGATGTGAGTCAAAGTTCATTAATATTTACCTGAAAATTTGTGTATAAAGGTAACCTTGGGGCAGTTTATTTTGCTTAGACCCCTCAGCTTCTTGATAGAGTGAGGTGAGGGCATATGTAAGTCAGTAAACTATTCTGTTAGTAAAGTCAAAGGCGTAATCTAAATTAATTATGCTTTTAACTAACACAGAAGAAATCATGTGACCTCATTCTCAAAGCTCGTAACATCCACCTGGCCAATCTTAAGATGTGGATAGAGTTCTTTTTTTTCTTTTTTCAATTTTTACAATAATTTTTGACACATTGAAGCTGTGCATGTTTATGGGGGCACAATTTGATGTTTCAATACATGTATATGTTGTGTAATGATCAAATCGGAGTACTTAGCATATCTATCATCTCGTGCATTTATCATTTCTTTGTGGCGAGAACATTTAAAAATCCTATTTTCTAGCTATTTTGTAATATACACTACCTTACTGTTGCGAACCATAGTCACCCTACTGTGCAATAGAACACCTGAACTTATTCCTCCTATCTAGTTGTAACTTTGTACCCATTGACCCCCCTTCCCTTCCTTCCACTCTCCCCTCCCCAGTCTCTGGTAACCACTGTTCTGTTCCCTATGAGATAAAACTTTTTTTGTCTTCCATATGAGTGGGATCATGTAGTATTTGTTTTTCTGTGTCTGGCTTACTTTCCTAAACATAATGTCCTCCAGGTTCATCCATGTTGTTGCATGGTGTTAATCTTAGCATGACAGTATAGCCATTATAGGGCTCATACTTAAATGCCAAATCTTGTTATATATGGAACCCAGCTATTTCAAGGATCAATGTTCTCTTATAAAGTCACATTAGCATTTACACCCAGATTTTGCTGACTCAGAATTCCATCACATGTGAGATCTCGGTCGCCTGAAAAGTCCTCTCCCCAAGTATTTTTGGAAGTCTCAGGGGTTTCCTCACTGATTCACAAACAAGTTCACACTCTTGGGTGCAGCCTACTCGTGCCAGGCTTCTGTTGGGCCTCCACTATTTCTACTGCTGCTGTTCCTGTAGGAGAATGCTGCCTTGCTTAGATGTTCCCAAACTGTGAAACACTTAAGTTGCCAAAATAGTGCTGTGTTTCCAGGGTACATCTTCTTTGCCTCTCTTCCCATAGGGGCCAGTGCATTGTTCTGAGATAGGAACCAACTACTACCATCTCTTATTGTCCTCAGGTCTCCTGTCTTTTCCCCCAGCACCTAAGTACACACCTCTACAGAAGGCTTTCCCCACACAAGCCCACTTTTCAAAATGCAAATCAAATCCTGCAAAGGATGCCTGAGTAGTTGGCTGTCCTTCCTTTTCTGGTAGTATCACCTTTGGCTGAATCGTGACCTCCCAGCTTCACATGTAGCTATGATTGCTAATTCTGTCAACCCCTCAAAAAAGGTATTGCCCCCATTTTACAGAAAAAGAAATTGAGCATCAGGGTTACTAGGAAATTACTCAAAGTTCACCATTTCTAAATGTGATGCATTATATACATTAGATTCAAACATTACTATTTTCCAAGTTGCTCAAAGCACTCTATGAACCTCATTCTTTCTATAAGACAGTTCGGGGCCGGGCGCGGTGGCTCACGCCTGTAATCCCAGCACTTTGGGAGGCCGAGGCGGGTGGATCATGAGGTCAGGAGATCGAGACCATCCTGGCTAACAAGGTGAAACCCCGTCTCTACTAAAAATACAAAAAATTAGCCGGGCGCGGTGGCGGGCGCCTGTAGTCCCAGCTGCTCGGGAGGCTGAGGCAGGAGAATGGCGTGAACCCGGGAAGCGGAGCTTGCAGTGAGCCAAGATTGCGCCACTGCAGTCCGCAGTCCGGCCTGGGCGACAGAGCGAGACTCCGTCTCAAAAAAAAAAAAAAAAAAAAGACAGTTCAGTGACAGGTGTTATCTTCAATTATAGATACCTCTGTGATATAGAGTAATTAAGGAATTTGTACATAACTCAGATGGTAAGATCCTGTTCAGTGTTTTAACTTTAAGGCCTTTCTTCTATAATCTAATATCCTTGATTTTGCTTTTGTGGAGAACACACCTCAAGGTTTTTTTTTTTCCAGTAGAATTTTTTGCTTATGTTTAAGGATAATATTTTAGACATTCAAATCAAACCAAAGAGAAACCCTTAATATCAGCTTCTGTATTAGCCCAACTTTTGGCTATAAATGACAGAAATCTACTAGCTTAGGAAAGAGAGTAATATACTGAATCATCTAATCATACAAGGAGAAGAGTAGGAGTGCAGTAAACTTCACAAACACAAATGATGCTGGGGATTCTCCCTGCCTTTTCTCCTCTGTGTATTGACTTCATTCTCCTGGGTTCCTCCACATAGCTGGAAATATGGCAACAGCAGCACTTAGGTCCACAGGAAGGATTTCCCCTATCTCCATAGACCTAATTCTGAAAGTCTCAGGGGAGCATTCTCACTGATCTGCCTGACAGGTCATAGGTCCATCTCCATGGCCAGGGATGTGGGTTCTATGATTGATTGGAGTTGAGGAAAGATCATTTCCCCAAAATAAGAGGTTTGATAGTCACAGAATCAAATAGGATGCCAGGCAGACAAAACGGAGATCTATCACAGATACTTTAATCTGTTTTGGAATAAAGTGAGATATAAGTATTATTGATTGGTGTCTTACATTAAAAGATTCAATCTTCATGAAAAGGTTTAATTACCTAATTATTGGTAATAGAGTTGACCCTTGAACAATATGAATTTGAACTGTGTGTTTACATGTTGATTTTCTTCCACATCTGCCACCCCTGGGACAGCAAGACCAGCCACCCCTCTTTTTCCTCCTTCAGCCTACTCAACGTGAAGATGACAAGGATGAAGACCTTCATGATGATCCACTACCACTTAATGAGTGATGAATATATTTTCTCTTATGATTTTCTTAACATTTTCTTTCCTCTAATTTTATTGTAACAATACAGTATATAATACACATAACATACAAAATATATGTTAATCAACTGTTGATGTTATCAGTAAGGCCTCTGATCAACAGTAAGCTATTAGTAAACTTTTTGCAGAATCAAAAGTTATACATGGATTTCTGACTGGGGGGTTTCAGCGCCCCAACCTTCATGTTGTTCAAGGGTCAACTCTATACCCACTGAAACACAAGTGAGGTTCATATTGTCAGCTGCATACATTTGAACTTTTGTGGCGATAACACCCTTATTTGTTAGAAATATCCTTCCCTGATCCAGTTTTACAAGTAAAATATTTTTCTTTTATCCCCCCATGCTAAATTACTATTTACCCTTCCTAATAGTGAAGATGCATCTGCAAACAAAGGATCAGTAGCTTCAAGAGGACTGGTTAAAGCATGATATCTTTTTTGTATTATTTATTTTATGTCTAGCTGATTAATAGGGATTTTAGAGTTATTTTAGCCTAACCAGCCCCTTTGAACAGTTGAAGAAGCTATGATGCATGGCAGGCAATAAGTTTTAGACACAGGTCTTTTGATTGTGTGGTTGACCTACTCAAGCCAACTCTAGAGAAAAAATGGTTTATTTTAGAGAATCTCATGAAAATCCAAGGACAGGTATCAAAAATTAGCCTTTAAGAATGGAGGCAATAAGGATTCCATTTTAAACTGACATATAAAGAACTTGAAAATCACCACTTCATCCTTACCAGAAGAAAATGCTGGCAAAACTGAAAATCAAGGACTTTTGGACCCATAGGGAACCACCACACCAAAATCTGGAGACAGGTGCACCCAGACAGTCACAGCCAAGATCTGCTTATCTAGAGTGGAAACCACTGGAGCCATGAACTATTAGATTATTTTGAAAAATTAAGTGATTATTTTGAAGGATTGCTGGAGGCTGAGTTCGGACTAGTGCAAAAGTGAGAAACTCCTGGACTTTGCAGTCTTAGGGGAATCCCCAGAGTTTCACGGACTGTACTTCCAAGAACAGTGTTGTCACAGTGGAGATTCAACCAAAAAAAAAAAAAACCCTCTCATGACTCTGGCAGGAGGCGGAAAAGAGAAATCATTATGTAATAAGCCCAGAGCCTTCTCATAGGCCTACTCTCCAGGGCAAAAGACTGTCTGAGCTTTTTCCCAGCTGGGATAATGGCATTCCTTCCACTCCATTCCCAGCTGATGCTTTTTTTCTCACCTAAAAGAGGGTGGGGAACATAGTCAATAGGAGTCAGGGCTTGGGGCAACTAGATTAAAAACTCGGTAGCCAGTGAATGGAGAAGGGAGTGGGAGTAGGGGAAATCTATATCACTGGAAAAACACTTGTGAAGTCACAGCCCAGAAACACAGGACTAATTAAAAGACTGATACTTAATTTTAAGACTATAGGACCCTCCCTCATTAAACCTTGCCATCATACCACCAGGACTTTAATATTGTAACAGTGGATTACAGTTGTAAGAGATGCCAGACACAGACTCTCTCTCTGAGGAGGAGTACTTAAGGAAGCCTCAAGTCAAGAGGAAAGACAAAAACAAGGACATGAGGAATTTGAAGGCTCTAGTACCTGTACCTACTCCAAATATTAAATACAGCTCAACTCCTAGCCAGACTAATATGCATCCTCACACTGAAAGCCTGTTTATTTCAGTTTCTGTTACCCAATAACATGTATACGTTTCAATAAAGAGATTACAAGGTATGCCAAGAAGCAAGAAAAGACACAATATGAAGAGACAAAGCAATAATCAGAACAAGACTCAGATACGGCATAGATGTTGGAATTATCAAACGGAATTTAAAATAACGGATTAATATACTAAGACATCTAATGGAAAAATAGACAACATGCAACAACTGATCGGTAATGTAAACAGAGAGATGGAGACTCTATGAAGGAATCAAAAGGAAATGCTAGGAATTTCTGAAACTAGCAAAAATGAAAAAAGCCTTCAATGAACTCCTCAGTAGACTCGACATGGCCAAGGAAAAAGATCAGTGAGCTTAAAACAAGCCATTAGAAATTCACAAACTCAAATGCAAGATAAAAAAATAAAAGCATGGAACAGAACATTCAAGAACTGTTGGAAAATTCCCAAAGATACACAATTATGGAATACTAAAAGGAGAAAAAAGAAGAAATGTTTGAAGTAACGATGCCTGAAAACTATCCAAAATTAATGACAGACACCAAACCAAATAGCCAGAAAACTCAGTAAACACTAAACAGGATAAATAACAACAACAAACCCACACATAACCATATATTTGAACTGCAGAAAACCAGACCAAAAAAATGCAGGCCATTCTCACGTGAACCAGAAAGTCTCAGTCATGATACTTCTCTCCATCTTGTTCCTGCACCATTCTAGATTTTAACTCTTTCATAACTTTTTTATATGGACTATCAAGGCCTTTCTAGCTTAAATTTTATCTCATTACCTTAGAGCTTTAGTTTACTTTAGCACTTTACAGTTTATTGGTTCCAAATTTTGGATTCCTGACAGAAATCTTCTGGTGGCAGCAGGGGTCACTGAGGAATCTATGGGTAGGTTTCCCAGAACCAGGTGCTCACCTCAATCTGTGTTTCAGGAGGTGGGATAATAAAGCATAAATATGCTTCCTGCTTATTCATCAAGAACCTTTTGGAAGGCACTTTTTCTTGGGGTCGATGGGTAAAACAGGCCATGATGTATTCTTCCACCACAGAATAATAGGTAGATCAGTGAGTTCCAGAGGCGTGAACTAACTGATTTAAGCAGCCAGTATGACTTACAGTCAAACCTACCTCTCCTAACTAGCATTTACTCAGTGATCTCACTGTGACATGGATTAGAAACAATCTGTTAAGAAAAATATTTGGCCTTTTTGTTTTTTGAGACAGGGTCTTGCTCTGTTGCACAGACTTGAAGTGCAATGGCACCATCACAGCTCATTGCAGCCTCGACCTCCTGGGCTCAAGCAATCCTCCCACCTCAACCTTCTGAGTAGCTGGGATTACAAGTGCATGCCACCATGCCTGGCTAAATTTTTGTATTTTTAGTAGAGACAGGGTTTTGCCATATTGGCCATGTTGGTCTTGAACTCCTAGACTCAAGCAATCCACCTGCCTTGGCCTCCCAAAGTCCTAGTATCACAGGCATGAGCCACCGTGCCCGGCCTTTTTTTTTCAATTGTGGAAAAAAGACACAACGTAGGCAGGGTGCAGTGGCTCACACCTGTAATCTTGGCACTTTGGGAGGCAAAGGTGGGAGAATCACTTGAGGCCACAGTTCAAGACCAGCCTGGGCAACATGGCAAGAGCCCATCTCTACACAAGACAAAGCAAAATTTAGTCCGGGTGTGGTGGCTCATGGCTGTAGTCCCAGCTACTTGGGAGGATGAAGTGGGGAGGTTGGCTTGAGCCCAGGAGTTCAAGTCTGCATTGAAATATGATCTCTGGACTACACTACAACCCGGACAACAAAGCAAGACCCTCTCTAGAAAACAAACACACAAACAACATAAAATTCACCCTTTCAATTTCCAAGTATACAAAAGCATCAACCACATGCATATTGTTGTGCAACAGATGCCCAGAACCACCCCCACCCTGCATGACTGAAATGCTATAGCCACTGAACAAACTTCCCACTGTTTCTTCCCCCAGCCCTTGGCAACCACCATTCTATTTTCTATTTCTATGAGTTTGACTATTTTAGCTACCTCATGTAAGTGGAATCATGCAGTATTTGTCTTTTGTGACTGGCTTATTTCACTTAGCATAACATCCTCTAGGTTCATCCATGTTGTAACTTATGACAGGATTTCATTCTTTAAGGCTGAATAATATTTCATTGTTTGTCCATACCATATTTTCTTTATCCCTTTATCTGTCAATAAACAGGTTGCTTTCACCTCTTGACTGTCGTGAATGGTGCTACAAATGTGAATAATGCTGGGTGTGCAAATACCTCTTTGAAACCTTATCTTTAACTCTTGGATATATAGCTAGAAGTGGAATTGCTGGATGTATTACTCGTTCTCATGCTGCTATAAAGTCTGCCCAAGACTGGCTAATTTATAAAGGAAAGAGGTTTAGTTGACTCACAGTTTCACATGGCTGGGGAGGCCTCAGGAAACTTACAATCGTGGCAGAAGGGAAACCAAACACATCCCTCTTCACATGATGGCAGCAAGGAGAAATGCCAGGCAAAGAGGGAAAAGCCCCTTATAAAACCATCAGATCTTGTGAGAACTCACTCACTATCATGAGAACAGCAGCATGGGGGTAAGCACTCCCATGATTCAATTACCTCCTACCAGGTCCCTCCCACGACATGTGGGGATTATGGGAACTACAATTCAAAATGAGATTTGAGAGGGGACACAGCCAAACCATATCACTGGATCAATATGGTAGTTCTATTTTTAATTTTTGAGGAACCTCCATACTGTTTTGCATAATGGCTGCATCATTTTACATTCCCAACAGTGTACCAGGGTTCCAGTTTCCTCACATCCTCACCAACAGTTTCTGTAACTCTTTTTTTCTCTTTTTTGAGATGGAGTTTTGCTCTTGTTGCCCAGGCTGTAGTGCAGTGGCACGATCTCGGCTCACTGCAACCTCTGCCTCCTGGGTTCAAGCGGTTCTCCTGCCTCAGCCTCCCGAGTAGCTGGGATTATAGGCATGTGCCACCACACCCGGCTAATTTTGTATTTTTCGTAGAGATGGGGTTTCTCCGTGTTGGTCAGGCTGGTCTCGAATTCCTGACCTCAGGCGATCTACCTGCCTCGGCCTCCCAAAGTGCTGGGATTACAGGCGTGAGCCACCGCGCCTAGCCAACTTTCTGTAACTCTTACCATTACTTTCTGTTTTGGTAGTGGCTATCCTAAAGGGTGTAAAGTGTTGGCTTTGACTTACATTTCCCTGATGATTAGTAATGTTGTGCATGTTTTTATATGCTTAATGCCCATTTGTATATAAATGTCTATTTAATTCCCTTGCTCATTTATTAATCAAGTTATTGTTTTTTTGTTATAAAGTTGTAGAAGTTCTTTATATATTCTGAATATTAACCCCTTATCAGATATATGGTTTGCATATAGACCTTTAAATTACTATTATTATTCCTGCTCTTCCCTTCTAAAGTTATCAGTCTATTTAATTCTAGAAATGTCATTGCTTCCTAGAGATCTGCTACACATACTACATCTTTATTTCAAATCAAGAATCTGAGAAATCACACCACCTCTTTTGCAAAACCAGTGGTGTTACTGGTGCCAGAAACTTTCTTCCCACTAGCTCCAGTCACTTGGGGCTCTTAAAATAATAGAGGACACAAAAACCATTTTTCTCAATGAATCTCAGAACATTTTATTGCCTGTCATATATTATTACTGTTGTTATATATATATATATATATATATATATTACTGCTTGTGACCCAAAAAATATGTTGAATTCTAACCTCCAGTACCTCAGAGTATGATCTTATTTGGGAATAAGGTTGTTGCAGATGTAATTACTTAAGATGCAATCATGCTAGAGTAGGGTGGGCCTCTAATCCAATAGGACTGGTGTCCTTGTAAGAAGGCAACATGTGGCAAAGACACACAGGAAAAATGTCATGTGATGATGAAGGCAGAGATTGGAGTGATGCAGCCAGCTGCCAGCCAAAGAACACCAAACGTTGCCAGCAAACACCAGAAACTAGGAAGAGGCAAAGGAGGATTCTCCTATAGGTTTCAGAGGGAGCATGGCCCGGCCAGCACCTTGGTTTCAGACTTTCAGCCTCCACAACTGAGAGATAATAAATTTCTGTTGTTTTATGCCATCTAGTTTGTGGTACTTCTTAATGGCAGCCTTTTTGCTTCTGTTTATATTCCACAATTTATACCATGTCTTGGCCTTAAATTCAGTATTGGGCTTTGAATATTCCAAATACTTAAATAGACATTTTTCCAAAGAAGATATACAAATGGCCAGTAAGCATACAAAAAGATGTTCAACATTACTAATCATCAGAAAAATATAAGTCAAAGCCACAGTGAGATACTGAGATATCTCCTCACACCCTTTGGGATAGCCACTACCAAAACAGAAAGTAATGGTAACAGTTACAGAAAGTGTTGGTAAGGATGTGAAGAAATTGGAACCCTGGGGAACTAACACAGCTGTCAAACTATCTGAGCCTGCTTCAGAGAGAGAAACTTCTACAAAGATTTTATAACTACCCCTGCCAATCCCCACTGCCCAAATAAGAATATACTCCTTCACCTCCCAATTCTGCTTCCCTGAGCACCTTGGAAACCTATACAATGAAAGGAACACATGAGATTCCTGGTATTTTTCTTATCCGGGTACTTTGTTTCCTTTTATATCCGACGATTTATATCACATCTTGGCCTTAAATTCAGTATTGGGCTTTGAATATTCCAAATACCTAAAGTTTACAAGTCTGAGAGGTTGAGTTCCCCTATAAGAGGGGCTCAGGAAATTTTAGAGACATTCTAAAAAAATTAGTGATGAGCAACAGAAAAGCCATTATGAAATGTTTGGCCACTCAAGCTATTCTGCCTTGAGGAGATAATGTCTGACACTCACCAGAGAGTGGGGAAAAGGCATAGTATATAAAGTGTTCTGCTATTATAAAACTCATTTCAGTTCTATTCAACTTTTTATAACGTGCATTCACCTTCTCTAGCATCAAGCTCTATCATATGGCATTTACATTATAAATTTTTAGCTCAAAATAATATCTTCATAATTTGCTCAAAAATTGTACTACGTATTGGTGTCTCAAAACAACAACAGATACTTCACGGCACATAATTTACCTACTTTCCAACATCAAGAAAGTATACCCAGTGAAATTTGTATGCTGTTTATGCTGCCTTTTTACAGTTTTCTACTTAAATGGCTCTTGATTAGTGAATTAATCCTAAGCAGGGTGGCAGGAGGAAATGCCATGGGTATAGTATATATTATTCAAATGTATTTGTAGAAAGTAGACCAGGCCAGGCGCGGTGGCTCAAGCCTGTAATTCCAGCACTTAGAGAGGCTGAGGTGGGCAGATCACCTGAGGTCAGAAGTTCGAGACCAGCCTGGCCAACATGGTGAAACCCTGTCTCTACTAAAAATACAAAAATTAGCCAGGCATGGTGGCAGGCATCTGTAATCCCAGCTACTCAGGAGGCTGAGGCAGGAGAGCTGCTTGAACCTGGGAGGCAGAGGTTGCAGTGAGTGGAGATCGTGCCACTGTACTCCGGCCTGAGCAACAGAGTGAGACTCCATCTCAAAAAAAGAGAAAGTAGATCAGTATGGCAGGAAATAATAAATGGTGCTGTTCAGTGGCCCAAGGTAGATGCACAATAAATATTTATTGAATGAATGGATGAATGAACAAATTCTGAGCAAAGTTAATATGTAGACACAGAGACAAAGAGACAAAGCCATAGATTAAACAGTCCCTTCAGAGAGTGACAAATCAAAGGGCAGTAATATATTGAATTAATGCAATTTTCCAAATACCCTAAAATGGCATTTGTCAGGATACTCACATTTTTGTAGAACAAAACATTGCGTGTCTTAGCTCAAAGCATCTCTCAGTGTACCTCTGGAAATTCAGAAACAGGTATGTAAATACCAGTGCACATTATAAATCTGCCACCATGCAGACTAAATGTCCAAAGGACATGGGGTGAAGTATTAACCTTGGTCATTCTAGGATCGTCTGTTCCCAGGTCCTGGCACATTCTTTCTGTGCATCCTTAGAAACTTTTGGATCCCAAATTAGCACATAGTGAGAAAAGAGATAAGGAGAGTCAAACTTGGATATGTATTTGACTAAGCCACCAACATAGGCAAATAAGCTCCCTTGGTAAATAGGGAGGGAATGAAGGGTCTGTCTGTTAAACTTCAAGAAGATTTATCCTCTGGTCTCTGTTTACCAACATTCACACAATACCTATTTTAGCAACTTTATTTCATGGCTTTCTCCACCCTCTACCATGAGGTTCCGGGTAGAATTCAACTTATTTAAAGCCATGAGGAGTTCATCTATCTATTATTTTTTGTCTTCAAGCATTAAGAAACTGTAATTCACTAGGATTAATTCCTCTTTAACAGAGAACTTTTTTGGATTCCAGTTAGCAAATATACCATGGGTGATAGCCTTCTAGAATATTTCCTCTGAGTTTGAATAATTTCTGGGGTTGTGAGGGTTTTGCTTGTTAATATTTAATTGATAATATTTGATGTGTGGTTCTTAAACTTGGTTTCAGAATCTTCAAAGTATTTCAATGATGCATGTAACAAGAGACTGTACACTTCTTTCCTGTAAACAAGTGGGAACACAAGGCAATTTGCATTAAAAATAAATAAAGAATGTCATTCTTTGGTCTTTCTCTGCAGGACTTATTTATTAGGTCATGATTAGGAGCTTCTTTGAATATGAAATCCAGTCATATATGGGTTGTCAGAGATGCTTTTGGACTGTTCTAAGAAGAAGGGGAATAGTCAGCAAGTGTGGGACCAGAGAAAGCCAGGGCAGAGATAGGTGGAGGGTGAGAGACAGATGGAGTATTCACTAGGCAAGAGTCCAGACTCCGCAGCCATGTTGCTTGAGTTTCAACCCCAGTTCTACTGCTTCTTAGCAATGTGACTTTGGGTAAACCTTTTATGGATCAGTTTCTTCCTCTGCAAAATGAAGACAATAATGGTGCCTTTCTCATAGGGTTGCTGTGAGGATTAAATGAATGTTAAAGTCTAAGAAATGTGCCTGGAAAGTGTAAGTAATTTGCTTCTATATTTATCAATTATTATTATTATTGTATACATGAGACTCAGGTTAGTTAAACAAGAATACTTTGAAATATCTTTTAAGACATCCTTCTAAATGACTTTTGCTTTTCCCAATAATGTTTTGCATATAGGAGACTGAGATTGGTGTACAAGCAGAATTGTATAGGACTGGCTTACTTTTATAGTACAGGAAAAATGGGCCAGCTCCACTTGTGAGTCAACTTCCCCCACTCCCTCCCCAGGTGACCTGACAAAATCAGCTATTACTATGTGCTGTTTATCCCAGGGTTACCACTAGGATATCCATGAAGCCTTGACCATTATTATGAATCTTTTTTTTTTTGAGACAGGATCTCGCTCTGTCACCCAGACTGGAGTGCAGTGGCCTGATCTCAGCTCTCTGCAGCCTCGAGCTCCCAGGCTCAGGTGATCCTCCCACCTCAGTCCCCCGAGTAGCTGGGACTACAGGCATGTGCCACCATGCCCGGCTAATTTTTGTATTTTTTTGTAGAGAGGGGGCTTCGCCATGTTGCCCAGGCTGGTCTCCAACTCCTGGGCTCAAGCGATCCGCGCACCTCAGCCTCCCAAAATGCTGGGATTACAGGCATGAGCTACCGTGTTCAGCTTCGATTATTTTTTAGCTTCAATTATTATGAGCCTTTTGGCTTATTCGCCTGAGAGTGTACGGCACAATTTGTGAACACAATTTGTGGACTATTTCATCATGGGTATTTATGAATAGACAGGGTTTTCTTGAAAAAGAACAACCATTCAAGTTTCCTCACATGTATACCTTGGTCTTTTCCTCAGTGGACTCATATTCTTTCCACCCTATTTCCCTATTCTCTATTCCCCACCCATTACACACACACACAGACACACACACACACACACACTCACTAAAGAGCTGTATACCTTATTTTCTCCTACCTCTGATTACTGGACCCAGAACTAAAAGGAAAGAAAGTTTCAGAAGTATCATATTTGATTGAATTGGTTCCAATCTCTATGCCTCAGAGTTTTTTTTTCTTAAGGCCTGGATTCTAGAAGGAAGTGGAAAAGTAAATGCAAACCCAAGAGATTTCTTGCAAGATGTGAGTGATTGATTATGATATGGCTTGAATACTTGTCCCCTCCAAATCTCATGTTGAAATGTGATCCCCAAAATTGGAGGTCAGGCATCCTGGGAGGTGTTTGGGTCATAGGGGCAGATTCCTCATGAATGGCTTAGGGCCTGCCCTGCCATAATCAGTTTACAGTCTATCTGGTGTTGAAAAGATCCTGGAACCTACCCCCACTTCTCTTTCTCGCTCCTTGTCTCGTCATGTGACGTGCTTGCTCTCTCTTCCACTTCCATGAGTGAAGCTTCATGAAGCCTCACCAGAAGCAGATGCCGGCACTATGCTTCTTGTGCAGTCTGCAGAACCGTGAGCCAATTAAATCTCTTTTCTTTATAAATTACTCAGCCTCAGGTATTCCTTTATAGCAACATAAAATAGCCTAATACAGATTATATGTTGATATATTCAATTTGCTTTAACTTTTGTAAAATAACATTTTGACTCTGATTATGTTACATATATTCATTGTAAATTTTTTTAAAAAATAAAAGAATATATGATGTAAAAATCATGTGTATTTTTCCACTCAGCTAAAATAAGTATTAACATTTATATATAACCTTCTAGACCTTTTCTTCTAAAATACACACACACACACACACACACACACACACACACTTTTTATTAAGTGAAATTGGGATCACAACATATACACTGTTGACAATAAGTTTCAGTTTTTGAATGGTAAACAGAACCAAAAATAAATTTCAGGAAATCAATGAAAAAAGATCCTTCCTTTTGGTCTTTCACTCACAAATTTTATCAATTTCCTTTTCCTGTTCCTTTGCAGTTTCCCCTTCTTTTATTTCCATCAAGTCTTATTGTAACTGGTTCCTTGTATCCCGTGTCTTTTAGGCCATCTACTACTCAGTTTTTGATAAGTTACTAAAAATTTCCAAATCACACAATTGGTTAGTAAGCATGAAGAAACTATTCCAAGATCAAGGACTAAGAATTAATACTATTGTAATTGACAGACTCGGTTATTAACTGTAACACATTATGTGTACTCATTAAGGTACGTAACCACACTCATCCAAATATCAGAACTTATCAGCACCTTATGAGGAGCAGATGGATTCAGGCTGAGATGGAAATTTCAGCATCTTATGGGATTTTTTTCTCAAGGGCATTCTGCTTTCTCTGGTCTTTATCTGGTATCTTCCTAGGTTTCATCTTGTGATGATATCAATAAGCTTCTGCCTTCACAGGATATAGCCTGACATACCTAGTCTGTGGTGATAGAAATTGAATTAGTGGTTACCAGATGTTGTGTTTTGTGCGTGTGTGCGTGTGTGTGCGCACACATGTCTGTGTGTGTGTGTGTGTGTGTGCTGTTTTGACTGGAAAGGAACACAGAACAACATTTTAGCATGCTGAATATGGGTCACAGTTACACGGGTAAGGACATATGTAAAATATATGTGTGTACTTTACTCTTCGATGTTATCTCTAAATTTTTTTTAACAAAATACGGCTTGATCCACCCTTTTGGCAGGCTATCAGTACTTTAAGCTGGTGATCTAGTCAAGATCTAGTAACTTTCAGAAACTGCAGACCAGCCATTGTGTCAGCTACAGAGACCTCTGGCCTTTCCTGTTCCTGGGTTCTTCTACAGAATAGAAATCCTCAGAGATGCTTGTGACAAAAGGAGTTTTGTGGTCAAATAAGTTTAAGAAATGCTGCACAATCTAGGCCACTTTGAAAGACGCACAATGCAAACAGACATTAAAGGCTCTGAGAAGTCTTACAACAAAAAACGTATTTATCCCAAATTGTTCTAAACTTACTTACCATGAAACCCTTTTAATTAATACCTATTGACATCTCATTAGAATAATCAGCTTATGTTCAGAGAGAAGCCTAGTCAGTACCAGGTCACCAAAGGCTCCCATGCACCAGGTGAAATGAACAACCCCTGCTAGTTTTATTTGGTATGAGGTCACTCATTAAACTCCTATTTTCACGAAATCACGCTCACAACCTAGAGTTTGTTGTCACAGTGCTCTTGATTTTTTTTGTCATACTTAACACACTGATGAATAAACAGTACAGCTTGCCATAAATCAGTTACAAAAGGGAAGATTTTAGTGCGGATTTTCCAACCAGAAAGTCAGACTATACAAGTCAGTGCCCATGAGAAGGAACGTATCTGATAAAATGTGCAGAACAAAGAATGAGCATGAGGTCCTCTAGAATTATTATAAACACTTATGATAATAAATTCAATTAGTCTGTTAACTTATTCTCTAATTGGAAATCTAATTTATTATTTTATTTTAATTTAATTTAGTTTTATTTTTTGAGACAGAGTATTGCTCTGTCGCCCAGGCTGGAGTGCAGTGGCACAATACTGCAACTTCCGCCTCCCAGGTTCAAGTGATTCTCCTGTCTCAGCCTCCCGAGTAGCTGGGATTACAGGCGCACACCACCACGCCCAGCTAATTTTTTGTATTTTAGTAGAGACGGGGTTTCACCATGTTGCCCAGGCTGGTCATGAACTCCTGAGCTCAGGCAATCTGCCCGCCTCGGCCTCCCAAAGTGCTAGGATTACAGGCGTGAGCCACTGTGACCAGCCAGTCCAATTTATTTTTAACAGACTTGTTCAACATCGAGTGGACTGCTGAACTAAGTCATAATTCCATCTAAACCCAAGAGTAGACATTTTCCCTTAAGTTTCACTGCTTTTGGTTTTTGAGGTTATAATTGTTAAAATGATATCATAACTGATTATGGGAAAAGTAAAATATTATAGAGGACAGGAAAGTGATAACAAAGCACACTGATACTATAATGTATTTTTAAAAGACCTTATTTTATTCCATATTCATTTATAGACTAACACATACTTTGAGAGGAAAATTTTAAAACGTTTTTTACAAATAATCTTTCACAATTTTATCTATTTATTTTCCTGTCTCAAAAT
The DNA here is from genome assembly GCF_000001405.40 of Homo sapiens. Classification (NCBI taxonomy): domain Eukaryota; kingdom Metazoa; phylum Chordata; class Mammalia; order Primates; family Hominidae; genus Homo; species Homo sapiens. The sequence continues at coordinate 145,675,207 of NC_000004.12, forward strand.
AATACATATTGCTGGCAGAGTTTTCCTCAAGCAGCCACTACCTGATAATGAATGGGTTAAAAAGACCTGGATAGCCCAGTGTTCCTTTTTCTCCTTCATTCTTTATCTTCATCATCTTTTTTAAAAAAAAAAATAAGATAGAGTCTTACTCTGTTGCCCAGGCTGGACTCGAACTCTTAGGCTCAAGTGATCCTCCTGTCTCAGCCTCCTAAATAACTGGGACTACAGGTGTGTGCAACCACCCCTGGCTTCTGTCATGTTTTTATCTCATCTGGATTTCTCCAAAAAATCTTCCACTCCATGATAAAAAGCAGCTAAGTCTGCCAACATCTGCCTAATTCTTTTTCTAGGGCAAAGGTGCTTATGTTCCAAATTTCAACATTTTAAGGAAGGAACCATAAGGAAACATACTAATAAGTATTTGCAAATAATCTCATTCTCAGAGGAACATACCATATAGTGTGTCAGCCTGACTTGAAAAGACTTTAAATTCAATCCCTGGAGCAGCGTCACTTGTATTCAAAGACCAATTGCAGCAGAAGCATGTAACAATATGAAAATGCAGATCCCTGGGCTTTACCTCAGACCTACACTCTCTGAAGGTAGAGCTGAGAGTTCTGCCAGTTTAATGGGCCCTATTGGTGCGGATCAAATCATCTATCAAAATGCTTTTTTTCAGCACTTAATGATAGCTCCACTTGCAGAGTTGCTAATGGGTACTTCTGATTGGGGTGAATCGGGGAATGTACATGGCATCTGTGTTTATAAAGAATTCAGAGGGTTACTTGAATGAGCACTGGGGGTTGAGAACTACTGCCCCAACAGTTAATAAAAAAAAAGAACAAACGCTGGGCGCAGTGGCTCACGCCTGTAATCCCAGCACTTTGGCAGGCCGAGGCAGGCGGATTATGAGGTCAGGAGATCGAGACCATCCTGTCTAACACGGTGAAACCCCGTCCCCACTGAAAATACAAAAAATTAGCTGGGCGCCGTGGCGGGCGCCTTAGTTCCAGCTACTCAGGAGGCTGAGGCAGGAGAATGGCGTGAACCCGGGAGGCGGAGCTTGCAGTGAGCCGAGATTGTGCCACTGTACTCTAGCCTGGGCGACAGAGCGAAACTCTGTCTCAAAAAAAAAAAAAAAAAAGAACAAATGTTGAAAGATTTATTTCATTTTGATTTGCCAATGAATTGCTTTTTAATCTGGAGAACTGAGGATGGGCAAACATAATAATCAGATTTACAGTAATTATTAGTGAAGGATGGAGGGATTCAAGTGAATAGAATATCAAATGCTATGACTTCTCAACATAAAAAAGTTCACGGTGGCATTTCCATGACCTTAATTCTCTCTCTCTCTTTCTCTCCCTCTCTCTTTTTAAAGAGGAAATGTGCTTTTTAAACATTTCAATAGTTTTCGGGGGAACAGGTGGGTTTGGTTACGTGGATAAGTTCTTTACTGGTGATTTCTGAGATTTTGGTGCACCCTGTACACAATGTATCATCTTTTATCCATCACCTGCCTCCCACCATTGCCCCAGAGTCCCCAAAGTCCATTATATAGTTCTTATGTTTTTGCGTCCTCATAGCTTAGTTCCCACTTATGAGTGAGAACATACGATGTTTGGTTTTCCATTCCTTAGTTACTTCACTTAGAATAATGGCCTCCAACTCCATCCAGGTTGCTGTAAATGCCATTACTTCGTTCTTTTTTATGGCTGGGTAGTATTCCATGGTATCTATATACACCACATTTTCTTTATCCACTCATTGGTTGATGGGCACGTAGGCTGGTTCCATATTTTTGCAATTGCAGATTGTGCTTCTATAAACATGCGTGTGCATGTGTCGTTTTCAAATAATGACTTCTTTTCCTCTGGGTAGATACCCAATAGTGGGATTTCTGGATCAAATGGTAGTTCTACTTTTAGTTAAGGAATCTCCATACTGTTTTCCATAGTGGTTGTACTAGTTTACATTCCCACTAGCAGTATAAAAGTGTTCCTTTTTCACCACATCCATGCCAACATCTATTTTTTTTTATTTTTAAGTTATGGCCATTCTTGCAGGAGTAAGGTGATATCTCATTTTCATTTGCATTTCCCTGATAATTAGTGATGTTGAGCATTTTTTCACGTTGTGTTGACCATTTGTATATCTTCTTTTGAGAACTGTATATTCGTATCCTTAGTCTACTTTTTGCTGGGATTATTTGTTTTTTTCTTGCTGATTTGTTTGAGTTCCTTGTCAATTCTGGATATTAGTCCTTTGTCTAGAACAAAGAACTTTGTTGCAAACTTTGCATGGTTTGCAAATATTTTCTCCCACTCTGTGGGTTGTCTGTTTACTCTGCTGATTATATTTTTTGCTGTGCAGCTTTTTAGTTTAATTAGGTCCCATCTGTTTATCTTTGTTTTTGTTGCATTTGCTTTTGAGTTCTTGGTCATGAACTCTTTGCCTAAGCCAATGTCTAGAAGAGTTTTTCCTATGTTATCTTCTAGAATTGTTATGGTTTCAGGTCTTACATTTAAGTCTTTGATCCATCTTGAGTCGATTTTTTATAAGGTGAGAGATGAAGATCCAGTTTCATTCTTCTACATGTGGCTTACCGATTACCCAGCACCATTTGTTGAATGGGGTGTCCTTTCCTCACTTTATGTTTTTGTTTGCTTTGTTGAAGATCAATTGGCTCTAAGTATTTGGCTTTATTTCTGGGTTCTCTATTCTGTTCCATTGGTCTATGTGGCTATTTTTGTACCAGTACCATGCTGTTCTAGTAAGTATAGCCTTGTAGTATAGTTTGAAGATGGGCAATGTGATGCTTCCAGATTTGTTCTTTTTGCTTAGTCTTGCTTTGGTTGCACAGACTTTTTTTTTATTGCATGTGAATTTTAGGATTGTTTTTTCTACTTCTGTGAAGAATGATGATGGTATTTTGATGGAAATTGCATTGAATTTATAGATTGTTTTTGTCAATATGGTCATTTTCACAATATTAATTCTACCCATCCCTGAGCAATGTGATGTTTTTCCATTTGTTTGTGTCACCTATGACTTCTTTCAACAGTGTTTTGTAGTTTTCCTTGTAGAGATCTTTTTTTTTTTTTTTTTTTTGAGACGGAGTCTTGCTCTGTCACCCAGGCTGGAGTGCAGTGGCGCAATCTCCGCTCACTGCAAGCTCCGCCTCCCGGATTCACACCATTCTCCTGCCTCAGCCTCCCAAGTAGCTGGGACTACAGGCGCCCGCTACCACACCTGGCTAATTTTTTTATTTTTTAGTAGAGACAGGGTTTCACCGTGTTAGCCAGGATGTCTCGATCTCCTGACCTCGTGATCTGCCCGCCTCAGCCTCCCAAAGTTCTGGGATTACAGGCATGAGCCACCGTGCCTGGCCTCCTTGTAGAGATTTTTATTTTATTTTATTTCATTTTATTTTATTATATTTTATTTTTGTTTGAGATGGTGTCTTGCTCTGTCACCCAGACTGGAGTGCAGTGGCACAATCTTGGCATCTCTGCAAGCTCCACCTCTGGGTTCACGCCATTCTCCTGCCTCAGCCTCCTGAGTAGCTGAGACCACAGGCACCCTCCACCACGCCAGGCTAATTTTTTGTATTTTTAGTAGAGATGGGGTTTCACCATGTTAGCCAGGATGGTCTCAATCTCCTGACCTCGTGATCTGCCTGCCTCAGCCTCCCAAAATGCTGGGATTACAGGCGTGAGCCACCGTGCCCAGCCTCCTTGTAGAGATCTTCCATCTCCTTTGTAAGTTGTATTCCTAAGTATTTTATTTATTTATTTATTTTGTAACTGTTATAAAAGGGGTTGAGTTCTTGATTTGATTCTCAACTTGGTCGCTGTTGGTTTATAACAGTGCTACTGATTTGTGTACATTGATTTTGTATCCTGAAACTTTACTGAATTCATTTATCAGATCTAGAAGCTTTTTGGATGAGTCTTTAGGATTTTCTAGGTATATGATCATATCATCAGTGAGCAGCAACTGTTTGACGTCCTCTTTACTGATTTGCATGTCCTTTATTTCTTTCTCTTGTCTGATTGCTCTGGCTAGGACTTCCAGTACTATGTTGAATAGAAGTAGTGAAAGTGGACATCCTTGTCCTTTTCCAGTTCTCAGGAGGAATGCTTTCAACTTTTCCCCATTCAGTATAATGTTGGCTGTGGGTTTTACATAGATGGCTTTTAGTATTTTGAGGTATGTCCCTTCTATGCCAATTTTGCCTCAAGTTTTAATCCTAAAGGGATGCTGGATTTTGTCAAATGTTTTTTCCGTGTCCATGACCTTAATTCTTAACCCTGGCTGCTCTTTAGAATCCTCCAGGATTAAGCTTTAAACAAATAGTGATGCCTGGGCCCTACTCCACATGAACTAAATCAGAATCTCTGTGGTGGGGGCGTGGACTCCTGCTTATTTTAACAGCTTCCAGGGTGACTCTAGTGTGCAGCCAGCCAGAGCACCACTACTCTGTGACATATGAGAAGCTGTTGAGTCACCTGCTATTGTTGACATTACAAGCAGTTCATGTTCTCTTCCAGACACTTGGAGGTCTTTAGGAGAAGTGAATGCTTGGCACTGTTCTTTCATCTCTTGTTTCCACTTCTTGAACCACCATCATTAAGAATTACTGCTTTATTCATGATAGCAGTAAAATACAAATAATTTTGCCACCTGCTTTCTTGCCATAATTATGAAGCAGCATATTTCATATTTCTTAGAGCAAAATCCAGAAAGTTATATAACTTACAAATTTGTTAGTTAAAATTTACCTCCCTTGGGAGGCAAGGGGATAGCATTTGTGGAATTTTGTGATCTGTTGCTTGGCAACTATATCTAAGACAGTTAAGCTTCTGCACTCTGTGAACTGTTGAGTCACAAAGTTTGGTGAGCCCAGTCAATTGCTTCCTGCTACTAGAAGGAAATTAATTCTTCATTATGCAGAGGACTTGACAAGTTGTTTTCCAGAGAGGCCGTTCGTAGTTATGTCACACTACTTCTACTTGACTCCACAAATTCTTCTGCCCTTTAGCCCTCTTACTTCTCAAGAGTTTGATCTGATCAGACGCAAGGCTGGAGCATCTTGGCAGGATGAAACACGATGGTCAGATTCTTCCGTGACAACATACACAGGCAGTTACCGGAAAAAACAACTGGACAAGTCCATGTGCAGCCAATTTTCTTTTAGAGCAGGACAGCATGAGCCTGAGTGTAAACAGTAAGATTTCTTTGTAATTTGCACCTGGATATATCACTATAAATAGACAAGAGTGCTCTTAGAAGAAAGAGGTATTGTAGACCCTGAGAGACTTCATAGACTTTAACCCTCTGTATTTTCTTTTGTAAATGTCAGCAGGAAGAAGAGCTAAATGTCAGTGACCAGCTGAAATTATGATCCTATTCTCTATTTAGTATTCCTAAAATTACATATAACTACCTAGTCCTGAAAGGATATGGATATGAATATTTGACTAAATTTTGGGTATTTGGGGTTCTCTTTTCAGCAAAAAGGTGCTCCTGAGAATTTCATTTTGTTTCTTGTTTGGTTTTCTGGCTTTCAGGAGCTTAAAACTTCCTTCAGAGGAGGAAGAAATTCATGAAATCCTTCCCTACTCCCTACCTGTGGTTATTGCATTTTCTGAGTGTTTTCTGTAAGCCAGGCCCTGTGATAAGCCCATAATCAAAAAAATTAACTTCAGTTTATAAAGTGACTGGAACTAGGGAAATAAGTAATCAGCACAAAGTAAGGAGATTTTGTGGGTGTCTGGTGAGGGAGGGAGTGTTGTGTGTCTGAAGAGAGCTCAGTAAAATAGGTTTCCTCCAAGCTGGTTTGAAAGGCAGGCGAGGTGGGGAATGGAAAAGCACACTGCATGGAGAAAGAACCATTTAGCCCCAAGCACTGTCAAGGAGCTGCAAGGAGCTAAGTACATTTGAGAAAGTATAAGTGGGGATGTGGAAAAATGTCAGGACTTGTTATGAAATCTATCCATCTGTATATATTAATTGGTAAATATTTTATCCAAATTCTTGGAACATATTTGATAATCAGTTGAATTATTAACCTCAACTTCAGATAAGAGCAATAACCCACATAATACCCTGATAAATATTAGTTATATTTCCATCCAGACCTTTCCAAATCATCAAAACAAGTACTTAAAGATAAAATGTCTCAGAAGTACTTCTCAATTGGGTGCCTTATCTGGTTTAGTCCAACAAAGTATAATTTCTGCATTTTTAAAATAACTCTCAAGTATATTGACACTTAATTAGCTTTGGACATCCCTTTGCTACTTTTTCTGTGATACTTGAGGTTCATCTTGGCCAGGTAGTGAAGTTGTCTTAGTCCATTTTCTGCTTCTATAACACAATACCACAGACTGGGTAACTTATAAATAATAGAAGTTTATTTGGCTCAGGGTTATTGGAGAATGAGTAGTCCAAGAACATGGTGCCAGCATCTGGTGAGGCTCATCTTATTGCAGAGGGTGAAAGGTGGAAGAGAGCACTTATGATAGAGAGAGATACCAGAAACTGAACTTGCTTTATAAACAGCCTCCTCTTGAGATAACTAACCTGCTCATATGATTAATCTATTTGTGGAGGTTCCACACTTATGACCTAGTCACCTCTTATTAGTCCTTACCTCCCAAAACTATTGCATTGGGGATTAAATTTCTAACACATGAACTTTTGAGTGACACACTCAAACCATAACAGGAGTCTTTAAGCACTGCTGAGGTCCTGTCTGAAAATAGTGTTTGAAAGAAAGATGGTATCCAAACAGATCCATTTACCAGAGTAGGAAAAAAGGTACTATATTTAATAACTCTGAAAAAAATGCAGGAATAGGACATCTGGTGAAAATGTATAGGACCTGGAATTTTTTCCTATTCAGAGAGTGATCATTATGTGAATCATTCCAACCAAGGCGGCCTGTGACATTGCAAAACACAAAAGAGCATGAGCTTGTGAGGTTCATCTGTTTTTGGAACCTCAGAAATGTAAATATATTCTTTGCACAATTATTTCTTATTCTATTAGAAGCTAAGAAGAAGCAAGTGTTATAAATGAAGATGAAGCACAAATTGAGCTCATTTTGAAAGTACTGATTATATTCTAAATTTGCTTTGTTTTTAATCTTTTTCATGGCTAATTTTAGCCCCAAGGACAAATGTCTTTTTAAGTTCTGAGCAAAAGCTATTTGATTAAAATTCCATAAGGCTATAGAGAGACATTTTACATTGCTATAAAGTCAGAATGGTCCAAGGAGAATTACTGGGACAAAACATAAAATGACTGATCATTTAAAGTGGGTTAAGTCAGGAAAGTACTAAAATACACAAAACATTATACATTACACTTTTTATTCATCTTATTTATTTACCACATACATTGAATATTCATATTGTGTGAGATAGAAGAAACTTGGTAAAAGTCTTGATCATTTGGTTCTGAACCAGTTTTAACCGCAGATATGTAAATTTATAAACGTAATCAAAAGGATTCCGAATTTGGAGAATGAAATTAGTGTGATACAGACCTTAAGCTATTATGAAATATTGGTGTCAATCCCAGTTGTCTGCCATGGTTAAAATAAGGGAAGGGTCACATTTTGGAATTCCTAAGACAGGAACGTGGCTCAAGTATAAATTATTAAGTCTTGATTCTTTCTGTATTCAAGACAAGGAATGAAATGGCATACAAATTGGGAACAAATAAAACTGTCTTTGTTTGCAGATGACATTATCATCTACATAGAAAATCTGAAAGAATCAGCAAAAATAAAAAAATTTTAAAAAAAAATCCCGGAACTAATAAGCTATTATAGCAAGATTGCAGAATACAAGGTTAATATACAAAAATCAATTATTTTCCTATATATGAGCAATAAGCAAGTGGAATTTTAAATAAAAAACATAATACCATATACACTAGCATCTCCCAAAATTAAACACTTAGGTATAAATCTAACAAAATATGTACAAGGTCTATATAAGGAAAACTAAAAAATTCTGATGAAAGAAATCAAAAAAGAACTAATCAAATGGAGAGATTTTTCCATGTCCATGGATAGGAAGACTGAACATTATCAAGATGTCAGCCCTTCCCAAATTTGTCTATAGATTAAATGCAGTTGCAATCAAAATCCAACAGGTTAGTTTCTGAATATCAACAAACTAATTCTAAAGTTTATATGGAGAGGCAAAAGACCAAGAATAACCAACACGATATTGAAGAAGAACATAGAGTTGGAGGACTGACACTACCCAACTTTAATGCTCACTATAAAGCCAAAGTAATCAAGATAGTGTAGTATTGGTGAGAGAACAGATCAATGAAGTAGAATAGAGAGCCCAGAAATAGGTACACATAAATATAGTCGACTGGTCTTTGACAAAGAAGCAAAGGCAATACAATGGAGCAAATATTGTTCTTTTCAACAAATGGTGCTGGAACAACTAGACATCCACATGCCAAAAAATTAACTAAGACACAGACCTTATACCATTCACAAAAATTAACTCAAAATGGATCATAGACCTAAATGTAAAATGCAAAACTATAAAACTCCTAGAAGATAACAGGAGAAACCTTAAATGACTTTGGGTATGGCAATGGCAATGATATTTTAGATACAACACCAAAGGTATGATCCATCAAAGAAATAATGGATAAGCTGAATTTCATTAAAATTAAAAATATCTGTTCTGAGTAAGACAACGTCAAGAGAATGAGAAGACAAACCACAGACTGGAAGGAAATATTTGCAAAGGACTTTTATCCAAAATAACAAACATTTGAAAAAGATTTGTTTGAAAAAGAAACAAATTTGAAAAAGAACTGTTATCGAAAATATACAAAGAACTCTTAAAATTAAATTAACAAACAATCCAATTAAAAATGGGCCAAAGACTTTAAAAAATACCTCACCAAAGGGATACACAGTTGGCAAATAAGCATGTAAAAAGATGTCCCACTGGCCGGGCACGGTGGCTCACACCTGTAATCCCAGCACTTTGGGAGGTCAAGGCAGGCAGATCATGAGGTCAGGAGATCGAGACCAACCTGGCTAACATGGTGAAACCCCGTCTCTACTAAAAATACAAAAAATTAGCCAGGCTTGGTGGCGGGTGCCTGTAGTCCCAGCTACTCAGGAGGCTGAGGCAGGAGAATGGCGTGAACCCAGGAGGCGGAGCTTGCAGTGAGCCAAGATCATGCCACTGCACTCCAGCCTGGGTGACAGAGCGAGACTCTGTCTCAAACAAAAAATAAAAAAGATGTCCCACTACAACATATGTCATCAGGGAAATACAAATTAAAATAATGAGATAACATTACGCACCTATCAAGGTGAACCCCTAAGGTAAACTATGGGCTTGGGCTGATAATTGATGTGTCTGTGTAGGTTCATCAGTTGTAACAAATGTACCACTGTGGTGGGGGATGTTGATAGTGGGGAGGCTATGAATTTGAAGGGACAGGAGGTTTATGGGAAATCTCTGTATGTTCATCTTAATTTTGCTGTGACTGAAAAACTGCTCTTAGAAAAAAAGTCTTTAAAAATTGAGGCAGGGGAAGCTGGGGAATGGAGAGGAAGGCTGGCTTTAAATGGGATGGTCAGAAGGCAGGAAGTACTATTAGGGTTAAGGAGAGACATTTTCTAACAACCAAATAGGAGGATATAGCAATCTCAAATTTGTCTGCATCTAGTAACATAGTCTCTAAGCTTATTAGGTAAAACTGAAAGAGCCAAAAGGAGAAATAAGTAAATACACAATCATAGTTGAACATTTTAACATACCTCTGTCAGTAACTGATGGAAAAAAGCAAATAATAAAGGCAAACCAAGTTTGAACAACTTAAGATACTTGTCCTAATTGACATAGCTATAGTATTGAACCTATCAACCACAGAATATACATTCTGTGGTTGACCATTGTGTCAAGTTCTACAGAAACACCTATTGGAACTGTATAAAATCTATAAATCAATTTGGTAAGAACTGACATTTTTACAATATCCTTGTATTCGTCCATTTTCACACTGCTGTAAAGACCATATTTTAGGCCATTAAAAAGCAACAATTTTCAAATAATTCAAATAATACAGAGTATGTTTTCTGACTGTAGTAGGACAAGCCACAGACAAAATTCCTCAGACAGCGAGTTAAAGAAGGAAGGGGTTTATTCGGCTAGGGGCATCGGCAAGACTCCTGTCTCAAGAGCTGAGCTCCCTCAGTGAGCAATTCCTGTCCCTTTTAAGGGCTCACAACTCTAAGGGGGTGTGTGTGAGAGGGTCGTGCTCAATTGAGCAAGCAGCGGGTAACGTGACTGGGGGCTGCATGCACTGGTAATTAGATCGGAACAAAACAGAATAGGGATTTTCACAGTGCTTTTCTATACAATGTCTGTAATCTATAGTTAACATAACCGATTAGGTCAGTGGTCGATCTTTAACTACCAGGCCCAGGGTGTGGCGGCGGGCCGTCTGCTTGTGGATTTCATTTCTGCCTTTTAGTTTTTACTTTTTCTTTCTTTGGAGGCAGAAATTGGGCATAAGACAATATGAGGGGTGGTCTCCTCCCTTATGACAAGTGTTAGTAAGCTGGAAATCAATGACAAAAACAAAACTAGAAAATGTCTAAATATATAGAAATTTAACAGTACACTCATATAACCCATGAGTAAAAATTAAATCACAATGAAAATTAGAAAACAATCTTTGAATTGAATAATACATAAAGTATGATAAATAAAAGACTTGTGAAAGCCATAGCCAAAAGGTGAAAACAACCCAAATATACATCAATAAAGAAATAAACAAAATGTGGTACATACATACAATGGAATATTATTCGGCCTTAAAAAGGAATGCAATTCTGACACATGCTACAACATGGATGCACCTTGAAAGCTTTATGCTAAGTGAATAAAGTCAGACATAAAAAGACAAATTTTGTGTGACGTACCTAGGCTAGGCAAATCATACAGACAAAAAGTAGAATACATGTTACCAGAGGCTAGGAAGAGGGGGAAATGGGGAGTTATTGTTTAATGAATATAGAGTTTTTGTTTGGGTTGACTAAAAAGTTCTAGAGATGGATAGTAGTAATCATTGCACAACATTGTGAATGTTCTTACTTTCACTGAATGTACACTTAAAAATAACTAAAATGATAAATTTTCTCTTGTGTGTATTTTACAATAATCATAATAATAATGAAAACTTGTGAAGGACAGAACTTGTAGAATGCAGAGAGGGGCTCCCTGTATATCCATCCCTCTGTATATAACTGTATATACAGAGGGATGTACATTCTGTATATTCACTGCTTGCACAAATTGTCAAAGTCAACTTTTTCAAAACTCTGAAAATTAACCAAAGGTTTACAACAATCTGAGGAGTGTATATTCAAGGAAAACTAAAAAACCCTGGAAACAACAGTGAGGTTTGCACATTGTAACTTGATCACTCCCACCCCCTTGATAGTCCTTGAGAGCAATGCTGGTTACTACATTTGTTTGATCATGAAAATGATAAGTTCTTTTTAAAAATAAAAGTTCTCAAGTCACTCTCCTTAGAAATTATCATAATGAAGCACTGATTAATGTATGTTTAATAAGTGCTCCAGATGGATCTTATATGATCAGAAAACAATGGGAAATGCTGTTTGGAAGAGGGTGAAAAATCTATTCTTGCCACATGGCAGCCTGACACCAAACTTGATGTCACTTAAGGGGATTCTGAGGAGTCACCCTTTCAGAAGACATTGGATCTTGTGGGGGGGGCGGTTTCCTTCTACCCCTTTGAAAGAAAAATAAATCTTGGGGCCCCCAAATCACTAAGCTAAAGGGAAATGTCAAGCTGGTAGCTGCTTAGGGCCACCCTGCCTCCCATTCTATTCAAAGTCACACCTCTGCTCAATGAGATAGATGCATATCTGATTGCCTCCTTTGGAAAGGCTAATCAGAAACTCAAAAGAATGCAACTCTTCATCTCTTACCTATCTGTGACCTGGAAGTTCCCTCCCCTCTTTGAGTCTTCCTGCCTTTGCTTCAAGTTGTCCTGCCTTTCCAGACCGAACCAATGTACTTCTTATATATATTGATTGATGTCTCATGTTTTCCTAAAATGTATAAAACTAAGCTGTGCCCTGACCACCTTGGGCACATGTCCTCAGGACTTCCTGAGGCTGTGTCATAGGCACACATCCTTAACCTTGGCAAAATAAACTTTCTAAATTAACTGAGACATGTCTCAAATTTTCAGGGTTCACATCTCCTTTTCACTAGAGGACAAAATTTACTTTTCTGTGTCAGTCTTGGACTCCTTCAATTGACCTCATTGTTGCTTAGGGGGAACACAAACCCAGAAAAGAGAAAAAGTTGTGATAACTGTAACTGAGCCTTTCAGAATAGTCCAAAATTGTTTGAAAAGCAATGATTTTCCTTTCTGAATTGGCAGTTACAGAAACAAACTCTGGAGTGAAAAAGCAGCAGCATGTCAGGTTATGCTTCTCAAATGGAGTAGCACTGTGCCAGGGCTCATGGAAAGCCACAGGACAAATAGGGAGCACTTGTTTGTTATAGCAGCAATACAAAAGTAATACAGGTGGGAGGGAGAGCAGAAACATTTTTAAGTAAAGAAAAAGCACACATGATTTTTATAATAAAGGAAAACATCGCATGATATAAACTTTTAATAAATATCTAAATTAAAAGAGGAAATTAAAAAGTTAGTGCTTACCAGTAACAGTTGAAAATGATGTAAAAAATGCCACATACCAGCCTGGGCAACATAGTGAGACTTCATCTCTGCAAAAATCAAAAAAATAGCCAGGTGGTGGTATATGCCTGTGGTTCCAGCTACTCGGGAGGCTGAGGTGGGAAGATTACTTAAGCCTGGGAGATGGAGGCTGAGGTGAGCCATGATTGTACCACTGCACTCCAGCCTGGGTGACAGAGTGAGATCCTACCTTAAAAAAAAAAAAAAAAAAAAGCACCTACAACATGGCTAAAATAGGTCACATCTCTGCAAAGAAATGTAATCAAAGATGTGCAAGATCTCCACTCAGAAAACCAGAAGACATTAGAGAAAATAGAGGCAATCTAAAAGGAGATACAAACCATGTTCATGAATTGAAAGATGATAGATGTGGTTTGGCTTTGTGTCCCACCCAAATCTCATATCCAATTGTAATTTTCACATGTCAAGGGAAGGTCCTGGTAGGAGGTGATTGGATCATGGGGGCAGTTCCCCCATGCTGCTTTTGTGATAGTGAAAGTGTTCTCCTGATATCTGATAGTTTAAAAGTGGTAGTTTCCCCAGCATGCTCTATCTCTCCTGCCACCATTTAAGATGTGCCTTGCTTCCCCTTTGTCTTCTGCCATGATTGTAAGTTTCCTGAGGCCTCTCCAGCCATGTGGAACTGTGAGTCAATTAAACCTCTTTTGTTTATAAATTACCCAGTCTCAGGTAGTATCTTTATAGCAGTGTGAAAATGGACTAATACAAGGATATTGTAAAAATGTCAGTTCTTCCCAAATTGATTTATAGATTTTATACAGTTCCAATAGGTGTTTTTGTAGAACTTGACACAATGATTCTAAAATTTATGTGGAACTACAAAGAGCCAGGCAATAGCTGAGACACTCTCAAAATAAATAAACAAACAAACAAACAACAACAACAAAAAGGTGAGGTCTTGTTCTACCAACAACAAACATATTATAAAGCTTCAGTAATTAAGGCAGGGTGCTTTTATGAAACAAGAATAAACAAAGACCAGTGGAGCAGAATAAAGAGCCAGAAACAGACCCATGCATATACAAGTACTTGATTCATAAAAAAAGACAGCAGAGTAGCAAAGAAAGGCGGTTTTCAATTCCAAATAAATTAATTCAGATGAATTAAATAACAAAGTGTAAAAGGCAAATCAATGAAACCATTAGATGACAATATGGAGAATATCTTGATGATTTCAAGGTTGGCAAAGATTTCTTAAACAAAACACAGAAAACACTAACCAGAAGGAAAAAGTTAGATAAATTTTGAGTTACCTTAAAATTAAGTAGTTCTATTCAACTAAATACAATATTAAGGGCATATAAAAAGGCAAGCCACAGAGAAGAATATATTTTCAACTTAGTGACTGACAAAAGGCTTGCATCTATGAGACATATATGTATCTATATACATATATGTGTATATATATGAATTTGTAAAAACTCTTACAAATTAATACCAAAAAAACACAACTCACTAGAAAAATAGGAAAGAGACTTCAAAATTAAATCAATAAACCAAGATATCCAAATAACCGATAAACATACCAAAGGTGCTCAACCACGTTAGGAATCATAAAATGCAAATTAAAACCACAAAGAGCTTATGCTAAACACCCTCCAGAAAAGTTAAAATTTAAAAGACTATTAATATTAAGTGTCAACATAGACCAATGGCACAGAATAAAGAACCCAGAAATTAAGCCACACACCTACAGCCAACAGATCTTTGAAAAAGTCAACAAAAATAAAAAAGGAGAAAGGACATACTATTCATTAAATGGTGCTGGGAAAACTGGCTAACCATATGCAGAAGAAGAAAGCTGGACCCCTACCTTTCACCATATAAAAAAAATTAACTCAAGATGGATTAAAGACTTAAATGTAAGACTTCAAACTATAAAAATCCTAGAAGAGGCTGGGCGCGGTGGCTCACACCTGTAATCCCAGCACTTTGGGAGGCCTAGGTGGGCGGATTACCTGAGGTCAGGAGTTCAAGACCAGCCTTGCTAACATGGTGAAACCCCATTTCTACTAAAAACACAAAAAAATTGGCTGGGCGTGGTAACAGGCACCTGTAATCCCAGCTACTCGGGAGGCTGAGGCAGGAGAATCACTTGAACCCGGGAGGCGGAGGTTGCAGTGAGCTGAGATTGCACCATCACACTCCAGCTTGGGCAACAAGAGCAAACCTCCGTAAAAAAAATAAATAAAATAGGCTGGGCGCGGTGGCTAACGTCTGTAATCCCAGCACTTTGCAAGGCTAAGGCAGGTGGATCACGAGGTCAGGAGATCAAGACCATCCTGGCTAACATGGTGAAACCTCGTCTCTACTAAAAATACAAAAAATTAGCTGGGCATGGTTGCAGGCACCTGTAGTCCCAGCTACTCGGGAGGCTGAGGCAGGAGAATGGCGTGAACCCGGGAGGCAGAGCTTGCAGTGAGCGAGATGGCGCCACTGCACTCCAGCCTGGGCGACAGAGTGAGACTCCATCTCAAAATAATAATAATAATAATAATCCTAGAAGAAAACACCTAGGTAACACTCTTCTGGACATTGCCATAGGCGAAGAATTCATGGCTAAGTCCTCAAAAGCAAACACAACAAAAACAAAAACTGACAATTGGGACCTCATTAAACCACAGAGCTTCTGCATAGCCGAAGAAACTATCAACAGAGTAAAGAGACAACCCACAGAATGAGAGAAAATATTTTTAATCTATGCATCCAACAAAGGACTACTATCCAGAATCCACAAGGAACTTAAATCAACAAGCAAAAACCAACAAACCCATCAAAAAGTGCACAAAGGGCCAGGTGTGGTGGCTCATGACTGTAATCCCAGTATTTTGAAAGGCCGAGGCAGGAAGAGGACTGTTTGTCCCAGGAATCTGAGACCAGCTTGGGAACATAGGGAAACCCCATCTCCCCGCTCCCACCCCCCACAAAAAAAGAATTAGCCAGATGTGGGGGCATGTGTCTGTGGTCCCAGCTACTCAGGAGGCTGAGGTGGGAGTATTGGTTGAGCCTGGTAGGTCGAGGCTATAGTGAGCTATGATCATGCCACTGCACTCCAGCCTGGGTGACAGAGTGAGACCTTGTCTCAAAAAAAAAATTGCACAAAGGACATGAATAGACACTTCTCAAGAGAAAACACAACAAGTGGCCAACAAACATGAAGAAAATGCTCAGCATCACTGATCATCAGAGGAATGCAAACAAAAACCACAATGAGATACCATCTCACACTAATCAGAATGGCTACTAATAAAAAGTCAAAAAATAACAGATATTGATGAGGTTGAAGAGAAAAGGGAACATTTATACACTGTTGGTGGGAATGTAAATTAGTTCAGCTCCTGTGGAAAGTAGTTTGGAGATTTCTCAAAGAACTAAATATAGAACTGCCATTGACCCAGCAATCTTATTACTGGGTATATATCCGAAGGAAAGTAAATCATTTCACCAAAAAGACACATGTGCTCATATGTTCATTGCAGCACTATTCACCATAGCAAAGACATGGAATCAACTTAGGTGCTGATTAGTGGTGGATTGGATAAAGAAAATGTGGCATGTATACACCATGGAATACTACACAGCCACGAAAAAGAATGAAATAATGTCCTTTGTAGCAACATGGATGCAGCTGTTAAGTGAATTAATGCAGAAACAGAAAATCAAACACAGCATGTTCTCACTTATAAGTGGGAGCTAAACAGTGGGTACACATGGACATAAAAATGGAACAGTAGACACTGAGGGCAGAGAGGGAAGGGAGCAAGGGTTGAATAACTACCTATTGGGTACTAAGTTCACTGTTTGGGTGACAGGTTCAATATAAGCCTAAACTTCGGCATCACACAATATATTCATGTAACATACCTGCACATGTACCCCTTGAGTCTAAAAAAAAAGCCTACTAAATGTTGGTAAGGATGCCTAACAATAAGATCTCTGATATACAGCTGATAGGAATGTAAGTTGATATTGCTCTTTAGAAAAAGTTTGGTTTTACTTTCTACAGTTGATTCTATGGATATTGTAGACCTAGCAATTCTACTCCAAGTGAAATGCACTTTCACATGTACGTGGAGAGACACGTACAATAATGTTCTTAGCAGTACTTTTCATAATAGCCAAAAAAACTAAAAGAAGCAAAATGTAGAATAAGTACTATTCATTGACAGAAGAGTCAACAGTAGTGTGGTCATACAATGGAATGCTGCATGGTAATGAATAAGAAAAAACTATGGTTCCACTCAGTAATCTCACAAACATAATGTTGGGCATTTTGAACCAGGTGACATGCTGTATAATTCTGTTTATATAAAATTCAAAAAAACCAGCCCAAACCAAACTATAGTGTTTAGTGACAAAATGTATTAAGAGAAGCAAAGTAGTGGTTCCTGTAGAAGTCAGGAAATTGGCCCAGTGACCACCTGTATCAGACCATCTGCCCCAAATCTACTGAAGAATAATTACTGGGGATTGAGCTAAAAAACCTGCACTTTTAAATTCATACGCCCAGGTGATTCAACTGCTGCTGTCATTAGGAGAAGAAAGATGCAGGGTAGGCCACCAGCCCTTGTCTCAGGAATAATTAGGGCTAGTTTGTGTGCTGAATACATGTATAGGAATATTTTAGGGCTCGTTAGGCTGATATCAATTCCACTCTACCCCTGCCTCACAGAGTTACAGGTTCCTGAAGTGTGAGGACCCTCCTCCCTCAATCAGAGGCCCTAAAATAATTACTACCATGTGTTGAACTCTAGAAATTGATGACTTTGTTCATTCCATACAAAATAACCTGCACTTCCCACCCAGTCCCTGCTTGCTTAGAGTATCATATTTGGATTCAAGGAAACTGGGATACAGATGTGTTTCAAAGGATACACACTGCATCTGTGAGTCCCCAAGTTACTCCGCTGATATTAAGTTTTTAGTTTTTTTTTTTTTTTTTTTTTTTTTTGTAAGTCCCATCAGGTGAAATGAACAATTTTTCACCTGTTTTTTTTTTTTTTTTTATTAAATTTATTTTTTTATTGATAATTCTTGGGTGTTTCTCACAGAGGGGTATTTGGCAGGGTCATGGGACAATAGTGGAGGGAAGGTCAGCAGATAAACAAGTGAACAAAGGTCTCTGGTTTTCCTAGGCAGAGGACCCTGCGGCCTTCCGCAGTGTTTGTGTCCCTGATTACTTGAGATTAGGGATTGGTGATGACTCTTAACGAGCATGCTGCCTTCAAGCATCTGTTTAACAAAGCCCATCTTGCACCGCCCTTAATCCATTTAACCCTGAGTGGACACAGCACATGTTTCAGAGAGCACAGGGTTGGGGGTAAGGTCACAGATCAACAGGATCCCAAGGCAGAGGAATTTTTCTTAGTGTAGAACAAAATGAAAAGTCTCCCATGTCTACTTCCTTCCACACAGACACGGCAACCATCCGATTTCTCAATCTTTTCCCCACCTTTCCCGCCCTTCCATTCCACAAAGCCGCCATTGTCATCCTGGCCCGTTCTCAATGAGCTGTTGGGTACACCTCCCAGATGGGGTGGTGGCCGGGCAGAGGGGCTCCTCACTTCCCAGTAGGGGCGGCCGGGCAGAGGCGCCCCTCACCTCCCGGACGGGGCGGCTGGCCGGGCAGGGGGGCTGACCCCCCCCACCTCCCTCCCGGAGGGGGCGGCTGGCCGGACGGGGGGCTGACCCCCCCACCTCCCTCCCGGACGGGGCGGCTGGCCGGGCAGAGGGGCTCCTCACTTCCCAGTAGGGGCGGCCGGGCAGAGGCGCCCCTCACCTCCCGGACGGGGCGGCTGGCCGGGCGGGGGGGCTGACCCCCCCCACCTCCCTCCCGGACGGGGTGGCTGCCGGGCGGAGACGCTCCTCACTTCCCAGATGGGGTGGCTGCCGGGCGGAGACGCTCCTCACTTCCCAGATGGGGTGGCTGCCGGGCGGAGAGGCTCCTCACCTCTCAGACGGGGCAGCTGCCGGGCGGAGGGGCTCCTCACTTCTCAGACGGGGCGGCCGGGCAGAGACGCTCCTCACCTCCCAGACGGGGTCTCGGCCGGGCAGAGGCGCTCCTCACATCCCAGATGGGGCGGCGGGGCAGAGGCGCTCCCCACATCTCAGACGATCTCCTCCTCACATCCCAGACGATGTGCGGCCGGGCAGAGACGCTCCTCACTTCCTAGATGTGATGGCGGCTGGGAAGAGGCGCTCCTCACTTCCTAGATGGGATGGCGGCCAGGCGGAGACGCTCCTCACTTTCCAGACTGGGCAGCCAGGCAGAGGGGCTCCTCACATCCCAGACGATGGGCAGCCAGGCAGAGACACTCCTCACTGCCCCGTCCGGGAGGGAGGTGGGGGGGTCAGCCCTCCACCCGGCCAGCCGCCCCGTCTGGGAGGTGAGGGGCGCCTCTGCCCGGCCGCCCCTTCTGGGAAGTGAGGAGCCCCTCTGCCCGGCCAGCCGCCCCGTCCGGGAGGGAGGTGGGGGGGTCGGCCCCCCGCCCGGCCAGCCGCCCCATCCGGGAGGGAGGTGGGGGGGTCAGCCCCCCCGCCCGGCCAGCCGCCCGTCCGGGAGGGAGGTGGGGGGGTCAGCCCCCCCGCCTGGCCAGCCGCCCCGTCCGGGAGGGAGGTGGGGGGGTCAGCCCTCCGCCCGGCCAGCCGCCCCGTCGGGGAGGTGAGGGGCGCCTCTGCCCGGCCGCCCCTACTGGGAAGTGAGGAGCCCCTCTGCCCGGCCAAGTTTTTAGTTTTTTCAGAAATGAACATAATTACTGTAATCTTTCTTATCCCATTCATAGCACTTATCTTATTTTGAAAACAGCTCCCTAGAGAAACACTCATAAATCCCTTTGAAATAATTATGAACTTAATGTTTGAGCTTTTCATGCACAGAAGTTGAAAATGTTACCCTTTTATGACAAATTAGAGAACAAACAAATCACTAAAGACGATAAGAAAGTCCAACTGTAGTTTATTTAATGGGATTGTGGGATTACAGTTGGGAATATGGAAAGAGTGGAAGAGAACAAACAAGTGTTTAAGAAACCAAATAAAAAGATGAATGATTTATAATCCTCTGAGTAAATACCCAGTAATGGGATCACTGGGCAGAACGGTAGTTCTATTTTTAGCTTTTTGAGGAATTGTCATACTGCTTTCCACAGTGGTTGAACTAATATACCCTCCTACCAACAGTGTAAAAGTGTTCTCTTTTCTCTGCAACCTTGCCAGCATCTGTTATTTTTGACTTTTTAATAATAGCCATTCTGTTTGGTGTGAGATGGTATCCCATTGTAGTTTTAATTTGCATTTCTCTAATGATCAGTGATAATGAGCTTTTTTTGATATGCTTTTTGGCCACATGTCTTCTTTTGAAAAGTGTCTGTTTATGTCCCTTGCCCACTTTTTAATGGGATTGTTTGTTTTTTTTCTTGCAAATTTAAGTCCCTTTAGATGCCAGATATTAGACCTTTGTCAGATGCATAGCCTGCAAATATTTTATCCTCTTCTGTAGGTTGTCTGTTTACTCTGTTGGTTTATCCTCTTCTGTAGGTTGTCTGTTTCTTTGCTGTGCAGAAGCTCTTAAGTTTAACCAGATCCCCTTTGTCAACTTTGGCTTTTGTTGTGATTGCTTTTGGCATCTATGTCATGAAATCTTTCTGGAATATAAATCATTCCACCATAGAGACACATGCATGCAAATGTTCATTGCAGCATTATTCACAATAGCAAAGACCTAGAATCAACCTAAATGACAATCAATGACAGGTTGTAAAAAGAAAATGGGGTACATATACATCATGAAATACTATGCAGTCACAAAAAAGAACAAGATCATATCTTTTGCAGAAACATTGATGGAGCTGGTGGCCATTAACCTTAGCAAACTAATGCAGGAACAGAAAACTAAATACTGCATGTTCTCATTTATACGTGAGAGTTAAATGATGAGAACACATGGACATAAAGAAGGAAACAACATGGCCAGGCGCAGTGGCTCATGCCTGTAATCCCAGCAAGGTGGGCAAATCACGAGGTGAAGAGATTGAGATCATCCAGGCCAACATGGTGAAACCCTGTCTCTACTAAAAATAAAAAAATTAGCTGGGCTTGGTGGTGCGTGCCTGTAGTCCTAGCTACTCAGGAGGCTGAGGCAGGAGAATCACTTGAACCTGGAAAGCGGAGGTTGCAGTGAGCCAAGATCACACCACTGCACTCCAGCCTGGTGACAGAGTGAGTCTCCGTCTCAAAAAAGGAATGGAACAACAGACACTGGGGTCTACTGGATGGTGGAGGGTGGGAGGAGGGAGAGGAGCAGAACAAAATTGCTATCGGGTATTAGATTTAATACCTGGGTGATGAAGTAATCTGTACAACAAACCCCCGTTACACGAGTTTATCTAAATAACAAACCTTCACATGTACTCCCAAACCTAAAATGAAAGTTTTAAAAAAAGATGAATGGAAATCCCTGTAAGTCCACAGGCTTCATGTGATTTATAAATCCATAAATTTGTAACTTGTTTCTTCTACTTGCTTTCCTTAGGATGTCATTGACAAACAGTTCTGCCTGTCATCTTCTCTGCTGGGCTGGTACCCAAGAGACTACAGATATCAAAGGTAAGTGCAACATGATCAGTTTCTGGGCCCAGCCCTTTTGCCAGGGTTGCTGTGTTTCTTTCAGGTTCTTTTTTTTTCTCTCACTTTACTGAGATATGATTGACAAATAAAAATTGTAGGCCGGGCACTGTGGCTCACACCTGTACTCTCAGTACTTCAGGAGGCCAAGGTGGGCGGATCACTTGAGGTCACGAGTTCAAGACCAGGCTGGCCAACATGGTGAAACCCATCTCTACCAAAAATACAAAAACAATATTAGCTGGGTGTGGTGGCGCATACCTGTAATCCCAGCTACTTGGAAGGATGAGGCAGGAGAATTGCTTGAACCCGGGAGGCAGAGGTTGCAGTGAGCCGAGGTGGTGCCATTGCACTACAGCCTGGGTGACAGAGGACTCGGTCTGAAAAAACAAAACAAAACCAACCAACCAACCAAACAAACAAACAAAAACAGACCTACTCTCTTAGCAATTTTTTTTTTTTTTTTTGAGAAAGGGTCTCACTCTGTCACCCAGGCTGGAGTGCAGTGGTGCGATCTTGGCTCGCTGCAAACTTTGCCTCCTGGGTTCAAGCGATTTTCATGCCTCAGCCTCCCAAGTAGCTGGGATTACAGGCACCTGCCACCATGCCCAACTAATTTTTGTGTTTTTAGAAGAGATGGGATTTCACCATGTTGGCCAGGCTGGTCTCAAACTCCTGACCTTGTGATCTGCCCAACTTGGCCTCCCGGAGTTCTGGGATTACAAGCGTAAGCCACCATGCCTGGCTCTCTTAGCAAATTTTAAGTATACATTTTAATTAACCATAGTTACCATACTGTACATAAGGTCTCCATACATATTCATCTTATAACTGAAAGTTTGTACTCTTTGACCAAAAATTCCCCATTTATCTTACCTCACACCTCCAGGTAACCACTGTTCTACTATGCTTCTATAACTTTGACTTTTTAGATTACACATATGAGTGAAATTATGCAGTTTTTGTCTTTCTGTGGCTGAGTAATTTCACTTAGCATAAAGTCCTCCAGGTGCATCCATGTTGTCACATAAACCAAGATGTCCTTCTCTTTAAGGCTGAATAATTTTCCATTGTATTATATACCACATTCTCTTTATCCATTCATTATTGATGGACACGTAAGTTGTTTCTAGATCTTGACTCTTGTGAATAATGCTGTAATGAACATGGGAGTGCAGGTAGCTCTTCGAGGTCGTGATTTTATTTCCTTTGGATATGTATCAGTAGGATTGTTGGATCATATAGTAATTCTATTTTTAATTTTTTTCAGGAACCTCCCAATTAACATTCCCATCAATAGTGGATAAGGGTTTCCTTTTCACACATCTTTGATAACACTTATTTTTTAACTTTTTGATAATAGCCATTCTAACAGGTAGAAGTAATACCTGGTTGTGGTTTTGATTTGCATTTCCCTGAAATTAGTGAGGTTGAGAACCTTGTTATATACTTGTTGGCCATGTGTATGTGTTATTTGGAAAAATGTCTCTTCAAGTCATTTCCCATTTTTAAATCAGTTTTTTTTCTGCTATTTAGTTATATGGGTTTGTACACCAAAAGTATCTGAGACAGGTCTCAATCAATTTAGAAAGTCTATTTTGCCAAGGTGAAGGACACATCTGTGAACAGCCTCTGGAAGTCCTGACAACATATGCCCAAGGTTAGGGTAGAGCTTGGTTTTATACATGTTAGGGAGACATGAGACATCAATCAATACATGTAAGATGTACATTGGTTCAATCCAGAAAGGCAGGACAACTCAAAGCATGTGCTACCAGGTCAGAGGCAGATTT
Organism: Homo sapiens; assembly: GCF_000001405.40. Classification (NCBI taxonomy): domain Eukaryota; kingdom Metazoa; phylum Chordata; class Mammalia; order Primates; family Hominidae; genus Homo; species Homo sapiens. Next base: position 145,698,444 of record NC_000004.12, read on the forward strand.
AAAGATTTTCTGATTAGCAATTGGTTGAAAGGGATTTTATCTAAAGACCTGGAGTAGAACAGAAAGGAATGTCTGGGTTTTGATAAAGGGATGTGGAGACCAAGGTTTTATGATACAAATGAAGCCTACAGGTAGGTTTCAGAGAGAATAGACTGTGTTTCTTATCAGATTTAAAGAGTCTGTTCTATCAGTCTTAAGGTCTCTCTGTTGATGTTTGTGAGGCATGTCTGACCCCCACTTCCCATCATGCCCTGAACTAGTTTTTCAGGATAATTTGAAAATGCCCTTGGCCAAGGGGAAGCTCCACCAGTCAGTTGGGGGAGCTTAGAATTTTATTTTTGGTTTACAAGTTCATTATATATTTTGGATATTAACTCCTTGTCAGGCCTCTGAGCCCAAGCCAAGCCATCGCATCCCCTGTGACTTGCACATATACGCCCAGATGGCCTGAAGTAACTGAAGAATCACAAAAGAAGTGAATATGCCCAGCCCCACCTTAACTGATGACATTCCACCACAAAAAGAAGTGTAAATGGCCGGTCCTTGCCTTAACTGATGACATTACCTTGTGAAAGTCCTTTTCCTGGCTCATTCTGGCTCAAATAGCACCCCCATTGAGCACCTTGCAACCCCCACTCCTGCCCGCCAGAGAACAAACCCCCTTTGACTGTAATTTTCCTTTACCCACCCAAATCATATAAAATGGCCCCACCCTTATCTCCCTTCGCTGACTCTCTTTTCAGACTCAGCCCACCTGCACCCAGGTGATTAAAAGCTTTATTGCTCACACAAAGCCTGTTTGGTGGTCTCTTCACACGGATGCGCAAGAAATTTGGTGCCGTGACTTGGATCAGGGACCTCCCTTGGGAGATCAATCCCCTGTCCTCCTGCTCTTTGCTCTGTGAGAAAGATCCACCTACGACCTCAGGTCCTCAGACCGACCAGCCCAAGAAACATCTCACCAATTTCAAATCCGGTAAGCGGCCTCTTTTTACTGTCTTCTCCAACCTCCCTCACTATCCGTCAACCTCTTTCTCCTTTCAATCTTGGCGCCACACTGCAGTCTCTCCCTTCTCTTAATTTCAATTCCTTTCATTTTCTGGTAGAGACAAAGGAGACATGTTTTATCCGTGGACCCAAAACTCTGGCGCCGGTCACGGACTGGGAAGGCAGCCTTCCCTTGGTGTTTAATCATTGCAGGGATGCCTCTCTGATTATCTACCCACGTTTCAAGAGTGTCAGACCACGCAGGGAAGCCTGCCTTGGTCCTTCACCCTTAGTGGCAAGTCCCGCTTTTCTGGGGAAGGGGCAAGTACGCCAACACCTTCTCTCCTTGTCTCTACCCCTTCTCTGCTTTTGTGGGGAAAGGGCAAGTACCCCAACCCCTTCTCTCCTTGTCTCTACCCCTTCTCTGCTTTTCTGGGGGAGGGGCAAGTACCCCTCAACCCCTTCTCCTTCACCCTTAGCGGCAAGTCCCGCTTTTCTGGGGGAGGGGCAAGCACCCCTCAACACCTTCTCCTTCACCCTTGGTGGCAAGTCCCTCTTTTCTATGGGGCAAGAACCCCCAATCCCTTATTTCTGCACCCCGACCTCTTATCTCTGTGCCCCAATCCCTTATTTCCATGCCCCAACCTCTTATCTCTATGCCCCAATCCCTTATTTCCGCACCCCAACCTCTTATCTCTGTGCCCCAATCCCTTATTTCCATGCCCCAACCTCTTATCTCTATGCCCCAATCCCTTATTTCTGCACCCCAACCTCTTATCTCTGTGCCCCAATCCCTTATTTCCACACCCCAACCTCTTATCTCTGTGCCCCAATCCCTTATTTCCGTGCCCTGACCCCCCTCCCTGCTTTTCTGGAGGGTAAGAACCCCCAAATCCCTTCCCTCCGTGTCTCTACACTCTCTTTTCTCTAGGTTTGCCTCCTTCACTATGGGCAACCTTCCACCCTCCATTCCTCCTTCTTCTCCCTTAGCCTGTGTTCTTAAGAACTTAAAACCTCTTCAACTCTCACCTGACCTAAAATCTAAGTGTCTTATTTTCTTCTGCAATGCCGTTTGACCCCAGTACAAACTCAACAGTAGTTCCAAATAGCCGGAAAATGGCACTTTCAATTTTTCCATCCTACAAGATCTGAATAATTCTTGTCGTAAAATAGGCAAATGGTCTGAGGTGCCTGACGTCCAGGCATTATTTTACACATCAGTCCCTTCCTAGTCTCTGTGCCCAGTGCAACTCATCCCAAATCTTCCTTCCTTCCCGCCTGTCCCCTCAGTCCCAACCCCAAGCGTCGCTGAGTCTTTCTAATCTTCCTTTTCTACAGACCCATCTGACCTCTCCCCTCCTCGCCAGGCCAAGCTAGGTCCCAATTCTTCCTCAGCCTCCACTCCTCCACCCTGTAATCTTTTTATCGCCTCCCCTCCTCACACCTGGTCCAGCTTACGGTTTAATTCCATGACTAGCCCTCCCCCACCTGCCCAGCAATTTACTCTTAAAAAGGTGGCTGGAGCCAAAGGCATAGTCGAGGTTAATGCTCCTTTTTCTTTACCCCAAATCAGAAGGGTTTAGGCTCTTTTTCATCAGATATAAAAACCCAGCCCAGTTCATGGCTCGTTCAGCAGCAACCCTGAGACGCTTTACAGCCCTAGACCCTAAAAGGTCAAAAGGCCATCTTATTCTCAATATACATTTTATTACCCAATCTGCTCCCAACATTAAACTCCAAAAATTAGAATCTGGCCCTCAAACCCCGCAACAGGACTTAACCTCACCTTCAAGGTGTACAATAATAAAAAAAAAAGTGGCAATTCCTTGCCTCCACTGTGAGACAAACCCCAGCCACATCTCCAGCACACAAGAACTTCCAAACGCCTAAACCGAAGTGCCCAGGCGTTCCTCCAGAACCTCCTCCCCCAGGAGCTTGCTACAAGTGCCAGAAATCTGACCACCAGGCCAAGGAATGCCTGCAGCCCAGGATTCCTCCTAAGCCGTGTCCCATCTGTGCGGGGACCCCACTGGAAATTGGACTGTTCAACTCACCTGGCAGCCACTCCCAGAGCCCCTGGAACTCTGGCCCAAGGCTCTCTGACTGACTCCTTGGCTTAGCGGCTGAAGACTGATGCTGCCCGATCGCCTCAGAAGCCCCCTAGACCATCACGGATGCCGAGCTTCGGGTAACTCTCACAGTGGAAGGTAAGTCCGTCCCCTTCTTAATCAATACGGAGGCTACCCACTCCACATTACCTTCTTTTCAAGGGCCTGTTTCCCTTGCCTCCATAACTGTTGTAGTTATTGACAGCCAGGCTTCTAAACCTCTAAAAACTCCCCAACTCTGGTGCCAACTTGGACAACACTCTTTTATGCACTCTTTTTTAGTTATCCCCACCTGCCCAGTTCCATTATTAGGCCGAGATATTTTAACCAAATTATCTGCTTCCCTGACTATTCCTGGACTACAGCCGCATCTCATTGCTACCCTTCTCCCCAACCCAAAGCCTCCTTCGCGTCTTCCTCTCATATCCCCCCACCTTAACCCACAAGTATAGGACATCTCTACTCCTTCCCTGGCAACCAATCACATGCCCATTACCATCCCATTAAAACCTAATCACCCATACCCCACTCAACGCCAATATCCCATCCCACAGCACGCTTTAAAAGGATTAAAGCCTGTTATCACTCGCCTGCTACAGCATAGGCTTCTAAAACCTATAAACTCTCCTTACCATTCCCCCATTTTACCTGTCCTAAAACCAGACAAGGCTTACAAGTTAGTTCAGAATCTGCGCCTTATCAACCAAATTGTTTTGCCTATCCACCCCGTGGTGCCAAACCCACATACTCTCCTATCCTCAATACCTCCCTCTACTACCCATTATTCTGTTCTGGATCTCAAACATGCTTTCTTTACTATTCCTTTGCACCCTTCATCCCAGCCTCTCTTTGCCTTCACTTAGACTGACCCTGACACCCATTAGGCTCAGCAAATTACCTGGGCTGTACTGCCGCAAGGCTTCACAGACAGCCCCCATTACTTCAGTCAAGCCCAAATTTCATCCTCATCTGTTAGTCATACTCCTATTCACCGTTCTCAACTACTCATACATGCCCTGCTCTTGTTTACACTGCCGGTTTACACTGTTTCTCCAAGCCATCACAGCTGATATCGCCTGGTGCTATCCCCAAACTGCCACTCTAAACTCTTGAAGTAAATAAATAATCTTTGCTGGCAGAACTATGCTGAATCTCCTTAGGCACTCTCTAATCAGATGTCCTAGGTCCTCCCAATTCTTAGACCTTTTATACCTGTTTTTCTCCTCTTATTCCATATAGTTTCTCAATTCATCCAAAGCCGTATCCAGGCCATCACCAATCATTCTATATGACAAATGTTTCTTCTAACATCCCCACAATATCACCCCTTACCACAAGACCTCCCTTCAGCTTAATCTCTCCCACTCTAGGTTCCCACGCCGCCCCTAATCCCGCTTGAAGCAGCCCTGAGAAACATCGCCCATTCTCTCTCCATACCACCCCCCCAAAATTTTCGCCACCCCAACACTTCAACACTATTTTGTTTTATTTTTCTTATTAATATAAGAAGGCAGGAATGTCAGGCCTCTGAGCCCAAGCCAAGCCATCACATCCCCTGTGACTTGCACATATATGCCCAGATGGCCTGAAGTAACTGAAGAATCACAAAAGAAGTGAATATGCCCTGCCCCACCTTAACTGATGACATTCCACCACAAAACAAGTGTAAATGGCCGGTCCTTGCCTTAACTGATGACATTACCTTGTGAAAGTCCTTTTCCTGGCTCATCCTGGCTCAAAAGCACCCCCACTGAGCACCTTGCGACCCCCACTCCTGCCCGCCAGAGAACAAACCCCCTTTGACTGTAATTTTCCTTTACCTACCCAAATCCTATAAAACGGCCCCACCCTTAACTCCCTTCACTGACTCTCTTTTCGGACTCAGCCCACCTGTACCCAGGTGATTAAAAGCTTTATTGCTCACACAAAACCTGTTTGGTGGTCTCTTCACACGGACGCGCATGAAACTCCTTATCTGAGATATGGTTTGCAAATATTTCCCCTTATTCTGTCAGTTTTCTTTTCACTTCGTTGATAGTTTCCTTTCCTGTGTAGAAAGTTTTTGTTTGATGTAGTTCCATTTGTTTATTTTTGCTTTAGTAAACTTTGCTATTGATGTTATATCTAAAATTCACTACCAAGACCAATGTCAGAAAGCTTTCTCCCTATGTTGTCTAGGAGTTTCTTGTTTTCAGGTCTTATGTTTAACTCTTTAATCTATTTTGAGTTGATTTTTGTGTATAGTGTAAGATAGGAGTACAATTTCTTTCTTTTATATGTCGATATCCAGTTTTCTCAGCCTAATTATAGACGAGACTGCTGTGGGAGCCATAGGCTCTTGGCTCTCTAAAGCTTTGGTAAAAATCACTGATGTGAGGCAGAGTGATTAATAAAAGAAAAGGCATAAAAATTTATTTAACATGCATCCACGGGAGCCTTCAGAATAAAAGCCCAACTTCCCAATGAGTTACGGAAACGTGTATATTATCCTGAGGCCACAGTAAAGAATGCAGACTCAGAGCATGTCCAGAAACAGGTAAATCAGGCTTAGTGGCAAGGCAGGTTTAGAGAGAGAGAAATGAGGAGTCTTGGCTGGCAAAGGTGGCTTTTTTATGTAGATGAAGCCTCCCTCAGAGAGAATAGATGGTAAATGTTTCTTTTCAGATTTTTAAAGGTGTCAGTTCATCTGTCAGTATTGGAGGAAAAAGTTTTAAATAAATAAACAATAAAGGTGTCAGACTCTCAACCTCTCCTGGATCTGGGAGAAGGCATAGAAATGGGAGGGGATATGGCTTCATTAATGAAGATTCTCTACAGATGCAAATTTCCCCCACTTAGAATAGCTTCACAAGGCCACTTCTGTCTGCTGGCCAAGTAGCAGCCATTTAAAAATATGTCAAAGAAATATATTTTTGGATAAAATATTTTAATTTCCTTCACTATTCTTTCCCTATTGTGTATTCTTGGTGCTTTTGTTGAAGATTAGCTAACTGTATATGCGTGGGTTTATTTCTGGGTTCTCTATTCTTTTTCATTGGTCTGTGTGTCTGTTTTTATGCCAGTGCCATGCTCCTTTGATTGCTACAGTTTTCTAATATAATTTGAAATTAGGACAAATGTTTTTTCTTGCTGCTTTCAAAATTCTCTGTCTTTGATTTTTGAAAGTTTTGTTACTGGTGGCAAATCCATACAGGTCTGCAGCAATCGCAACTCTTGCCTCCTCAGAAGAAAGAATTTGACTGAAGGGCATAAGCAGAAGGAGAGACCAAGGCAAGTTTCAGAGCAGGAGTGAAAGTGTATTGAAAAGCTTTAGAGCAGGAATGAGAGAAGGTAAAGCACACTTGGAAGAGGGTGAAGCAGGTGACTTGAGAGATTACCTTGGAAGAGGCTAAAGCAGGCAACTTGAGAGATCAAGTGCGCAGTTTGACCTTTGGCTTAGGGTTCATACGTTAGCATGCTTCCAAGGCCTTGCATCCCTTCTCCCCTGTTTCTTCCCTTGGGTGGGCTGTCTGCACTTGCAGTGGCCTGCTAACACTTGAGAGGAGAGCATGCACAGTGTGTTTACTGGAGTTGTATACATGCTCATTTGAGGCATTCTTCCCTTACCAGTCAAATGTCTCTGGAAGGCCATATACTAGTTAAATTCCACAATTTTGCCTCTTAATGTGCAAGCTTGAGCCCATTCATCAAACTCCTGAGATCTTATCAGGACGCTGCTGATCACCAGTTTCAGGTGTTTCTATTTATTGGGAGACTGCCTTTCCCTGGCATTGGCTGTGACCAATTATTATTTTAAAGAGACAGTTAGCAATCACCTGACCATAACCTGATGGTTGCCTGACATTCCTGGTCTGTATGTGTGGTGAGATTGGAAGCTAGGCCGTCTCCTGCCCTGCTTATGCCTGACTAGCTACCTACTGTAACATTTTCCCCCTCAAGAGTCCAGTACCCCAATTCTTTGGGGAAAATGGATGAAGGTCAGTCTTCTGTAACTGATTCCTGCTGACAGGGAGGGGTGGTAGTGATTGTTCTGCAGGTCTTGGCCTCTTACTAGCTGTCATGGCAGAGCTGATTCCATGAGTTGGTGAAAGCCGTATCCAACCATGTCCAAGAGAGACAGGGACAGGATTTTGCCTCTGTCGTGTCCCAGTGATGAGCAGTCTAGGGGTCCTTTGTAGATGGGTGGCTCTTGAATATTGAGAGGACAGTATCCCTCACTGATGATCATCTGGAGCTTGATGGCCTGAAGGTGAGAGGAAACAGATAGGATTATTAGAATTAGAAGAATGCCAAGCCAAAATAAGGGGGTGATGATAGCTCCAAAAAATTCTGAGACTGCCATTATGCTCAGGTAGCTGGTGGCTATAGTTATGCCTGCTAAGACTTGGGTGCATGGGGTTGCTAGCTGATTCCAATATGTGCCCAGAATTAGAATATTGATCCAGATTTTTACATTACCCATCCGTCTTATTTCTTCTGAGCTGCAGCCAGAGATCACTGGTTGGTTCACAGGAATAAGCAGGGTTAGTCTAAATTGCAGACAAAAACTCAAAAACTCATGAGACTAGAATCTAATAATAGGTGTACCATAGTTTTTGAAACAGATTTTTTTTCTCTCCGGTCCTCAGTTTTATTAAAGACAAATCATGATAGAACTGACTTGTTCACAATATAAGCTTTAGTCTTATTATACTTGGCGTGGTTATTTGCATAAAGCACTGTGAGAATAATTATGTACCATATAGACTCCTTTTAAAATTGGCTTTAATGAAACTGTGTTCCATAAGGAATTTCAGGTAAGACTTTTTTAAAGCCTTAGGTTGGCACCATCAAATACCTGTATGACATGGTAAATTTCTCTCCTCTTGTGGTCTCAAGATAACTTGGGGCTTCTAGACCTGTTATAAAGTGATATTCTTTACTCACCACAGGCCAGGAACCCCATACAGGGACTGTGTAGCCAAGGTATGAGGGCAGTTTTCCGAAGGAGCTTTTATTGGCTTCATAATTCCATTTTGATTCCTTAAAGAAAAGCATGCCATTCCAGTCAAAGCCTTGGTAAAATAACCAGTTTCTCCAATTGTGTCCTGTTACAAAAGAAAACAGATTCTTTTTTTTTTGGGACAGAGTCTCGCTCTGTCGCCCAGCCTGGAGTGCAGTGGCGCAATCTTGGCTCACTGCAAGTTCCGCCTCCTCAGTTCATGCCATTCTTCTGCCTCAGCCTCCCCAGTAGCTGGGACTACAAGGTTCCCACCACCATGCCCGGCTAATTTTTTTTTTTTTTTTTTTTGAGACAGAGTTTCCCTCTTGTCGCCCAGGCTAGAGTGCAGTGGTGGGATCTTGGCTCACTGCAACCTCCACCTCCCGGGTTCAAGCGATTCTCCTGCCTCAGCCTCTTGAGTAGCTGGGATTACAGGTGCCCACGACCACGCCCGGCTAATTTATTTTTGGATTTTTAATAGAGACGGGGTTTCACCATATTGGGCAGGCTGCTCTTGAACTCCTGACCTCAGGTGATCCGGCCCACCTCGGCCTCCCAAAGTGCTGGGCCACCAGGCATGAGCCAATTTTTTTTATTTTTTAGTAGAGACGGAGTTTCACTGTGTTAGCCAGGATGGTCTCGATCCCCTGACCTCGTGATCCACCCGCCTCGGCCTCCCAAAGTGTTGGGATTACAGGCGTGAGCCACCGCGCCAGGCCCATATAAGATACTTTTTTATATAAAATCTCTTCTTTATAACCTTCCGTGCCTTTAGAACCTTTGAATTCAACAAAAATCATTTTCCTTCCATTAGAAAGTTAAGATTTGTACTGCATGTTGCTTTGCAAGTTCTGTAAAGGGTGAACAAATGAGAAGGTTATTTACATACTGTACTGGAGAAGTTATCCCACCCCAAGAGATTGCTCAGTTAGATTTTTGCTAGTGCTTGTCCAAATAAGTGTGGGCTATTTCTATACCACTGGGTAGGACGGTCCAAGATGAAGTTATTGGTTAAAGATTTAGGTAGCTTTCCTAGGAGAAATAGAGCTATTAGAAAGATGAATTCAGAGGTCAGGTAAATATTAAGCACACACCCATCATGGAAAATATATTTTTGCCCTAAAGAGGTGTTGGGTATTTAGACATCACCAGGGACTGGTCCCTTAAGTAATATAAAGGGATGTGAATTTTTTCTTTTGGAGGGAGGGGGTGCCATTTCCCCCATTACCTGACAGGATTTGGAGGAAGGTTGCTCAGAGAAGGAGATTAGCACAGAGTAGGCAGCTCCTGAACCCAAAAGGGAAATTTATAAGTTTACTTGCCACCTCCAGAGTTGCCCTCAAGTTTGTCCTGTTGATGACAGTGTCTGATTTGGAAGCCAGTCAGAGCAGACAGCCCCTTCAGCTCAAGGCCATCAGGAGTTGGGATTCTGTCCCAGGGGTGGTTTGGCCCTTGAAGCAGTCTCATTTCCAGTGGCCGACTTTCTGGCAGAAGGGGCAAGCCATGGACATAGCTTTTATCCCATTGGGGCAGTGCCTTCCAGTGCCCTGGCTTCCTGCACCAATGGTAGTTACCTGGAGAAGTGTCCTTAGGGCAACCTGGAGGGGGCTAGTGGGCTCGCAGAGCAGCCAATAGTTGAGCTCACCTCCTTTCCCTTTGTTTCTCCTTTTCCTTAGCCCTGTCCTCCTTATTCTGCTCTTAGTTATGAAAGACTGAAGAGGTTAATCTGAGGACCTCCTGCACAGTGGCACTAGGTTCCAAGGCTGACTTTTGTAATTTCCTCCCCTTTCATTTTTAAGCCAAATAGTATTACAAAGGAAAAGTAGTTTCTTGTTTTAAGGTTTGGGGAGATCTTTCCGTTTGGGGAGATACATCCAAGGGGCATGTCCTGTGGTATCGAGACAAGATTACCTGTCTGTGAAGAGAGGACAGAGGAGAAAAAAGTAAAAACGAGGTGTCCCCTCTTACTTTCCTGTTATCCTATATGGGGCATCCCCTATTCATCCTTAGGGTTCCAGAATGAACTGGTCTTCCCATGTACCCTTCACCTTGGTCCCATCTCATCACAATTATGCACTTGGGAACAGAGGAGATACTGGAGTGAACAGTGGGCTCCTTGTTTATCCTTGGGGTTCCAGAATGAACCAGTCTTACCATATACCCCTAACCTTGCCTTCATCACTTTTCTAATGGTAATCTGTTAGTCTGGGACCAAGCTTTGTCTCTGTGCTATGGGTCTATTGTGCCTACGGCCTTGGGCTGGCCTGTATATATCCTTGTCTCCATGAACTCATAGTGACTCTCACTTGGAGCATTTTAGCAACAAAATCATTATCTTTTCTCAGATTCCCATTTTCCATGTTTTTTAAGTAAAAAGAGGCCTGCTTGTCAGCTAACTGCCTCAAGGGGGCTGGACTTCCCTTCCTTTGAATATGACCTTGAAGTTCTTGATGCATGTTGAGAAGGGCATGGAAGTGATTAGAGTAATGGAGGCTACAGGAAGAAGTGGGAGGATGTGAGAAGAATACTCATGGGAAGCCTTCATATGCTCACAAAAACAGCAACCCTTGGATTCTAGAGGGAAAGGTTTATTTGCCCTCTTGACATAAAGTAGTAACCTCCAGAGAACTTGGGGCTTGGAGTAAGAACTCACAAATGGCAAAGGAAGAACTTTGCCTCCTTCCCGAGGGGTTCTAACTCAAAAAAAAGCAAGTATGTGAGGCTTTTAAAGGGCCACAGAGTGAGGCCCTATGCAGGTGAAAAACCTGCTTCCAAAGCCACTGAAAAACTTACCCCTAGAGCATAACAGGAACAAAAAGCATATGACAAGTCATAAGTTGCTGGCAGAGCCAGGGTTCCAATTAATGTCTGTCCCCACAATGTGCCAAGAGACAGGGAAAGGGTTGGAAGTCATCCAAGTTGGTAGGGTAAAAACAAGTATAAATCTCAGGGGATACCTGCAAGGAAGCCCATGTCTTTGTTGCCATGCCAATGCAGCAAGAGCTGCAGGAACATGAATTACAGGGAGTATGTGTTTAAGAAGTCACGTGGCATGCAAAAGTGAAAACAAAGAGGTGGACTTGCCCCTGAGGCAGACAGTCTGGCAGGTGTGCAAGGCCATTTCAGAAAACACACAGAGAAAACAGGAGAATAGGCAGCATCAGTTTTTTGGGGAAACAGGTAATTTTAGTTGAAAAAGCAGAAGAAACCCCAAGCATTGCATGGGTTTAGGCTTTAGTCCCACCATTCTCATGAGCTCCCTATTTAGGAGGGCCATTAGTGTCTCAGTTCTACTTGATGTGGGCCCGAAGGTCTTTCCCACCCCTACAAGCTACCTGCCAGGGTGAGCTGAGAGATCAGCCAAGAGGAGCAGAGCCACTTGCAGCTGAGAGGAATCATTCTGGGGGTTGGTTAGTAAGCAGGAGAGTAAAAGGGGCGAATAAACCATGCACAGAGGTTGAATGTCTCCAGCTGAAGAAGGCAAGATGTAGAAGTCTCTTACCACAAGGGATCATATCTGAGTCATGCAACACCAAAATATGTTAGCAGTGGAACGTACCTGAGTCACAGCACCAAAGTATGTTAACAGCAGAATGTATTTGAGTCATGGCACCAAAGTATGTTACCAGCAGCGAATCCATACAGATCTGCAGCAGTCTCAACTCTTGCCTTCTCAAAAGAAAGAATTCAACTCAGGGGTTTAAGGCAGAAGGAGAAACAGAGGCAAGTTTTAGAGGAGTAGTGAAAGTTTGTTAAAAAGCTTTAGAGCAGGAATGAAAAGAGGTAAAGTACACTTGGAAGAGGGCCAACAGGTGACTTGAAAGATCTGATGTGCAGCTTGACATTTTGACTTGGGGTTTTATATGTTGGCCTGCTTCTGGGGTATTGTGTTCCTTCTCTCCTGATTCTTCCCTTAGGGTGGGCTGTCTGCATGTGCAGTGGCCTGCTAATGCTTGGGAGGGGAGCATGCACAGTGTGTGTACTGGATTGTACACATGCTCACTTGAGGCATCCTTCCCTTACCAGTCAAATGTCCCTAGAAGGTCATATACCAGTTAAACTCTGCCATTTTGCCTCTTAATGTGCACACTTGAGCCCACTTACCCATCTCCTGAAATCTTATCAGGAAGCTGCTGATTACCAGTTTCAGGTGTTTTGGTTTATTGAGAGACTGTCTTTCCCCGGCATTGGTTGCAGCCAATTATTATTTTAGAGAGACAGTTAAGCCTGTCTCTCTGATGGTTGCCTGACATTCCTGGTGTGTATGTGTGGTGGGGGGTGTGGGGTGGGGGTAGGGAGCCCTCTCCTGTTCTGCTCATGTCTGACTAGCTACCTACTGTGACAGTTTGATTTAATGTGTCATGGTTGAAGAAAGCAAAGATCACTTGGTGACCATCCAGAGGCAAAACTTATCTGAGGAATTTAGAAGTAATTAGATTTTCCTATTATCTAAAGCTGGCATCTGGTACCAGTCTTCTTTCCCCCGAATTTATAAGTAACTAGAATTTTTATACATCTCCAGAATGCATGCATATCAAAACTCATTGTGCAACCCTTGCTGACATCAAGGCACCAAAATGTCTACAAATGTAATCATTTATTATAACCTACATGGCTAATATGGTCCAAATTGCCCTTAAAGCTTCTGCTTTAAGGTCCATAAATACCCCTAAGGAAAAATTCACCACAATGCACTCAGTCCTCTTTTGTTGAGGTGCCCCACTGCACTCTTCTCCAGTGTTCTAATAAAACTACTTTTCAAACCTATACTGTTGTTGGTAAATTATTCTTACTACCCTGCTACCTGCAAGCTGACCACTTTCCATTGCTGGGGCTCTAACAGCTCGCCTAACAATGGAAAAGTCACCTTTGGGTTGAATCTGTTTGGGAATTTTTTATCTTCATGTACCTGGCTGTCCGTATCTCTCTCCAGGTTTGGGGAGTTTTTGTTCTTTAAATAAGTTTTCCACTTCTTTCTCCCTTCTGGTACTTTCTTTCTCTTTTCCTTCTGGTACTATCATAGTCTGTATATTAGTTATCTTGATAGTGTTCCCCAAATCCCATAGCCTTTCCTCATTTCTTTTCATTCATTTTTTTCTTCTTTCTCCTCTGATTGGGTAGTTTCAAATGATCTGCTTTGAGTACACAGATTCTTTCTTTTGCTTGATCAAGTTAGCTGTTGATGCTCTCCGTTGCATTTTTTATTTCATTTATTGCATTATTCAGCTCCAGAATTTTTTTTAATAAATTTTATTGTGCTTGCTTAAGGTACAGAAACACCTTGTTTTATTGCATTTTGCTCTATTGTGCTTCACAGATAATTGCCTTTTTCTCACAAATTGAAAGTGTGTGGCAACCTTGCATCAAGCAAATCTATTGCTGCCATTTTTCCAACAGTATGTATTCACTTCTTGTCTCTGTGTCACATTTTGATAATTCTCACAATATTTTAAAATTTTCATTATTATTGTGTCTGTTATGGTAATCTGCAATTAGTGATGTTTGATGTTATTATTGTAATTGTTTTGAGACACCACAAACCACACTCATATAGAACAGCAAACTTAATTGATAAACTTTGACTGTTTTGCCAACCAGCCATTTCCCCATTTCTCTCCTCCCCTTGGGCCCCCCACTTCCCTAAGACACAACAATATTGAAATTAGGCCAATTAATAACCCTACAATGGCCTCTAATGGTTTGAGTGAAAGGAAGAATCACATATTTCTTACTTTAAATTAAAAGCTAGAACAGTTTAGCTTAGTAAGGAGGGCATATTGAAAGCCAAGACAGATGAAAAGCTCAGCTTCTTGCACCAAACATTTAGCCAAGTTGTGAATACAAAGAAAAAGTTCTTGAAGGAAATTAAAGGTGCTACTCCAGTGAACGCACAAATGATAAGAAAGCAAAACAGCCTTATTGCTAATATGGAGAAAGTTTTAGTTGTCTGAATAAAAGATCAAAGCAGCCACAACATTTTCTTAAGCCAAAGCCTAATCCAGAGAAAGGCCCTAACTCTCTTCAATTCTAGGAAGAATGAGAGAGTCAAAGAAGGTGCAGAAGAAAAATTTGAAGCTAGCAGTTGTTGTTGGTTCATGTAAAGAAAGAAGCAATCTCCATTACATAAAAGTGCAAGGTGAAGCAGCAAGTGCTGAGGTAGAAGCTGCAACAAGCTATCCAGAAGACATAGCTAAGGTAATTAATGAAGGTGGCTGTACTAAACAATATATTTTCCATGTAGACAAAACAGTCTTCTGTTGGAAGAAGATGCCATCTAGAACTTTCATAGCTAGAGAGAAGAAATCAAAGCTTGGCTTCAAAACTTCAAAGGATAGGCTGACTCTCTTGTTAGGGGATAATGCAGCTGGTGACTTTAAGTTGAAGCCAAAGCTATTTACTATTTTGAAAGTCCTAGGGCCCATAAGAATTATGCTAAATCCAGTCTACCTGTGCTGTATCAATGGGACAACAAAGCCCGAATGACAGCACATCTGTTTATGGCATGACTTCCTGAATATTTAAGCCCACTATTGAGACTTACCACTTGGAAAAAAAGATTCCTTTCAAAATATTACTGCCGACTGACAATGCACCTGGTCACTCAAGAACTCTGACGGAGATGTACAAGGAGTTTAATGTTGGTTCCATGCCTGCTAACACAACATCCATTCTGTAGCCTATGGATTAGGGAGTAATTTCGACTTTCAAGTTTTATTATTGAAGAAATATGTTTCATAAGGCTATGGACACCATAGATAATGATTCCTTTAATGAATCTGAGCAAAGTAAGTTGAAATCTTATGGAAAGGATTTTCCAGTCTAGATGCCATTAAGAATATTTGTCATTAATAGAAGGAGGTCAAAATATGAAAATTAACGGGAGTTTGGAAGAAGTTGATTCCATCCCCTGTGGATGAGTCTGAGGGGTTTAAGACTTCTGTGGAGTAAGTATGTGTAAGATGGGATAGAAGTAGCAAGAGAACTAGAATTAGAGGTGGAGCCTAAGGATGTAACTGAATTGCTGCAATCTCATAATACAACTTTAATAGGTGAGGAGTTCTTCTTATGGATGAGCGAAGAAACTGATTCCTTGAAATGGAATCTACTCCTGGTGAAGATGCCATGAACATTGTTTTAATGACAACAAAGCATTTATAATATTACATAAACTGAACTGATAGAGCAGCAAGAGGGTTTGAGATGATTGATTCCAACTTTGAAAGTATTTTTAAATTAAGGTATGTCCATTTTATTTTTTTTTATTTTATTGTTTTTATTTTTGAGATGGAGTCTCACTCTGTTGCCCAGGCTGGAGTGCAGTGATGCAATCTCGGCTCACTGCAAACTCCGCCTCCTGGGTTCAAATGATTCTCCTGGCTCAGCCTTCCGAGTAGCTGGGATTATAGGCACCTGCCACCATGCCTGGCCAATTTTTGTATTTTTAGTAGAGACGGAGTTTCACTATGTTGGCTAGGCTGGTCTTGAACTCCTGACCTCACATAATCTGCCCACCTTGGCCTCCCAAAGTGCTGGGATTACAGGCGTGATCTACTGCACCTGGCTCATTTTATTTTTAGACATAATGCTATTGCACACCTAATAGACTACAGCATAGGGTAAACATAACTTCTATGTGCACTAGGAAACAAAAAGTTCATGTGACCCACTTTACTGTGATGTTTTCTTTATTGAAATGGACTGGAACTGAACCCACACTGTCTCTAAAGTACGCTTGTAAACAATACGATGCTATAGAGTACATATATAGTAAAGAGGTTACCATAATGAAGCAAATTAAATATCCATCATCTCACATAATTACCTTTTTTTATGGCAAGAGCAGCTAAAATCTACTCATTGATTAATAGCATGAATCAAGGATCTAGTACAGTTTTATTACCTACAATCCTCACGTGTTCATTAGATCTCTAGACTTGTTCTTCCTACATATCTGCCACTATCTATCTTCTGACCTACATATTCCGTTTGTTTTTTGTTTCTGTTTGTTGAACTTCTCATTTGGTTCATGTGCTGTTTTTCTGATTTCATTAAGTTGTCTGTGTTCTCTTCGTGGCTCACTGTGCTTTTTCATAACAATTATTTTAAATTTGTCAGGAAATTTGTAGAGCTCCATTTTGGGGGATTGGTAACTGGAAAAATACAGTGTTTCTTAGGTGGTGACATGTTTCCTTGATTTTTCTTATTGCTCAAAGTCTTGAGTTACTGGCTTTGCCTTTGGAGATATAGTCATATCCTCCAGTCTTCACTGACTGGCTTCAGGGGAAAAACACATTCACCAGTCAGCTCAGCTGGGTATTTGATGGCTCTCTCAGGCCTTTTCTATGGATGCGCCCATTCCACCCCTCTTGCTCCCTCTTTGGAGGGAATTCTTAAGATTGATGGCTTCTGTCAATCCTGCAGAGCCAGACCAGATGCCGAGAGGCTCTTGTTTGTCTTCCCTAGAGCAGCGCCCTAAAATGCTCACATTTGTGTGCTGTCTCCCAGTCTCATGGAGTTGGGTGGGCTGTCTGCACATGCCATCTGCAGAGGCTTGTACTTGCTGTCTCCAGGGACACATATGGAGAACAGGCTACAGGGGAAGGGGTAGTGATGCATGTGGGGCATTGGGTGTACCCATGGGCCAGTTGGGGTGGTCTGCATGTGAGGCATCCCAAGCAGCTCATGGGTGGGTTTCTGATGGACTCCCTGAAGCAGTAATTGGGATCCATGGCTCTCTGTTGAGTTCCGAGCCCTGGTGGCTGTGAGTCTTTGCCTCTCTTCCCTGTTTGCAGCCTCCCTCACCACTCAGCTCTGATAATCACCTCAGTATTTTCTGTGGGGTGAGAAACAAGTGGGCCTCTTGGGCAGTGTCTCGCACAGCTAGAGGAGCCAGGCACTCACTCACTATTCTCTCACTTCTTCCCGTGGGAAGAATCGTGGGCTGAGGAGCTCTCTCTTGGCACTGAGTTGTGCTACCTTGCAGGAGAGGTGTCACGGGTAAAGGGAAACTGTTCTTCTTACCCTCTTCAATGCATCTATTCTTGGAGTTTTTACCCCACTAATGTGCTGGAATTTTTCCACTGGCCACCCAGGCTCCCACTATAGTACTGTCATCCATGGGTGGTTGTCAAAATCAATCCGTCCATGGGGAAATGATGGTAGAAAACTCCTATTCTGCCATTTTACTGACATCACTCTCCTCTGCTTTTAGATTCTTGATGGTAGCCCCAATGGCTTCCATTTGCCTACTAAAGGGATGGTGGTCTTTAGCAGGAAAATGACCATGTTCCATGCTGGAACAGTTGCTCTTAAAAATGACAGCTCTTCCAAAGCAAACATTTTTGTCTTTCATATTAGTCCCAGAATGTAACTTCCCAGAATGTAACTTCCACCAGAGCTTGGAGCTCTGGGTGATATAATCTGAGCTTTACTGAGTACACCAAGGAACTAAGAAGATAAACCAAAACTGTGAACTATCAACTAGTAAACTATATTTACTAATCTATAGCCACCTCCACCCTGTTACAGTTAAATTAGGTTAACACTAATTGTTATAGATAACCCCCCCAAATTATCTATTATCTATTATCAAAATTGTCTATTAATTAGGGGGTTGATAGATAAACTTCCAAATTCCAGTTGCTTAACTCAATAAAATTTTTTTTTCTTTATCCAAAGGCAAAGTTGGCTGTTCTGCAGGTAGACCTTTCTCATGGTGACCTGGGACACAGACTTCCTTCCTCTTGGGCTTCCACCAATACCCGAAAGCCCTAGAGCCCTTTGTCTCCATCTGGCAGGTGGGGGTGAAGGGGAGGGGAGACACACGTGCTCTTTCTCCACTTCAGCCTGGAAGTGACTTGCATCACTTATGCTCACATTCCAATGTGATGCCAGAGAGCTCAGAAATGGATTCCTTGGCTGGGCAGCCACTTCCTAGCAACAACTGCACACTATGGAAGGGAACAGCTGGCCATTCTGCCACACACTGATTTTGAGAAGAGAACACAATAGATTATTTTCCATATAATTTCCGTCTCTCAGGGTTGAATCTTTGAAGGTTTAACAAGACTAATGATTGTAATATCAAATTAGGATTTGTAGCAATTTATAAAATATTCAGGTAATGCCCATTTGTGGTGGGATGTGTCTATGTGTGTGGTGGGGGCTGCACATAGTGGAAAAAGTTATCCTGCAGCCTTATTGGGTTTTCCTAAATAATGGAGATAAAGGTTTTTGATGGTTGCCTTGGATGATCACTATTCTGTTAGCTTTCCTAGTAAAATTTGACTTTATAAGCATAGTACATCTGAGGAGGGTTTTATGTGTTCCTCTGTGGTTTGTTGAAGCAAGAGGAGAGGACAGCTAACCGTGTGTGCTATTGTTAAAATCAGGAGACTTTCTTTCTTCCCTTTGCAGTAAAGAACATAAAATTGAAACACACTACATAGCTTGAAGACAAGTCTGAGCCTGTGTTTGGGAAATTAAACAGCCTGAACATGTCATTCATAGTAAGTTAAGGTGACAGCACATCTGATCTGAGTAGCACAAAGTACAATTCTATTACATTCATATTGTTTTTTGTGCCCTTCAGAATTCTGATTAACTTTGCTAATCACCTGTGGCCTGCTAGACCTGCTGAGCAGTCCTGAAGTTGGGTGGGTGGGGGCATTTGAGGGGTGGAAACATGAGTAGCGAAAGCAATAATCTGCTACTCTACAGCAGGTATTACTTTGCATTCCTATCTCCTCTCCAGTTATTATAGTAAAGCACTGGGAGGACGAAAGGTAGAAATGGAATCAGTGAATATACTCATAATGACTGCTTATCAATTTACCCATATTGCCTTTTTCATTCTTTGCAAGTGGTCATTTTCATATAACTGATGTTGCCTCTCTTCATTAAGAGGTAACAATACATCAAAGCAGAACTATTTAATTTACCCAAATGATAATTTCTCCTTGTGCTTCTTTTCCATTTCCATGTCAAATTTTGGACTATCAACATTAATTTTGCTTGAAGCCAAGGATCAAATTGTCAGTAGAGGCCAATTATATAAATTTGCTTGTAACTAGTGGACTTTGGTCAACTTGTTGTTCCTTTGTAACATCCATTCATAAATAGAAAAATTGCATGGGCTGTTCTTAAGTGTGATTCATGATCATCATAGGAGAAAGGTTCTCAAATTCCTTTTCACATCTGCCTTTCAAAGAGTTCAGTTGCATTTCTGCCTACATTAAAGTGCTTTTCCTTTTGCATTAATATTAATTTTCTTTCCAAGGGTTTGATTTGGTTGTAGCTTTTCTGACCTGATTCCCTTCTATATCATATGCTCAGCTCTTATATTCAAAGTAGAACAAAGCAATGGCTAATACAAATCCAATATTATAAAGCTGCAATACAACAAAATTTTAATTCAACTTTCTCTCCATTGTACTATGCTAATACAGATTCTAATATGTTTTATTAAACTTCTGTCCAGCAGAAGCAACTTTATGAAGGGCATGTAGAATGCAAACAATGATACAGCTGGGCCAACACTCACTGGCTTTCCCTTTCCTTTCTCTGTCCTAAGCTCCATATCTGTGCCCCACATCTGTACTGCTCTAGGGAGAGCCCAGCTGAACCTTGCAAAAGAGTGCACTGGTCTCTTTTATTCTTGCTGTTCCAGGAGATGTAACATGCACTACAAGGAGGTGTTATGTGGTATGACCACAGTAAAGTCCAGATATGAAAACGTGTGAGATATCCTTGGGATATTTCCTAAACACAGGCAGCAAACTTCAAGTCTCCAAATCAGCTACCTGGAAATGCTTTTATGGGATATGACATTTAACAAGGACGGCAGTGCCTAGGAAAATATTGACAAGAACCAAGTAATATTCTAAGAGGGCAAAATGCATATGAGTTGCAATGTAATTTCAAGAGTATTTGTGCCCATTTTTAACATCCTTTCTCACCTACTCTTTCAATCCCACTTTTATTCTTCTGTAAAGCCTTTCCAAGCCTTGAAAGACTTCAAAAAGCAGTAAGAAGTCACTGGACTACCCCATAAGTCACGTCTTGCCAACACAATCTATTCTCCACAGAGGGACATCTTAATGCATAAACAGAATAATCTCACTTCTGTTTCCTGTTGCACTTACAACAAAATCCTAATTTTTTACCATGGCCTGGAAGGTCTTGCACGAATGTGACCTTGCCTATCTTTCCAGTCTCATTTCACACCTTCTCCCACCTTTGCTCATCCTGTTCCAGTTATAATGTATTCGTTCAGCAACTTGAAACTGCTAAGCTATTTCCCACCTCAGGACCTTTACACGTGCTGTAATCTTTGCTGGAACACAATTATCCCAGTTCTGCTGAGCTGTATCCTTCAGGTCCTTCAATTCTGAACTTAAATGTCACCTCTTCAGAGAGGTCTTTCCTGCCTACCACCTTTAAAATAAGTTTTTCACATTCTCAGCGTCTTCATCTCTATCTTGATGCCTGCTTTGCTTTCTGTGTATTATGGTATTTGTTTACTTACTTATTATCTCTTTCTCCTACTAGAACATAAGCTTTATGAGGGAGGAACTTGTCTGTCTTGTCTTTGTATTCCCAGCACTTGGCACAGGGCATCACACAGAGCAGATTGTTTGTCATTGTTTGTTGAACAATGGTTTTTATGGTCCTTCCATGGTTGGCTTTTCCTTCCCACAACCTACTTCTTTATAGGGGCAGGTCTTTGTTTATAATTTGTCTTCCAAAAGGAAACTTATACATGACTTTTAAAAATTAAAACATAGTGTATAGAAGCAACCTTTGGGCCAGGCATGGTGGCTCACACCTGTAATCCCAGCACTTTGGGAGGCCGAGGCAGGCGGATCACGAGGTCGGGAGATCGAGACCATCCTGGCTAACACTGTGAAACCCCATCTCTACTAAAAATACAAAAAATTAGCCAGGCGTGGTTGCGGGCGCCTATAGTCCCAGCTACTCGGGAGGCTGAGGCAGGAGAATGGCGTGAACCCAGGAGGCAGAGATTGCGCCACTGCACTCCAGCCTGGGCAACAGAGTGAGACTCTGTCTCAAAAAAAAAAAAAAAAAAAAGCAGCATCCTTTGAAAAACTGTGTTTCCAATGACAGCCTTTAGAATCCTATGTAGGAGCCCCTAGAATTGCAACACTTTAAAAATGAAGTGAATTACTAGTGCGTGGCACTGTTGCACACAAACATGATTTTAGTTATATTCACTTCTTCTCCATCCCCTACACAGTTTCCGTGATGCGCTAAAGGAGATACAGCCAGGCAAACCCCAAATCTGAAACGTATGCTTGAGGAATATAAATAAGGGATGGCAAATGTGATTTGCGGGGAGAAGAAAAGAGGAGAGAGGGCAGGTGACTTGCTGGTGGCTGTGGGAGGAGTTGTGGCCTGAGGCTGGGGAAGGACCTCCCATTTCTTAGCAATGTGAGTATCTCGTGGCTTCCGAGCTTGGTTGGTTTTGTTTTGATCATGCCTCAGAGGTGTGCCCCCTTGTTCTGTGGTTGGATCATTTCCAAAGCTTATTGATCCTGGAGGTTGTGGCCCCAGAATGAAGGTGGCAACAGGTGGATTAGGGCATGCCTGAATAGAGGGAGGCTTTTTCCATGGGTCTTCTGGTCTGTCTAAGAAAGGCACTCTACACTGGCCCTGGGAGGCGAACATAAAGGAGCAATGGGCACCTCCCCCAGCTTTCCTGGGAGAGACTCACAGCTCCCCAGCCAAGGCTTTCTCACACCCAGGCCAGCTTTTCCCAGCAGAGGAAACTTCCCTCTCCAAGGCCTCCTCTGTTCTGAAGTCCAGAAATGGGGCCAACAGGAAGACTCTCACTTCTCACTTCTCCTCAGCTATACGGGGAGATACCCAGGAGTGAAAACCCCCCACCTACACTCCCCCAAAGGAGCCCTAGGTCTTACTGTGATTAAGACTCTCCTTCTGTGAGTGACTCCACACAATATTCCACCTGTCGGCTGAGCTGTTGCTAGCTGAGGTGCTGCACTTTTTACCCCACCACATATTCCCCGGGAGTGTTCTTCTTGCTCTTCCTCCACTCATCTCCCCACACTGATTGCCTAGCAGAGACTGATTTTAGCACTTCCTTCCTGGTACAAGGCCTTACAGGTCATTCTGCTGAGGGGAGAAAAGGACTCCGAAGGGCTTTGGTGTGATTGTCTTCATTGTTTTCCCCTAGGGTCACCCTTATTTGGCTTCCATTTTCAACAAAGGAAAGATGCCCCTGTGGGACAGTGGAGGGGTCAGGGGTCAGACAGGCAGGCTGCTCCCTCACCTAATCACTGCTCTCACCCTCCTTCCCCATTTCTCTATGGACCTTGATAGCCACAGCTGCCCAAGGTTTGCAACAAAGGGAACTAGATGACTGAAAACAAGCCTCACTCACCACGGCGTGAGCTGTCATGGCAGAGGGACCTTTTAACTTCATGACTTAGATTGTTTTTTGGCTAATTTGTATGCCTTGCTGTGAGAAGTGAATACATTTCTTTTAAACTACAGGAAGAAAAAAGATGGCCAGGTGTGGTGGCTCACACCTGTAATTCCAGCACTTTGGGAGGCTGAGGTGGGCGGATCACAAGGTCAGGAGTTTGAGACCAGCCTGGCCAATATGGTGAAACCCCGTCTCTACTAAAAATACAAAAATTAGCCAGGTGTGGTGGTGGGCGCCTATAGTTCCAACTACTCAGAAGGCTGAGGCCAGAGAATACCTTGAACCTGGGAGGTGGAGCTTGCAGTGAGCTGAGATTGCACCACTGCACTCCAGCCTGGGCGACAGAGTGAGACTCTGTCTCAAAAAAAAAAAAAAAAAAGATCACACTGGCCACCAATATGTCTAGGTAGAGTGATAAACACTTTGCCTGGAATTGAGGGCCTCACCACACTAAACATGACAGCTACGCTGTGTGACTGCCAGCACACCCCAGAGAATCCCGGGATGGGCCTCTGGACTCAGAAAATATCAATGTCCCTTCTAGGTGGTGGGAATTTTGTTTTGTTTTCCTCTCTCTATTTTAAATTAGAAAACAGACTAAGAAATGGTTAAATGTGTTTGCCGGAAGATATTCAAGTGTAAGGCAACAGTTTCCAAATTCCCTGCAGAGACTGGGCACAAGGGAACATTGGCAGCCAAGCCTGTTATTAAGAAGGTCACAAGATGCCATCTGTTACTGTGTGCACTTTACTGTTCAAGCATAACATCAACTAGGAGGTGGCTGCAATTGATTTTGCCTGTGAACTTAAAAGATAGAGATATGGTGGACACCATAGTGATTTTAGTAGACTTATATGAACAAACCATGTGTCTGCCTATGAGATGGGCGGGAGTTACGTGGGGAGAAAATTAGGGAAAAGGTGAAGCATTATTTTTAATTCTGTCCTTGGTTATAGCTATAGCTCAAATGTAATTTGGGATGCTCCTTGGTGATTTTCCTTTTTTTGTGTGTGTGCCTGGTTTTAGCCGTTTACAAAATATAATAGAACTGCCTTCTTTATAATTACCAAGTTAAGGCAGATAAATGGGGGAGGGCACGAATAAAAAGACAGATAAATGGACTGCCTTATTCTTTTGTTCCCAAAGAATAAAGAATTAAAAATTCTTTTAAAGAATTTCTAAAATCCACAAGCAAGTTAAAATGGCACAATCAATACCCACCTGCCCTCTCCTAGATTCACCAATTGTTAATATTTTGCCACATTTCCTAACATTTGCTTTATCTAAATCTCTCTATACTGATGCCTATATATACTTATTTGCTGGAATGTTGAGAGTAAAATTAAAATATCATAACAGTATATCCTAAATACTTCTGCATGAGTCTCCTATGGATAAGAATGTTCTCTTACATAACCACAACATTGTTATCACACTCAAAAAAAGTCTGACATTTTCTTAAAGTCAGCTGATCAGAAAAAAAGAAATTTAACATTGCTAGAATAATTTGTATCTAATATATAGACCATTGAATGACTTATTCTTAAAAATCTGTCATGAAAGAGATTTGCTCTCTAATCTATCCCAATGGTTAACACATCTCTCTTTAAGACAATGATACCTTATATTTTTGAGACACTTTGAAAAATCTGATGAAAGCTCTGGGACCTATCTTCAGAAAAATATTCATAAAAATTGTACCAGTCCATGGCCTGTTAGGAAGTGGGCTGTACAGCAGGGGGTGTACAGTGGGGAGCAAGCAATGCTTCATCTGCATTTATGGCCACTCCCCATGGTTGGCACTACTGCCTGAGCTCCGCCTCCTGTCAGATCAGTGGTAGCATGAGATTCTCCTAGGAGCACAAACCCTATTGTGAACTGAGCATGCAAAGGATCTGGGCTGCATGCTCCTTATGAGAATCTAATGCCTGATGATCTGTCACTGTCTCCTATCACCCCCAGATGAGACCATCTAATTACAGGAAAACAAGCTAGGGCCCGCACTGATTCTAAATTACGGTGAGTTGTATAATTATTTTATTATCTATTTCAATGTAAGAATAATAGAAATAAAGTGCACAATAAATATAATGTGCTTGAATCATCCTGAAACCATCACCCCTGCCCCTGCCCACCCACCTTCCATGTTTCCATTGTCTTCCCTGAAACTGGTTCCTGGTGTTAAAAAGGTTGGGGACTGCTGCATAAAGACACTTATACTGGCCAACAATGCGTACATCTTGGCTGCTTCTAAGTTGTATTGTTCACATTTAATCTAAATTCTCCTCCTTTGTGTACATACAACTTAAGGCTGCAGTACTCAGAAAGGATGGAGAATGGTTTGTCTTCACCTTCCAACATTATGTTTTGTGTTCACGAACCTTCATTTCTAATGACAGGCAGGTGGGAGATGAAAGTATCCCCAACATATTAAAGGAAAACAGAATCACCGAGAAGGTTGACAGTTGTACTATGACAGACACCCAGTAGGTGGACTAAATGATTAGAAGACCTGGAGGTATACTTCCAAACTTGAGCTTCTCTGATTCTGCAAGCCTACACTTGCTTTCTTGATAATTTGCTTTTAAAAACTAAATACCTGTAACCTGGAATTACAGGAAATACAGGTATTTCCATCAGGGTTGGCACAACATTTAAGGACCTAATACCTAAAGATAGAATTTGTTGGTAATTACAAAGATATTTAGTTTTATCAACAAATTGCCCAATTCAGTTACAGTTCTAAGACTGGGTAGTGGGAGCAGGAAGGTAGATACATAATAGCAAATTAGGGTAACATTAAATGTCCTTAAAAGGCCAGCTGAAGCTGCCAAGGTCAAACTTTATCATGGGCTCTATTTTGTGAACTGTGACCTCGCAAAGAAAAGTCATTAGCTAACCGTACTCCAACATATGTGAGCTTAACACTGGTGAAGAGGAACACTGGTTCCTCTCCATATACCGCTAAAGAAAATGAGAGACATTTCTAGTTCAGTGAGAAAAATGCCCAAGTTGGCTGAAAGATAAACACAAATGTATAAATACCTAATGCTATGGTCTAGCACAAATTCTAATGCCTGGTTTTTTTCCCCAGAATGCACCAAATGCCCTCAAAATTACTTTTTATAAAACTTTAATATTATAGAATCATATCACTTACTAATTAATGATTAGTATAATTCTTGAAAGGAAGGGTAGCAAAAAGCTAGTTAAGCCTCTGGGAGGCCTGTGGGATTTATAAAAGTCTTACAGAGCTTTGAAAGGCTAAGAATTCACAGACCATGGAACAATCAGCACTAATTGTGAAGGATAAACTTCTTATCCGTCTGCTTTTACTGTGGCTATGAAAAAGTGGGTTTTTCTTGAATTTAGCTAAGTAATTGTTAAGCTCTTTGACTCTGGCTTAAGATACCTTCTTTAAAAAAAAAAAGTTTATCAGCATAAAATAGCACACAAAGCAATGAACATTTGCCACATGCTAGTCCCCTCTCTTGACTTATTTCTAATGACTAGGTCCCATCATATTACATCAAGCAAGACACCCTTTCAGCAGTTTCCCCTGATTTTTAATGAAATCACACAAGATAACTCAGTATAATTCGTCATTAAAAAATCAATCTGGGCACCATGGCTCATGCCTGTAATCCCAGCACTTTGAGAGGCTGAGGTAGGAGGACTGCTTGAGCTCGGGAGTTCGAGACCAGCCTGGGTAATAGAGTGAGAACTCATTTCTATGACAAATTTTTAAAAATTAACTGAGTGTGGTGGCACATGCCTGTAGTCCCAGCTACTTGAGAGGCTGAGGCAGGAGGATCCCTTGAGCCTGGAAGTTGGAGGTTGCAGTGAGCCATGATCATGCACTGCACTCCAGCCTGGGTGGCAGAGCAAGACTGTCTCAAAAAAAAAAAAAAAAAAAAAAAGAAAGAAAAGAAGAAAAGAGTTAAGTGAAAAAGCACAATGATATCGTATGTTCTCACTCGTAAGTGGGAGCTAAGCTATGAGGATTGCAAAGGTATAAGAATAACACAATAGACTTTGTGGACTCGGGGGAAAGGGTGGGAGGGGGATGAGGAATAAAAGACTACACTTGGGTACAGTGTACACTGCTTGGTTGATGGGTGCACCAAAATCTCAGAAATCACCACTACAGAACTTACTCATGTAACCAAACACCGCCTGTTCCCAAAAAACCTATTGAAATAAAAAAATTAGAAATTTTTAAAAAAATAAATAAATAGAAAAAAACCATAATGAGTTACTACTTCACATCCATTAGAATGGCTATAATCACAAAGACAATAACAAATATTGGAGAAGATGTGGAGAAATAGGTACCTTCATTCATTGCTGGTGGGAATATAAAAGAATACAGCCACTTTGGAAAACATCTTGGCAGTTTCTTTAAAGGTTAAACAAAAATTAATAGCAGAACCCAGTGATGCTGCGTATAGGTTTTTTCCCACTAGAAATGAAAACACATGTCTACACAGACTTGCATGTGAATGCTCATTGCAGCATTATCCATAGCAGCCAAAATTGGAAACCCTAATGTCTGTTACCTGGTGAATGAGTAACAAAATCTAGTATATTCGTACAATGGAACACTATTCAGCAATTAAAAAAAAGAACAAAATACTAAAACAGCTACAACATGGATGAACCTCAAAACATTGTGTTAAGTTAAAGAAGTCAGACATACAAGATCACATAGTGTATGATTCCATTTATATGAAATGTCCAGTAAAGGCAAATCTATAGAGAAAGTAGATGAGTGGTTTTCTAGTGCTGGTGGTAAGAAAGGGGATTAACTATAAATGAGCAAAAGGAATCTTATTGGGATGATGAAAATACTCTAAAACTAGATTATGGTGATGATTGCATAACCTGATAAGTTTACTTAATTCACTGAACTGTGTACTTAAATTTTGTCAATTTCAAGGTTTATAAGTTATATATCAATAAAATTGTTTAAAAAATGCATCTGAGCTTCTCAAGACCTTAATAAAAATTTAAAGCCTTGGAATTTCAGCAGTCTTGCCTCTCTCTAATTCTAAGAGTGTAAGTTGTGTATCATAGGAGAACATAGCAGACACAAAAATATTTACCTCTCCCAAAAGCTCCAGAAGAATTACTATGAATTTAACTTCTACAGTTTTGTCTTACCTGTTTGATGCTTACTTTTAAAAAGATATTATTCTTAATTGACCCATAATAATTGCATCTATTTCTGGAGAACAGTGTGGTATTTTAACACATGTATACAATGTGTAATGAGTGAGTCAGGGTAACTGGCATATCCATCACCTCAAACATTTATGATTTATTTGTGTTGGGAACATTCAAAATCCTTTCTTGTAGCTATTCGAAAATATTCAATTTTCCAGAGATATTTCAAATAAAAAAAGAAAATACACAATAAACTATTGGGCTTTTTTTTGAGACAGGGTCTTGCTCTGTTGCCCAGGCTAGAGTGCAGTGTGCAATCATGGCTCACTGCATCTTCCACTTCCCAGGCTCAGGCAATCCTCCTGCCTTAGCCTCCCTGGTAGCTGGAACCCCAGGAGCCACCATCACACCCAGCTAATTTTTAAAAATTATTATTTGTAGAGACGGGGGTCTCCCTATGTTGCCAACGCTGGTCTTGAACTCCTGGCCTCAAGTGATTCTCCTGCCTTGATCTGCCAAAGTGCTGGGATTACAGCCATGAGCCACGGTGTCTGGCCATAAATTACTGTTAACTGTATTGCCTCTACAGTGTTATAGAACAACAAAACTTACTCCTCTTATGTAACTATAATTTTTGGTTAGATGCTAAAGGGAAGCAATTGAAGTGTGTACAATTTGTGGTAATAGCCTAATTGGAAGTGTAAGGAATTTTATTCTAACTCTGCATTTAATCCTGATTTTCCCTCTTCATGTGCATGCAGGACTATTCCCTGATATAACCAGGCCCTTTAAAAAGTCATTTGATGTCAAGCATGGAGTGGTAAGCCCAACATTTCTCAGCAATCTCTTACCTGTAGAGAGCTTAAATTATTATACACTGCATATTATTCATTAAAAAAACAAAAGGGGTTAAATTTTTAAAAAACAATATTCACCAAACGTTTATTCCTGAGTGCTTATTTTGTGTGTGGCTTTCTATTAGGTGATAGGAACACAACAATAACCAAGGTTACGAATTGTGAACAACTGATGATACTGTATTTTTATTATCATCACCAACTTTTCCTCTTTTCCTTGCAGAGGAAAAATTATATATAATATACTGGCAGTTAAAAATAACTTTTCTCTGGCTGTAAACATTCAAATAATACAGAGTAACAAAGTAAAGATTATCTGAAATCTTCCCCCAGGGACAATCACCATTTTCATTTCAGTGAACATCCTTATAAATGTCTCTCTATACTTATGTATACATAAGGATACATGCATACACACAGTATATTGATGAGATCACACTGGACACTGTCCTCTGTAACCTGCTTTTATCCCTCAATATTTTCATGGACATCTTTCAGTGTTAATCAACATAATTATTTGTTACGATTTTTAATGGATACGTAATATTTTATTAACTGACTCCATTACAATTTTAAAATATGCCATAGGCCGGGCACGGTGGCTCATGCCTGTAATCCCAGCACTTTGGGAGGCCAAGACAGGTGGATCACCTGAGGTCAGGAGTTTGAGACCAGCCTGACCAACATAGTGAAACCCCATCTCTACTAAAAAAAAAAAATACAAAATTAGCCGGGCATGATGGTGCGTGCCTGTAATCCCAGAGGCTTGGGATGCTGAGGCAGGAGAGTTGCTTGAAGCCGGGAGGTGGATGTTGCAGTGAGCTGAGATCATGCCACTGCACCGCAGCCTGGGCAACAAGAGTGAAACTCCACCTACAAAAAAAATGTGTATATATATATATATATATATATATATAAAATATATTATATATATACATTATATATAATAATATAATATATAATATAATATATACATTATATATAATATATTATATATATAATGTGTGTATATATAATATATATTATATATAATATATATATACACACACACACACACACACACGCCATATAAGGAGGCATTTAAGGTTTTCTAATTTATAACTACTGTAACCAATGCTGTGATCAATTTGAATATACGTTTTTGTAGCTGTAAAATCATCTCTTCAGGGTACGTTCCCATAAGAAGAATTCTTGGGTCAAAAGTACACTTATTTTACAAATGGCCAAACTGCCTTCCCAAAAACTGGCCTCGTGCCCTAGTAGTGCGTGAGAGTGCCTGTTTTCCTATATCCTCTCTAACATTAGCTTTAAAATATAATCTTGATGTTTTCCAACTTGACAGATGAAGATAGTTCAATTTTCTTTTAATTTCATTTCTTTGATTATTAGTGAAGTCAAGCATCTTCTCCTATGTTTATTCATCATTCATAGTTCTTTCATGAATTGTAATTGATTCTCACTATTTGTGGTTATATTTTGTAAAATCACCATGAATACTGAATTAAGGAATACTGAACCATTGTTCCTAAAGGAAATATAAGGTTAGATTCCTGGGAGCCTCCAGTCACAACATCTTTGTCGACTGATCAATATATAATTTTGTTTTTATGTATATTTCTGTTTAAAGACACTTAATATATGAACTCATGGCTAACAGCACTATAACTAATGCTAGAATGGAGCTTAATTAATTTACAAATAAATTTTAGCAAGTAGGTGAATTTGCAAACACTGATTCATGAATAATTATATTTGAATGATAATGATAGTATATTTCCTTTATCCATTTTCCTACTAGGGTGTTTAGCTTTTTCTTATTGATTTGTATATGGTATTTTCATATTAGGATTGTACTCCTTTGTCTATATTTTACTGTTATTGTTTGTTATTACAGTGGTGGCTTTTTCTTTTTCTTTTTTTTTTGAGACAGGGTCTTGCTATGTTGCCCTGGCTGGCTTTGAACTCCTGGGCTTAAACAATCTCCTGCCTCAGCCTCCCAAGTGGCTGAGACTACACTGCACTCACAGTGGTGGCTTTTGACAGCAGTATCAGTGCTTTCTGAATGCAGGGGTGGGGAGGAACAATGTTGGGAAAATGAATTTTATTAGATTTCTATTATTATGAAAGTGGTTGGTATTTATTTCTATCTCTCCTTTTTATAGGCACATCAAATTTGGGATTTTGGTGATTGTTTTCCGACACCTCCAAATTATGGAAAATACTGTAAGTCCCATCCTGAACTACTACTTTACATCCATTTTCTGGCCTTTATTTTAATCGTGGTCATGTGATTTTTTTTTTTTTTTTTTTTTTTTGAGATGGAGTCTCACACTCTCCCAGGCTGACGTGCAGTGGCGCGATCTCGGCTCACTGCAAGCTCTGCCTCCCACGTTCACGCCATTCTCCTGCCTCAGCCTCCCGAGTAGCTGGGACTACCGGCGCCCGCCACCACACCCGGCTAATTTTTTGTATTTTTAGTAGAGACGGGGTTTCACCGTGTTAGCCAGGATGGTCTCGATCTTCCGACCTTGTGATCCTCCCTCCTTGGCCTCCCAAAGTGCTGGGATTACAGGCGTGAGCCACCATGCCCGGTCCTTTCATGTGATATTTTCATACCTTTTGCATTTCTGCTTCCTTCCTCCTGGCACCCACATTGTTACATCATTTTATCTCTCCTAACAATACAAAAGGTAGGATGCAGAAATAACAGGAGGGAGAAATGCAAGAGGCATTTGTCACTCATGCTGGTGGCAGAGGAGGGGGCTGTGTATGTGAAGGTTTGGATCTATTGATTTAAAACAAGGTTTGGGAATGTCAGGAAATTTCACTTATGGTAGACTCTCTTTATCGCAAACACTCACACATTGGCTATCTCTTCACCCTAGGTGTGAGACCTAAAAAGCCAGCACAGGAGGCCCTGATAAACTACAGTCGACGAGGGAAAGGTGTCCTAAAGCATGTAAGAATCTTTTTACTTGCCATGCAACAGTGGATCTGTGGGGTAGTCAGGAAGCGGGGTTCTGAGTGTCTCTACATGGCAGCAGGGGTGGTGGCCTGTGTATGTTTAGAGTTGGTATAAAAGTATTCCCTAAGTTACAATCAGGCAAAAAGCGGAGCTGTTCTGATAAGATAAAGTCTTTCTTAAAGCATCATGAATAGTTTCTTGGGTGGATCTCTCCACAGCTGTTTTGGAAACAAGCCCCTAAGAGGTTTACAGCAGTTGGAATTTCTATTGTACTGTCCAAATTTTCATCGGTGAGTTGTTGGGTTCTGCCTGTTGTGAAAAAGAGAGTTCTCAGATAGTCCTGCCCTGCCGCATATCCACCCTGGTTGCC
The DNA here is from genome assembly GCF_000001405.40 of Homo sapiens. Taxonomy (NCBI): domain Eukaryota; kingdom Metazoa; phylum Chordata; class Mammalia; order Primates; family Hominidae; genus Homo; species Homo sapiens. The sequence goes on from NC_000004.12 coordinate 145,730,342, forward strand.
CGGTGGCTGGAGTTTCCCTCCTCATGTGCCCGTCCTGCCACTCAGCATCTATGGTCCCTGCTTCCCCAATATGACCCTCCAGACCAGGGATTCTCTCCTTCCTGATTAGACTTTCTCAAACCCCAGGGCTTTTAAACAGATTGTTAAAATGGGGTTCTTTTTATGTCTTAAAGTTCTGGCAGACATTCTTAGAGAGTAAGTTGAAAGAAAGAATAAAAACTGGTTTTTGCATAGAAGTTACAACTATTTTTGCTATTCTATTACTTTATTAAGATTTCTCTTTAACTTAAAAAAAACTCAGACTCATCCTAAGTAATTATGTTTATTATACCATGGGTTTGATATGCTCGTTATGTGTGTTAAAAAAAAAACCCTGACCATTAAAATAAAAAATGTTATACAAGTACTACCTAACAGTATCACAAGAACCACCAGTTATACATACATTTCACTTTCACTTGGAAATGCTGGTCTTTGGACATTAACTAGCAGATATGATACATTTCGCTAATGGGAGAGGGTTGGATGACCCACGCTGGTTCCCAGGCAACCAGTCTATTTTAATGATGCTCTTCCAAAAATGGTGCAGTTTTTCTCAACTTTTCTGCTTAGGACCTGATAATGTTCCCAGGGAGCATTTCAAACAGGGAAAGCCAGTGCGGTGGCAGACTGTGGAGGGAGTTGTTTGGGGGCATTTGTAGCTGCATGGTCCCCTGAAAGTTATATTGTGTGGTCAACCAGGGACATCCCTTCACTGTAGGGTTGATGCCTGTTTCTAGGAAGGGTAGATGATTTCCTGAAAGTACATTTACTGAAAGCTGGCCTCTTGGGAGTTGCTTGGGAGAATCATTAACTATTGTTAAATAAATAAATCCCTCTTGCCTACATGGAGTTGTACTGGTGCCAAGCAATTCCATTGCCAGTCAGTGTCTGCAGCTGTTCTGGGGAACAGCTGCTTCTCTCTGTAAGGTGCTTCCCCAACCCCTCCCAGAAAGGGAATTCTCTGTACTCAAAGTAGCCGCTTTTAAGTCAACCATTCCCAACAAATAAATGACATTAATCCTGCTCTTGTTTTTGTGGTGCAATAACAGACTAAAAGTACATGCAGGTGCACACACACACACCACACAATTAATATGGGGCACATATTTGGAAAACCTTGGACCTAGAGTCCTGAGCAAAAAAATAAATCATGACTTTTTATTTATGAGACAAGGCAAATCTTTTTTTTTTTTTTTTTTTTTTTTTTTTTTTTTGAGACAGGAGTTTCACTCTTGTTGCCCAGGCTGGAGTGCAATGGCGTGATCTTGGCTCACTGCAACCTCCACCTCCTGGGTTCAAGCAATTCTCCTGCCTCAGCCTCCCGAGTAACTGGGATTACAGGTGTGTGCCACCACACCCAACTAATTTTTGTATTTTTAGTAGAGACAGGGTTTCACTGTGTTGGCCAGGCTGGTCTCGAACTCCTGACCTCAGGTGATCTGCCCACCTCGGCCTCCCAAACTGCTGGGATTACAGGCGTGAGCCACCATGCCCGGCCGAGACAAGGCAAATCTTAATATTTTTAAATATATATAGTTTGGAGGAGAACAAGCACTGAGATATATAAATGCCCAATTTCCTGCATCAAAGCAATAAGTAGAGATTGAATGAAATTTTCAACGATCATTAACACTATTCTTAGTTTCGAAAGTATTTGCTTGCTGGGTAGTGCTTTTGGTAATCATTCTCTAAATATTTATATTCCTGTGTCCTATCTTGAAGAAGTTCCTGATGGAAACTGGAAAGCAGAGCATTCACATCCAGGAATGTGGGAACTAAAGGAATTAGGGAAACCTGGAAAGAATCTTACCAGAGAAGCAGTGGGGGCCGGTTAGGGATTGCAAGAGTTCCTGCCCTTTTTCTCTCCCACTTTATTAATCTGGCCTTCCTAACAGAGACACAATATATTAAACAGGAAGGTTAAGAGAGATGGAAGAAAATGCAGGATCAATCCCATCTCCTGCTCATGAATGATGTCTGGTTTGGAAGAGACCATTTAATTCCCAATTCTGTGGAAAAGTGACCTTTGCGGATGAGCGAGTGTTGACAACCAGGCCATTTTTCTCCAGCTTCATGGACGGTGCGATTCTGAAAGCAAGGTTTGCTCATCTGAGGATTCAGAAGCTGATCGATACTCCGATTATGGCTGGGGAGGACCCTCATCGCCATTTAACTGAGTTGGAAAATGAAGCCACAAGGCTGGAGGCGTGGAGTTTGCTTAATAAACAACTTTGAGGTATGGGGCCCTCCCAACACCCTCCCCCCACCCGCCCCGCCCAGGAACGTCTGGACCCTGGCAGGTTGGCTTTCTGGGACAATTCCATGGGCTTCATTTATCAGTTTTTTCCCTTTTTAATTGGTGGAGAGAGACAAAAGTTTTTATAATCTTTATTAAATTTTCCTTTTTAAATAAATACTTGGGACCACATTTCTCTGCTAGAACCACAGAAATGGTGCTGCGGCCCCGACCGTCGGGGGCTCCGGCGTCACAGAGCCTGTCCCTTGTATCTGGGAGCCCCGGGGAAGGCGCAGGGGCGTGAGAAATGCTCTTTGTATTCAGAGCGGTCACCCAGCAGAGCCGGAGCCTTCCACCGCCAGGTTTTCCTCCGCGCAAGGCGCCGCCGGGAAGCGAATTGGCTCCGACAGTCGCGGGGGCGGGGGCGGCCTCAGACGCGGCGGGCTCGCGAGCTCAGGGGCGGAGTCGTGGCCCTCCCGTCCCGGCTCCCTCGGTAGGCTGCCTGCGCCCCCAAAGCCGCGCCCACGGCCCGCCCACCCGCCGCCTGCCCCTCCCCTCCCCGGTCCGCCTCTTCCCGCTCCTCCCGGCCCGCCGGAGCGGCCGTCTCCTTCTTCCTCCACGGCCCACCTCTTCTCCCCCACGATCTTCCTCCCCTAGCGTCCACAGGCCGCCTCCGCCGCCTACGACCCTCCTCCTGCTGATTCCCCCCCACCACCGCCCGCCTCGTCGCCCCCGCGGAGCGCGCGGGAGGGAGGGACCGGGAGCGGCAGGGGCTGCACATGACCTGGGGCGCGGGAAGGAGCCCGCTGCCGTCTAGGCCCGCGAAGGGCCCCGGCAGCCGCCGACTTCTGAGGAAAAGCAGAACGGTGTTTGGTTTACTAAAGTAGCCGCCTCCTACCACTCTTCCTCCCCAGCCCCGCTCTCTGCTCCCCACACCCCCTTCCGTTTACTCCTAGTTACCAAGACCGTCCTTCTCTTAGGATTTCTGTTGAATAGAAAATACAATTAAAAGTCGCAGCACCACCCCTGCCTCCCGCCCCACAAACTCCTAGTGATTATTTTTGTCTCTTAGCCCTAGGTCGGGTTAAATACATTCCCCGGGAGCCATCTGGTCTGATTCCCGGCAACCTTCGTATGGTTTCCATTAAGCTCTCCAAAAGCATGCATTGAAAAGGCAGCCCTGTAGCCACTTAGGAACCTCCGGAGTTTTGCCCTGGCCAGCCCCAGTAGACATCCCAGGCAGAAGGAGAGAAAGGCCTCTGTTTAGGTTCCGAGTCTAGTACCTCATGATCCTGGTTTTAATCTCGAATTTCTTGGCTTTTCCTAGTCCAAGAAAATACAGTTCTCCAAGGTAATGGCTATCATTAATTCATCATTTGTTTTTTACTATACGCAGAGGATAGCTGATTAGAATTCTGTTTTAATTCTAAAAATGAAGGCTAACAGCTTTACAGATAGGTTGCAACAGTAACCTGGCCACACAAGTTCAATTTGACCAGCAACATTGGTATGGTGGGGTCTACACCTTCTCGCCTGTCTGTCCACCATTCCTTAACCCCCAAAAGGCAAAGAACAAATATTTGCTTGTGGAAACATATTCCCTCACACGTGGGTTAGGGCTTGTGTCCAAGAAAAAGGGAACCGGCAGGTTCATAGACTCTGAGTGTTGTAACTAGAGTGTTCCTTAGGATTCATCCGAGATGTATATCCATTGATTGAGGACACTCAGAAAGTGGAGGGGCTTCGGGAAGGTCACGTGGCTGATGAGTACAGTACTGCGGCCTAATTTGGGGATGGGAGGGTGGGGAAGAGACCTGGGCATCAAGAGCTTTATCATATACAGCAAGGAAGATTGTGGTCAAACCAATTCATTAGTGGCACATCCTGAATCTCCCCAGTCCCTCAGCCGCAGTCCCATCTCTGTCCTGCTCTGTGCCTCCCTGTTTGCGGAGTTAGAGCCCTTTGCTGTTCCTCCTGTTTCCCCACTCCCGCCCTGACCGTGTGATTTTTATTTGGGTTTTAAAAATGAAACCAGGTGCTGCATAAAACAAAAGCAAAGTAATAACAAGGAAAGACTAGCCAACGCCTGAGGAATGTGCTGAGTTTTATGACTCAGGCTGTCCTGGCAAAGAGCTTGGACTGACAGCGAGAGGTGGGTGCCACGGAGCACAGACCATACATGGCAGCCCTGGCCTCCCCAGATAGGCATGGTCAAGGCAGCCTGTGACTCATTTCACAAAACCAGAGACTCTTGTTCTTTGTGGAGCAAGACTTCCCGGAGGCTAGAGCAGGATGATCGTCAACTTTTCTCCTTAGAGCCGGTTCAGTCTGATAAAGCAGGGGCCACCCCGGAGTTTGGAGGGGAAGAGAGCCCAGGCACAAGGCCATCCCTGGGAAAGAAACAGGCTTGATGCACTTGGGCGAGGGCTTTGGTGCAGTGAGGAGATGAATAACATGGAAGTTGCAACGTGACATGAAAATTAGCATGTATTGTAGTGGAGACAATGGCTTGAGAGTTCCAGGTCGGGGATTGCCACAGTGCCTTGGAGAAGGGGACTGTTGGAGTGCTCCTAAGCCTGGAGGAGGTGTTTGCTCCTCCTGAGTGCATGGAGCACAGGAAAAGATTGTCAGATGCCAGTAGGGTTTCCGAGGTGCCATTCCTCACGCAATCTGGAAGAGTAACTATGGGCAAAATAGTAGACTTTGCATAAACACCCAGAGAGCCACCCAGGCACACATCCTCACATTGTGAGAATTCTTTTCAAATGAGCATAGTAATGGGATGAGGTGTACATTTTTTTCTGTTACTAAGAGACAGACTGGGAGAGTGAGAATGCAAAGGAGAATGTCTCTCCTAGCAGAGGTGGTGGGAGGGGTTGGAATTTGGATGACAAGGATCTGTTTGTGCCGCCTTCATTACACAGGCCTGAGTGGAATGGGACTGATAGGGCTTCTTCTGGTTTCTGCTTCTGGTTTCTTCTTCCCAGAGAAGGCTGTCACTTTTTGAATGAGAATGAACTTTGGCTGGCATAAATGAGGTCTTCGTGCAGCAGCCCTATGGAACAGGGACTTGTTTTTCCTTATCTTCTTTCTCTTTTTCTTTTCCTTTCCATGGAATACCCATTGAAAAGCTATGGTGACTATTCCATAATTGCAGGCAAAGCTCTGCTTAACTTGTTCCTTAAAGTCTACTTACCTGGAAAAATAAAGTCTTTTAAGGACGATGACTTCATAAATATTTATAGTGGGAACAGGCATCACTCTGGTTCTGCGAGAGAATGGGCTCATTCAATTTTATTTATGATGTGACACTTGGGTGAGTGACATCCGTCATCTGGGTCAGCCCTACACTCTGTTCCAGTGAAGCATGTTTATGGAGTGATTATGCCTGCAAATATTTGCTATATTTAGGCCCTCTCCTCCCCTAACCCCCTCTTAGACTTATTAAGTCCCCAAACCAGCAAAAAGCCAAGCTATGGTCTGGAAGGTTTGAACCCTAATGACAAGGCACAGGGGCTTGAACACGTGCTGTAGAAGGATTTGACAAACTGGGAGGCAATTAGAGTGGGAACACTGTTATTATAGCATTCCTATATTCAGGAGGTTTTGCTGGTCCTGTGTCTAGCAGGTGAGCGCTCTCAGCTAGGCATGAGGAGTTTTGACAGGTGACGAGCACAGCCCTGAGTGACGAATGCAGAAGGATGCTTTTGAAACTCTTTCCTTCCCAGGGAGCTTTCTCTGGACAGGATTTCACAGGCCCTCAGATCTGTCACCATGCACCCTGGGGCTTTAGGGGCAGGACCTGATAGGGACTCTGTGACCTGAGCTGGGTCAAGGTCTGGGTGTAACCTGAGGCCTCCTCTCAGCCACACCTGGTCCATGGCTGGGCGCAACAGCTGCCGTCCATCAGCTGTGGAGCAGGGAGGGCCTTCTCTGGCTTCCTGGCTTTCGAGTGCACATGCCCTGACCTAGGCATTTCAGGCTGGACTTAGACATACTTCAGGACTCAATATTTGCTCTCCAATCGGCTTGGCCATCTATTGTTTATCCTGGGAAGGGCCAGGTCTTGGCACAGGAGCCTGAAGCGTTGCCAGTGTTTTATTTTTAGAGACAGGAAAATGTCTGCTTTTTGGCAGCTGCTCTTTTTCTGGCACACATCAGGGATGGTGTAAAAAAGTTCAAGTGAGAGATTCCAAGCCCTAAATTCACGGCCTATGACACAGGCAATAGCACCATGAGCCTCTCAATAGGCGCCTTTGGGGAACCTAGGATCTGTCATTAGAAGGCCTTCTGGGCAGAATAGTGGCCTCCCTGCCACACCCTGGCGGCGAGAGTCCTCTCTAGTTCATAAACCTCAGAGTCTGAACTTCTCGTGAGTCCCTTTTGAATGCATCAGCCGATCTGAACTATTATAGTTCTTACCTCCATTCATCTCCTTATCTACCAGTCCATAATCTGGTTCAACTTGGTAGGCAGAGTTAAAAAAAAAAAAAGTCTGCTAAATTTCATGTTCATCAACCCTTCTTAGACCCAATGACGTTGTCATCATAATGATTGTAGAAGACAGCCAGTGTACATGGCAAGAAATATCTTACTAGATTCAGGGATCACATTTCCAAGTTTTATTGGAATTAATATTTGTCTTAACATAGCCCTCTTAAAACATATTTTTGTAGGTCCTGTGATTCTAGCTGCTGACAATTTATAGGAAAGCATTTTGCAAACTATAGTGACATATTATGCAAAGGCAAAATGGAATATAAATAAAGAATTATTATCTTCTTTTCTCCCCAACCTTTGAAAAACGATTACTTTCTAATTACAAAAATAAAACATGAATAAGTTCTTCTTTACTGCTTATAGCCCATCATTACCTTTTGGATTCATTTTTCTTCCTGCTGGAGCACATCTTTGGTAGATTTTCTTTTGCTTTTCCTCCCTTCTCCATCAGAGTGGGTAATACATTTTTCTAAGGGCTTGTATGTCTGAGAAGATATTTTGCTCTCTCTCTCTGCATGTTAGCTTGGCTTGTTATAGAACTCTAAGTTCAAATTGATTTTTCCTGAGCATTTCTAAGCTATTCCATCATTTTCTTGAGACTGCTTTGGTTGATGAGCAGTATCCTTTTGATCTGACTCTCACTCCTTCGTAGATAATCCTCTGTATCCTCTTGTACCTTTTAGGATTGCCTTTTTCACCTCAATGCTCTGGAGTTTTGTTTTGATATCACTATGTATGAATTTATTTTTAAAGTTTATCCTGCTTGGTAATGATAGGCTCTTTCAATCTGAGTGTTCATGTTCTAAAATATGGGGTGGAAACCAGACAGGTTAAATTCATCTGTATAGTAAAATGCTGAGGAAGAAAGGAAAGAAACTGTGTGGCTTGAGTGTTGGGAGGAATTTTAAGGGGTTATAGAGAGAGCAAGAGAGTAAGGCTTGGAGAGATTCATTGTTAGTTGGTTCCTGCTGGAGCACATCCTTGATAGAGAAAAATGTGTAAAGAAGACTTTTTAAGCTCTTTGGATGCATATTAAAAATATACTCCCAGCAGGGCTCAGTGGCTCACGCCTGTAATCCCAGCACTTTGGGAGGCCTAGGCAGGTGGATTGCCTGAGGTCAGGAGTTCAAGACCAGCCTGACCAATATGGTGAAACCCCGTCTCTACTAAAAACACAAAAATTACCCAGGAGTGGTGGCAGGCACCTGGAATCCCAGCTATTCAGGAGGTTGAGGCAGGAGGATTGCTTGAACCTGGGAGGTGGAGGTTGCAGTGAGCTGAGATCGCACCACTGCACTCCAGCCTGGGCGACAGAGCGAGACTCTATCTCGAAAAAAAACATATATATATATATATATAGACACACACACACTCCCTTCTTTGGTGTTTTATGAAGAAACTAAGACCTAAGTTGGTGTTAATTATATTTTTTTTCTGTGGGACTGTTGTATCTGTGATTTGATACTAAACCACAAGACTGAACCATAAGACTACTTTAAATTAATATGAATTATATAATCAATTATTATTATTATTTTGAGATAGGGTCTTGCTCTGTCACTCAGGCTGGAGTGCAGTGGTATGATCTCAGCTCACTGCAACCTTTGTCTCCTGGGCTTAAGTGATGCTCCCACCTCAGCCTCCCGAGTAGCTGGAACCACAGGTGGGCACCACAACGCCCGACTAATTTTTTGTATTTTTGGTAGAGATGAGGTTTCACCATGTTGCCCAGGCTGGTCTCAAACTTCTGGGCTCAAGCAATCTGTCCACCTTGGCCTCCCAAAGTCCTGGGATTACTGGCATGAGCCACTGCACCTGGCCAGCAATTATTATTTTTTTAATGATTAGGCAAATAGCCTTCTTTCATTCTGTCCTTGTCCCTTCCCTTCCCTCACACTGTCCAGGCTACAGTTTCTTTTTACATAATGAAAGATTCTTTTACAGAATGAGATGGAGTTAGATGCTCTAAAGTCTTGCTGTTTCTCTACAACTCTCTTTCTCTTAGTCATTTGTCATCGACCTACCTAAACACTTTCTTTTATGGCTAATAGCTTATAAGAAGCATACACAAATACTTTGTCCACTCATTTAGTAATATAATTTCTCACCAGATGAGTTGTCATGTATAGATTATAGATTTGGTCAGAAAAGACTGTGCAGTGACCAAAGTTATAGCAATTTAGGACTCTTAGCTTGAGATCCAGAATGCGAAGCTCTGCTTACCTCCCCAGAAGTTTACTACTCCAGACTGAGGAATTCATCCCATAGATTGTCTTGGTCCACCCATAGAAGTTAATGTGTGGCACAGAGCGTCAAGATTTGGGAAAGGCTCAAACACAAACTGATATTCAACCAACAATAGCATCTCTGAACAAATGAAGGCAGGAGATACAAACAAAATCATATTATGACTTTTCACTCTCTTCTTGAAACATAATCATTGAATTGGCTTTTATTTTATCATGTGCATGTATTATCTTTTAGAAAGCACTAAAAACAATTGTTAAACTTTTAAAAGTATAAGGACAATAGAATAATTATTGAGAGTCCAAATTCTCCCAGGAGATTTGAATTATTTGAGAGCTTTTTCCTCTACTTCTAATATCCACACTAAAGTGTTTGATATGATGAGACAGTAAACATATGCAGCCTGTATAATCTGAATTACTCTCCTGACTAAAAGGTAGAGATAGAGTCGCTGAGGCCCAACACCCCTGACAACTATTGAGCTCCTAGTTGTTAGATGCTGCTACTCTCACTAGATTTTGAGATATGCATAGTCTCTGCCTGAGTATGTGGGGATGCAGTGTGACCTAGAGGAGGGAGATCTGGGAAAGGCTCAACGTGGAACTGGTATTCAACCAGCAATAGCATCTCTGAGCAAATGAAGGCAGAAGATGCAAACAAACGTTAAGTTCAGAGTCCGCTGACATTGGAAGCAAGCCAGGTGAAAACCGTTCACGTGGATCTTCAAGGGAGTCAGGCATTTCTTAGAGTTGCCATCAGCATTTCTTCTTTTCTGGAATGTAAAGTTTCCTTCACTTTGTATGTAACTAGGGCTCTATCTGTATCCAGAGAGGGTGAAATGCTTTCCAAATTATAGCTATCTCTCCCTTTCTGCAAAAAAAAAAAAAAAAAAAAAAAAAAAAAAAGACAAAAAATAAAAAAAAGTGACAATGTGAGGTTTTCAAAACTGCATTTTACAAAAGAACTATGCATTTACTTTATAATTTCAAATGCTATATTTTCCATTTTTGGTTAATCTGTAATTAATTGTGGCTCCTAACTCATCGGGTTTCCTACAGTCCCCTTCATCTTTTCTCCAACCTTTATGTTAAACAGTTAATGCTCTATACATTATATAAATACCCTTCTGAAATTCAGTGCCCAAGGAAAAACCCACTTTTAAAGAGAGGGATTCTGAATAATAACCACCCCTTGTTTTGAAAATACAGGTTTTCATAAAACAGCATTTGTAAAAGCAGGTCCACCTCTAGAGAACATGTGACAAGTATCTAGCAGATGTCATTACTGCAAAGTACTCCCCTCAAAACCCTTAAATTTTCACTTCTTCTGGATTTGCCGCTTTAATGGAAGAGCCCACCATGGCGACACATGCTCTGCCTCTCAAAGTGTGGTCTGCAAGGCTTTGCCAGATGGTCTCCTTCAGAGTAAATGCTTTCAATATGATAATGTTTATATTTGTGATTCTGGCATGAACTAATAATTTTCTCATGATAGTTAATAAAAAACAGATTATTTCATTTCTATCTCATAAAACCCAGTACCTTTCCTCCCATTCTATCTGATGAGGGTGATTTTTTTTCCCATTGGTGAGGTAGCAGTGAGTGTGGGGAGGATTATGGAGCTGCAGCTGTCTCCACGGCTGAAGTGGTGTCCAGCCTAGAATTTGAGATCCCCTCCTCCTCCTCACAAAGGTCAGGCTTGCAATGCATCAGAAAAGGATAGTTTGTCAGGGTAACAGAGACCAGGGCTCCAACATAAACAATCTCTTTGAAACTTCAAGGTTTACCTTTTAGCTGTAATATTCCGGAATTTGGTGGCTGAGTCTGGGGCTCTCTGGCCGTATCCATCATGTTTTCTTAGAGGCTGATCATATTCCCTTCTAATCCTTCATTTTTCCAGTCTAGAATACTTATTTTATAACTCTTGCCACAGCAGAGGGGTGAGGGGTAGGGCGACTTTTCATCCTTTGACCTTTTTTTATTTTAAAACTTTTTTGGACTCTTTGTATTTAGGAGACGAGGTACTAAATTTTATCTGTGTAGCCCTCTTTTCCTGTGGATATTTGGCTAACAGAAACTGGTCCTGGTGGGCAGCAATAGTAGGGATGGTATGAAGATGGATGGCCTACACTTCAAAGGGTGACTTGATAGAAAAAGATATGGAAAATTAGTTTGGAGTGTGGCTGGAGATTATAATGCCACTAGTTTACTCTTCTTCAAAGGAATGTGAAGTAGGGAGTGGGAAAAGGTTAGATTTCCCTGAGAGAGAAGGAAAGCTTTGGGGTCTTTTGGCGAGAGCTAGGATGCATTAACTTTCTTTTTTTCTTTTCTTTTCTTTTTTATTTTTTTAAAGACAGAGTCTCACTCTGTCGCCCAGGCTGGCGTGCAGTGGCTCGATCTCAGCTCACTGCAACCTCTGCCTCCCAGGCTCAAGTGATTCTCCTGCCTAGCCTCCTGAGTAGCTGGGATTACAGGCGCCTGCCACCATGCCCAACTAATTTTTGTTGTTGTTGTTAGTAGAGACTGGGTTTCACCATGTTGGCCAGGGTGGTCTCAAACTCCTGACTTCAAGTGATCCGCCTGCCTCGGCCTCCCAAAGTGCTGAGATTACAGACATGAGCCACCATGCCTGGCTGCATTAACTTTATTTCTTTCAGTACTAAACTCAATACAAGGGTAGACTTTTCTCTTTGTTGCCAGCATCTCACCATCTACTCATTCTGTAACCTACTGGAATTTAGCTTCCACTTCTAACCTGTCATTGAATCTGCATCCTTAAAGATCACCAATGGCCATCAAATTGATACAGGCTATGAGATTCAGCCTCACTCTACTCATCCTTCTGTATGATTTCACATAAAAGTCTCTCTACCGTTGGGTTCTCTAGCAATGTTGTGCTTGTCTCTGGCTTCTCTGTTTCTTCTCATTCTCATGTGTTGACAACTCCTCCTCTTTCTTCTCCTCCATTAAAGCCATCTCCTAAGGTTCTGTCATTGGTGCCTTTGTTTTTGCTGTTGTTGCTGCTGCTGCTGTTTCTTCCATGGTGTTACCACCCTCTCCACTGTCTTCAAATGTCATCTTTGCTCCAACAAGTCTCATCATGAACTTTCTTCTGAGCTTTGGAATACATTTTCAGTTTTCTACACGACAGCATTTTCTTTTTCTTGTTTTTTTTTTTTTTTTTTTTTTTTTGAGACAGAGTCTTGCTCTGTCGCCCAGGCTGGAGTGCAGTGGCACGATCTCAGCTCACTGCAACCTCCACTTCCCGGGTTCAAGCAATTCTCCTGCCTCAGCCTCCTGAGTAGCTGAGATTACAGGCGCCCGCCACCACGCCCAGCTAATTTTTTTGTATTTTTAGTAGAGACGGGGTTTCACCATGTTGGTTAGGCTGGTCTCAAACCCCTGACCTCATGATCTACCCGCCTCGGCCTCCCAAAGTGCTGGGATTGTAGGCGTGAGCCACCACGCCCAGCCAGAGCATTTTCTTCTAGACAGGAAACTATTGTGATCCACCTGGTGAGGATGCTAAGAATCTGCACAAGGATGTTAAGAGTGGAAAAGACAGGAGAGAGTCATAAAAATATTTGGCAGATAAAATAAACAGAGCTCTTTGATGGATTAACTATCCAAAGAGCAAGAGGAAGAAAAAGAAGTAGGAGAGCTAGAAGGGGACAAAGCTGACCCCAAGTTTTATAGGTTAGGTAAGTTGGAGGATAGGTGTGCCCTTACTGGAGTAAGAAATACATGGTAAGGGTCAGATTTAAGGGAGAAGATGATGACTTCAGTTTAGGACATTTGGAACATACCTCATCTCTGTCTTTTTTGCCTTTTGAGTCTTCCCTTCTGTCTTAGTCTGTTTTGTGTTGCTGTAACAAAATACCCGAGACTATATCATTTATAATAAACAGAAACTTATTTGGCTCATGGTTCTAAAGGTGGGAAAGTCTAAGATCAAGGGGCCAGCATCTTGTGAAGGCTTTCTTGCTGCATCATCCCATGGCAGAAGGTGGGAGGGCAAGAGAACACATGAGAGACAGAAGGGGAAGCGGGCTTAACTCATCTTTTTATGAAGATCCTGCTCCTGAGATAACAAAGCCATGCCTGTGATAACGGCATTAATCCATTTCTGAGGGCAAAGACCACATGAGCTAATCACCTCTTCAAGGTACTGTCTCTCAACACAGCTACATTAGGGATTAAGTTTTCAACACATGAACTTTGGGAGATTCAAACCATAGGACTTTCTTAGTGCTGCTAGAATTATCTTCCTAAAATGCAGATCTAATTCATGCCATTCGCCTCAAAATTTTTTGTTAGCTCTTACTAACTACAGAGTAGTTTAGGCATTCAGTCTCCTTGACAGGGATTTGAAGCCCTACACAAGCTGTCTTTGTTTGGTTTCATTGTAATCTTCTAGCACAACAGAATCCACCAAGCAATTTCTCACCTTCTTGCCTTTGCTCAAGCTGTTCTCTCAATCTGGAATGCCCTCCCCAATTTTTCTGTGTATGGAAATCCCACTCATTCTTTAGATTGCAGCTTGCATGCTACATCCTCCATAATGCCTCCTCCCACCACAGTTAGAATCTGTCATTCTTTATTCAATATTTTCACAGCAATTTATGTGTATTTTTCCTTGTATTATAATGCATATGCTCAAACACGCATTTCTTCTATTGGTTAGTAAACTCCTTAAAGCTGGGAAATGTATCTTATTTATTTCCATTCCTTATCAGCTGCCAACACACGATTTTCCATATATTTGTTGCTCATTAAATAATAAATGAAAAAGAGAGGGAGACATTGATCATGGTTAGCGTGGAGGGGGAATCTTGGGGGGAGAAATGGTTGGTAAGGTAGGCTGGGACTTGCTTTAGAATATGTTCAACTGGGATGGAAACTTTGGGCTCTGAAGAAAAGGGATAGGGAATAATGATGAGGGTGGCAATGGATTATGGGTAATGTGAAGGGCTTATATTTAAACAAAGGATCCTGTGATACAAAATCATTCGTGTACACATTTAGCTTCTTATCCACAGGCAGATAAACCAAATTGTTAAGTCCTTCGGCAGGAAATTATTACTCTGCCCATTTAATTGTAACCCCAACTCTTGAATATTTCACTATTGCTGCTACTATGTCTATTGTCTGATGCCATAAAGAGATGGGACCTTGGCTGGGCGCGGTGGCTCACACCTCTAATCCCAGCACTTTGGGAGGCCAAGGCGGGTGGATCACGAGGTCAGGAGATCGAGACCATCCTGGCTAACACGGTAAAACCCCGTCTCTACAAAAAATTAGCAATTCTACAAAAAAAAATTAGTAATTCTACAAAAAATTAGCCAGGTGTAGTGGCAGGCGCCTGTATTCCCAGCTACTCGGGAGGCTGAGGCAAGAGAATGGCGTGAACCCAGTGGGCGGAGCTTGCAGTGAGCCAAGATAGCGCCACTGTACTCCAGCCTGGGCAACAGATTGAAACTCTGTCTCAAAAAAAAAAAAGAGAGATGGGACCTTGACGAATAGTATGGTGATGATCTATGGTGATAATCTATTGCTATGCCCATTTATTTAATTGTAGAAAAGGTGAGCAAGGAGGTATTCATTCTGATTAATAAGATATCTTTGACCCTTAGTTTTTCTTTTCATACATTTTCATCAATCTGTTTTTATATTAAATAGAACAAAGAAAAAATGAAAAATTTTGTCTTTAAACAATTATTTTAATGGGTACATAGTAGGTATATATACTTATGGGGTAGATGAGATAATTTGATGCAGCATGCAATGCATAACAATCACGTCAGGGTAAATGGGGTATCCATCACCCAAGCATGTATCCTTTGTGTTGCAAACAATCCAATTATTCTCTTTTAGTTATTATAAAATGTACAATTAGATTATCATCGACTATAAGACACACTGTTGTGGTATCAAATACTAGGTCTTATTCATTCATTTTTTTTTTTTTTTTTGGTACCCATTAGCCATTCCCACTTCCCCCTAACCCCCTAGAACCCTTCCCAGACTCTGGTAATCATTCTTCTACTCTCCATCTCCATGAGTTCAATTGTTTTAACTTTTAGATCCCACAAATATGTAAGAACATGTCAAATTTGTCTATGTCCAGCTTATTTCACTTAACATAACAATCTCCAGTTCCATCTATGCTGTTGCAAATGATTGGATCTCATTCTTCTTTATAGCTGAATAGTACTCCATTGTGTATATTTACCACATTTTCTTTATCCTTTCATCTGTTGATGGACACTTAGGTTGCTTCCAAATCTTGGCTATTGTGAACAGTGGCGTGAGAAATATGGAAGTGCTGATACCTCTTCAATATACTGATTTCTTTTCCTTTGGGTATATACCTAGCAGTGAAATTGCTGGATCATATGGTGGCTCTATTTTTAGTTTTTTGAGGAACCTCCAAACTGTTCTCCATAGTGGTTGTACTAATTTACATTCCCACCAACAGTGTACTAGGGTTCCCTTTTCTCTACATCCTCACCAGCATTTGTTGTTGCCTGTCTTTTGGATAAAAGCCATTTTAACTTGGGCGAGATGATATCTCATTGTAGTTTTGGTTTGCATTTCTCTGATGATCAGTGATCACTTTTTCATAAACCTGTTTGCCATTTGTATGTCTTCTTTTGAGAAATATGTATTCAAATCTTTTGCCCATTTTAAAATCAGATTATTATAATTTTTTTTCTATGGAGTTGTTTGAACTCCTTATATATTCTGATTACTAATCCCTTGTCAGATGGGTAGTTTGCAAATGTTTTCTCCCATTCTGTGGGTTATCTCTTCACTTTGTTTGTTTCCTTTGGTGTGGAGAAGCTTTTAACTTGATGTGATCCCATTTGCCCATATTTGTTTTAGTTGCCTGTGCTTGTGGGGTATAACTCAAGAAATCTTTGCCCGCTCCAGTGTCTTGGAGAGTTTTCCCAATGTTTTCTTTTAGTTTCATATTTTGAGATCTTAGATACTAGTCTTTAATCCATTTTTATTTGATTTTTGTATATAGTGAGAAATAAGGGTCTAGTTTTATTCTTCTGCATATGGATATCTAGTTTTCCCAGTGCCATTTATTGTAGAGACCATCTTTCCCCCCAAGGTATGTTCTTGGCACCTTTGTCAAAATGAGCTCACTGTAGATGCCTGGACATGTTTCTGGTTCTCTATTTTGTTCCATTGGTCTGTAGGTCTGTTTTTATGCCAGTACCATGCTGTTTTGATTACTACAGCCATGTAGTGTAATTTGAAGTCACATAATGTAATTCCTCTAGTTTTGTTTTTATTGTTCAGGATAGCTTTGGCTATTCTGGGTCTTTTGTGGTTCTATATACACTTTAGAATTTTTTTTTTCTATTTCTTTGAAGAGTGCTGTTGGTATTTTGGTAAGGATTGCATTGAATCTGTACATTGCTGTGGGTAGTATGGACATTTTAACAATATTGATTCTTGCAATCCACAAACATGGAATACCTTTCTTTTTTGTGTCCTCTTCAATTTCTTGCATTAAGGTTTTATAATTTTCATTGTAGAGATCTTTCACTTCTTTGATTAATTTCTAGGTATCATTTTATTTGTAGCTATTGTAAATGGGATCCCTTTTTAAATTTCTTTTTCAGACTGTTTGCTGTTGGCATATAGAAATGCTACTGATTTTTGTACGTTGATTTTGTATTCTGCAGCTTTACTGAATTTATCAGTTCTAATAGTTTTTTGGTGGAGTCTAGGTTTTTTAAAATATAAGGTCCTATCATCTGCAAACAAGGATAATTTAACTTCTTTCTTTCCAATTTGGATGCCCTGTCTTTCTCTTGTCTGATTGCTCTAGCTATGGCTTCCAGTACTATGTTGAATAACAGTGGTAAAAGTAGGCATCTTTGTTGTGTTCCATATCTTAGAGGAAAAGCTTTCAGTTTTTCCCCATTCAGTATGATACTAGCTGTGGATCTGTCATATATGGCTCTAATTATGTTGAGGAGTATTCCTTCTGTGCCCAGTTTTTTGAGGTTTTTTTTTTTTATCATGAAGTGGTGTTGAATTTTAACAATGCTTTTTCCGCATTAATCAAAATGATCATATGGTTTTTGTCTTCTATTCTGTTGATATGATATATTACATTGATTGATTTGCATATGTTGAGCCACGTTTACATTCCTGAGATAAATCCCACTTGGTAATGATGAATAATCCTTTTAATGTGTCATTAAATTCAGTTTGCTAGTGTTTTGTTGAAGATTTTTTCATCAATATCAGTGACATTGATCTTTAGTCTCCCTTCCTCCCCGCTTCTTTCCCTCCCTCCCTCCCTTCCTTCCTTCCTTCTTTCCTTCCTTCCTTCCTCTCTCTCTTTCTCTTTTTCTTTTCCTTCCTTCCTTCCTTCCTCTCTCTTTTCCTTTTGCTTCCTTCCCTCCTTCCTTCCTTGCCACCCTCCCTCCCTCCTTCTTTCTTGTTTTTCTTTCTTTCATGCCTTTGTCTCGTTTTGGTATCAGTGTAATACTGACCTCTTAGAATGAATTTAGAAGTATCCCCTTCTCTCTGTTTCAGAATAGTTTGAGTAGGATTGGTATTACTTCTTAAATGTTTGGTAGAATTCAGCAGTGAAGCCATCATGTCTCAGGCTTTTTTTTGCTGTGGGACTTTTTATTACCACTTTGATCTCGTTACATGTTACTAGTCAAATAACATTCAAGTTATTGGTTCAAGTAACTGGGTTTCTACATGGTTCAATCTTGATAGGTTGTATGCATCTAGAACTTTATCCATTTCTTCTGGATTTTCCAATTTACGGGTATCTAGTTGCTCATAATAGCAACTAATGAGCCTTTGAATTTCTGCAGTATTAGTAGTAATGTTTCCTTTTTCAACTCTGCTTTTATTTATTTGGATCACCTCTCTTTTTTTCTTAGCTAGTCTGGTTAAAGGTTTGTCAAATTTGTTTAGCTTTTCAGAAAACCAACTTTTAATTTCATTGATCTTTTGTATTGTTTTCTTCATTTCAATTTCATGTATTTCTGCTCTAATCCTTATTTCTTTTCTTCTTCAAATTTTGGGTTTAGTTTGCTCTTGCTTTTGTAGTTCTTTAATATACATCATTTGGTTATTTACTTGAAGTTTTTCTTCTTTTTTGATGCAGGCACTTATAGTTATAAACTTCCCTGCTTTTGCTGTATCCCATAGGTTTTGGTATGATGTGTTCCAATTATCATTTGTTTCAAGACATTTTTCAACGTTCTTCTTAATTTCTTCATTGACGCACCGACCATTCAGAAACATATTGTTTGATTTCTATGTATTTGTATAGTTTCCAAAATTCCTCATTATTGATTTCTAGTTTTATTCCAATGTGGTTAGAGGAGATGCTTGATTTTATTTAAATTTATATGTGTTTGTTTCATGAACTAACATATGGTCTATCCTTCAGAATGATTCATGTACTGAGGAGAAGAATGTGTTTTCTATAGCCATTGGATATAATGTTCTATAAATATCGATTAGGTCCATTTGGTCAATAGTGCAGATTAAGTTCAATGTTTAGTTGTTAATTTTCTGTCTGGAAGATATATCCAACGCTGAAGGTGGGATGTTGAAGTCTCCAGCTATTATTGTATTGGGGTCGATGTCTCTCTTTAGCTCTAATAATATTTGCATTATATACCTGGATGCTCCAATGTGTGTGTGTGTGTATATATATATATATATATATGTATATATATTTCAAATTGTTATATCCTCTTGCTGAATTGACCCCTTTATCATTATATAGTGACCCTCTTTGTCTCTTCTTATAATTTTTGAAAACTATTTTGTCTGATATAATTATAATTACTCCTGCTCTTTTTTGGTTTTCATTAGCATGAAATATCTTTTTCCACCCTTTATTTTCAGTCTATGCTTGTCTTCATAGGTGAAGTGTATTTCTTGCAGGCAACAGATCATTGGGTCTTGTTTTTTCATTTGTCTGTTTTAAAATCTATTCAGCTGCTCTATGTCTTTTAATCGGAAAGCTTAGTCCATTTACATTCAGTGTTATTATAGACAAGTGAGGATTTATTCCTGTCATTTTGTTGTTTGTTTTCTGGTTGTTTTGTGGTCTTCCTTCTTTTTTTTTCATTCCTGTCTTCGTTTTAGTGAAGGTGATTTTTCACTGGTGATATGATTTAGTTTCTTACTTTTTATTTTTTGTGTATCTGTTATATGTTTTTTGGTTTGAAGTTACTATGAGATTTGTAAATACTATCTTATCACCCATTTTTTTATTTTTATTTTTTTGAGACAGAGTCTCACTCTGTTGCCCAGGCTGGAGTGCAGTGGTGCAATCTCGCTCACTGCAACCTCCAACTCCCGGGTTCACACCATTCTCCTGCCTCAGCCTCCCGAGTAGCTGGAACTACAGGTGTCCACCACCACACCCAGCTAATTTTTTGTTATTTTTAGTAGAGACGGGGTTTCACTGTGTTAGCCAGGATGGTCTCGATCTCCTGACCTCATGATCTGCCCGCCTCGGCCTCCCAAAGTGCTGGGATTACAGACATGAGCCACCGTGCCCGTCCATCACCCATTATTTTAAACTGGTAACAACTTAACACTGTTAGCCTAAAAAATCAAACAAGCAAACAGAAAACTAATAAAGACTCTACACTTTACCTTCATCTCCCACTTTTTAACTTTTTGTTGTTTCTATTTATCTTCTATATTATCTATGTCTTGAAAAGTTGTTGTAGTTATTATTTTTAATTGGTTCATCTTTTAGTCTATTTAATATGAGAATAGTTTACATATCAGTTACAGAGTTATAATATGCTGTTTTTTTTCTGTGTATTTACATTACCAGTGAGTTTTGTACCTTCAGATGATTTTTTTTATTGCTCATTAACATCCTTTTTTTCCTGATTAAAGAACTCCCTTTAGCATTTCTTGTAGGACAGTTCCATTGTTGATAAAGTCCCTCAGCTTTTTTCTGGGAAAAATCTTTATTTCTCCTTCATGTTTGAAGGATATTTTCACCAGATACACTATTCTAGGGTAAAAGTTTTTTTTTTTTTTTTTTTTTTCCTTTAGCTCTTTAAATATGTCATGCCACTCTCTCTTGGGCTGTAAGGTTTCCACTGAAAAGTCTGCTGCCAAACATATTGGAGCTCCATTGTATGTTACTTGTTTCTTTTCTCTTGCTGCTTTTAGGATCCATTCTTTATCTTTGACCTTTGGGAGTTTGATTTTTAAATGCGTTGAGGTAGTCTTCTTTGGATTAAGTTCACTTGGTGTTCTATAACCTTCTTGTACTTGAATGTTGGTATCTTTCTCTAGGTTTGGGAAGTTCTGTGTTATTTTCCCTTTGAATAAACTTTCTACCCCTATCTATTTCTCTACTTCTTCTTTAAGGCCAATAACTCTTAGATTTGCCCTTGTGAGGCTTTTTTTCTAGATCTTGTAGGAATGTTTAATTCTTTTTAATTCTTTTTTATTTTATCTCCTCTGACTATGTATTTTCAAATACCCTGTCTTCAAGGTCAACAATTCCTTCTGCTTGATCAATTCTGCTGTTAAGAGATTCCGTTGCATTCTTTAGTATGTCAATCACATTTTTCAGCTCCAGAATTTCTGCTTGATTCTTTTTATTTCCATCTTTGCTAAATTTGTCTGACAGAATTCTGATTTCCTTCTCTGTGTTATCTTGAATTTCTCTGAGTTTCCTCAAAACAACTATGTTGAATTCTTTGCCTTCAAGGTCACTTATCTCTGTTGCTCCAGGATTGATCTTGGTGCCTTACTTAGTTCATTTGGTGCGGTCATGTTTTCCTGGATGATCTTGATGCTTGAGGATGTTCAACAATGTCTAGGCATTGAAGAGTTAGGTATTTATTTTAGTCTTTGTAGTCTGGGCTTGTTTGTACCTATCCTTCTTTGAAAGGCTTTCCAATTCTTTGAAGGGACTTGAGTGTTGTGATCTAATTTGTATCTGCATTACGGGACTCCTCCAGCCCAATAATGCTATGGTTCTTGCAGGAGGTAGAGGTACCGCCTTGGTGATCTTGGATAAGATCCAGAAGAATTCTCTGGATTACCAGGTAAATACTTTTGTCTTCTTCCCTTACTTTCTCCCAAACAGAGTCTCTGTGTGTGTTCTGAGCTGCCTGGAACTGGGGATAGAGTGACATAAGCAACCCATCGCACTACCACTGGGACTACACTGGGTCAGACCTGAAGCCAGCACAGCACTGGGTCTTGCCAAAGGCCTACTGTAACTACTGCCTGGCTCTACTTATGTACTTATGTTTGCTCAGGGCCCTAGGGCTGTACGATCATCAAGTGAAGCTAGCCAGGCTTATGTCCTTCCTTTCAGGTCAGTGAGTTCCCCCAGGACCCAGGCAGGCCCAGAGATGCTCTTCAGGAGTCAGGGCCTGGAGTCAAAAACTTTAGAAATCTGCCTCATGCTCTCTTCTACTGTGGCTAAGCTGGTGCTCAAGCCACAAAACAAAGTCCTTCCCACTTTTCCTTTCCCTTTGCACAGGCAGGGGTGCCTCTCTCCATAGCCACCACTACCATCACGTGCCCACAATATGGTGGGTACCGCCAGGTGACTGCTGATGTTCCCTTAAGGCCCAAGGGCTCTTCAGTCAGCTTGTGGTGAATGCTGCCTGGCCTGGGACTCACCTGTCAGGGCAGTGGGCTCCCCTTTGGCCCAGGGCAGGTCCAGAAATGCTGTCCATGAGCCAATGTCTAGAATCAGGAACCTCAAGAGCCTGCTTGGTGCTCTACCCCACTGTGGTCAAGCTGGTACCTAAGGTTCAAGACAAAGTCCCCTTTTGTTTTTCCCTCTGCTTATCTCAAGCAGAAGGAATCTCTCACAGTAGGCACCACAGCTCAGAATGTTCTGGGTCTTATCTGAAGCCAGCAAATCTCAGTCTCACCCAAAGTTCTTGATGTACTATCTGGGTATCGCTGCTGGTTATGCAGGACCCAAGGGATCTTTAGTCAGCAGGTGATGAATGTTGCCAGGAATGGCTCCCTCTCTTCAAGGCAGCAATTTCTTTCTGGCCCAGGATGTGTCTAGAAACGTCCGTGAGCTAGGGCCTGGAATCGGCGCCTTATGACTCTGCCCAGTGCCCTGTGCTACTGTGGCTGAACTGTTATCCAAGTTACAAGACAAAGCCCTCATTTCTCTTCCCTTTTCTCTGCTCAAATGGAAGGAAGTGGTCCATTTTGGAGCTGTAAGCTGTACTGCCTGGGGTTGGTGGAGGGTTGGCATGGGCACTCCCTTAGCTGCCCTGGCTGGTGTCTCAGTAGGTCGTATACCCTCTAAGTTCACTGGTTTCAAGTCCAGCACAGCACTAAGACTTGCCATTCTTGTGGCCTAAGCTGCCTTTTGAGTTTATTTAGGATTTCTGAGCGCTTTAGCTCACAATGGTGTGTCTTGCCTGAACTCAAGTTCCGACCACTTGGATAGGCAATTCCCCTCTGGCTAGGGCTGTTCTAAATGCTGCCAGCATGAGTGGGCATCTGTTGAGTTCAGCCTAGTTTTGTTTTCCACTGTAACAAGGCAGCACTGAGGTCAGTGCAGGGTCCCACAATCGCTGTGCTCTCACTCCCCCAAGTACACAGATCCTGCGTGCCACGTGGCCGCTGCTGGGGGCTGGGGAGGGATGGTCTTGGCAATTTAAGACTGTCTTTTCTACCCTCTTCAGTGCCTTTTTCAGTAATATGAAGTTAAAACCAGGTGCTGTGATTGCTCACCTGATTTTTGGTCTTTATGAAGGTTTTGTGTGTGTGTGTGTGTGTGTGTGTGTGTGTGTGTGTGTAGTTGTTAAATTTGGTGTTTCTGGTGGGGGAAAAAGAGGACGATTGGTGAATGCTTCTATTCGACCAGCTTGCTCCACCCTTGAAAAATATTGTCTTTTAATATGAATCCTAGAATAATAAAATTGATGACCTTCCTTCTGGGTGGTCCCACACATACATATTTATTATGTTTCTATCTTTATTATGTATGTACCTATGCATTCTTTATATATACATTCTATGTATCCATGTGGCCATCCTATCCATCAGTCCATCTTTATCCCAATCTTCCATTAATAATACAACTGCTAGTTGTGTGTCAAAGATGGGAAGAAACAGAGAAAACCCCTATGCTGAATATTTTAATTTTCAATTATCTGTTATGAGTGCACCTACTCCTTGTCCAGCCCCATATTCCTGGGGGAGTTATATGCACAGAGAAGATGTCAGACAAATGTAATCTTTTTATTCCTAGTTGGAGTATGGCTCACAACCCCTTTCATGGTGAGTTTGGACCTAAGAGAGCCACTGGGATGCCTTTTGCTTGGGCTTGAGGCTGCCTGCAGAGGCCTGGGTGGTAACTTGTCCCTATCAGCCCTGTTTTGGCTCTCATATGGCTTTCCTAGGTCAAAGAGGCTATGGTGGAAGGCAGTGCACAACCCTCTCCAGTGGCTTCTCCCTAAAAAGTCCTAGAAGAGCTACATCCCATCAGAGAAATAACACACCCCCAATATGGGAGGACTCTAAAGAGGCCCTGCTACATGAATGAGAAGGCTTTGCCTGCCTCTTAATGTGCCAACTCCTCCATTTCTTAGCATCATGACACAGTGCTGTCCTTGGCTCTGCCCAAGACCATCAGTCCTTCTCAAGAGTAGGGGGCCAGGAGTGGAGGGGAAGTGCGCTGAGTTAACCCAGCAGGGTGGATGGGTAACCAACATTGACCTGGAGGCTAAAGACATGGCAACATTCACACCAAATATGATCATTGTATTGGATACCACTTGTTCCCCATCTCACAGACTCACCTTATTCTACCTTTTGTTGTAGCAACCAGCTCGGGTCAGATGTCATTGACAGGACCTCCTCTTGGCTTCACCAAGTCGCTCTTGCTGCCTGCCCAGGGCTTCTTTGCCACCTCAATATTTAGTGTATTCTTTCATTATGTTAAAACTAAATAAAATGTTTCATTATACCTGCTATAAGAAACCATTTACTCTTCTACAGAAAACATATGAAAAGTGGTTGTCAGAGCTCAGTGGTCACAGTGGCACTGGTGACTTTGAGGAGGCTGGAAGCAATTGGGATGGGAAATGGAGGGAGCAGAGTTGGAGAGATGAAAGTGGGCAGGGCAAAGCCTCTCTATCCATCTGGCAAACCCCTAACTCATCAAACCAGATCAAACAGTTCAGTAAAATATGTTTAAGCCACCCTCAAGACGACTGCAGGCATTCCAAGCATGGAGAGTTAGCTCTAACCAGACAAGGAAAACTTTAAGCCGGGCGCAGTGGCTCGCGCCTGTAATCCCAGCACTTTAGGAGGCCAAGGCAGGAGTATCACTTGAGGTCAGGAGTTCAAGACTGGCCTGGCCAACATGGTGAAACTGCGTCTCTACTAAAAAATATAAAAATTAGCTGGATATGGTGGCATGCATCTGTAATCCCAGCTACTCGGGAGGCTGAGGCAGGAGAATTGCTTGAACCTGGGAGGTGGAGGTTGCAGTGAGCCGAGATCATGCCACTGTACTCCAGCCTGGGAAACAGAATTGAGACTCTGTTTCAAGAAAGAAAAAAGAAGAGAAAAACTTTAGATCTCCCAACCTTTGAAGTGAGCAGAAAAATCTTTTTAGTCATTCTTTTCCCTTCACTGAGCCTGTTGTGACTTGAAAATATTGAGGTGCCATTTTTGCTGTAACTGCCTTACAAGGATTCTGCCTTGCAACCATCTCTTTCAAAAGGCTGACTTTTTCTTGTTTACAACAAGTTGTAGAATCATAGTTGATTATATGTTATATTAGAGTGGGAAGGGGCCTTAGAGATCATTTAGTTCAGCGCCTCTTTTCATAAGATGCTTAACGGTATGTCTTAATCACAGCCCTAGTTTGTGTCTGAGCCAGGTTTGTAACTCAGGTAGCCTGACTCCAAGTAATCCAAATTTTCTCACTATACAGGGTAAAAAACCACCTATAAAGAATTGTGTAGGGGGAAATGATTTTGAAGTGTGAATTGAAGCAGATTCTCTGCTCCAGGTTTATAATTCTACTGAAAACCAAGAACTAATGAACTAATACTTAGCTGTATGAGAAAGGAATTCCAGGGGAATATAGCAATTGGTTTTTCTTTTCCCTTTTGCACCTCCTATCAGTGTGAGCAGGATCTGAATTTTCCTGTTTTACAGATTCAACTACAAAGAAAGAATTATGAACAGAAACTCTACTACTTCATAAAGAAGAAGAGGCCTTGATTAAGAAATAACCCTTCAGATGTTGTACAGGGAAAAACGGGGTGCCCCAATTTCTGGGAGTCACCCCACTTCACTTACCCTGGGGCCTGTTTTACAGGCATTTGCCTGCTTAGTTAATTGTAGTTATTCCCAAAATAAACCCCATTTTGTGTGGGACTCTTCTATTCTGAGGGAATGATGTAAGCAAGAATATTGGCTGGAGTATCTTGAATATCTGTGATAGATGGCTCCTTAGAATGAATCTTAAATCTCCAAGGGACTCCTTTTATCTTGTGATTTTGCTCACAGGTTCTAAGCTGCTGCTGGGAAGGGTTCCAGTTCTATATTCTCTGTCTTCTGGAAGCACTGATGAAATCACTCAGCTGCTACCCGCTTCCATCTCTCACTAAGCACCTCTTGGCTCTCCTTCGTCCCCACAGACTGAAGGCATGGAGGTGACTAATGAGATGTGTCTTCCCCTTCAAATTGTTCACAAGCCCCACATGACCTTTGGCAGGCAGGGGTTCTACTGTGGTGTTTCTGACTGTGGATAAGGGGACATATGTGCTCACCATGGTTTGCTATTTCTCCTTGCTCTCCTGTGACCGGTGCGGCAGCTCAGTTAAATGGTCAGGCATGGTTCATTGGTGGCCCCCAAACAATCCATCAGCAGTGGACACATTATAGAAAACATGGCTTTGAGTCTTAGCTTAAACTATATTTATGTAGCATGACAGTAGGAGAAATATCTAATTGTGCTTGGATTAAAATTCAATCAAAGGCCTCATGACTGGCTTGGAGATGCCGGGGTCCACACACCATGTTTTCCAGAGAAGTCAAGATGAGAGAGGATGTGGTCTGTTCTGTCATGAACAGTTCTGTTTCCAGACCATTTCTCAAAGTCACTGAAGGCCCATTTCTGGGGAAATGATTACTAAACTGATGATTATTTTCTTTGTATTGCTGGCTATTCTCAACTTCAGGGAAAATGTAAGGTAGCTGTGGAGTTTAAGGAAAAAAGAATGTGTACACAAAATGAGAAGCCACACCTGCCTGTAGCACTAGCAAAAATCAAAGAAGTCTGCCTTATTTTAACATTTTCAATAAACACCAGCCACCTCAACACAAAATTAGTATTTGAATCAAATTAACGTATTTGACTCAATCACCTAAAAAATAGCTATTGGATGAAAAAATAAAAGAGAAAATAGTGTCTAATTAGTGACTGGCCATTTTCAAAGTGGCTTCTCCTACATTATCTCATTTTTAAAAAAGTAAATTTGATCTTTTTAAATGTTAGAGTGAAGTGGTTCACAATTGCTTGAAATAAGCAAAGGACATTATATTTATAAGCATGCAAATTACAAACCAGGCAAAACAGTCTCTTCTGCTGCTTTATATATTTTTGTCAACCATCATAGATTCATGGAAAGGTCTCAAATAGATAGAACAAAATGGATTTTAAAAAATTGTTTGAACTTAGCGTGTTTTTCATTTCTTTCTCTCTCTGTCTTTGGTCTCAGTTTCTTTCTCTGGTACCTTCCCTTGAAAGGTGAACTATTATTACTTGCATTTGGATAGATTATTATTTAGTTTGCAAAACATACCATTTTTCCACTCATTAAAATCTCATAGTTGCCCAACTTCATTAAGATAAATGGAATTATTCATCTGTTTTCCCCCCTTTGGCTATGGGGTCAATGAAATGATGTTAAGCAGGAGAGGATAGGGCTGGCAAACACTTTTAAATGTCACTAAGTAATTTCAGGAAGGAGCTGGCCTGCCACTGTCCTGAATGATGGATATGCTCTCAACCTTAATGGCCATTAATGATGTACATAATAACAGTTTGCATTATAACCATCGCTGTTCAACACTTGAATTTTGTGACAGTTATAACCAGGAGTGGACACTTCTGAAATCTGATTAAAATACACAGAGAAGTAAAAAACAGAACAAAGCAAGACATAACCCTGAGACCAACAAGCAGCCAAGGATGGCAAACCAAAAAAGAAAAAGAAACAAGAGTATAGCCAACCTTTTTTTTTTTTTAATTAGAGTATATTATACTTTCAAACTGGATACACTAGAAATTGGCAATGCAACATAAGATGCAAAGGAATATACCAGTTACTGTCAAAATGACCCTGTACAGCCTCGTAATGCAAAAAGCTTTATACAATACAAATTTTCAGTAATGTACACAAACCTTGACAGTATGATCATCTGAACATAATATGAAGAGTTAAAAAAAGGATAGAAGAAAGAAAGTGCTGAGAACCCTAACTGCATTACTATATGGAAAAATAAGCTAGTTTTCATTGAAGAATGCATAGTGACAACAATTGAAGTTAGTTGGTAGGTGAATTTCTCAAAGATGTTAGTGTTTTATACGGAAAGGATATCTATGGAATACATCCTTCCCTGAGTATCAAACTGCAAACCAAATTCAGGGGTACATATTTTCTAGGGTGGAGTCTGAAAAATGCTGTAGATTTTTTTCTTTATTAATAACAATAATAATATAAAAAGTCAAACAAACTCCAAACACACCTTTTCTCACTCAGAAAACTTTTATAATTTACCAGAAAGATTGATGACTCTTTCCAAAGTGCTAAAAAAGTTGCCCAATTATATTAAGCATTACTAAGTCATTCAAATACAAGTTCAGTGGCAAGCAGTGAAATGCATGGCATTTGAGCAGTAAACGTCTCCTTCCTTCACCTCCTCTCGTTCTTGAAAGTTTCAACCCTAGACCTCCTATTGCACAAGTGGCATGCTGTAAAACCTATAGTCTGAATTGTCAGGGCCACCCTTTCAGGTTTTTAACCTGCTGGTGCTTAAGTGTGATTCGCCTTTTCTACCAGCCTCTGTGGGACTACTTTAGCCCTCTTTCCTGTCATCACTGAACTTGTAGTTTTGAAAACACATTATTAGCCAAGTGGCACATTCTCCATTATATGGGGATAAAGACATGACTTGAAAACAAAACAAAACAAAACAAAAAACCAACCCACCCATAAGCCCAGTATTCTTGGAGTGTATTGTCCATAACTATCTATAGTGTCTTTTACTGAGACATTGACGTGGCGAGGTTGAACATCGTTTCAAACCTGGCCAAGAGCAAAGGTCTCTGCTGGAGAATGACTGAGGGTTTGGGAGCTTCCCGCTCCCTGTGGGCATCTCCTTAGTGTAAACAGGTTTGCCAGGGCACCAAGTAGGCTCCCCATCCATGGCGGGATGACTGGCAAAGGGAGGTGTAGCACACCTACTAGGTGTGGGGAAGAGGGGCTGGCGTGGAGGGGACTGAGGAGACCATGGTGTGGACAGACAGTACAGTCTTCTGGCTTCCTGTAGAACTGTACTAATTTCCAGGGAGCTTTCAGCAAAGCAAACTGACTAGAGGAAGAACATTAGGGATGCTTTTATTTTCCCCTGGTGAAACAGATTTTAAAAAACCCCAACTCTTAGGATAACACATGATGGAAAACAGCAACACAGTAAGAAAATGTTCCTCCTGTACACCAGTTCTCCAATAGATAAATAATATATAAACTTTTATATTCCAAACTTCCCATTATTATACAAAGAACATTTCTTCCTGCTCTTTCAGCCTGTTTCATACTGGAAATTCTGTTGTTTTAAAAATACAAGCAATGAACATATTCAGCCAAAGATTTTTTTCCTTTTTTCTTTTTAAATCACCCATTACTTTTTAAGATTAGCAAAGAGCTTTACAACCAACCCACACCTGCTTCCTGCTGCAATAAAGTGCTGCACATAAATTGCCATTTTAATGACCACAAAATAAGAGCTTTTAAATAAGTATAAAGTTAGCCTCCTAGCAGGTTACATCTACCAGGCGTTAACAAAATGGAATACAGAATTACTAATAACATGGAGGATACCACGATTAGCCAGAAGATCGGCAAAACACAATGGAAACTTGTCAGGGGCATAAACTGAACCATAGGACTAAACAGCACCTTTTTGTTGCGTCATTATATGTCAAAGAGGTTGTGGCTAAATCTTCAAACATACAGTCTACTCATTCCATAAAAAAGGTACATTTTCTTCCTTTTATTTTACTTTTTTTTTTTCAGATGAGAAACAAAAACTAGTGCAAGACCATAGCACTGTGCAAAACTGCCATTTCTTTTTTTTAGTCTGAGCATTTATACCCAGAATTTATCCAAACCCCTTTTAATCTCCTTGGCTGGATTTATCAACCATAAATTTTTTCACCCATACATTTCTTTTTCCTGCAAACAAATGGTAACCACTGAATTAATACATCTCATATATATATATAATCTGCCCTTAAAAAATGATGCACTGTGTGTGTGCACCGTACACATTTGTCTACGTGTGGGCACACACACAAAACACACTTAAGTTCTGTGATGTTAGCTGCAGTGCTGCGAGATATTTCTTCCAGATCAGTCACTTGATTCCTCGCCTCTTCATCACCAGAGAAGATCTGAGCGCAAGGTCTCCAGCGCTCTGGCGGAAATCTCCAGCAGCACTGTAGATGGCTACCATTCCTTCATCGACTAAGCACCAGGCCCTACCACTCTGTAGCCATCAAAGAGAGAGGGAAAGGTGATGAAGGAGCACAGGGAGAGACTGTCGTGGATGAACAACCCAGGAGGGAAAAGAACGTTCATCGCTGTTAAAGAAGCCAGTACAAAGAATGTGCAATAGAAATGTCATGGCACACGACACACGGCTTTCTCTTTCAGAATCCACAAACGCCCACACACCGCATTCACCCAACAGAAAACCAAATGCACCAGTATATAAGCTTACAAGTGCTGATTGCTATTAAGGACACTCTCTTTAGGGTTTAACAAGACAAGATTCCTTTCAGAGAAAAGTACGGAGAAGGGCTGAGAGTGGGAGTGGGTGGCTGGGGAGGCATGCCTCTGAAGGTAGAAGTATGCAGTAGGTCACCTCTCTGAAGATTGGATAAAGCAGCTTTCAGGTCAATGCAATAGGTATACACACAGAGCCAATTTTCTATTCCTTACTAAAGATATACAGTACACATGTTCCAGACCCATCGGGGTCTGTAGGTTTTGCAGCAACATACACCTGCTGGGGTTGTGTTTAAGTTTTGTGGTTTTTTTTTTTTTTTTTGTCTTTTGTCTCTCTGTTTTTGGTACAGAACATGGCTGCCCTCAGACAGTCTCTGCTCTTTCTCTCAGTCCGAGATAGGCCAGGAAGGAGTGTTTGGGTGAGGGGATGCTGGGAGGCGCAGTCTGAGGTCGGGGAGGGTGGAATGTGAGATCCAAGTGGTTCTTGGGGTATAACATTGTCAAGGGAATGAGATGGGCAAAATCTGAGTTCCGGTACTTGTCAAAGCGCAAAGGGGAGCCGTTGAAGGCCAAAGCCTTGAGTGCCAGGTTGGGCTCTGAGCTGCTGCCGTGGGCTGCCGACAGGGCCACGGTCTGCAGAGCCTGGGAGGCAGACATAACTGACAGGGGAGACAGGAGATTCCGGGAGCTCCCGACCACCAGGAGCGGGGCCCCCGGGCCGGCCGGTTCCTTGGGGGCTGGACACAGGCCCTTCTTGTCCTCCTCGGGGCAGTCCCCACTCTGGTGCTTCTTGACGTGGCGGCTGAAGACGAAAGGGTGTGTGGTCTTGAACAGGCACTCTTCGCAGCTGAAGGTCTGGCGTGGGGCGTGCTTCAGCTTCTTGTGCAGGTTGAGATTGTCCTTGCGCTTGCAGCTGTAGCTGCACTGGTCACAGTGGAAGGGCCGCTCCCCGGTGTGGACGCGCACGTGCTCGATGAGCTTGTTGGCGGTCTTGGACAGGTAGCCGCACTGGTCGCACTTGTAGTGGTTGCCCAGGCGGTGCTCCCGGGTGTGCGTCTCCAGCTCCAGCTGGTTGGCCTTCACCGTCTGGCAGATCCGGCACTTGTACTCCATCTTGTAGTGGGTCTTGAGGTGGCACTCCATGGCAGCGGGGCGGTTGGTGGAATAAATGCAGAATGGGCACCTGCCGGGGAAAGCAACGCAAGGGAGGTTCAGCCGGGAAGGTTCGGAGGCAGCCGCGCTTCTCGCCGCCTCACCAGCCTTCCCTCACACCACCCCCCAGTGTCTGAGGCCTGGCCTGCCCAGCCCAGCCCAGCCCTGCCGCCTCTCAGGGGTGGAACGGCCCTTTTTGGCTCTCCCTGCTGACAGAGCAGTCCCCGCTGACAAGCAGCTCTGGCAAGGTCCGCTCAGCCTATTCTGGGTCTCTTGGCCGATACAGGCAAGGCCAGCCCTCACCAAGGGGAGCAGAGAAAGTGCCAGGAATCAATTTGCTGGTGCTCCCCTCCAGCCCCCGCCCGGCCCCTCGGAGCCCTCCCCACTCCCGACCAGACAGCGCAGAGGTCTAAACCTCCTGACCTCCCCTCTAGATGGGAGCAACACAAAGAATCGACTTTTCATGCACCACACCAAGCACACGCAGAAAGGCTAAGAGGTTTTAAAGAACAGCTTATAGGGGGAGCGCTACCTCCAGCAAACAGAAAGTCACAGGGGTCAGAATCGTGCTTATTAAGGGTTTGTTAGGATGAGAAGGCCTGTGTGTGTCTCTCTGTGTGAGTGTGTGCATGTGTACATATCTATGTACTCGTAAAACATATCTCCCTACAGGACTAGCTCTTTGTCAGGAAAGGAAGCTGAGGACTATGGCAGGGGCATGGGAGGAGAAGGAAGCCCACCCAACGGCCCATCTGCTAATGAGGAAGGGAGGAGGGAGGGAGACAACTGCTATCTGGAGCTCGAAGACATTATTAATACATGATTATGCCGGAGATAGGATAATAATCCAACTGGATTGGAAATTCTCAGAGGGCAGGACCATATCTTACATTTCCTCTGCATTCTCTGCAGTGCTTGGTAGAGTACTTAACACACGGTAAGCACTCAGGACATACTGGTTCATTATTTGAGTGGTCTCTACAGGCAATTTAGGTAGATTCTGGAAGGGCGGATGCTGGTCCCAGCTCCATCACCTTGTCAGGCTGGAGCTGGACACCCTAGCCTGGGCCTCTCTGTGGCTCGGTTTCTCCATCCTTTGCAGTGAGGCTACGCTACCACCAACCCTCCTGGCTGTCCAGAGGGGCCACGAGGAGTGGTGAGGCCATGTTAACAAACTCTGCTGAGCCTCTCTTTTAGAAGCTGCCAGGCTGGAGTCAGTGGCTTATATGAGAACTGTAGTGTGTTTGCTCTCTTTCCACAAAGAATGCAGATGCAAAAGTGGCTGCCTCAGCTCTTGCTTGGCTCCTGCAGGGCAGGGCTCAGGAGTGGACTGTCCTCGGAGGGTCTGGAGAGGTGTTCAGCAGAGCCCAACACAACCAAGTGCACCGTGCACGGCCTCCTCAGCGCCAAGCTCGCCGTTAGCCTTTGAACCTCAGCTCACAGAAGAGTGCACACGAGAGAAATATAAAGCCCATTCCCAGGTCAGGTGCACACACAACCCCTACGCCAAGCTGGGCCTTACCTAGAGGAGTCTGAAACTCACCACTGTCCTGAGCTACGGCAAAAGAAAAATAATAGTATAATCTTATTTGATCTGCATTATGAACAGGATATAGAGTACAAGCAGTTCCATCACAGAAAAGCAATTTAGACATCAGCAGTCTGTTTCATTTTAAGGACATTTCTGTGACCCACAGCTCAATCTTTCTTTCACTGCTCAGGCAAAGTGCTAAGGGTTTTCCGTGCTCCCGTTATTTTCTTAAAGACACTCTCTCAGGCAAATTAATTCTCTGATATGGCAAAGGAAACAAAACAAAACAAAACAAAGACTCACTGTATAGCCAGAAGGCATTATCAATTTTTTCAAAGTATTCTTCTACTTGGTCATCCTAGAACATAAACTATTACACAGGGGACGGTTAGCACCGCACGGGAAGTGTCTGTACCAGCAAAAGCATCAGAATTCACTGTGCATTCTCCCCAATGGCTTCAGAGGCTGGGGACTTTGGAGGTCCCTGAGGAAAGGCGAACTGGCAAAGCCACAACTGGCAGGGGCTGCAATGTTCATGGGTGTGACTGGGCTACTGGGAAGGGCAGTGAGCACTGGTCCAACCACAGAAAAACATGGTTCTGGTGTTTCTCTTTTTAAAATGAGAGCACACAAATATTTATAAAGGGACAGTGGGAACAAACCAAATCAAATCCCCAAATAAGCTCTTCCTAGGCATTTCCCATCTACTGGTTTCCTTGAATTATAATCACCCCCTCCCCAATCCCTTCTGCCCTCCCCTCCCCCTCCCCCAAGAGTGAAACGAAATGGAGTTCAACGGAGGTCCTGTTGTTCCCTGACTCTTCTATGTGGGGGAGTTTTTGAGGAGGCAGGGGCCTGGGGGGACCCAACCTGCACTGACCCCAACACTCCACTCCCAGGGTCTTTTCCATCTCTCCCTTCCTCACCCATCTAGGGGAGTCATGCCACCTCTCTGGCAGGTTGTGCGTTTCAATGACGAACATGTTTTAAAACAAAAGGTTTTTTCCCCCTTGTGTTAAGTAAAATGTAATTTTTCATTCAACATGATCGTTTAGCTGAGAATTAGTAATTATGCCTTGAAAACTGTGTCTTTCTGTGTCCTCCTACCTGTGCTGCTTTCTCTTTACCAGACCCTAAGTGCCTTGTGAACAGGGACTCTGATTTCACTGTGCAGATGAGGTAGTACTAGGACATACATTTCTTGAGGGTGGAAATGGTGTTTTATTCCTGTGTGCCTGTTGGCACCTGTTATCAAGCCAGACACACAGTACGTTTGATATTAGTTGATTGGTCTCACTTGAGACCAAAGGGCCTCTTGAAAATACTGGTTAAAGATGATGCTCGTTGTCTAGATCTTGGGAAGAAGACATCAGTATGTTTGCAGGAGGATCATGAAGCACATGATCGTTGCATGAAAAATGTTGCTTCCTGCCTGTTCAAACTGTCCAATTTTGGAGGGTGGGGTGGTTGCAATGCTTACTTAAAGGATATGTAGCAAGCCATCGGAAAAACAGAGAAGGTGAATCTCGGTCACAGTATGATTTATGCTTGGGGACACTAAGCCCTGAGTCCATTAAAATCAAGTCTGAACAAAACTCAAGCAGTGTAGTCTATTCTTGCATGCTGGGTTGTTTCAACGTGTCTTTTTTCTTGCCCTGAATCCCGGGGTATTTGCAAAATGGATTCTCCTACTGACATCTGTTGACACCCTAGGGGGACAGGTCTAATTCAATCCAGCTAAAGGCAGCAGGGGTTCCTGACTAACTCCTCTCATACCAAGCTCCCCTTCTCCATGACTCCCAAAACCTTCACGGGAAGGGACGGGGTAGGGAAGGGGAAAGGGTATTTAATAACAACGCAGTAAAAGGTTCTGTACTTGCTTTCCTTACTTGAGCCCACCGGTGGGGACAGTGTGGCATTTCTTATGCTCCAGCAGCTGTTCGGGGGTCTTCATGAACTTGTGGCACACATCACACTCAAACATCCGGGTGATGAGGTGTATCTGCAGATGACGCTCAAACATGTTCTTCGTCTTGCAGACAAAGTTGCAAAAAACACATTCGAACCCTGCAAGGACCGAAGCTGGGTATAGAGGTGCACAGGGCAGCGGGGAGAGGAGGGCAGGAGTGGAGCCAAGCTCCTCCCCACTTCCTCCCGCCTCCTCCGACGCCTGACAGCTATACCCTTCCAGGCACTGTTCCCCATATCTCTGTGCTAAAAGGAGTTAAATGTACAAACATCGGAATCAATGTCACCCTCCCCATCCTTCCACCCCATACTCGGATTCAAATTAAGCCAAAAGAAATACAACCTTTAGGTGAGGCCCAGCATACTGCATCCTGGGCCTATTATCAGTTTTTGACATCGCTCCTGTGCAGGGCTTATTCTCAAGAATGGGTCATCCTGGGTGCGGAGGGTTGAGCAGGCTCACACCCACCTCCTCCTTACCTTTCTCTGGCTTTTCCTCACTGTTCAGTGAGGGCTGGCTCCCAGGCATGACAGAGATGACCAGCAGATTGTTCCCGCCCTTGTTTTTCTGGGAGCCATCTGAATCATCTTTGCTGTTGGCTGAATCACTCAGAGCTGAGAGGGAGGATGAAGAGGGGCTATTTGATTCGCTGGGGGTCTTCCTGTCTTCCCCTGAAAAATAAGCAAATAACCCAGTCTGTTAATGAGATGAAAATCCTCAGAATTATAGCAACTGAGGGTGACGAGTTGAGTCTCATGGATGCATCATCATTCTGGGGGCACAGGCTCATGTCCCCAGCTCCCCCACTGCTGGGGGATCCCAGGTCCTAAGGCACCTACCTCCTTTGTGGTACTGGGGGCCAAGAGCAGGCATTCATTAATTTGACAAGTGTTTATTAAGGTCTTACATGAATTAAAATAAAACGACAGTAATAGCTAAGACATACTAAACATGTTACCACGTTCCAGGAACTGTATTATACTTTAAATTATCTCATTTTGTTTTTTCAAAAATCCTGTGTGGCACAACTGTTATCAGCCCCATTTTACGATGAGGGAATGGAGTCACAGAAAGGTTAATCTGGCCTAGATCATATGGCTGGGAAGTGGTGGAGAAGAGGTTTGAGTTCGTCTGACTCCAGGGTCCATGCTCTTCATCAGTACTCGGGACCCTCTCCCTCAAAGCCAGATACAAACAAGTCAGCAGACCATTAAAATCTAGTGTCAGAAGACTTCTGCTTCTACTCAAGAGAGCGCGTCAGGGACTGGGTTTACCATTACTACTAACAACTGAAAAAAATCAGACAAAATATACCAAATGCTAGTTTTCATATCACTGGATGTTAGGCAATGAAGAAAAGTGGCCCCTGAGAGACAGGAAACAAAAGAGGTGAGCCATATGACTGATCAGTTTCCTGCCTTGAGACTCTCCAGGCTTCATTGCAGAGAGAAGGAACCAGGTGGAACCTGACAGACTCCGAGTGGCGGATACAGAGCTGAGGGTCTGACCAGATTTTGCAGGACGGAGTATCAGAGAGGAAGGGGCAGCACAGAAGAACAACCCCAGAGACACAGAGAGGGTCCCCCTTGAGTATTCAGCAAAGTATGGATCAGAGCACGGGGGTGAAGAGACTACCCATAGTTGGAGGGGGAAAAGCCACCTGAAAAGCTTAGAGAACAGTGCCCGGCACTTAGAGAGGGCTAGAAATAATGCCTGTTTCCACCAGTCAGATTGGAAAAACACAATTTACAGGGCATTAGGTAGAAAACTAAGAAAGGTCTCTTAGTAGTGGGTTAAACCTAGATAAATCACTGCCTAGTGATCTAGACCCGCCAAAGAATCATGAAAGCAAGACCCCAAAGGAACGAGGTTTCCAGGTAGCTATCTGCATCCTAAAACAAAGGTCAAGAGTATGTATAGGAATATAAAATATTAAGCACCCAACATGGTAAAAACCACAATGTCTGCATCCAAAGGTGATCAGATGTGCAAAAAGATAAACACAATTCGAATTGAGAATAATCAACCAATCAAAGGTGACCCAGAACAGACACAGTTGTTAGACTTCGCAGACAAGGACATTAAAACAGTGGTGACTGTATTTCATATGTTCAAGAAGTTAAGTAGAGACATGGATGATATTAAAAAGATCTAAATAAAATTTCTACTGATGAAAACTGCAGTGTCTATTACCAGCAGTAATCCCATTAGACATGGCAGAGGAAAAGATGAGTAAACCTGAAGATAATAGCTATAGAAACTATCTGAAATGAAACAGAAAGGAATCTCCCCAAATGAAAAGAGCATCAGTGAACTGTGGGATGCCTTTGGGAAGCTTAAAATAAGTTTAATTGGAATCCCTGGTGGGGTGGGGAGGGTGGAAATTTGAAATGGCCAAAAATTTTCCAAATTTGAGGAAAATCATAAACCCATAGATCCAAGAAGCTCAATGAACCTCAAGCATAAGAAACACGAAGAAACCTATACAAAAAAAATCATAAATTGCTCAAAATCAGTGCTAAAGAACAAAATCCTGAAAGTAGCCAGAGGAAGAAAGATATGTTATGTGCACAGGAACAAAAACAAGGATGACAGTGGATTTCTCACTGGACACTATGCAAGTAAGAAGACTGTAAAGCAACATCTTTAAAGTACTGAAAGATACACTGTCAACCTAAAATCTTATACCCAGTGAAAATATATTTCAAAAATGAAGGCAACAAACAAAAGCTCACATTAAAACAAATGAAGGAATTCATCACCAGCAGACCTGAATTACAAGAAATGTTCAAAGCCCAGGCAGAAGAAAATGAAACCAGATATAAAACTGATCTACACAAAAGAATGAAGAGGCTGGAAATAATAAATACATGGATAAATTCATAATTTTTAAATTATTGAAATGTCTTTAAAAGATAAAAGTAACATTGTTTAAACAAAAATAACTGTTTTGTAGGGTTTATAAAACATATAAGTAAACATATGACAATAGTATAAACGCTAGGAGGAGAGAAATGGAAGTCTACTTGCGTGAGGTTCTTATACAACATATGAAGTGGTTTAATCAATCATTTGAAGTTTTACTGTGATAAACTAAAGATGTACTCTTTTTTTGGAGACAGGGTCTCACTCTGTTGCCCAAGCTGGAGTACAGTAACGTGATCCCAGCTCACTGCAACCTCCACCTCCCGGGTTCAAGCAATTTTCCTGCCTCAGCCTCCCAAGTAGCTGGGATTACAGGTGTGTGCCATCATGCCTGGCTAATTTTTGTATTTTCAGAAGAGACAGGGTTTCACCATGTTGGCCAGGCTGGTCTTGAACTCCTGACCTCAAGTGATCTGCCCACTTTGGCCTCCCAAAGTACTGGGATTACAAGCATGAGCCACCGTACCTGGCCTAAAGATGTACATTATAAACCCCAAGTAACTGGAGAGCTAGACTTTATTCCTGGTTCAAGAGACTTAAGAATGTTAAGATGTCAATTATCCACAGAATGATTTACAGATTCAACATGACCCCATCGTTTTAGGTTAGGGGAGAAAATATAGGGAGACTGTTCTCCAATTATCTTCAAATCAGTTCATTAAGCAATCTAGTGACTGTAAATGTTAGAACCTAACTTCCTTTATTAGGAGATTAAATTAGCCAGGTGTGGTGGCATATGCCTGTAATCCCAGCTACTTGGGAGGGTGAGGCAGGAGAATCGCTTGAACCCATGGAGGCGGAGTTTGTGGTGAGTGGAGATGGCACCATTGTACTCCAGCCTGGGTGACAGAGCAAGACTCCGTCTCAAAAAAAAAAAAAAAAAAAAAAAAAAAAAAAAATATATATATATATATATATATATATTAGGTATACAAAGTTTGGAAATAGAGCTGTAATGGTGGGTTACATCTAGAGTGTAAAATTATTGGTGTCATGTTTGTTTACTTTTATTCCATTTTCAAAATTTTCTAGAGTGACCATATTTTTAAAAGTTTTTAAAAAGAGAAAGGAAGAAATATGTACCCACTTACAATGTTTTCAAATCCTTTTCCTGTCAGAACTGCACTTAGGGTCCAGGGCAGACAACTCTTACTTCAGTTCACAATTTTAAAAATCTTGCTCCTATTAGAACTGCAAGTATGTGACCTCAGTCACTGACCATGAGGAGCAATGGTATATGACTTTAGACTACAGACTTCTCTCTTGGTACAAGAAAGCTATGTGACAACTAGTACCATTATTGCCATTTGCTTATCAGTATATATTTAACCAGCTTAGTTACATTTTCTAGGTAGAACATTTTTAGCGGAGACCCTGAATCCCTGATACTGCAACTCCATCTTCTAATATTCACCTGTTGCAAGTGATTCTTTTAAATTCATTTTTAGAATTAAAACATATTAATTTCAACTACCATCTCTAAACATAGATTCAAGTACCCTTAGGCTTAAGGCACCAGGCAGAAATACCTAAATTAATAAATGTATAAAGATACAATGTGCTGTGCCAGCCACTCTGTGATGCAGCCCAGCTTGCTCAATGTGTAATCCCTAGTCCAAACAGCCTCTCCTGTTTCTGTCCTCATCTTGTTTTGCTATGTCTGTGGAAAGAGCCAGGGTGCCCTTGCCAGCCAAGTCCAAGGCTAACTGTGACCCAAGTGGTCATTTACCTTCTTCAGCATCACAAAGATCTTGGTGAAGGACACCTGTGCACAGGTGATGCAACTTCACACATTAGGACAACCAGCTGAAGAGAACTTAAAAAACAAAACAAAACCCCTAAATATTGCACAATTTTAAACAGCACAAATTAGGAAATTGAAACCATAAAAAAAATTACCAATCATCTTGCTTCCTCAATACAGACACTGTTACATTTTAGAGTACTTTTCATTCTTAACAAAGTAAGCACTTCTACTTTTAAATTGTTTCCATTAAGATTAAGAATAAAGACTCTAGATCCAGGCTGGGTGCCGTGGCTCACGCCTGTAATCCCAGCACTTTGGGAGGCTGAGGTGGGTGAATTGCCTGAGGCCAGGAGTTTGAGACCAGCCTGGCCAAATGGCAAAACCCCATCTCTACTAAAAATACCAAAAAATAAGCTGGGCGTGGTGCCCCATGCCTATGATCCCAGCTACTCAGGGGGCTGAGACACGAAAATTGCTTGAACTTGAGAGGTGGAGGTTGCAGTGAGCCAAGATCACGCCACTTCACTCCAGCCTCGGCAACAGAGTGAGACCCTGTCTT
This sequence comes from Homo sapiens, assembly GCF_000001405.40. Taxonomy (NCBI): domain Eukaryota; kingdom Metazoa; phylum Chordata; class Mammalia; order Primates; family Hominidae; genus Homo; species Homo sapiens. Next base: position 145,770,299 of record NC_000004.12, read on the forward strand.
AAAATAAATAAATAAATAAATAAATAAATAAATAAATAAATAAATAAATAAAATAGATCAGAACATGTGAGTTTGAATCTCACTTCTACCACTTAGTAGCTGTATTATTTTGAACAAGACACTTAACTTTGTGCCTCAATTATCTCATCTATAAAATGGGGATGATATCAGCACTTGCCTCATATGGTGGTTGTGATACTTAAATAGGTTTTTATATGTAAATCATTAAGAACAATGTCTGGATCATGGTAAGCATTATAGAAAATATTATTATTCTATTATAAAACATACATAATAAAATATAATAATAATGATAACTAATACTTTGTATTTTCCCATGCTATTTTAGATATTTGTACAGAGTTGGCTCTCAAAAAATTCTTGAAAATATTTGCATTGTTTTAAATGATTGTATTATATCCATGGAGGGGATTATTCTACTTAAATAGTACCTTAAAATTAAATTTAAAGGTAAAATTAATATTTCACTAATTGAATATTTTCCCATGAATAAATTCCCAGAGATGGGATTACTGGGTCACAGGGCATTACATTTTAAGCCTCTTGGTATATACAGCTTAATTAGTTTCCAAGGAGTTTTACAACTCCGCAGGGCAACAGCAATGTGAGTACCAGCATCATCCCAGCAACAGTGAGTATTAATATCAAATGTTCTCCTAACTTAACAGGTGGAATATAAGCCTCGAGTTTTAGCTGTATGTGTTTCCTTATGGTAAGTGGTTAGCTTTTATTTCCTTCATTGTGAATTGACTGCTCATGTCCTCATATCCTTTGCTAATTCTTCAATTAGAGGCCTAAAGGTTTTCTTAACAGTTTATAGGAATACTCTATGTAGTAAATATATTAACCTTTTGTCATTTTTGTAAACACATTTTTTCAGACCCAGGTTTTGGTTTTGCTTCTCTTTTTCTGTTATTTTGCAAACTGAAGAAATTTTTATGTGTCAGATCTCTCGATTGTTTTCATTTGTGCTTTATTTTATCACTTAAGCTTTTACAAATCCTTCTAGCTCTGGAAGCTTGATAAATATTCTATTTTCTTCAGGCTTTTCTAGGGCTGATTTGTTAATAGGGATTCTGTAAGTTATCTGGAATTTATTTTGGTGTCAATGTGAGGTGAGGTATTGATAGTTGTATTTTCCAAATAGCCATTCAGATTCCTCAATGCCATTTATTGCAACATTTAGAAATTGCAGCAAAATTTGCACTGAAGAAGTCACAAGCACCAAAGGGGATATTTTCCCCTTGTTGATATTCTCTGCAGGGACAAGACGCCAGACAGTGGGAGAAAGAAGGTGAGGAGGGATCACTAAGCGGAAATGCCTAATGAGAGGACAGTTCCTCAGGTATCCCTTTAACATAACCACTCACAGGCATGCCTGGAGTAACACCAACCCATAAGAAAATGTGAGAAAGCATGGGTTCTGTAGGAGACTAAACAAAATGCGTGCTGTTGATTAGAGCTTATCCTGTAGATCACAACTTCACTTAGGTAACAAGATAGCGTGGCAGATTTCCTAAGGTACTGAAATAATAGGGGCCTTTTCCTAAGACAGGAAAATCAAATTAGAGAACAAGGCTCATAAAATTAGAGAATCTTAGGCCTAAGGGCATCTTCTGCGCATCTGAAAATATAGGGAACAGATGGAGGTCCAGAGAAGTTAACTGAGGTCCTACATTCACAATACTACTTATGGTACCATAGGGTCTAGAACCTGGATCGAGAATTCAGTGTGTGCTTTCCTCCATGCCAAGTAACTTCCACATAGATTACAGAAATAAGTCACTAGGACTCTAAGGTTCAAGCAAGGGCCACATCTGAATAGTTTTCTTACTTAGCATGCACAAATGTGCACAGATGAGCTTGCACACAAATATATTCATTCACTGAAGGTACATTGATTCCCCACTTGTACTGTGTAGGGCCTGCTCCAGGTGCTGAGATACAGCAGTGACTTAGATAAGCTCCCTGTTCTTGGGAATATATACTGCTATATATGTCATATAACATATATATTGCTTTATACCCTAACTTTGCAATAGTCCAACTTACTAATTTACAGATTTAGATTGATCTATTTTGGGTCAAACTGAAACATCTCAAAACTATACTAAATACAGGAAACCCTTGCTGTGAGACCATTAGCTTATAATGGGGGTCAGCAAACTACAGTCCTTGGGCTCAAATGAGCCTCCTGTTTTTATAAATAAAGTTTTATTGGAACATGGCCATGCCCACTCATTTGCATATTGTCTACGACTACTTTCAAGTTTCAACAGCCGAGTTGAGTAGTAGTGACAGAAACTGTATGACCTGAAAGCCTAAAATATTTACTATTTGCCCCTTTGAAAAAAGCTTGCAGGACCCTGGCTTATAAAATAGGTTTTAACCTTATTCTTAGAGCAGCAGCATTAAAGGCTCCTACTGAATTAAAAAAGAAACTTCTTTAATGCATTTCACTCTTGGGTGACTGTACTAACAAACAAGAATATTCTTTCCTGCTAGACAATGAGCCCTGAATCCTGCTACATCAGAGAGAACAAGATCTTTGCTTCATTCCCTGTGGTAATTACGAGGTATGTGTTTGCACTGGTTAGTTGTGAAGTTTCCACTCACGACAATTAAATGATGACAAGTCCAGCTTCTGCCTAGCCATATGGTTTCTATGGTTTCTATGGTGGTATGGGTGTGGAGGGGGCTTTGGAGCAGGATGGGAGGGAGGAAGGTTTTCAACTGGGTTCAGGTATACTTTGGAGTAAAGAGGGTTAGAACAAAGGTTAACAGAAAGGAGAAAAAAAAGACTATCTGAAAAGCCAGTGGTAATGGAAAAGAGTTTGGCCTTTTCCTCCATTAGCCACTCCAGAAATGCTGAATTTAATTTGTCTTCAACATGGGTTTCCCAGCTCACCTGCTGCCCACAGGCTAATGTGGTTACAGTCAGACAACTGACTGTAAAAATGGCACCTTCTCACTTGGCATAACGGCTCTCTGCAGACCTCCAAGTCATAGCTGCTCAATTTACTGACAAAAACAAGCTTTTATTACTGTTGGCACCACTGAGCCAAAGTGGCCAGAGAAACACAGAGAGATCCTCCTCTGCTGTGTACATCGTCAGCACAACTGTCAGGGAAATTCCCCTTCCCGAATCCTTCAAGTGCTGATGATGTGAGGGGCTGACCCAACACCCAGGGCTGGCAATCAGCAACATCAGCTCTTAATTTGTAAGCCCCGCAAATGCAGACGGAGCTCCTCCTCATTCTCACTTAATGACTCCTTGCTGGTATCATTTGTAACCATCACTTGTGAGAGTATAATTGCATGGTGAAGTCAGAATGTTAACATCAATAAATGGAAGAAGTTAACCAGAATGGCAAGAAGCTTAAATAACAGGCGAGCACTGGTGAAGCCTTGGCCATGGCCTAGACAGTGATGGGTTTGTTTCAGGAGAATCTGGTTTTCTTTGGCCGCGAACACACATGCCATGCGTCATTAAGGAGAGCGTCAGGGCTGCAGTTTCACTGGAGAGGAACAGAGCCTACAGAAGTAGGTGTGTAGTGCCCTGGCATGGGAAAACAGAAAGGTTCAAAGCTCTGCCAAGTGTTTCTCGGGGCTGTCAGAACAGCAATGATACAGAGAGCAAGCTCTGGAATGAAAACTGTTCTGGGCTGAGTTTCAGTAGTCACTGAAACTAGTGACTACTGAACTAGTGACTGAAACTAGTGACCACAGCAACCCCTAGTTGCTGACCTTGGATGGAATATCTCACCTCTGTTAAGCCTGTTTCTTCACCTGTACTGTACAGTGTGATAATAATAGTATTCACTTAGAGGGTTGCTATGGGGCTTAAATGAGAGCCAGTGTGCAAAGGCATAAGACTGGGGCATTGAAAGACTGTCACATATGGTGATGAGGAAGAGGATCAGGATGAGCAACAAGCAAAGAGCTCGGCACCTCTCAACCACATCTGAACTTGGGAGTCTTTCAGAGCAGTGAGGCACAAGGCATGCCAGGAAACAGTATTATGACTACAGGGAAATGTGGCTTTCATGCCTTGGGAAAGTCCTTCCTTCCATGGAAGGAAAAGGGCAATGTCTCAGGGCAGTGGGGATGCTTCGGCCAGGTGGCAGGTGCTCTGGGGTGCAGGGGATGGAGAAGGAGTGTGAGAAGGACAGACAGGAATGGTCACCTGTGTGCTTGGTGCCAATGTGAGTCTTTATCTCTGCTTCCTCCATGGTGACGAAGTCGCAGGCAGTGCAGCAGATCGAAAACATCCACTGCTCCTTGTCCACGTGGAGTGACATGTGGCTGACAAACTGGACATTGAGCTCGGTCTCAAATCCACACACGTGACAACTACATGAAAGGGTAAAAGAAAAGAGGGGGAGAGAAAAGGGTGACACATACTTCTAAATGTAGGCTGTCCATTTATACACAGTACACTCAAGAAAACTGGAATTTGAAACACATTTGTCTCTCCACCAAAAGGTTTTGCATTAGAAAATTCTTCTGCTTTCTGGGATGCCTCTAAAGTAGTCACTGTGCCAAAGAGACTAAGGGCCAGCATCATGTAACAATCACATATGTGTTATAATGATGCTAAATAATCATAAAGTTAATTTAAAACTATGGATTCCAGATGCTGCACATCACCTAATTGATTTCCTTTGGGCAAAGAGATGTGGGGTAGCATTGCCAAGGTATTTAGTGGTGCCGGTCCACTGATAAACTCGGAGAGCACCTCATAGTCCAGGAACCTCTCTCTGGCTCTGGAAACCTTCCCTAGTAGCAATGAAAGCACCTACAGTTTGTTGTATGGCACTCCAAGCAAGAGGCTACTCTATCCGGGACAACTTCTGATAGAAGCCACCCACTGCTAGAGACATTTCCTGCAAAAGCAAGTTTCCACCAATCAGTATGGCAACTCTCTAGGACAAGATTTGACAGCCAGAAACTTGGGGGTTTTATGGCAATCAAACCAATATTGATTCATGATTGAATACAGAAATGAAACATAAAATCCACATACTAAAGTGTGATACAACCATGGGGAAATACGTAACGCCTTCTGGGCTAGTTCTCTGGGGTTCTCAGATTTATATTTCCTCAGCTTTTTTTTTTTTAAACAATTCTTAGGGAGCAGCAACACACTCAGTTACAAAGGTTGGAGCTTCTGAGCTGAACAGACCTAAAAATTCATCATCCCCAGAGCCCGTCTCTGTCTGGAGCTCCACCCCAGAGAGCCACCTCTAAGACCATTTCTCTTTCAATTAATACCACCAGGGGCACCCAAACCAAGAGAGGAGTCTGTGCAACTGCAGGGCTCAATCTGAGCAAAGAAATTACTCAAATGAAGGCCAGGCTATGACTGAGAAAAGGGGCCTCGTGATGTATGCCCACAGCAGACAGGTAGGAAGTGTTGAAGTCAAGAGTCTGAGAAAGGCGGACTAGCATGTTCCATCTGCAACTCACCTGTAATAATAAGGATGTTTCTTCCCATCACTGCCTTCAGAGGTGACGGCGCTGACAATGTCCTCGGTGTCTGTACTCACCAGCTTCACGGAATGGACGGTCAAGTGCTGGTTCAGATTTGCACGGCACTTAGCAGCATAGGGGCACAAGTGGCATTTGTATTTTCTTTCCTCTGGGGGAGAAGGAACAGGAAAAAGCCCAAATCGCTTTCAAAAAAGGAAGTCCCAACACCTTGCAAGAATCAGTTAAAGGTATCAAGGAAAGAATGGTTCAAGTCATATTTCAGATGGAGACAATGGTAATGCCTAGGAATTGTAAGTATCTAAAAGTCTTTACCCAGCAGGTCACTCCTGTATTAGTACTTCTAAATATAAAAGAAAATCTCCGGCTGGGCACTGTGGCTCACACCTGTAATTCTAGCAGTTTGGGAGGCTAAGACAGAAAGATCACTTAAGGACAGGAGCTCGAGACCAGCCTGGGCATCACAGCGAGACTCCATCTCTACAAAAAAATTTTTAAAAAATTAGTCAGGTGTGGTGGCACGTGCCTGTAGTCCCAGCTACTTGGGAGGAGGAGGTGGGAGGATTGCTTGAGCCCAGGAGGTCAGGGTTACAGTGAACCACAATCACATCACTGCACTCCAGCCTGGGTGACGGAGATAAACCTTGTTTCAAAAAAAAGAAAAAAAAAAAAAAGTCCCAGGGCAACTAGAATAGATAACCTGCTTTTTTTTTCCTGGACACCCACAGCCCATTTTCCTGATAAGGTAAGCCCCACACAGGGCAAAAGAATATTCTGTGAGTGAGCAAGTGTGCATGTCTGTTTGTGTGTGTGTGTGTACCCCATGTGTCAGTCATGGGTGAGTGCTGAGCAGGGGAGGGGGAATAAAACACAGCATTTGCAGGACTACAGCGTAAAAGAGGCCTCATCATTTTCCCTAAGCTCCTGGCCTGGGTCGGCCAAGAAATAAAAAAACTAATGAAATTAAGGGGAAAAAATGCTGTGTGAAATAATTTAATTGGAAATTTCATTTTACATAAATAAAGAATTTCAATTAACTTCTTAATGGAAACCCTCTCATAAAACTGACAAATGTTTCAGGATCGTTTCCAGAGTGGCATTCTGAATTCGTTTGATTAATCAAGCAAATTAAAGTAAAAGGAGCAGGCTTTGCTTTCATCACACAGATAAAGGTAATAGCAGAAGATGAAGGAAAGAACAACTCCAGTGTTCTATCCTTAATGCTTACTTGGTATTACTGTGCCTGGCTTAAAGGAAATACCTGTCTTCTTTAGTTCACAGAGAAGAACATGGAAAAAAGTTCTTCTCTACAAAATATGAGACCATTATTGTTATAGGTGGTCCCCAACATCTTGAAGGGCTGGCATCTGGGCTCAGCAGGGTCAGGGGAGGAGCCCCACTGTCCAGATAAAATGTGTCCTTTCTTTAGAAGTTTTGTGTTTGTATGAATAAGTGAGGTTGTTAAGTTTTGTTATTAAGGTTATGCATCCTCCATAAAGTGAAACTGTGGAGCTTTTTAAATCTTTTTCTATCATTTGGAAAGGTTTAATAACATTGGAATTTCCTCTTCTCAAAAGGTTAGAAAGAACTCACCAGCGAAAATTTCTGGACCTGATGCCTTTATAAACGGTATGTCCTTCATAATTTTTCCAAAATTTCTCTTTGGGAACCGACTGATTCAAGTTCCCTCCCCACTTTGGGTCAATTTTAGTCATTCTGTTTAAATGATCTATGTCATCTAAGTGTTCAGCTTTTTTTCTTAGAGCTTCATTATTCTCCAATAATTCTTTAACATCTTCCACATTGATGATTAGGTTTCCTTTTTCATTCCTAACTTTGAGTATTTTTGCTTCATTTTCTTAATCAGGCTTAACAGGATTTATCTATTTTATGGCCATTTCTTTCTAGACTTTGTTGTTTTATCAATTCCTTAAGATGACCATTAAGTTCCTTTATTTTTGTCTTTCTCTAATTAAAATGTTTACCTCTATAAATTTTCCTCTGACTAGAGCTCTTGCTGTTTGCTCCAGGTTTATGTATGAAGTGTTCTCTATTTCATTCCTTTTAGATGTCTGTTATTTGAATTTTTATTTTCTCCCTTTTTCTTTGGTCCAATTAGGCAGGACATTTTATTGACCCTTACTTATTTAAAATTTCATTTAAGTATGCTCAGAGAATGTGACCTTATAAAACTCCACTTTTTTGAACATGTTAAAGTTTTCCTAAATTTTGTCTTTAGTCGAATTTAAAATTAAAAATATTAAAAATATAAAAAGAAAAGACACCAGTTTGGGCAGCATGGAGAAACCCCATTTCTACAAAAAACTTTTTGTTTTTTTTTGAGACTGAGTTTCGCTCTTGTCACTCAGGCTGGAGTGCAGTGGCACGATCTTGGCTCACTGCAACTTCCACCTCCTGGGTTCAAGCAATTCTCCTGCCTCAGCCTCCTGAGTAGCTGGGATTACAAGCGTGCACCACCACATCCGTCTAATTTTTGTATTTTTAGTAGAGATGGGGTTTCACCACTTTGGCCAGGCTGGTCTCAAACTCCTGACCTCAGGTGATCCACCTGCCTTGGCCTCCCAAAGTGTTGGGATTATAGGCGTGAGCCATCGCGCCCGACAACAAAAACCTTTTTTTTTTAAAAAAGTTAGCTGGGCATAGTGGCAGCGTGCACCTGTAGTCCCAGCTACTCAGAAAGCTGAGATGGAAGGATCACTTGAACCCGGGAGGCAGAGGTTGCAGTTAGCTGGGATGCAGCCACTGCACTCCAGTCTGGGTGACAGAGCGAGACCCTATCTTGGGGGAAAAAAAAGACAAAATTAATCTTGTCTTATTAATACTTCCTGTCTTGCTTTTTAAATTTTGTGTGATGTACGAAATCTTTATTTTGAACTTTTCTTTATCATTTTGTTTTTGTGTTCCCTGTAAATAAGATATATCTGGATTATTTAAAAACCTGATTTCAGTGTAAAAATGGAAATGTTTGATTTTATTATTTCCATCTTGCTTTATGTTTACTACTGATTTTACCTTATGTCTTTTTGTCTTCAATTATTTTTGCTGTGTGGACTAAGTTACTATTTATTCCTCCTTGTTAACTTGGTTGCCTTCCCTTTCCCAACTCTCAGAACCAACCATATTTCTCCACAATTATACATAAATAAAGGCAGAAGCTGTTTCTCCACCAAGGTGCCTTTTCCCTGGCTGCTCCCACCCACAACAATAAGATAAAACCAGTAAGATGGAGTGTGTCCCCCTGTCCTTCACTTTCAAGATGAACTCAATACATTTTTTTTAACAGAGTTTAGGAATTTTACCTGAATAAACCTAAATTGTGTATATTTTCTCATCGGTCCTACCTGGAACTCAATGAACCCTTTCAATACAAATAAAAAAGCCTTTCCAAGGTCTTCTTTAAACATGCCAGAGAAAATGGCTTGAAAAGGTCAGCCATTCCCAGCACTTCCTGTAATGCCTCTCTTAGAGAAACTCAGTTTCCGGAGAGTAAAGAAGTTGGTGATGGAGCATAGAGGGCTGACAGCCCAGGCCCTACTCACTCACCTGTGTGCAGCGAGAGGTGTCGGGACAATGTCTGCTGTCGGCCAAACACTTTCCCACACACGTCACAGGGAAAAAGCTGGTCATTGAATTTCCAGGATGGTAATCCATTTCCTGCCTCTAGGACTATCTTTTCTGTTTCTGGGTCAAAAGAACAAAGCATCATGAGAAATAAGGCAACAAGAATACATTTTCTGTTAGTCAACATTCAGGATTTCAGCAGAGCCTTCTCTCTGAAGAATGTGGCTAGTAATTGCAAATGAGTCTCCGTAACTGGTTTTCCTGCTCATTTCCTGTCTCTAAGAAGGCCGTTCTTGAAAGCTGCGGTGGCAAGTGGATTCCGACCCCTGTCAATTCTTCAGTATTTTCTCTCTTTCTTCACTAAAGACCAGCCAACTAACCCTCTAGTCAGTTGATAGCACTGTGCCCAGTATACAGCAGATACTCAATAAATACTTGTTAAATGAGTTGCCTGAGTTGCATGTTAAAATTCCAGAAATGTAGGCTCTTGCCACAAGGCAGTAAATAAAGAATTGTAGGCTGGGCTTGGTCACTTACACCTGTAATCCCAGCACTTTGGGAGGCTGAGGCGAGTAGATCACTTGAGCTCAGAAGTTCAAGACCAGCCTGGCCAACATGGTGAAACCTTGTATCTACTAAAAATACAAAGAGTAGCTGGGCATGGTGGCGGGTGCCTGTAATCCCAGCTACTTCAGAGGCTGAGGCACGAGAATCGCTTGAAGCTGGGAGGCGGAGGTTGCAGTGAGCTGAGATCACGCCACTGCACTCCAGCCTGGGTGGCAGAGTGAGACGCTGTCTCAAAAACAAACAAACAAACAAACAAACAAACAAAAAAGAATTGTAAATCTCAGATTCTGATGTGAAAATAAATGGTCCTATCCCTTGAAAGGAAATATGCTTTCATTCTCTTTAAGAAGAAAGCTTTGCTCTTCATTCCAGTTTGTGCAAAATCCTTAATGAGGAATTTGTGCTAAGTAGAATCAGTGATAACTACCACACGCTGTGCCACAGAAAATTCCCTAATGCAAGAATGAACCAGAATTTCCCCCAAAGGTCTCATATTTGGGAAAACAGTGCCACAAGTTATCTACCCATAATTCATAGCCATGAATGAAATAAATGGACTTTAATACATTCTCTAATCATCTTAAAGAGTTTTTATTTTCTCATTCTTATCCCTAGGATTACCTTTAATTTTCTAATCCATGTTTCTTTTTGTGGAACTGTACCAGATTATACAAACATTCCTCCTATGATAATGTCATAAAATAGGTGACAGAGAACACCAGAAAGAGAGAAGGAGACACTTCTAAAAGGACACTTGAATGGGCCACTGATAGGCTTTTCACCTCACTTTGAAGACCAAGACAAATGACACACTAAGTTAATATCTTGTCTTTTACCTCAGTAAATAATTGCAAATCTCCTTAAAGCTCAGTACTGCATTATAGAACTGGACACCATGTGGTGATAATTGAATGGTGGTAAGAACTTCTCCTAATCCACGCAGATGAAAATGCTCACGCTGGGTGCAGTGGCTCAAGCCTGTAATCCCAGCACTTCGGGAGGCCGAGGCAGGGGGATCACAAGGTCAGAAGATCGAGACCATCCTGGCTAACACGGTGAAACACTGTCTCCACTAAAAATACAAAAATTTAGCCGGGCGTGGTGGCGGGCGCCTGAAATCCCAGCTACTCAGGAGGCTGAGGCAGAAGAATGGCGTGAACCCGGGAGGTGGAGGTTGCAGTGAGCCGAGATTGTGCCACTGCACTCCAGCCCGGGCAACAGAACGAGACACCATCTCAAAAAAAAAAAAAAAAAAAAAAGAAAAAAAAAGAAAAAAAAAAAAAGAAAATGCTCACAACATGGGTCAGAGATAACATCAGAAGAAAAAACTTTATTTCACACAATTTGGCTAAAACTGCTTCCCAAATACAGGCTTCCACCTGTATGTGGCTAAATCAATGGGATCAATTTTCACTGGAATGATTTGCCAGATAGGGAAGAAGAAACAAATATGAATATATGTCTGGAAATGGGAGGAGGGGAAATGATGGTGAAATTGCAATAATGTTCGCTGTGAGGCACCTGCCAGCAATCCCAACACTGATAAAGCACATGAACTGATTCATCTGTGTTTGTTAAAACATAGCACTTGGGGCCTCAGGAAGAAGGGTTGCTCTTATTAAAGTAGAAATGTGTGACTAAAAACCTCTAAAGGGGAAGAGGGCAGAAATGTGGGTGAAGAGAAGTAAAAAAAAAGGGAGATGAACTTCTGAGGACAAGAACTACTCTTAAACAGCTGTCCTTGAGTCCACGCAGTGGGCATTTCAGCTGTGCATGAATTTCAGTATATCAGTAGCTCCTTTTAAGTGTATAATCAAAACAGTGCTTCAAAGAACAATAACGGTAATAATTATAAGGAGAGGTCAAGAGGGTACAGGGTCTGTTAATACATTCACAACAAGAATGAATGAATTGGGTCAAATATCAAATAAGTAGATGCAATTAAAAATAGATAAGCACCTTAATAATTCCTTCAAGTATCAATCATGTACTCGAGAAGCTGAAGCATCATGAACTGTCTGATTCCGTCCACTGGTCTTAGAAAATGATGAAAGCTACCGAGGCTGTGCTGCAGCTGAGTGGGAAGAATCCCCGGAGTCGCAGTGAGGCAGGCAGTTGTCACGGGGCACCCATGACTGCTCAGCCACAGTCCCACGCCCAACTCCAAGCCTCGTCTAGGAATCGCTGCTCTCCCCACCTCATGTTTGCATTTGCTACAGCAATCCATTTTTATTTTGCACACAGGAACAAGGCAACCACAGGCCATTTGGAGTCTTATCCCAGAACATGACCTCGAAATCACGGCTGGGTGGGGCCTGGCGGAAGAGGCAGTCGGGGGAGGAGTATTACTGTGGCAACACAAGACCTGAAGCAAAGGCCCGTTCTTTTTTCCAGGAGCTGAGATGAGATGAAGCTGAAATGGGGCTCAGCAAATGCCACACTCTCCTGCATCTCCTGTGAATGATGCCACCCAAGTGCCATGTGAGAAACTTTGGAATCTTTTTTGATTCCTCCCCCGACTCTCTTTCAACACATCCAATCAGTCACCAGAAGCTGGTGATCTTATGCAGGTCTTTCTAGACCTCACTGCCTTAATTGTGTCATCATCTTTCACCAACATTGTGGCAAAAGCCTCCAAAACAGGTTCTCTGCTATCAGACCCCTTCCAACAGCCCTTCCTCACCTCACAGATTCCAGAATGATCTTTCCGAGGCACAAATCTCATCATGTCTTGTTCTGTATGGCAAAGGCTCCTCAAGGCCAAACTTCTGGCTTCTGAGTCCTTCATGGCCTGGCTTTGGCCACCTCCCACCACCCGAATGCTTGGCAAAGTAGACTGCTTGACTTTTCAGGAACAAACAATTCCCTTTTAAGTGTCATTGCTTTTGAATCAACTGTTCCTCCACCAAAAGCTACTCCCCGCAACTACTTCTGTACAATAAACTCAGACTCAATTTGAAGCCCTATCTCAGATTTTATCTCCTTGGTGAAGCCCTGCCCAATTCCCAAGGTAGAGTTAGTCATTTCCCCTGCTCTGTCCCAGGGAACTTTTATGAATATTTCCGTTGTACCACTTTTCCTATTATATCACTTGTTTACATATCTTCTATAAGCCATATATATATATATTCTGCATATAAAGCACCCAGCATAGTCCAACGTGAAGCAGTACTCAGTCAACACGTCCCCTGGCCTCCCTTCCCTGGGGTAAAGGTTTTGCATTATTTATTTGTGTATCCTCAGCATTAGCACAATCTCTGCTACATAAGAGGTGCTTAGTATATATTTGTTGAATAAATGAATGACTGAATAAAAGGGTCCAAGTGAGGTGAATAGACATTATTCTTATTTTATAGTAGGAAAGACTAATAATTTAGTAGCATTCATTAAGGCCTATGGCCAATTCAGAATGAAAAATCAGGCTACCTGCCTTTTGAATTGCTGTTTTAACTCAATTCACTAACTGCTTTCATGATTCTATTAGTGGAAATGTTTGCAGTCCTGAGCCATACTCCTAAAGGCTCTAAATTCTTACCTCTTCCCAATAGCATCAAGCCACAAGATGATTCTCTTTATGATGAACTCTGGCAGTTGCTATTTTCAGTTAACCCAACAGTCATTCTCAACTTTCCTTATCCCCTGCCTTCTCCAGCCATGGAAGCGGCTTGGGTAGCCATGTGCCAAAGTTCTGAGAAGGCTTTTGCTTTTCTGTTAAAATGAAGGATATACTGGTATTGACCCCTTCTCTTTTCCAGCCTTGATCACAGAAGAAATGGCTGGGACTCTGGCAGCCATTTTGTGAATATAAGGCATGAAGACAAAAGCCAACTCCCAAGGATGGAGAAAGGGAAAGATGGGAAAAGTATAGGTCCTTGATGTGGTTTGGTTCTGTGTCCCTGCTTAAATCTCATGTCAAATTATAATTCCCAGTATTGGAGGTGGGGCCTTGTGGGAGGTGATTGGATCATGGGGGTGGAGTTCTCGTGAATGGTTTAGCATGGTCTCTCTGGTGCTGTTCTCATGATAGTGAGTTCTCACGAGATCTGGTTGTTTAAAAGTGTGCAGCACCTTCCCCTTCTCTATTCCTACTGCTCTGGCCATGTAACATGTGCCTGCTTCCCCTTCACTTTCCACTATGATGGAAAGTTTCCTGAGGCCTCCCCAGAAGCCAAGCAGATGCCAGCATCATGCTTCCTGTACAGCCTATGGAACTGTGAGCCAATTAAAACCCTTTCATTGTAAATTACCCAGTATTTCTTGATAGCACTGCAGGAACTGAGTAATACAGTCCTCTGTGGCATTTCTCAGTAGCTGAGTGAACGCCAGCAACCACCCACTTTTGGACTTTTTGTTTTGTGAGGGAAATAAGTCCCTGTTTGTTTCAGCCACCGTTGGTTGGGTTTTCTATTACTTATAACACTCTTAACTGAAGGCTCCTCCTATGGTTCCTCTTGGTCTTAGGACTTTGAACATTAGGTTCCACCTTTTGACAGGCTTTAATTCCCAAAATCCCCCATCCTGTGAAGAACTCTCCATATTCATTATCAACAGCAACAAGTGTACACCCAGCTGAACACATTTCCATCTTAATTATCTTCTTCTGTTGGGAAAGAAAAACCTTAAAACTTCTTTTAGATTACTCAGGAATTTCCTTTAAAAAAACTTTTTATGAAGCATAATATTTGTAAAAGAAAAGTGCACATATCAATAACTGCTTTTAAGTTAGTTCCAAAGTCACAAAACAGCTTGGAATATGGGTACTGTTTTTAAATTTTTGCTCTTCTTCATCTTGATTCCCACATCCCTTAGCATTTGTTTCATTATTTTACATAGCTTGAATGTATACTTAAGATTCTCTTCATTTCTTTTTGAAATACTTGTCTAATGGTAACCTCTTTTTTTGTACAGAGTCTCATAGGATTTTGTCTCTTATAAAGCATTTTATTTCATTTCACACTCTTATATTCTGATCCCTGGGATAACCATAAATTGCTTCCAGAAATTCCTGGCTACTCGGTATTATGTGATCAGATGTTTTTTCTCTACTTTTCCACCTATGATGTTTGCCTTGAATGTCATTTGGGCTTTTCCTCTTCCTTATATAGGTTTTTGTTTTAAATGAAGCAAATAGGTGTGTAGGATTAAGCACTTTTGTCCTTACAGTATGGCTAGAAAAGTAGGAACACAGTGTAAGGAGAACGATCTCATCTTAGCAATCCCAAAACAAGGCTTTCAGCTCCTCCTGTTAATGGTGAACTGAGGCCTATCATCCATAATGATGAGGACTAGTTGGCCAAAATACAATAGAGCAAACTATGCTTCTTATAACCTAGTTATTCAAGGGGACATGTCTCATTTCATGCGTAGGTCCTGGGAAGATGAAACCCATCCAGCATGCCTCCAAAAACTTTCCTTAATTAAACCCATTCGGTAGAATTTAGGAAGGAGTTCTATCAAAATCTGCTTGACAATACATTATTATCAAGTAGAGCACTCAGTTATCTTCAGATCCAATTTGTTCATTTTCAGGAGGATAAAAATGAAGCATTATATTCCAGGACCTCTCCTGCCCCAGAGTAACCCACAACTGTTGCCCAAGGTTGGGCAACAGTTTCCACAGTAACTAAGTCTCTATCCTGCCCCAAATCTTAGTTCAAGGAGGAACCTGAACGATCATCTTGTTCAATGTTTTCTGTTTTATATATAAGGGAACTGAGGCCAAGAGAACCTAAGTAATTACCCCAGGTAACCTGGCTAGTGACTCTGGGAGAGCAGAGACAGACCCACGGTGTCATTCAAGCTCTTCCAAGCCACATGAAATCAATGCCAAAGTCTACAAACAAACAAAGGAGGGATTTTTCTTCTCTTCCTGTTCTTTGGCTCTGAGTTTAATACTCTTGGTTACACATGTGCAGATTTAGCAACAATCCAGACACTAGCACTTTTCTCCATTTCTGTTATTAAAAGTATAAGCCTAGAATATTTCCAGGCACAGAGATGTTAGAAAGTGTAATATGTCAAAACTTACAATAAAGAAGGAACAAGAGGAAGATCAACTAGGGAAGTCCTAACAGCCAATCCTCTCTGAGGTAAACATGGTATTACTGAAGAAAGTTCCCTTGAACCTTTCATTGCCATTTGGGGAGCATTTTTGGTAAAATTAAACAAACAAACAGATAAGCAAAACCTCAAAAAACAACAGGGACAAAGAAAAAGACTTTAGTTTGTTTCCTTTCAATTTTAACATAATTTGACCCTATATTTGGTGTATTGTTTGGCTTTGTGGGCACATTTTACTGTGTGAAAAGATCCCTGTATTCCCTGACAAAACAGTCCTCTCAAAGAACCATCTCTCAACCTGATTTTGGTAAAAGAAATGCTAAGACAGAAGGCTTTATTTGGCGACAGCTGTAAGCAAAAGATTGGCCAAAATATGACCTCAATGCATAAATAACTGTTCAGATCAACTAAATCTCATTACTGAAGAAGAGGCTCTGGGGCCGCTTGGGTTTTCCATTGTGACATATGGTATTTTGATCACTTCTTTCTTTCATGATCAAGGCTGGAATGTTTTGAGGCATACCTCAAACTGAAATTCTGAAATCCTCTGTAGTCTTGGATAGGTTAAAACCTACCAGGTCATTTTCCATGCAGAAAGCAGAGGGCATGGAACTTTCTGGTCAGACTCCAGCCCTACTGGCTCTGTCCTTTGGTTTCATGGGTTCTGCATGGCCTCTGCTTAAAACAAGCTACCACCTTCTGAGGGCTGCTTGTGAAGCTAAGAGTCAGCTGTGGTTATGACTCTTTGGGGGTTAATATCTTTGTTCCAGTGCTTGCAGCTCGTCTGTATCCCTTTTTAATTTTTTCAGAGTCATTTCAATTTAGGGTTACTTGCCAACATCTACCGTTTTAGAATTTCCAGCTCAGAGGATCTACCTTGCAGTGTCACAGCTGTACTGGAACAGCAGCCACAATGCAGATGGCTGGCACTGGTGACCTGTCCCATCATTTCATTTACTACTGGTGACCCTGCACAAGATGCCAGAAGTGTTGCTCATGCCAGTCCTAACAGACTTACTAGGCTCCCTATGACCACCTCTCTGCAGGTCTTGGCAGAACCAACTTCCCCTTTAAGGACCATTACACTCACCCAAAGATTTCTGCTGGCCAAGGTGTTACCTCAATGAACTGCTAAGATAGAAGAATTGAGAAATAGTTTTTGTCGGCCGGGCGCAGTGGCTCAGGCCTGTAATCCCGGCACTTTGGGAGGCCGAGGCGTGTGGATCACAAGGTCAGGAGTTCGAGAACAGCCTGGCCAACATAGTGACACCCCGTCTCTACTAAAAATACACAAATTAGCTGAGCGTGGTGGCGCGCGCCTGTAGTCCCAGCTACTCAGGAGGCTGAGGCAGGAGAATCGCTTGAACCCGGAGGTAGAGATTGCAGTGAGCTGAGACCACGCCATTGCACTCCAGCCCGGGTGACAGAGTGAGACTCCGTCTCAGGAAAAAAAAAAAAAAAAAAAAGAAATAGTTTTTGTCAATCTGTGCTCAGTTAGAAACACTGGGTGGAGATTCTTTTTAGATGTAAGAGTTAACAGCCTTGATCTTCTTTGGGCTCATTTCAACCTCCAATGCTTAACAAACTTAGTAAAGTAGAATTTTGCATTACTACTTTCAGGGGGTCCATGCACAGGCCCTGGGAATATGAAACCTGTCAAGCATGTCTCCAAAAATTTTTATTAATTAAACCCATCTGATAGAATTCAGGTGACAGTTCTATCAAACTCTGTTTGACAGAGCATTAGATCAAGTAGAGGACTCTGATACTTCCAATCCAACTCCTTCATTTTCAGGAGGGCAAAAATGAAGCCTGACACTCCAGGACTTCTCAGACCCCAGGGCACCCCACATCTTGCACAGGGTCAAGTAACCGTTTCCACAGTAATTAAATCTCCATCCTGCCCCAAACCCAAGATCAAGGAGGAATCTTAACAATCATTTTTTTCAAAGTTGCTGTTTTACATATAAGAAAACTGAGGCCTAGAGAAACTGAGTAATGACCCCAGGTAACCTGCCTAGTGACTCTGGGAGAGCAGAGACAGACCCACAGTCTGCCTGCTCCTCTAAGCCATATGAAATCAATGCTAACTGCTTAGTAAACAGCTGCTTCTGAAAAATCATCCCAGGAAAACTGGATAACCATTTTTTTTTGCTTAGTGCTAGGTAACAGCTTAAAAAATACTTACTGATTGATTTGTATCGTAAAGAACTGTGTTTCTATATCTGGTTCTTTATGCAGGTCATATTAAATCAATAGTAGAAAACTGGACCTTGATTCCTTGGGTAACAGAAATGGCTAGTACTAGGTGCCCCTAATTCCAGTGAGGCTGATCACATAGAACTTGAGCACCATAGGGACCTTCTCTAAGCCTCCAAATGTAGATAGTCACTGCCAGAATCCAGGCCAATTGATGGCTGCCATTATAACAATAATCATTTTAAGAAAACTATATAACTTAATCCTTTACAAAATCCATGTATGAAAAGTTGGATGTTGCTTCTATGTTTTCCCTGTACTTGTACTTCCAAGATTAGTGGGATCCTCTATAAAACCTTATTGAATAAATGATATAATCACATCACCAAGATCAGGACTGTTGTACTGAACAGCAACCTAATTTTATATTACAACATGGAAGCAAACTGACAATATTGATTCAGGAATCATGTCTAAAGGACCTGGTTATTATCTTGCCCATTACACAGACCAGTGACCACTTCTCTTCTTAATGATGATGGTAAGATTTAAGGTCTTAGCAATGGGCCCTCAGAATGTCCCAATGTTGAGGCCATTTATAAGTCTTTGTTAGAAAAGTAATCAGGCCTGAAAATCATGTCTTTTTTGTTTGTTTGGCTTTGTGGCAGAAACTGATGTTTATTTACTCAATGTCTAACAGAACTATGTGGGTTTTTGTTTTGTTTCCAGGTGGCAATGTGCCCAGTTAAAAACATACGTTCCTTACTAGCTTCCACTGCTATTAGAGGCTGGTCATGAAACATAGTTCTAGACAATGAGATATAGGTGGTAGTTCCTATAAAGACTTTTGCCCTTCACTCTGCCTCCTCCTTCTTGGCTGTCTGAAGGTACCACAGCTTTCTTTCAATCACGAAGATGAAAGCCATTGATAAGGGTGGAGGAGCAGAAAATTAAATGGTGGGTCCTCGATATTTTCCTCAAACAGCTATACTAGCCTTACATTGCCTATTTCTGAATTCTTTATTATGGGGGAAAAACAGATCCATAATTGGTTAAGTCTCTGTGGTTAAGCTGAACATGATTCCAACAGATAAAGACTTAAAGTGCATAAATAGTTTCATCCAATTTTGGCAGTTTATCTCCATTATGCAAAACAATATCAGAGTTTGTTAAAAGTATATTAAGGAGACAGTACATAATTAAAACAATAGCTTATATTTATGGAGGACTGACCACTGCATTAGTCACTATATGATGCATTTTACACACATATTTAATATTTAACCTTATAGCAGCACTATGTATTAGACACTATTATTATCATTCTTATTTTACAACACAACAAAACAAAAGCAAAAACAGTATCAGGCTCAGGGTGGCTGAACTCAACGTCACCTAGCTGGTAAGTGATAGCCTTTCCCAAACCCGAATCTGTCTGACTACAAAGCCCATACTCTCAACCATTTATTACATTATACTAGAAGACCAAAAAGGAAAATCTAATGGTTCTAATTTATTTCACCAGAGACAGATCTTCTGTCTGTTACAATCTCGATTTGTTCCACTGTAAATTCACCAACCATAAAGAAGAAGCATCCATGATCACATAAATCTAAAGAGAGCTTTATTGAGGCAACCTAAATGCTTCCCCCAGGGCCTGCCTGGAGAGAGAATGGTGGAATTTGGAGGCTCTGCCTCTTTTCTGTTACCCAACTCCTCTTTGGCCTCTTCTTTACATCTTTACATCTGGTGAGCTGCTGCATATGAAAAATCTGAGCACCAATTATGTAAATTTTAATCATAAAACTTATTTCAGGTCAGCTTTCACTTGCTCCAGAATGAGACCCTTATAGTCTGTTCTTTCAACTTTTCCCAGTGAAGAAAAATAACAGGCATTCAAGTGCAGAGTTACCTAAAGACTGTATTAGGTGACAGCAAATCTTTAAATTCAAAAGTTATCTTCTATAATTTACTATAAAATATGGGCACATATGAGAACACCTTGAGGAAAAACATTATCATTGTTTGGGCAGATATAAGAATTTCCTCTTTTCTCTTGTTTGTCATTGAACTAGGTTTTCAATATATATTAATACTTACTGAATAAGTGAGGAAAGGAATAAACTAAATGAAAAGAACAGATCACTATAATTAAAAATTTAATGATTCTAAAATACTCTAATATTCTAGAAATACTCTGAGTTTAGAAAGTAAATCCAGACTTTCTAAAATACTAAAATTTTAATGTTAATTTACTCCTGAAATGTTGCAATGTGCTATGCATCACACCTATAGAGTTTTTAGAATACTGAATATATTTCTTTTTAAAATTCAAGTCACAGTCATTTCCAGATATTATTCAAGTAAGCCTCTAGGGATTCTGCAGTTCTCTTCACTAAGATTGGAATCCACTGGTATCCTCAATTATTCTAGTCTTCTTTTCTTATGGACAAGTCTTGATCATATCAATCATTCCTTTAAAGATTTCTAAATTTCCTTAAAGCCCTTATCAGCTCCCAGACACTGCAATATTCTTGTGTGACTACATCCAGTTTCAAATTTTCAGTCTTCCTCTTTCTCTGCTCCTAACCTATTGAATTCTGTATTAACAGGAAATATAACTATTCTACTTTGCCTTTCTCCTGACCTTGGGTTTTAGCACATTATAACATTTTTGTTAGTTGATGGCAGATTTAACATTTTAAGGCAACAGTGGTCACAAATATTTTTTCTCCTTCATCCAGAAATCCTACCTATTTGATTAGGCAGTTATATGTTTTTATATGATGGGAGTTTCTGTTTGTTGGTTTATGTAATTATTTTTCCTCAGGCAGGGAATCACAGACACAGGACTGGGAAATACTGTGTGTCTTAGTTCATTCAGGCTGCTATAACAAAACACTGGATGGCTTATAAACCACAGAAATGTTTTTCTCACAGTTCTGGAGGCTGAGAAGTCCAAGATCAAGGCACTGGCAGATTCAGTGTCTGGGGAGGCCCTGCTTCCTCACAGACAGCCATCTTTCTCACTCCACCCTCACATGGCAGAAGAGGCAAGGGGTCTTTTATAAGGGCCTCTTTTATAGGGGCACTAATCCTAGTCATGAGGGCTCCACTCCCAAGACCTAAGCACTTCCCAAAGGCTCCATCTTCTACATAGCATCACTTTAGGGGTGAGGATTTTAATGTATGAATTGAAATGGGGGGACATAAACATTTAGACCATACCACTTTGTTAGCTAGGAGAGGAGGAAAGGGATTATTAGTATTTTCCTGTGAACGTATGTCATAATGATTGGCAGCACTGATAATTAGTTACCAGTAATAATAAGTAGCATAGTTGGCAAATATTTTATTTTTTATATAAATAAAATAGGCCATCTCTATTATATCATTCTCAATAATTTGAATACACATATACTTTCTTTAATGGTTAAGAAAACTTTGGATTTAGGTATAGCTGAAAGAGGAATTATACATACGAATAGCTAAGATTTATTTAGCACTGATTTTACTCTGGGCACCGTGCTAAGGCTACAGGTTTTACTTATATAATTTCATTTAACTCTCTTAACAAAAGATTAAGGTTGGCCTCATTATTATCCTCATTTTATAGATGAGACAAATCAAGGCACAGAATTGATTATGAAATCAGCTTGTTCTTACATAGCTGGTAAGAGGGACAGCCAGGATTAAACCCAGGATGCCCAACTAGGAAGCGTATGTACTCTACAGCTTCCCTTATACTGCACACAATTCTAGCTGTGTCCATGGGATGTGTCATTCCTCTTTGCAAAAACCTCTGCTTTCTATGACAAAGTAGATAAAGGCTGATAGCCTTGAGGCTGAGCTTCTGGCCTCAAGATTTCTATGAGATGGTGACCTCGTTTTGGACCTGGTGCTAAGGAGGCCAATACCATGTGTTAAATGTTTCTCTTTCCTAGGTGGCAAGTGCTGCTGCATTTCATGGCCTCAGATCAAAATACAACCTCATTAGCTGCTGTGAACACAACGTTCCTGTTGAAGAATAGAATGGAATGGAGTTAAGAGTGTAGAAGGTCTGATGCAAATTTACTCCTACTCCTATTGACAAAGAGTTTGAACTACTGAATTTGTATATGAAAGTCAGGGCATCCTATTGTTTTCAGTTGTCATAAGAAAAAAAAAAAGAAAAAAAAGAAATGGCATTACTACTGTCAATATAAATAAATGAAAAATCTAAGCTACTTCTGTTTGTCATTTCAGGATTGAGAAATGGACTTTTGGCTCACAAACCAGAAATATATATATCCAAAAGCCTAGGAATAGATATATAATTTTTTTTTTTAAGAGACAGGGTCTCACTTTGTCACCCAGGCTAGAGTGCAGTGGCATGGTCACAGCTAACTGCCGCCTCGAATTCCTGGGCTCGAGCAATCTGTCCGTCTTGGCCTCCCAAAGTGCTGGGATTACAGGTCTGAGCCACTGCGCCTGGCTTGGGATATTTTTAAGCAACAGATAATATTCAATAATTCAACTCCAAAGTAGTTGAGCAAAAGAAGTACCTGTATTTAAAAAAGATGTCTTCCTTCCATTTCAATTTTCAAATTGAAAAGGAATTCAAATAAATTAAATTAAAAAATCAATGTAAAATTTTGGCTACAAATAAAACTAGAGAAAGATCAAATAATAAACTGCAAAATATGGCAGGACTACTTTACTCTTGCGTGGAAATGCAATACATTCTAGTTACGTGCCCTGTTACTGTAGGTTGTTTGTGTGTTGATTTTTCTCATGCATTATGACTTGGCCACCTTGGAAAGTGTCTCTTCCTACCCTCTCTCATTACATAGATCTTAAATATAATAGACAATAAATATTTGTGGATTTGCTTAAAATTCCACTAGCTATAGGCAAGAGAAAACATGCATGGATGCATGACATATGTAATTTAATGTCAATAACTTCCACATAGACAAGGCTGAGAAGTCCCAGCCTGTGCACACTGCACCCTTTCTGTATTAGGGTTCCCTAGAGTGACAGAACTAAGAGATATATATATATATATCTCTTATATATATATAATATATATATGATATATATCTTATATATACTTATATATAATATATATCTTATATATATATAAAAAGAGGAGTTTATTAAGTTTTAACTTACACTATCATAAGGTCCACAATAGGCTGTCTGCAAGCTTGAGGACCAAGGAGAGCCAGTCTGAGTCTCGAAACTGAAGAACCTGGAGTCTGATGTTCAAGGGCAGGAAGCATCCAGCATGGGAGAAAGATGTCGGCTGGGAGGCTAGGCTGGTCTTACCTTTTCATGTTTTTCTGCCTGCTTTATATTTGCTGGCAGCTGATTAGATTGTACCCACCAGATTAAGGGTGGGTCTGCCTTCCCCAGCCCACTGACTCAAATATTAATCTCCTTGGCAACAGACACACAGGCACACCCAGGATCAATACTTTGCATCCTTCAATCCAATCAAGTTGACACTCAGTATTAACCATCACACTTTCCTACCCCATAACAGAAAGCTGTTACCTCTAACTTTGATGTTAAAAGTTCAACCTCAAAAGGTCTTTGGAGACCTTCCCTCAGCAGAATCTTTGCCTCATCTTTGGTGAATTAGGGAGAACTGGAAGAAGGCATAGTATTCCTTCTAGTTCATAGAGAACTTGAGATGTGGATAAGCTAATTGCTTGCCTAAGGTCCTCCAGTGAAACTCTGACTGGGGGGAAGTCAGTCTCAGCTCAGCTCCCTCTTCACCTCATCCCCCTGCCTCCCCACATGCTGAGGTTCAGGTTCTTAATCACACTACATACTAAAGGCTTTGCAGAACTAATCGGTCTTCAACCATACACTGTTTTACGGAACGTGTACTAGAGCGGAGAACAGATGTCACCATGAGAATCTTATTTTCTGCTATTTCCCGATTTTGGCCTGTGAACATTTGTAACCTTAATGTTGCATGAACAAAGATTTTTGCATTTAATACTAATATGGGAACTCACAGATCCTCCTTCTCCAGTTGGAAGTGTGCCACATTCTGATTTCAACAGTGTATGGCTGCTTTTTCAGCGTGTGAATTTGCCTCAATGTCCTGTTGGTGTCTTCTGAGCTGAAAATGTGGTCACATTCTAGTCTTACAGGAGATAATGTCAGGTAAAACATCTAGAGATATTTACATTTGTCACTTTCAAAGCACACATAGCCTGCAATCCCAGCACTTTGGGAGGCCAAGGTGGGAAGACTGCTTGAGCCTAGGAGTTGGATACCAGCCTGGGCAACATGGCAAAACCCTGTCTCTACAAAAAGTACAAAAATTAGCCAGGTATGGTGGTGTGTGCCTGTAGTCCCAGCTACTCAGAAAGCTGAGGCTGGGCGGGGTGGGGATGGGATAGGATGGGATGGGATGGGAATTGCTTGAGCCCAGGAGGTTAAGGCCACTGCACTTCAGCCCGGGCGACAGGGCGAGACCCTGTCTCAGAAGAAAAAAAAATAGCACATACATACCCAACACCAGTAAAGGCCGATGGAAAAGGTTTTTACTTGTCAAGACCTAATTCACAGAGCTGTTTCTACTGTTAAGTAAACCAGCAACATCCACAGCAGAACAAAACACTGCATAACACCATATCCCAAATATTGGTTTGGCAAGAAACCATGGGTTAAAAAGTGAGTTTTCAAAGACAGGGCTTTCAAGCAGACTGGCACCTTTATTTCTTCTTCCAAAGTGAAGATTTTGAAAAATGGCAAACTCTGCTGTCTAGCCAAGGCTGCTGAACCACATGTACCTGCCAGACCACCCAAGAATCAGTCAGTGGCTGGCAGACAGCAGGTGAATCTGCTTCTTCCCTCGAGATCCATGTACTGGGGGTGTCCTCACAGGGTCACGCCAAGTCAGGGGCAAGATGTTATGTGTTTTTTTGTTTTGTTTTGTTTTTTGTTTTTGAGACTAAGTCTCACTCCCTCGCCCAGGGTGGAGTGTAGTGGCATGATCCTGGCTCACTGCAATCTCTGCCCACCGGGTTCAAGTGATTCTCATGCCTCAGCCTTCCGAGCAGCTGGGATTACAAAGCACCCACCACCCGCCTGGCTAATTTTTGTATTTTTAGTAGAGATGGGGTTTCACCATGTTGACCAGGCTGGTCTCGAACTCCTGCCCTCAAGTGATCCGCCCGCCTTGGCCTCCCAAAGTGCTGGGATTATAGGCATGAGCCACTGTGCCCGGCTGGTGTTCTGTTTTACAATGAATTTTCGTCTCTTAGAGCCCATGGCTCTGAGTTACACAATTCTGGGACTACATCTGCAATAATTATGAATCAATGGCATTCTAACATAATCTAATATCCCAAAACAAAAATTAGAGGTCAGATCCCATCAGGCTCAAAACAGAAGCTGAGTTCCTCTGTGTTGGATCTCACTGCATGAATTAGGCAACACGATAATGAGAAGTATTTCCTTTTGAGCCGATCGTTTTGCCCTAAACAAGAGAACATGTAAGAGCTAAATCCCTACATTAGATTCACGTGTGTGAGGTAACATTTAAAAGGGAAGTGGAAGCAGTTGTACTATTTCTGAAAATCTTTGCTGTATCTGCCTAGCCAGAGTAGGGTATCTTATCAGTGGCTCCTCAGCTAAGGCTTCTAATTCCTTTTGAATTTAATTTGGAGCCAGTCAGTGGATAAATCATATAAAATATGCAAAAGAGAACTAGCTGTTGATTCTGGGCACGCATATATTTGGCCCACATAGTTAAACGATCGTGTCTCTACAGTGAGATAGAATGGCCTATCAGAAGCAGTAATAAATCCCAGGTGACTCCACTGAACCATTCTTTCAGGTTTCACTGTCTACCCTACTGAAACGATGCTAATATCCTTCATATTCTGTTAACTTGGGAAGGATGTAACCACATGATTCCACCGGGTGAAAAACTTGCCATTTGGAACTACGGAGGGAAGAAACTTTTACTTTATTTCCCCATTTCGATTATCAGCTTGAAAGGAGGTTCTTCACTCTTTCAAGTACAGAGCTGCTTAAGAATAATTGTTCCTAAAACAAACACACGCAGACATGTTTCCACTTGTTTGTGCATAAAATATCTCTGGAAGGATGTACACGAAACTGGGAACACTGGGAAGGGTGAGAGTTTGGGGTAGAGAGA